>NC_000004.12:172046381-172671381 GCF_000001405.40 Homo sapiens
GTCATGTTGGTTTGCTGCACCCATCAACTCGTCATTAACATTAGGTATTTCTGAGGAAATTCCATATAGTTTCCCGTGAGATCTGTACTAGTTTACATTTTCACTAGTTGTATACAAGTGTTCCCTTTTCCCAGCATTTCACTGACCCTTGTTATCTTTTGTCTTTTTTATAAAACCCAGTCTGACAGGTGTGAGATGATCTCTCTTCATGGTTTTAATTTACATTTTTCAAATGATCAACCATGTTGAGCATTTTAAAAATAGATCTGCTGGCCATTTGGATATCTTCTTCTGAGGAATGTCTATTCAGGCCCCTTGTCATATTAAAATTGTGTTTCTTGTTTCTTTGCTGTTGAGTTATGTGAGTTTCTTATATATCTTGTATGATTACCCCTTATCAAATGTATGGCTAAAATATTTTCTCCCAATCTTTAGATTGTCTCTTTACTCTGTTAATTATTTTCTTTGCAGTGCAGAAGCTTTTCGGTTTGATGTAATTTCCTTTGTCTATTTTTGCTTTTATTGCAACCCCGACCATCTACTTTGTGTTATGTATTTACTTTGTCAAACATGACATCTAATCATGCCATTTTTTCAGAGACATTGAGACGTCAAGGGGATGAGGTTCTATATTCTGAGATTTTCTTTGAGAAAACTCCCATTCATTCTTATGAAATAAAGGAGAAAATGATTGGTTATTGAAACAAACTAACCTGCTGAAAATGAACGTCTGTTTTCCTTTGAAACTTGCGCTCACTTCCTTTAATTGACCCAATTGCTGCCACTTTGGCCTCCGGACGCTCCCCGCAGCTCTGTATTGATTCCCTGGGAAGGTTGCATTGAGGCAGCGGCTCTCAAACCTAATTTTTCCATTCAGTTTTACTTTCTATTAGTTGAAACAGACAACACCATCTCCTCACTAAAGATATATGCTACGGAAGTATACAAACAGGTTCTGGAGCCTAGGGCATTCATTAAAATAGAAATACCGTAAACATTTATTATATCAGAAATGGGAGACTGCACACCACTGACCAAACAACAGATGTGTCAAAATGATGCATTAGTTGAATTTTGCCGTGCTTTCCTCTTCCTTTTCCACCTGAGAACAAAGCAATGTACCAGTTAGAAAAAGTAAAATAAAATAAAATCAGCGACTGAGTTGCAGAGTAAATGATATCAAAACTCTCTGCAGATTTAATAAAAGTAAATTACTAGAGGTCATTACTTTTCATGTTTATTGATTTTTGCAGTCAATATCATTATTAACTAGTGGAGAAAAAGATTTATCATGAAGTTCCAAAATACAGAGTTAAAGGAAGGAGAAAGTTCAGTTAGTTCTCTATTTAAGGAAACATTATACTCACGAGCTATTATCAAAAAAACAAAGAATTGATAGTCAATGTTTTTTAAAAAAAGTTTTCTACAGTCATGAAAAGGTATAGATTGTGTAAAAGAAGGTTGTGTTTATTTTTAAAAATTAATATTATTATTGTGTTAATATAAAAATTTTAAATGAAGCAAGAATGAGTAAAACATTTTTTCCACTTGAGTATACCAATTTATATTTTCTAGTATTGCTCTTCAGTTTCCTGAAGCCCTCTGACAACCTAATAGCAGTGTTACTAATAACATCGCAAACTCTTTGTGTAAACTCCACAAAGACAGGAACCTTGTTTATCTTTCTCTTATCTTCACAGTGCCTGGCATATCATAGAAACTCAATAAATATTCTTGAATGAAGGAAGAACCAGCAAGTTTCAAAGTAATTTTGAAGGGACTAGGTCATCAACTGAGTGGAATAACTTGGGTGAACTGACTACTGCCTCAGAACAATAACATTTTGCTATAATATCCCATTACTATGCTAATGTTTCAGTGCAAAAGAAGCACAGAAGAAGAGACCAAACTCCATGAACTTAAAAAAAGGGATTTATAGATACAGAATACCCAGAAGCCAAAACTTACACTTTCTGATATGTCCAGAACTATTTTGGGTTAAATTTTTGATACTATTCCTGCATCTCTGAAGCAAAACTCATAAGCACAGCTATTTGAATAAAATATCTGCTAATCTAAGCCATTTTCCCTCAGTCACCACAGAAGGCTGTAATCATAGATGCTACTATGAGTCAATGATTCCTTCAAATGGTTTAGTTATCAATAAAACCATCAAATGGACCATTTCCCATGAACTTGGATGAAAAGTATTATGTAGATTATATTATGTGATGTTAAAATATTATTTTCATGAACTAAAATTCACCTTAAATGTAACTACTTAAAATTTGTACATTTTGAAATAATAACCAATCTGTTTTAAAATTTCCCACTGAAAAGTTTTTCATTTTTTATTTTATTTTATTTTATTTTATTTTGTCACACTATGAGAGGCATTCTTGCAGCCCCATGCCAAGCACTAACTGCATGCAGAGCACAATGCTCCAATTTGCATCTTCCAAAAAAAGACAGCTCAACCAGACTTAATGTATTTTGGCTGGAAATTTGTATGCTTAGTCTCTGCCCAACATACTTTAGTTTGAAAGAGCCAAGCTATAAAGCCTAGAATGATAGTTTATAATAGGAAGCTTGATAGAGTTGTTTCCACTGATATTTTATCAGCTCCAGCAGTAACGCAATTTGTTTCTTAGAGAGATGGGAGTGTTCCTTGTGGACAGAAAAATAATGGTGGGTTTTACAATGATTATTTTGGAGAAGTCATCTTTTCTACCTTTCTGCAAATGCTATAGTATCTTTAGGTTATTTTATAATTTGTGTATAATCATAAATTATATATTTCTTTGTGGGTCTAGTTTGATTTGTAAAATACTGAGACTTCATGAAATAAAAATTTTTTTTTATAGAAAGCATTCACAAGAAGTAAACTTCAGTTAACTTTGTTCTCCTTATTAGAAACTTTCCCTGCATACACTTGCATGGAGGGAGATTAGTGAACAAAAAGAAACAGTAGAGAGCTTTTGCCCATTTCTTATCTTTATTAAACTCCTGCCCACATGCCATTAGATTATCCTTTTTACCTTTTATAAAATAGTAATTGTCAATTACTTTACACTTCCTTTTATATTTATCTCTTTTGGATATTCTTACTTAAATTATTAAATAGAAAATGTAGTTTATCAGTAACAAGCCATATAATCATAGAATTGCACATAGAAGTTGTGCCAGCTACAATATCACGGGTGGAAAGATTGATTTCTATTTTACGTGGCTTCTCAAGACCACGTTTATTCTCAAATGTAGAAAATGTACTCTTGCCAAGTCAAGGTAATGTAAGTATTTCTAATAAAAAATGCAGGCTCAGCCTGGCGCAGCGGCTCATGCCTGTAATCCCAGCACTTTGGGAGGCCAAGGCAGGTGGATCACCTGAGGTCAGGAGTTTGAGACCAACTTGGCCAACATGGTGGAACCCCGTCTCTACTAAAAATACAAAAGTTAGCCTGGCATGGTGGCAGGTGCCTGTAATCCCAGCTACTCAGGAGGCTGAGGTAGGAGAATTGCTTGAACCCAGGAGGCAGAGGTTGCAGTGAGCTGAGATCGCACCATTGCACTACAGCCAGGGTGACAAGAGCAAAACTCTGTCTAAAAAGAAAAAGAAGAAGGAAAAAGAAAAAAAAAATGCAGGCTCTGTGGAGTAAATTCTCAGTCAAATATAGGTATTTTTCCCACTTTTACTCTCCTTCATTTTCTGGCTGGCAGGCTGGACTTTAGTAGTGGTAACTTTGGTTTTATTCCCTCAGAATCAGTCCCTGAGCCTATGATGTTATCAAACTAAACTGGCGTAGGCTCACCGGGCCAAGGTTTGCAGCAGGAGAAAGGAAGGCATTTATTTGCAGGGCACCAAGAAAGGAGAATCAGGCGGTTCAGGCTTTAGTCCCAACTTCCCCAATGGCTTGAAGATGAGGGTTTTTTAAGAGCAAGTGTAAATTTCAGGAAGGCAGAAGTTACAGGCAAAATCATAGATCAATACATAGAGGTTACACAGTGTTTGGCCTAAGGTCATATTTAGATTTAAAGTTCTTCTGATTTGCAGTTGGTTAAAAAAGAGAAGCTTTGTTTAAAAATTTGGGGTGGGCAGAAAAGAACTTTAGCTTGTGGCTCCTGGATGTGGCTTCCTCCAGGCCCTTCAGGAAAAAATGTAGAACAAAGAACATAAGTGGTCAGAGTTTAGTCCTTAGCACCCCTTTATCTGAGGTCTATGTGCCAGTGGACCCATTTGGTGTGGATCCAGGTTTCAGCAAAACAATTCAGGGACGTTAGTTATCTTTAGTTTCTAACTTCCTTGCCTATTATTTTGAGCTATTATCACCTTCTTGCTTATCAAATTCCTTATATACTTCTCCAGGCTAGCTAGGTCCCTGGAAGAAACTCAAGATTTTTCTTTAATTCTATGTTTGGGTGGGCCTACAGGCCAAGAGGGGTCCCTGCTCCCTCTCAATGATTCAAGTGAGAATAATTTATCTGGGAAATGAACTTAGGAAATACTGGGAAAGCAATGAGGAAAAAAGAAGGAACGCTAGCTAAGAAAGTATGGTTATCATCAGGGTCACTAATGTGTATAATGAATTTATTCTTGCTGGGGTATTCTTGGAATTTGTAACAAGGCACCTCATAAGTTTCCTCCTGAAACCTAAGGGTAGGAGTATTTATGATGCACTGTCATCAACCTTGGCAAAGGCAGAGTGTTAGTGAAGCAGGAGAGTTCCCTGACCCCCCTACAGGATGTGTGACAGGGGTGTGGCTTGTGTGTTCAGCACCATGCACTTAAATCCCTTATAGGAAGGGGAGCATGGAGACGGGCAGGTGCAGGAGCTGAGGTGAGTGCTTTGGGGCTCCATCCCCATGGTAACATGTAGGGGTGGGTACCTATGATTTCCAAAGCCCAAGTGGGCGTGTATTACAGTGCGTTCTTTTAGCTTTGCTGTCCACAGATGGCTTAAGTGTTAACCAGCTCAGTGCCCTCTTGATACCCAGGTCCTTGTCTGGAATCCAGGAAGAATCAGGTCACACATGGACTTGAAGGATAAATGCAGGGATTTTATTAAGTGGTTGCATTGGCTCTCAGTGGGATGGAGGGGGAGCTGGAATGGGGATGGGGTGGGAAGGTGATCTTCCCCTGCAGTTTGGCCACCCAGTGGCTGATCTCCTCTCTGATCATCCCCAGCCAGACTCCTTTCAGCATTCAGACGTTCCTTTTCTTCTTGCCTTCTCTACCACACTGTTCTGCCATTTTTCTTCTCTTCTGTTCATCTCCTCATAGGTTCTGTAGCATGGGGTCTGAAGTTTATATGGGCACAGGATAGGGGAGCATGGCGGGCCAAAAGGCAACTTTTGGGCATGAAAATAGGAATGCCTGTTCCCACTTAGGGCCATGGGTTTCCAGGCTTGCAGGTAGGGCCTCTGCCAGGGAACCACCCTCTTGTACTCAGTATTTCCCTGTCTCCTGTCCATATCATTAGTTTTCTGACACCTTGGGAACTGACAAAGCAAATAAAGGCTTTGGGCCAAAGGGTGTATAGAGTCAACCTTTCCAGCATTGACAGGGCTCTGGGGCTACCCTCTCTGCCTCCAGCCTCTCCCTTATCAGCACTGTCATACAGCTTAATATGGTGATCCTGACTCCTCTGCAGCCTTCTAGGAGATGAAATATTGCCTTTAAACTTTTATTTTACTAATAGGTCATTTTCACTTTACAAGTGTATTCACCTATGACTGCTGAGATATTAAAAAACAAAAAACTGGACTCTGAAAAAAGAGTCCTCACATATAATTTGAGAAGCACTGCCTTAGAGGGCTTCTAGCTCTGTTCTTATATCCCGGTCATGGAAATGGAACATTCACAGTTTTATATTATTTCAGTAGAGCCTCAAGGCAGAGAGGATACAGGACATGTACCACACTTCCCAGGGAAGAGCTCGGGTATATTGTGAGCTTATTTAGAGATGGGCTTGAACACGCCCTTGAAGACCTATGCACACCTTCACATCCTTCATAGTAACCACAAGCTCCAGATGGGCTGTTTACCCCAACCCATTCACCAGCCAGATGAGAGCCAAGTTCAGAGCCGGAGCTGGCCACCAGAGGAATCCAAGCATTAGTGCAGACCACGGAGTGCATGAGCTGGTTTACCAGGTAACCGGTAAAAAGCAAACGGCTGCAGTGCAGACCAAGACAAGATAGGGTGGTTCGTCTCATGGACGCTTGTTGTTGAATCAGGACTTTAGGGTCACGTAGTCTCACCATCATCTCTTTCTTTTGTGATCACTTTTGCCCAGGGTAGACAAGGTTAGCTTTGCTATCACTTTGTATTTGGAATTGATTCAACCTGACTTCCTACAGAGTTTTAAGCTTTGATATTTGAAGTCAAACTTTTGATATTCAGAAAACCTTTTTTCTCATGAACTTTTCCTATATAACTGTCTCTACTAGCATAAACATACATACATATTCACACACACTCTCTCACACACACAATTGTATTTGCCTTAAAAAACAAAAAACAAAAAAACTAAGTTATACTTGCCCTTTCTCTTCAAAACAATAGTTACATGAAGTTGTGGTTGCTGCCTGAATGTCAGGGGAAAAGGAATGAGCACCAGGCAGCACAATGAAAGAAACCTTACTATGTAAAATAATATTCAAGACTTATGCAGTGACATGTAAATAGGACAAAAATAAAATACAAATAAATACAACTAAGGCTGATTTTAAGATAAATGAACTCACGTCTAATTACCATTTTCATTAGATACCTAAACATATTTTTACCTGGAATAAGAATCAGAATACCAAATTTTAGTGATGAGAATTTTGTAATTTCTGAATCATATTTTATGTGAAAAGCTTTTTGAGGATTTCTTTGTAACCAGACATGGTGTTTTTTTAAAAAAAACACAATAATACAGGGGATCAACAGACCAAGCAGGTGCTATCCCCAGTCATTATAGTCAACTTAATAAATACTCTGCACACAGACATCCAAAACCTATGAGCATTGATCCAAAAGAAAAATCATTAAGGTGAGGATAGAGGTAGCCATTCTCCTGAAAGCTGCTTCCTTTAGTGCCTGTGGTGTTGGCATGAATAGCTCAAAGCTGTCTGGAATTAATTCTTTTCTAAAGGGACTGCTGAAAAAGACAGGAACATGTGTTCTTGGCAGAGAAACAAAGGGTTTTAAAGTACTTCAGTATTTATCCCACTACAAGCGAACTTAGTGCATTATATTAATATCACAATTGTCCCTCTACAATTGGGGGAGAAGTTTATAGCTGCTGACAAAATTTTCCATACACTTCAATCAGAAAGAAACAAATGAGCTGTGTCTATGTGTATGGTGTGTATGTATGCATGCATGCACATATTTTGTGTGTCTGTGTACCTGAGTGTAGGTGAACATGGACCTTTTTTTTACATGAATGGGTCCCCTAGCGAAGGAGGCAAGACCTTTAAATTTTATCTTTTGAAGTTATGTAAATTTTTATAACAAATAAATAATATATATCCATGGGCCAAACAAAAACTAAAGTAATCACAAATTATGAGTTTCAAAATCAAAGCACAATTGTATATACAAAACAAAATCCAAAATTAATAAGAATATTCTAAAATATTTTCATAGTTAAGCAAAATGTTATTGGTTCATGTTGAGAAATAAATGTTGGCTTCTAGAGTCCAGGAGGCTTTCTAAAGTTAGAAATCTTTCTTTCTAACGCTACACTTTAACATATCTAGGGATACTTCATGAGAAATCTAATATTCATACTTAATTTTTCTATTAATATTATAATTAATGTTTGATAATGGTAACTCCAATATACTGCAATAACTTTAGATATTAGAACAATTCTTATCACAAACATATTTTTATAACAGGGTTTTCAATCAAGGGTCAAAGAATCACAATTCAAATAGAAATAATTTAATGAGCACATTTTATATTTTACATACTTTATTTACATGAATTAAACATGCAAAGTGTCTTAGTTTATTTAGGCTGCTATAATGAAATTGATGGAATGGCTTATAAACAACAATTGATGGAATGGCTTATAAACACTTGTCACAGCTCTGGAGGCTAGGAAGTCTAAGATCAAGGCTTCCAGCAGGTTCAATATCCGGTGAAGTCCCACTTCCTAGTTCATAGACCAGAGATTTTCTGATTGTATTTTCACATGTTGGAAAGGGCCTCTTTTATAAGGGTATTAATCTTGTTCACAAGAACTCCACCCTCATGGTCAAACCACTTCTCAAAATCTTCATCCCCAAATATTATAACATTGAGGGTTACGTTTCAACATAAGAATTTTGAGGGAACATAAACATTCAGTTTAAAGTACAAAAGTAACCGTATTCAATAGTATAAAGGAAACCTAAATAATGATTCTTGTCAAACTCATATTGTCCAACTACTGAACTTCGAAACAAATGAGAAGTCGTGCCTTTTCATTAATGATCAAGAGAAAGTTGTTAGTTCTGTTTCTTGATCCAAACTTTTGATAACGGAGAATGGATTATTACAACTTAAAGTTGAAGAGTATATGTAACAAACTTTGACTGTCTCAATGTGGCATTCAAATAGGAACCAAGAGACAGCCAAACCTTAGTATTCAGCTTTTCTCCTTATGGGTCCAGAGCATTAGAACTAAATGCATGGAGACACACCCAAATGGAAGACAGAATCTCACTTTATTATTTGCTGAATGAGGGGCTTATAACTTATTGTATGGGGCTCTCTGGCAAAATAAAAAGAAAACAAATAAACCAATAAGTAGAGAAAATTTCCCCTGCTTTCCTTCTTCTTATTCTGAGATGGCCAGTTCTCAGAGCAGCCTCCTTTCGCTTTCAGATGTAGGCAGAAAGTAAACCACAAGGAAAGAATCAGGCTATTTTAAGGTAGAGTGGGCATTTGGTTGTATTAAAATTGTGTAATATTCTGGAACTAAAAACTCTCCTAATGCTTCACTGCTGCACATCCCTCTTTCCAACAATTTTCTTGAAGTAAATGGAGCTCTTTTCTAAAAAAATAGGAAATTTTGGAAAGTACAATTTCACTGTTGTTGTTACACATTTGAAAAATCCCACAATAGGGCTCTTTGGTAAAAATTAGATTGGAGAGTGTGGTCTGTGCCTAGAAATCAAATTGAGACTTCCATTTTTTTTCCCACCCTTTTCCCAAATCCAAGGTGGGTAGAAGTCCAGAGCAAATCCAAAGTCCGTTTAGTCAACCAGACATTGCAAATGGGAAAACCTGCTAGGCTTTAAGCTGAGCTCTGCCTAAGCAGGTCCTCTGGGCTGGAGTGGATTTGAGAGCCCCATCTGACACATGACAAAGTAATAACACTTACTGATAGAATGTAGCTTTGACAACTTCTGAGTTAACGTGGGCCAGTTATCAGGGTACTTCTTAGCCAGATTGGTCTATAGTTTTAGATTTCACAGAAGGGATCTAAAATTGAATTCTAGCCCACTCAGGGTTTATTAAGCTTGGGGGAAAATGGACAGAATGTAATTGAGTTCATCAATGATAGTATGAAAAAAGTTGTCAGTTTATGATGATGAAATATATAGCAGCAAAGCAATTCAATACTTTGTCTACTGATAAAAGCATTTGTTCCCTAAAAGAGTATTTGGGAAACCAAATATTCCAAAATAGTAGAAAAATTGCTGAGTGAAGATACCTATAAACAAAATGTGTTTTTAAAAATCTGCTATTAAGAATAACAGATTGACTTAAAATTCTGACACTTAACGAAAAAAATGCTGCCATTTAGCCATTTTATCACATAATATTTATCGCTTATGTTGTTTACATACTTGAACTTATATTTTCTGCATAACATTGAAGTATGCATTTTATCATTCAACATTGTGCCAAAAGCATAATTTTCTTTTCAGGGGAAGCCTTGAGGATATTATGTAAATAGTTGTGTAGCATTCTTTCGTATATACAAGTACCATAATTGATTAAAATATTTACTTTGTTGACCATTTAAGCTGTTAACATTCTTTTTTGCTGCTACAAACAACTCTCTCCTGAGAATATTTCTATTTATATTTTTTCAATTTCAGATCATTTCTTAGAGTACATACGATGAATAAAATTATTTGGATCAGAGTCTATGAACATTTTTAGGACTCAATATACAGAATACACAATGTTTTAAAGTTTGTATCAATATTTATTTCCTTCAGTCTCTTGTGAAACTGCTAAAATTAAGTATTATCAGGTTTTTAAACCTAGGCTAATTCATCAAGCAAAGAAAAAGATTGTAGAAGTATTTTTAATAATATAGTTATTTAATTATAAATAAAATAAGCATTTTGACATATTTGTTTGTCATTTGTGGTTTATCTTTAGTGAACTGCTTATTGTGGTACTTTATCTGGTTTATAGAAGTATCTTTTCATTTCATCAGTATGCAAAAAAATTATAGACTATGTGTATCAATTTTTGCCTTATTGTGAATATCCTCCTAGTTGATAGCATTATATTGTATGATAGTTTTATTTTAAAAACATTACAAATATTTTAAATTATGGTTTTAAAATTAAAATATTTTAATGTTACAATATTTTTAATGAAGTAGTTTAATGAAGTAAAATTTTTTCTTCTTTGTAGTGTTGGTTTGAACTGTTACTTCAATCTTTAAAAGAATTTATTTTGCAAGAACGCATAAACTTTTGCCTAATGTATGTTACTTATTAACTTTAAACATTAATTGTTTTTGGCTGGGCATGGTGGCTTACACCTGTAATTCTAGCACTTTGGAAGGTTGAGGCTGACACATATCTTGAGCCCAGCAGTTCGAGATCAACCTGAGCAACATGGCGAAACCCTGTATCTACCCAAAAAAGTACCAAAAAAATTAGCCAGTTGTAGTGGTGCATGCATATACTCCCAGCTACTCGAGAGGCTGAGGTGGAAGGATCACTTGAGCCCAGGAGAGAGAGGTTGCAGAATATTTAGAAGGCGAGACTAGAAAAAGTAGCTTTTAAAAAAAAGTGTAGGCCAAGCATTGTGGTCTCATGCCTGTGGTCCCAACTACTCAGGAGGCCAAAGCGGGAGGATCATTTGAGCCCAGGAATTCAAAATCAGCCCGGGCAACATAGTGAGAGCTTGTCTCTACAAAAAGTAAAAAAATAAAAATAAAAAATAAAAAAAACTGGGTGTGGTGGTATACTCCTGTAGTCCCAGCTACTCCAGAGGTTGAGGCGGGAAGATCGCTTGAGCATGGGAGGTTAAGGATGCAGTGAGGAGAGACTGCCCACTGAACTCCAGCCTGGGTGACACAGACCCTGTCTCAAAAAAAAAAAAAAAAAAAAAAAAAAATATATATATATATATATATATATATATATAAATCAAGTTTTTATTCATCTTGTATTCATCTGAAATTAGATGCTATGGGCATGTGAATTGTTCTCTTTGTGTGATAAACTTTCCATTGATTAATGTGGTGTTTTTAACACGATTTATTATGTGGATACACACTTATGAACATAGCTCTTTCCTGAGATAAAGAATCTTTTCCATTTTTCCGCACATGTTTTTATTTTAGCATTAGTACCAAACTGACTTCATTTGTGTGCTTGTACTCCATGTTATACTCCATGGCTATATAAATCAGCAACTACACATTTTGGAGTTTTTTGTTTGTTTTTTGTTTTTGAGACAGGGCCTCACTCTGTACAATCTGTCACCCAGGCTGAAGTGGTTGTTTTGTTTTGTTTTGTTTTGTTTTGTTTTGTTTTGTTGTACAGACCAGTGCCCAAGCTGGTCTCAAACTCCTGGGCTCAAGTGATCTTCCTGTCTCCACCCCAAGTAGCTGGGACAACACTGTGAGCCACCATGCCTACCCTACACTTCTTTTTAAAAGTATTTTTTCTAGTCTCACCTTCTAAATATTCTAAAAGTATTAAAGATAATTTTGATAAATTGAGACCGAATTAAATACATATATAAATTTCGAGAAAAATAAGATCTCGAAAAATACGAACTTTGCCTTCCAGACACAGAATACTTGTCTTCTTTGATTCAATTTTGTTTCCATTCATTTCAACAAAGTTTTGCAGTTACCTTGGTTGTATTTTATTTTCACCTTGATTTTTTTTCTTACACTTAGGAGTTGTTTTGTGTCTGTGTGTGTGTGCATGTACACTTGCATGTGTGCACACCTGCATGTTGTTCTTACCTTTTTTATTCTAGCTTTTTCTATTCTCCTGACTTACTTTACATAATCGCCAAATAATATCTATACTTCTTTTCATATAGTTTGCCACTGTCTATTGCCATTCTGTTTATTTAAAGTCATTCATTTTTCCTCTAATCAAGTAGTTGCTTTTTTATAGTATAATGATCAAATGGCAATCTTACTTCCCTCTTTCTTCTCAGATTTCCAGAACCTACTTTACTTTTCTGCATGCTTTAACTATATCTTATAAGTCTTCAAAAGGGAACATTTAGAAGACGGTGACTTGAGCATTTGTTTCTGATCATTTCTCTCTTCCAATTTACTATTTTTACATCCCAGCCACTAAAATAATTAAAATTTTCTATTGAGATGTGTACAGACATCCTATTCCATCTGAATCTTTGGAGAGAAAGTGTAGGTATCAGGGCATCTTTTGTTGCAATTGAGAGACAATCAATAAACTAAAGTCTTGAAAAGAAGTGTGTCTATCTACCAGGCTTGTGCAAGTAAGCAGATTTCTGAGTTGCCTAGAGGAGAGATCATCTCCTTGGAGAAGGAATCTTTTGGAAAAAGGAAGGGGGTTTGCTTCTGCTCGTTTACTATGTGTTCTCTATGAGAAGGAAGCTGTTTATTCTGATTCAGACAGAATAAGAGGAAGCAGTTGTATTAGTTGAAGCCCACCTCTCCTGGCTTGCTTCTGGGAGCAGAGACACCTCCTGGGGTGAGGTCCCAGATTTTCAATTCCATTGTCAATGGGTGACTAAAGAAGACATCATATTTCTATCTGCCGAGGGCTATGTGCTCATACTCGACATTACAATATAATTCAAATGGTCGATGGAATCTCAAAATGACACAGAGAAATAAAACTAATTGTCAATTTGGAAGAATCCTGTGACTTGAAAGGGAAGAAAGAGTTTAATAACTTGAACCGTTGTCTAATATAAATATATGAATGAGGGCAAGAATGTAAGAAAATGTAAATAGGAAATACAAGTAAGGAGTTTTAAAGAGATTTAACACAACAAAAAAGATTTTGGAGCTGAAAAAAAGTCATGATTCTCAGATTTTAAAAATATTTAAATGTGAATTGGTTAAAAATGTCAGGAGTCAGGTTATACTTAGATTGCAATATAAAGTGTGATTTTTACTCATGCTATGTTTATTTGAAGTTTTAGTCAAAAGTCAAACCACTAGTAAGTGGTAGAAGTGAATAAAAAACACATCTGTCATTGTCATAAGTCCATTTTCTTCTCAATTATATTATCTCTCCGAGGTTTAAAATCAAAGTGAGAGCCAGTTGCCAGTTTTAAGGTGAGAGGGAAGGGAAATATGAAGGGCACAGGGCTCCCAGGAAGCCCAGAAGGAGAGGCCTCAAAAGAAGACTGTAGGGAATTTGAATCCAGCTTCACTTAACTAAAATTTGGCTCAGGTAGGAATAAGTTACTTTTCCTAAAATGAGAAAGCTCAGTCACAAATAAAATGTTCTTTTTCTTTTTTTCTTCTAAGGATATCTAAGTAATTCACCAGGAGAGAAAAAATGTGTTACTTTTTGCCAAATTAATACCATCTTAACCTGAATTACCAAAACATGGAAAAGCCTCAGAGAAAGAGGACATAGTTAAAAATTGAAGACAAAAGCAATTCTATAAGGGCAAAATACAATCAAATATTTCTGTATGTACATACATATATACATGTTTACACATACATATACATATCTGCATATATATGCACACAAATATATATACATATGCACATACATACATGTATATGTGTATTCATTTATTGATAATGCATACGCATGAATGAAATGTTAGAAATAATTGTATACTTTAATTGCTCTACTCTCCTGTTTCTCTATTTTTACATATAACCAAAAAAATTTTAACATGTTCAGTTGATGATTTATCGTAGTCAATGATCCCCTTTATGATCTGAATCTGCATGAAAAATAAAACATTTTATTTCTCTAGGAAGGCAAAATATTTTGAAAAAAAAACAAAAGTTACATATTTTGGTATCAGAAAACATCTTATTGTCTTTTAAAGAAAGACACATAGAACAATTTAATTATAGAGTTGAGGTAGTTTTCTATGTATATCAGGCCCTCCAAACACACCCACTACCATTTCAGGCTGGCATTCAAAACATCACTTAGTCACTACCCAGCATTCCATTTTGTTTGACTACATAGAAATAACATTTTTCTGCGTGGATGAATGGCTAATACGTACAATGGAACTGACTTATTTTGCAAAGCATTTCAAGGTCTTCCAGTTAATTTGACACAAACTTATTCCATTATGTAAATAAAAATTACACCATATTACATGGGCTCTAAGGAAAATGACAAATGCAGATTGCTATGCATAGATACATAGAGCCATCATTAGGAATATGTTTGGTACTAATGTGGGAAAAAAACAACAATCTTTCTAATTAGCCATGAAGAAAATACACATACATATTAATAACTGGTAACAGTGATTACCTGAAACCAAGAAATCAGTTATTGTACAAATTCATACAACTAGAAAAAAATACTTATTTTTCTTCTTTAAAAGACTATTTGTAATACTAATAGAACTTTTCAGGTCTTTTTTTCTCTCTCTGTATTCTCTCTCTCTCTCTCCCTTCATCCTTTTCACCTCCTTTCAATCTGACTAGATAATATTTTAAAAATACATTTGTTTAAAAAAATTCACCCAGTCTCCTTCTCTGGCAAGGGAGAAGGTTGTTTAATGAGAAGAACAGATGCTTCACTGTCTAGTCCTCCAGTAGTTCATGTTGTATTGAGCTCAGCAGCCCTAGTCATATATTGCACTTTCGTTCTGTCATTCAAATGTTGCAAAATCCCCTCAAGCTCCTTTATTTGTCTAGTGAAAGAAAAGAACTGTTTTGGTCATATCATTTCAAAATGTCTTGTTGTCACAAGACAACAATCTTGATAATCTTGAAAATCTTGATAAAAGACTTTTGAAATGTCCCAGAAAGGCCAAATATGTGCTTGTATTATTTATTTCATTTTTTATTATGCTAGAATTTAATTTTTCTCTTAATTAACCTTTGGGCTTTTTTTTCTGTTACCTACCCATTGTATACTAACTTAATTTTTGTAATAAATAAGCTCCATGATTTTAAGTTCTATTGCTTTAGGAGATGTCTTGATTTATTTTAGACCACTAAACACCTGAATTTACAAACTTGCTGCTTCCAAATGCATCCACCCTGAACGTTCTCAAAACTCACCATCTCTTAAGGACTTAGCATACGCCAACATTGCACTGTAAATGCTTTGGAATCTGTTATTTACCACCCATTCCCTGCTTTTGAGCTTGGTATTTTTATCCACTTTTTTTTTTTTTTTTTTTTGAGACAGAGTCTTGCTCTTGCTGTGTAGGCTGGAGTGCAATGGCACGATCTTGGCTCACTGCAACTTCTGCCCCCCCAGGTTCAAACGATTCTCCTGCCGCAGCCTCCTGAGTAGCTGGGACTACAGGTGCACACCACCATGCCCAGCTAATTTTTGTATTTTTTTTTTTAGTAGAGACAGGGTTTTGCTATGTTGGCCAGGCTTGTCTTGAATTCCTGACCTCATGATCCGCCCGCCTTGGCCTCCCAAAGTGCTGGGATTACAGGCATAAGCCACTACTCCTGGCCTCCACATTTTGTAAGTAAGAATACTGAGAGAGAAATTTAATAATGTGTTTAATGTCACACGGCCTAGAAGTAGACCAAATACGAATCAAATGTCTATCTGTCCAGTAAATCATTACAAAATACCAACTCACCAATTTTATTGCTATGAAATAAGCTCAACTGTGCTAATATTTATATTTTTATAAGACTGCTGTTTCTTACTGCCTTACCTTTCCCCAACCTCATGTCCCCAAAACACACACATGTATTTTCTCCCTTCGTAGAAAGTCATATCTCTTAAAAGTAAGGAAATATAATGAAAGAAGGTTGGTCGTGAATTAAAGGCTATCGATAAATTTTCAAAGCAATAAATAACTATTGTGGCTACATCCAAAATCAGCATTCCAAAACACATTTCAACAAAGCATGTCACATTTTAAAAAATGCAATTCTAAGATACAACCACATTTTTCATATGACTGGAATCACTTGGCCTTTTGCCCTGTGCTCCATGAAATCAGTGATGTTGTACAGAGAGGGGAAAAATAGATGGCTGTTCTAGACCTCTGAATCTCCTGCCAAGTCCCCCTATCAGAGAGACTATGAGTAACCCTTCCCTGCCTGGCATCATAATTCATCACTCTACCTCCTTTCTGCTTCCTTTGCTACCTGGGAGAAAAGCAATGTAAAATTTAATAAGTTGAATAAAAGTTATTTTTCCCACCATCTGTATGGATTCTGGAAGCGTGCCTTGCAAAGTACTTTTCATTACTAGGAGCTATGTAATACCAAAATCCTGCCTACCAGCTGTTGGCACCAGAGTAAGTCTAAGAAGTTCTTGAGCGGCCAAAATTTCATCTCATTTCCCTCTGCTGTGAAGTCCTTTTATGCATCTTAGTGCCTTCCACCCTTGGAAAGCTCTGCAGGGGAAGGACAACGTAGCTGAATATCTGTGAAGGCTAGGGTAAACACAAGCACTTTGCTTCACTTTCTTCAATTAGCTTGCCCAAATTCAGAAGGAAAGAGTAGTTTCTCAATATAATCTTTCACATTCATGTTTCAATATAGTAAGTCTCATCAGCCTCATAAAATTAAAGGCTACCATAATTAGCCAAAGCATGGCTGATTTATGTTTTTTCTCATTTAAAGATGTTTATATTTTAAATGTCTATAGAATATTACAGATTTTTCCCTAAAACTCAGTTATTTCTAGTTTTTTCTATAACTACTTTTTTTAAAGAACTTTTTTTTGGCTTTTATTTTTTGGTTTTGTTTTCTAAATGTATATGACTCTAAACAAAGTGTTTTGCAAAACCCTCTTTTGCAATGAAAGAAAACACTCTTTCTGCTTTTTTATTAAAGACAATTGTTTATTAACCCAAAATGACTACTTAAAGCAGGTCCCATCTCCTCAAATTAGTCTGTTCTTTTGAGTGCTACAGACAATCCATAAAGCCCTTTAGTGTCTCTCCTGGGTGGTAAAAATGCAGTTGTGTTACCTGTACTTATACGTTGGGCTTTCTAAACTTTATATCATTTTTATTGTTCTTATTTGGACTCTCCCCAATTTAACAAGACATTTTTTTAAATGTGTGCTTGAAAAATGCACACGATAATGTTCTTCTGAAAAAAATAAACTCCCTTATCCTTTATGTAATACCTCTGCTATACATTCACATATGAGCCGCAATTTGCCTTGTGCCTGAAGCATTACATTGCAAATTTATGTTAAATGAGTGGCCCACTATCCAAATCCTTCTCCTGCAGGATTATTTCATTTTCTTCATTGACTAGTTTATATAATGGTTCTGTCTCTCCAAATAAAGTTACTCCTTTTTGAAACACATATTCCTGATCCAAGCCTATCCCAGGATCTTTGGTGATATCACCTGCTAAATATAAACCCTTGATTCAAATATTGGCCATATTAAATTTTGTAGACATTGTAGTCAGATCATCCAAGAACATCTATGCTAATTGCATTGCCCTCAATTGATTTTATTTTTTGTTTTTCTGTTTGTTTTTCTCCCTCATTTGTTTAAAGACAGTGACAATCAAGTCAGCATTATGATTATTTGGCCTTTGGTGCCCATACTGCTGCATCAATTTTGCAATGAACCATTAAAGTTAATGTCTGAATAGTGTACGCTTGAAGTCAGACTCTTCAGAACTTTGAGACAAATTAGTTTTCAAAAGTGTATTCTAGGTCATAGACAATTTTGATTGTACACAAACCTTTCTTGTGTCACACTTCTGAGACGTGGGAGGCAGGAGGAGGTTAGTGGAGCTTTGAATATATATTTAAATTCCAAGAGCAGTGTTCTGACCTAGAATGGGTACAATGTTCAAAAATCATTAAGATAGGATTTTTGAAGGCCTAAACTCAAATGGGAAATTGTGGCAGGTGGATATGGGATTGCCCCCTCCTTGTCATTCAGTTTGGGCACAGTTGATATCACCTCTTTCCAACTTTGGGATCTGGTTAGAAATCAGATGGGTTTATTCTCCCTCCTTGCCACAGTAATCAATTTAGCAATCCTGGACAAAATAACAAAAGTTTGTGCCTTTTCTTCACCTCCAGGTGGTCCCATCAGCATCTATATTTGGTCTACTGATTGTGGCCATGTGAAAAAAACAATAATCACTATTTTTCAATATAAATATCTCATATGAAAATAACATGAAAAATATTTTAGTAAGTTTTACAAATTTTTTTCTAGCAAATCTTCATGCTGTTATGTTAAAAGTAGTCATGAGCATTCCTAGTTCATCAAAAAACATCATTTGAGTTTTATTAGTCAGCAGGTTTGACCATTAAATGTAATTTAAAATATCTTAGAGTTGGTGTTATTTTTAGTCCCACTATATCAGCAGTCCCCAACCTTTTTGGCACAAGGGACTGGTTTCTAGGAAGATAATTTTGATAGGGTTGGGGGTTAGGGGGGATAGTTTCAAGATAAAACTGCTTCACCTCAGATTATTAGGCATTAGATTCTCATAAGGAGCATGCAACCTAGATCCCTCACATGCGCAGTTCACAATAGGGTTTGTGCTCCTATGAGACTCTAATGCCACCACTGATCTGAAAGGAGGCGGAGCTCAGGCCATAATGCTCTCTTGCCCACTACTCACCTTCTACTGTGCTGCGCATTTCCTAACAGGCCACAGGCTGATACAGGTCCTCAGCCCAGGGGTTGGGGACCCCTGCACTGTATTACTCCAACCTGAAAAATATTTGAAATTCCCAATTCAAATGTAACATCATAGGTAGGAAATATATTTTGGTTGTAGTCTTTGTAACCTTTGACCTCCGATACTGAACTTTGAAAAAAAAAGACTAATTTTTTTTTTAGAGTAGTTTTAGGTTCACAGCAAAATTAAGAGGAGGGTACAGAGATTTCCCACATGCCCTTCTTTCTCCACATAATACCTAACTGTGTTAGTCCATTCTCACGCTGCTATGAAGAAATACCAGACATTGGCTAATTTATAAAGAAAAACGGTTTAATTGATTCACGGTTCCGCAAGGCTGGGGAGGTTTCAGGAAACTTACAATCACGGCAGAAGGCACCTTTCACAGGGGCGCAGAAGAGAGGATTAGTGTCCAGTGAAGGGAGAAGCCCCTTATACAAGCATCAGATCTGGTGAGAACTCACTCACTATCGTGAGAACAGCATGGGGGAACCTCCCCCATAATTCAAATTATCTCCACCTGGTCCCACCCTTGACATGTGAGGATTATCACAATTCAAGGTGAGATTTGGGTGGGGACACAGAGCCAAACAACACCAATAACCTCCCTCATTACCAACATCCCCCACAAGATACATTTGTTACAGTTGATGAGCACACATTGACACATCATTATCACCCAAAGTCCATTGTTTACATCAGGGTTCACTCTTGATGTTGTGCATTCTATGGGTTTGGATAAATAAAAACTGACATATATCCACTATTATAGTATCATACAGAGTAGTTTCACTGCTCTGAAAATCTTCAGTGGTGTGCCTATTCATATCGCTCCCTACTCCCAACTCCTGGAAGCCACTGATCTCTTTACTATCTCCATAGTTTTGCTTTTTCCAGAATGTCATATTTTCCAAATCACATAGTATGTAACTTTTTCAGATTGCCTTCTTTCTCTTAGCAATATGCATTTATATTTCCGCCATGTCTTTTCATGACTTTCTTTGCTTTAGTAAGATAAATCTCAAAGCAGCTAAGTTTCTATTTCTTTGCTTGTGAGGCTATAGTGTAGCTTATATCTTTACTGAATCTTGTAATTATGTCTGACCTGGACTTTTTTTTTTTTTTTAATTTCCTGTTATGGAGTGGAAGACCTGCTGCTTGGCCTCAGGATTAGTGAAGAGCTAATCTGAGTTTTAGTGATACATGAACTCATCTCAAGATTTCCCTGTAGAATGGCAGAGCCTGAGTCCTCTGGAATCATCTACAGATAGTGTCACCCTATTGCATCTGAACACTACACTTATCATTTTAACAGAACATGACATTTGGGCCTCTATCATTGCCTAATGACCCTACTAAACCTTGCTAGTTTGTTTTTTCCAAAATGTTTTTGCTCTCTTCTAATCCACTTGCATGCTCTTATGTGAACCACTTCTTTCTCCCTAACCTTTACCTGTATTTTCAACTTATAACCTGACTCATGCTTCACAGAGAAAAGACAAGCAATTGAATGAAAACTTTTTGGACTTCTCCCTGGGCTATCCATGAACGTGTGGATACACCTATCTGCCTGCCTTCCTTCTTACCATAAAGGATGATGTGTCTTAGATTTTAACAGTGGTTAATCCCTCCACTTTCACCATGGTTCTTATTCCACCTTTTCTGCTTGAGGATTTTGCTGTTATAATTAGTCTCTTCCTCTCCCACTTGATCAACTAGATCATACATTCTAGATCTTTTCATCTCTAATATTTCCTACTTTAAAAGGCACAATAAAACAAGAAATCAATTTTTTGCTAGTATACACAATTACAGGGCTCCAGTCTTGTTTACTGGTCCATCTTTCTCTGTCAGTCTTCTAAATATTGAGGTGACCCAAAACTTTATTCTCAGCATCTCCCCTCTACTCGCCTCTTTCCTTCACTTTACTTCTTTCTGTTTCTTTCCTATCTCTGTACGCTCTACCTCAGTGATTTTCTCTTTCAGAGAGTCATTGCAAACGACTCTCGAATTTGCAATTATAACTCAGATTTCCCAGCAGACCACCAGATGTGTATATAGCCATCTACTTGGCCTCTGCACTTGGACATCTAATTGGGAATTCAAACTTAGTGTGGTCAAAGCAGATGTCTTGATGTCCACCCCATCCCTCTCTTATCCTTAGCAAAGTTGTTCAGGACAAAAATATAGGAATCATTTTAATTTCCATGTTTCATATATCTATTACCTAAATATCCAACTTTAACTTTCACTGTTACCCACACAATGGGTGGGTTCTATCCTTTGGTGAGTGACAGTCCAATGATCATTACCAAGGAAAATTTAACAAGGAGATTTTATTACCTGCAAGTAAGGAGGGCACCCAGGTTAGCTGCTAAAGCAGTGCCTTCCTGACCAAAGGTGAAAACAGAGCTTTCATTGGGCTGATTAGTTGAGCCATTGCATGTAGAAGTGGAGTAAAGGCAGCAGAGGCTCAGTCACCAGTCATGCTTGTTCATGCTTTGCATGTATTGAAAATGGTGAATCAGTTCCTCTTGGGGTGGGGGTGTTAGTATGGTAATGCTGAGTTCACCAAAGTTTATCTCCAACTCTGACATCTCTGGATCCAACAGGTTTTTGTTGTTGTTGTTGTTTTTCCTGGACTGTGCTTCTTCCTGGAACTTTTGAAACTACAAAATCTCAGGGTGAAACAATTACCAGTGGGTAGATTTATACAGTGTGTACCTGAAAACCCAGGGACCCTGGGTTACCTCGCCAACACCACCTCTGAAACATGTTCTGAAAGTGTCTACTTTTTTCCCTCCTCACTATCCGCACCCTAGCTCAAGCTACCTCTACTACTTCGTCTTCTCTAATAGCTTCTTAATATACTATAGTAGCTTCCCTGCTTTATGTGTTCCAAACATACTCTATCAGTCTCAGAATGAAATCTAGGCACCATGCTTGCTGCATGATCTGCTTTCTGGCTTCTGCCTGATGTTATCGCATGTTCTCTTTCTTAAGTTCTATGTTCTAATCTCCAATTTATAGAACATGCTGATCTGTTTCTTGCATTCAGGCCTCTGCATTCACTGTTTCCTCTCTCTAAATTAGAATGTTCTTTTGTGCCCTACGAGTCCTGTGAATGTTTATCTCCTCCTATGAAAGGACTTTCCCCCACTTTAATTCTCAGTACTTCACTTCCTCCAGTCGCTCTTTATTCCATCACTCTAGTTTGTTCTTTTTTACACATTAATAGACACAATGTGAATCTGCTTACTAATCTGCCCAGCCCTCTCCTTTATATTGTAAATTCCATTTCAGCAATGGCTTTGTTAGTCTTCCTCACTCTTGTATGCACAGCAGTTAGTAAAGATACTTTTGTGAAAGAATAAATGAAATTCCTTTACCCTTGAACGTGTAGAGCTCATTGAAGTCTTCTAACTTTATTCCCTAACATGGATATTTTACAAGGAGCATCTTTTAGCAGGCTTTGTAAGCAGTTTGGTGCCTGCATTCTTGTTCTGACTTTGTTCATCCATCTCTCTTGGCAGCACAAATCAGGGACAAGGAATCCCTCGTCTCCTCCTGCAGAAATGTCAGGTTTGGTTTGGTTGTCATCCACAGATTTTTATTTATTCCAGCACACACTGATGGGCTAATGGGCCTCCTAAAGAGACTCAGCAGAAATTCTCCCTTCCAGCTGGAGACTGAAGAACTCTGGCTTAAATGAGGAGAAATCCTTGACAATGTTATTGCTAGATAAACTTTTATCCTGAATATGCAATTTTTTCCTATGTATTGATAACCTAGGTCATTAAAGATGATTAATGTCTGCCATATTCCACCAGCATTTAGAACAATTCTTAAAACCAGTTATAGTGGCACTAAAATTCATTCATCCAGCATTCAGCATAAAAGAGATTCTTTAAAATTAACAAATCAATTATAAATATATGTAGTGTGTATATATATGTGTGTGTACATATGTGTTATATATAACACATATATGTTATATATAACACACATATAACATATATATGTAATATATAACACACATATAACATATATGTTATATATAACACATATGTTATATGTATAACACATATATGTTATATGTATAACACATATATTATATATAACACATATATGTTATATATAACACATATATGTTATATATTATATATATAACACATATATGTTATATATATATAACATATATATATATCCTAAATTTCCTCATACATAGTATCTGACAACATATGTGTAATTTCTGCAGGAACAAGTAAGCCATAAATGGTGCTAGACACCTCATCCACAAAATTCCACTTAGAAGATTTGATATTTGCCTTGAGTTATTTAATCATTCCATAATAGTTGAAAATGTACTCTATGGCAGGCACAGTTCTGGGTGCCAGAATCTGATATGGACAGACAAGAAAACACACCTGCTTTCCTAGTTGTTCGGGGAAAAGTATAATAGGGAAATAAACCAGTACATTTATATTCATTATGTGATGCTAAGCCTTATGAAGAAAATCAGCTGGGTAAGAAGGTAATAGAAAAAGGGTGAACAGAGCATTGTATTCTCAATGGGTTGCCTCTCTGGCCTCTTCGATAAGGTAGTATAGGAAAATGTGAGCTATGGAGTCATCTTGTGGAGAACATTCCCAGCAGGAGAAATAGTAATGTCGCTGTTTTGCTATTCTAGAAGTGGTGTGTTCTGAAAACGGAAAGGATGCATTCTGGCTGGAACAAAAAGATGAGATAACAATTTTGTTTTCAAATCATACTATTGTTCATAGCTGCTTATTGGCATTTCAGATTTGGGAATTTGTGGGTTACTTGATTAGAAAGACATGGGAAATCAAGGACAAGGTTAAACAACAAGAGAAAGAAATTAGAGTTCAATAAAGCAAAAACAGAACAGTGGAAGATGATTTAATAGTGTTATGATTTGAATATGTCCCCCAAAAGTTAAGGTGTTGGCAACTTCATCCCTCTGCTCTTATGAATGGATTAATGTCAGTTTTATCCTTATGAATGGATTAATGTCAGCTCTACCTTCAAGAATGAATTAATGGATTAATGTCACTGTCACAGGAGTGAGTTTGTTATATAAGCCAGCTCTGTCTGGCTCTCTTTCTCTTGCCTATTTGCCACATGATCCCCCACACCACGTTATGACACAGCACAAAGGCCTTCACCAGATGCCAACACCATGGACTTGGACTTCCCAGTTCCCAGAACTATGAGCTAAATACACTTTTGAAAAAAATAAATTACCCAGTCTGTGATAGTCTGTTATAGCAACAGAAAACAAAGTAAGACAGATAGTAAAAAAGATCTCTGTTAATTCATGTTCTAGAAAGGATAAAATATACTTCTAAAAGTATATTACTGAAAGCACTGTTTCTGTGATGACGCCTTCAAAAAATCATTGACTGGAAAACAAGTTTGATATATGCTTTGCTATGGTGACTATAGAATAATATTATTTTATACTATATCCAGACATATGAGAGGTATAAAAATAAATACTAATATAAAAAATACTAAGTTAGTTGTGTTGATCCCAGAATCACAGAAACTTATTTAATCACAGAAGGTTTTACACATGTAATACATTTTGAAAACAATTGCCTCAGAAGTAAGAGTCAGATCTGATGTAGCGAGGTGAAGACTGACTAATGAAGGTGAAAATTGTACTATAGTAAAAAAAAAGATCCAAATGCAATGGCTTAAATATAATGAGACATAGTTAGACTCAATGACATGAAGTTATCCAGGTACCAAGGCTAGCATGGATGAAGTGGATGGTTGAGGGTGGAGGATGGTCAGCTCTCTCATCAACGTGTGGTTTTCAAGGATTGTGCTATTACTCATTACCTCTCAGCTGAGCCTCATCAACATTGGATACCAGCATTTTTCTTTGCTGTGTCCTGAAAGAAGAGTTTAATTATTGTTCATTTCTACACTGATGATAAATGTGTGCCATCGTTATTAAAACATTATCCTGTCAGAACCCCTGTGTCTTACGTTAGCTTGTCTCATGTTCCTTGTACCCTACAATGTCACAAAAAACAAAGCTCAAGATCAAGTATGGCAAATTCCCTTCAGTTGTAAAACCCTTTTGGTGTTCTGCTTTTCTCATTGGGTTCCACATTTAGTGTGTTTTGTTTGTTTGTTTATTTGTTTTTTCCTTATTTCTGGTCAGCCCATCAATGCATTTAAGGTAGTGTTTGTTGTATATAAATAAATTCAATTAGGAAAAAGGAAAAGCTATTTATTCAGAGCTTGCTAGTGCAAGGGAGTCAGCAATAGTATCTTGCATTTTGGCAGAGACTCAAATGCAGGCGGAAGAGTGGGAAAGCTTTATTATGGAAAAAAGAAAGACTTCAGGAATGCTCTGATTGAGGACTATTGGCATAAGAAAACTAAAGGCAGGCTAACTAGAAGTAGGGTATGCTATGTGACTGGATAGGAATGCATATTTGGGCTTTCTTTGCTTGGGCTTAGGAAAGTTATCTGTTCATAAGTCCTCTTATTTGGGATCAATTGTTACAGAAGTTTGTGCTTGGCTTCCAAGATGGTTACTAGAGATAGCACTCTGACTTCTACAAGTCTGTTTTATAACTGGCTGGCTCCCGGGCTCTTTATTGTAGATAAGGGGTTTCCTGGGCAGGTTGCTGCAGATTGTGGGTCAGATCCACATATTATACTTCCCCTACTCCCCACTTCACATGGTAAATTATAATCCTTCATAAGGCCTGAGAAGCCCGATGTGATCTTATTTCTGCCTAGCTGTTTGTATATTGTTTCTCACTAGTTTATTGATTTTTTTTTTCTTTTAACCAATATGTTTGACTCTTCACAGTAGATGGTTTGCTCAGGGAATCTATATCAAATTTTTAGTGACTAAGGTTTGGTCCTTAGGGTTTTTTTCTACTTATCTTTTTAATACTCCTTTCTTTAAATTTTCTCCCAAGTGATTTCATGCAGTTTCATATCTTCATATGCATTCTTTATGCTGATGACTCAAAATTACAGCTTCAAATAACGCCTCACCTTGAACTACACACGTAAAAGATAACACATTACTTGACATCTTTACTTGAATATCTAGAAGGCATCTCAAACTTCTAGGATTTCACAGAACTATTCAGATCTACCTCACAACGTACTGTACTGTCCACTCCCAAACCATATACTTCCCAGTAAATGACACTTCTGTTGACTTTGTTGTTCAGGCTAAAACTTAGGGTCCTTGATTCTTCTTGCCTATATCCAGTAACTCCTATCAGATTTGTCTCCAAAATATATTTCATACTTTAGCAAATCTCCACATTTCTGTCACTAACATCTTAGCCCAAGCCTGCATAATTTCCTGACTACCAATAGCCTTCTAAAAGACCTGCCTTTCTTTGTTCTTTTTCCTATGCAGTCTATCTTTTATACAGCATAGAAGATTTCATTTTCTTCCTCAAACTATAAAATATCAACTTTCTGAATTCCCATTTCACATGATAAATCATGATCCTTCATATGTGGCCTACAAGACCCAACGTGATCTTATACCTGCCTAATTCTCACTTATCGATTCTCCTCTCTCCGTTTTGCTTTTCACGAAATACAATTCTTAACATTAGACTAATGATTTCTGCCTCAGTAACATGGAACCTGCTGTTTCTTTTGCTTGAAGTCATCTTTTTCCAGATTTTCACAAAGCTACTAACTTTTCTTCTTTAGGTTTATACTTAAATATCATCTTTTCATAGAGAACTTTCCCAGCTCTGAGACTCACAGACATTCTCTACCACATTCCTATATTAAATATTAATAATAAAAGCTCGTGCAAGCCCTTGAAACGATGTCTCCCCTATGTATAAGCTCCTTGAAGCCATTAAACCATTTTTCTGATTCACTGACATAGGTATAGTTCTAAGAACAGTACCAGGCATATGGCAGATACTGAATAAATGTTTGCTGATTGATTAAAAGAAACTATGGCTGGAGTTGTGCTATAAAAATCAAATGGTGAAAGAGAAGCAGTATTCAGGTTTTTTGGAATATGGAAGAGTAGGGTGCCTTCTGGAGATAACAGCTGGCTGCTATGATTTTGATTGCCCATAAAACATTCATGGGTCAACAGGGAAAAAGAGATTACTATAAACACCTCCTTCCCTCTAGAATTTTACCTGGGGAAATAAACAAAGGTCAAGGAATTTTTATTGATTCTCCCATTGACTAGATGTTCTGAAGCAGTGGTAATTAATTAAGGAACTAAAACTTAAGTACAGGATAATCCATTGCCTGAAGCTAGAGACAGCAGCAGGGCTGGAGATTGCTGAAAAGCACTACAGTTCTCAACTACAAAGTGTGTGTAAAGAGTACTGCAATTTGGCTGAGGGCTAAGCTCTTTGAGGGGACAATAACTACTGGGGACAGGGAGGGACTCTGTAAGTCAAAGCAATTGACTGCAAAATCAAGCCTTATGTTAAGGAGGCAGCTTTGATGTAATTGTGAGAGCACTGATCTTGACATCCAGAGATCAGATTCAGTCTCAAGTTACTACTTCTTCAGTAAGTTAGATCCTTAACTTCCCCTTATCTCTACTCCCTCACCTGTAGAACTAGCAGAGTAACAACTGTTTCATAGTTTATTGTGACTAATCTCAATAACGTGGAAGTAAGAACCACAGAACAATTATACAAATTTTAGGAATAAGCCCTAAATACTTTTATATTCCTCCTTCAGATAAGACATTTGTTGACAACTAATTGTAGATTACATTG
Source organism: Homo sapiens (assembly GCF_000001405.40). Classification (NCBI taxonomy): domain Eukaryota; kingdom Metazoa; phylum Chordata; class Mammalia; order Primates; family Hominidae; genus Homo; species Homo sapiens. The sequence continues at coordinate 172,074,199 of NC_000004.12, forward strand.
ACATGAAGAAAAATTTAGCTTCCTTAACAATGTTCATTGTTAATCCTATATTCTCCATCCCACCTTATCATTTAAAAATCAGGTATCATTGAGTATTGCAATCAAAAATGTAAAACCTGCTTCAAAAGGTGATTCCATTATCTTGTAAATGCATAAAACCTTGTGGGGAGAAGGAATTAATGAAGCAAAACAAACAAAAAAACAAGACATTTGGGTTATTTGAAGCAGTTCAGTGACATCTCGTGTCACAATGCCAAGAGTGCGGTTCTATCATCCACAATTGCCATCCACAATTGCCTTTGTCTGTGGGAACTTCTTTAAACTGTGCTCAGTCATATGCATGCTTTACAAACTTTTTTTTTTAACATTGGTTACAGATGGTCATATAGCATATGACAAAATATAGGCTCAGAAAAATCAAATAATGGATCCAGGCACTGTGCAATCATCTGGGGGTAGTGTCCTGAGAAAAACAGGCACTGTCCCTACCCTTCTTATAAAAGTGCACAACACAATATGGAAAACAGGGCTTTAATTAAGCAAACAACATTGTCAAATTGCAAAAACGAGAATATCACTTGGGGCAAATGCACCAAACGAGAAGCTATTTCTTAAAATCAGGTGTACTAAGGAGATGTTTTCTTGATTGGGAAGATTTGGGAGGAGTTTTACCTTGCATGCTAACTTTTAAAATATGCTAAAGATTCTAACTTTTAACCTGTGTAATGGTACTTTTGGAAAACTTGCTTTTCCATTTTTAGTATGTTTGAAACATTTTGTTTATAACAATAATGTTCATATTATAGACAATCCTGCATGTTTTCTATCTTCTCTTTCACTATCAATTATTACAAGAATTTCAATTAGCTTTGGCATTTTAGGAATATTATGTATTGTTATTTTCTAATCGCCATGTTATAATTCTATAATGTTTATGTTTAGAAAATCTTGTATTTATTGTTTCATTTATTTTTTCTATGACTTATGGGCAAAATTTCAAATAATGTATGAGCTACCTATCCATCTAAATTCTAATTTTCCTTTTTAAATATTATAGGATTTTTTTTCTGGATTGAAGTTCTTGCTTTCTTTTTTCTTACAAACACATTTTCAAGCCCAACAGGTATCTTTTTGTTTGTTTGTTTGTTTGTTTTGAGACGGAGTCTTGCTCTGTCGCCCAGGCTGGAGTGCAGTGGCGCGATCTCGGCTCACTGCAAGCTCTGCCTCCTGGGTTTACGCCATTTTCCTGCCTCAGCCTCCCGAGTAGCTGGGACTACAGGCGCCTGCCACCAGGCCAGGCTAATTTTTTGGTATTTTTAGTAGAGACGGGGTTCCACCGTCTTAGCCAGGATGGTCTCGATCTCCTGACCTCGCGATCTGCCCGCCTCGGCCTCCCAAAGTGCTGGGATTACAGGCTTGAGCCACCGCGCCCGGCCCCCAACAGGTATCTTAAAAAAGAAAAATATTCTGGTAAAGTTTGCCGATAGTTTCTAAAACAGTCAAAATAGTCATGGCATCTCCCTTCTGCTCTAATACCCTGCCAGAAATGAGAAAGAGAGAGAGGGACAAAGACAGAGAGAGAGAGAGAGAGCGATCACTGTGTTAGAAAAGTGGGCAATCATATAGAACAATACAGAAGTCACCAGACTGAGCAAGTTAATTATCCCTAAAATATTTTTATCCTAGTGAGTGATGAATCCTTTAAATATGTGTCCTTAAATTTGTGAGATAGTTTACATTGTAGTGTATTGCATACAGCTCTTTAATGTATTCACACAGATCATTTAGTTTGGCTTAATTAATTGTTTGGTCTCTTTTGCAGAGAGGCATGTTTGGTAGAGGGAAAAATTCCTTTGGATAAAAATGCACCTTTGTAAATGACATGCACCAGGTTGTGTGTTTTTCCTCTAATAGCACCACCATTTTGGGAATTGACCTAGATGCCCAAGAAAGTCCTCATTATTGAGAATTTATGTTTCTCTGGTGGCTTTCATTTGCTAAATTAGTCTCTGCTGCATATTAAACATAGATAGCTAATGCCACTTTATTGCTGCTGGTCCTATTCAGCATCTCTTTTCACAGAATGCAATCTACATAATTAGAAAATAGCATGACTTCTGAATCTGGCACATCAGGAGGGTAAAGATGTCGTACTCTTGCTTTCATTTCATATGCCAACCTTTGTAACACTGATGGGATAATAACATTCTTTCAATTTTATAATGGTAATAGGTGTACTGAATTGTGTTGCTGGAAGTACGAATGAAACAAAGGGAAGATATGAATTTATTAATACAAGAAAACATAAGATTCAAGTTAGTTATCAAATAAAATTAAAAAAACATTTTGTATTGCAGAAAATCGCCACATCTGTACTGTCACTAAAAATAATTGCAAGACATGTGAGACAAATAGCATGCTTTTTATAAACCAGTCTACAAACTACTCAAATTCTTGCTATGTATTTCATATTCATATATTTTCCCATTATTCATTTGTGTCCCATTTAAGTAAAGCTCATAAAGATATTATAAGGTATATTCCTAAAATCTCTACATAATATCTCTGTTATTTGAGAAAATATCAAATTTTACTTATGATATTTTTGAGGGATTACAACATAAGGCCAATTATATGGTTTGGATTTGTGTCCCCACCAAAATCTCATGTGGAATTGGAGGAGAGACCTGGTGGGAGGTGATTTGATTATGAGGGCAAATTGCTATTCTCATGATAGTGACTGAGTTCTCACAAGATGGTTTAAAAGTGTATGGCACTTCCCTTTGCTTTCTCTCTTCTGCCACCATGTGAAGAAGGTGCCTACTTCCCCTTTGCCTTCTGCCATGATTGTAAGTTTCCTGAGGCTTCTCAGTCATGCTTCCTGTTAAACCTATGGAACTGTGAGTCAATTAAACCTCTTTTCTTCATAAATTACCAGTCTCTGGTAGTTCTTTATAGAGTGTGAAAATGGACAAATACAGAAAATTGGTACTAGGAAAGTGGGGTGTTTCTATAAAGATACCTGAAAATGTGGAAGTGGCTTTGGAACTGGTTAACAGGCAGAGTTTGAAACAGTTTGGAGGCCTCAGAAGAAGACAGGAAGATGTAGAAAAGCCGGGCACTTTCTAGAAAATTGTTGTATGATTTTGACCAAAATGCTGCTAGTGATATGGACAGTGAAGTACAGGCTGAGGTGATCTCGGATGGAAATGAGGAACTTACTGGGAACAGGAGTAAAGGTCACTCTTCCTATGCTAGCAAAGAGCCTGGCAGCTTTTGCCCCTTCCCTAGAGATCTTTGGAAATTTGAACTTGAGAGAGATGATTTAGGGTATTTAACAGAAGAAATTTCTAAGCAGCAAAGCATTCAAGAGGTGACCCAGCTGTTTCTAAAAGAGTATATTTGTATGTGTGAACAAAGAGATTATTTGAAACTGGAACTTATATTTAAAAGGGAAACAGCATAAAAGTTTGGAAAAATTGAACCTAGCCATATGGTAGAAAAGAAAAACCTATTTTCTAGGGAGAAATTCAAGTCTGCTGTAGAAATTTGCATAAGTAAAGAGGAGTCAAATGTTAATAGCCAAGAGAAAGGGGAAAATCTCTCTAGGGCATTTCAGAGACCTTTATGGCAGCCCCTCCCATCACAGGCCTGGAGACCTAGGAGGAAAAAAATGGTGTTATGGGCCAGGCCCAGGGCTCAGGGGCTCTGTGCAACCTCAGAACAGGGCGCCCTGCATCTCAGTTGCTTTAGCTCCCATGACTAAAAGGGACCAAGGTACAGCTTGGGCCATGGCTTCAGAGAGTGCAAGCCCCAAGCCTTGGTGGCTTCCATGTGGTGTTGGGTCTGTGGGTGCACAAAAGGCCAGAGTTGAGGTTTGAGAACCTCCACCTAGATTTCAGAGGATGTAAGGAAATGCCTGGATGTCCAGGCAGTAGTCTGCTTCAAGAGTGGAGCCCTCATGGAGAACCTCTACTAGGGCAGTGCAGAGGGGAAATGTGGAAGTGATTGGAACATGGGGGCAGATTTCCACCTTGCTATTCTCGTGATAGTGAGTTCTTATGATATGTGATGGCTTAAAAGTGTACGGCACATCCCCCTTTGCTCACTCTCTCTCCTGTCACCATGTGTGGAAGGTGCTTGCTTCTCCTTCCCCTTCTGCTATGATTGTAAGTTTCGTGAGGCCTCCCTGTCATGCTGTTAAGCCTGTGGAACTGTGAGTCAATTAAACCTTTTTTCATAAATTACACAGTCTCAGGTACTATTTAACAGCAGTGTGAAAATGGACTAATACAGCTAGAATTTTATTTATTGATATGTATGTTGGTAGCTAGTAAACTAAATTCAACCAGCCATTATTAGGTATGAATGATATACATGGATATATCTTAGATACTGAAAGGGAAGTTAAAATTAAGAGGCTGCTTCAAGTTGATTAGAGTAAACTTGAAAAGCCTGATATGTAGAACTAGTATTTTAATATGGCGCTGTCTTGGAATAGTAAACTAATATAGTCAATGTTGATTCATGGTCACTTTCTTGTCTTTGAGGGAAAAGGGTGTATTCGTATCTTTTTTATAGGGAACTGAAATAAACATTTCCAATTTTGAGTGCATTTTAGATTGAATCTTTAGAATGTTTTGATATAGAAATCTAAATTTTAAAAAACTTTATAAAACAAATGAGGTTTTATTTAATCACACATTTATTGAAAAGATGCCTTCCTCAAATTCATTTATCATAATAAGGCATACATGATCATATTACTGTTTCAACAGTATTATTGCTGGTTTTGAGAGTTCTCATCTGCAAATGTATGTTTATGCACACATGTATGCATGCAAATATATAGCCATACATACTCAAATATGTATCTATATTTATGTTTTTATCCATATCAAAGTCCATATCTATATCACTAACTATATCACCATCTATGTCTGATTATATACCTATCGAAAATAAGATTCTGCTGGTAGTAAAGTTTATCCTCACTTTTTTCACTGAACAATATGTCATAGGTTTTTTTTGTCATTAGATCAGCAAAATGTATATGTATTTGTGTGTAAAATATATTATAGATAATGTAGATTTGGATAATCATTTTATTAGTTTTACAGTATTTCCTGGTGTGGCATTTCATACTTATTTAACCAAGCCTGTATTATTGATTTTGTAGGTTATTTTAGATACTTTACTATTATATATAATGCCTTTATGTATATCTTTGATTAATTGACTATTTTCTTAGTTCTCTTTCTGTAATTTTGATTTATTGATAAATCATAAATACTTACATTTAAAATGGTTCCACATAGTACTCAATTTTATCTCCAGAAATGCTGTACCAGTTTACACTCTTACCACAATTTTGCGATAAATATTATCATGATAACTAAAATTTTGCCACTGTAATAAGTTAAATCTTGGTAGCTCTTTATTGTTTTCATTTTCCTTTGCTCAGTAGTGCCTCTTTTGATTTGAATAATGGCTTTTCTACTCAAGTTCTTCTGTGTATTTGGAATTGAATTAAATGAATTTCTTATTTTTCTACTGAAATAATTACTAATTCTCTTAATTGTGATAACTTTTAGTATAAGAGATATTTACCTACTGTCTATCATGAACACAACACTTTTTTTTTTACAAAATTTTGTTCTCTTTAACTTTTTAAAAAAAATTTGATTGATACTAGTTTTCTTATGGAAACAATGTTTATGTGGTTAAATCTAGCCTTTTTCCTTCATGATTTCTAATCCTAGTGTCATACTTAGAAACATCTTTGCTGTCTAATATAGATTATAGACTTATATTTTATGTGTGATTTTTACATGTTTTACCATAAAATATCTATAGCACTTTCCTTTTAGGCATGACTTTTTCCCCAATAGCTCACCAACAGTGCTAACATAATTTCTCAAATTAAGTTTCCCTTCCACAGCTTTGAAGTGCCACATTTACTTATTTACTTATTTATTTCTTATTTAAAATTTTTTCTTAGAGACAAGCTCTCGCTTTGTTGCTCTTGCTTGAGTGTAGTGGCAAGATCATAACTCACTGCAGTTTTAAACTCCTGGGCTCAAGTAATCCTCCCACCTCAGCCTCCTGAGTAGTTAGAACTACAGGCACATGGTACCACATTTAGCTAATTTTTAAAATTTTTTTGTTGAGACGAGGTGTCTGTATATTTCCCGGGTCCACAACAATTCTCCCACCTCATTTCCCAAAGTGCTGCAATTACAGGCATAAGCCACTGTGCCTGACCTGAAATGTCACATTTTTGATTACCAGGTTTACATATATATGTATGTGTTAGCAGGTACATGTATATAAATTATATGACTATTTTAGAAATAATTCCCACAAATAAAGTGCAATAAAATTTATAAATAGACCTATATATGTGTGTATACAAAATATTTAAATATTAATACACAATTATATATAAATATATGTTGTATATCGTATATCAATGCATAGGTCATACAGTTTGGGTCTGATTTTGAATTTTCTACTGTGTTTCACTGATTTATTCAGAGTCATTAATATAAGTCACTCTAAAAGGGCAGTTTTTATAGTGCATGAAATATTCCAATAAAATATAGTATATAAATTGTGGTATATAAATTTATATTTAATTTTTTAAATTTATATTTTATATTGTAGTATATAAATTTACATTTCTTGTTGCACACTCTTCATCTGGCATCAATACTTCTACATGTCAATAGCATACCCAGTGTTGCCTCTCTTAAACATTTACTGATGGGATCACTGCTATGAAACCCCTTCATATGGCAGCCATTATTTGTAATCCATTTCTCATAACCTATTTAAAACAATCACCTGGAGTACATTTTGAATGTACTATGTTTAAATAACATATAGCACCCAAGTGCATGAATATATAGAGGCAACAGTTACTTGAGAAAAAATAGATATATAGACATCAAAGGCAAAAGCTAGAACCGAGCCCTCAAAAGGGCATATAATGGAGAGTGAACCTTAATGCTTATCTTCAATCTGTATTCATGAGAAACTGAGAAACAGGAAGCTGCATCTGGCATTTGTTTGTGCTACTTCCAAAATAACTGGAATAAGTGTGACATTAGTAAAGAACTACAAACCTATTAAGGCTGAGTCTGCAAGTTGACAACCTGGGTGGGCATGGTGGCTCACGCCTAGAATCCCAGCACTTTGGGAGGCCAAGGCAGGCGAATCATGAGGTCAAGAGATCGAGATCATCCTGGCCAACATGGTGAAACCCCGTCTCTACTAAAAATACAAAAATTAGCTGGGCGTGGTAGCGCATGCCTGTAATCCCACCTACTCAGGAGACTGAGGCAGGATAATCACTTGAACCTGGGAGGCAGAGGTTGCAGTGAGCCGAGATTGCACCACTGCACTCCAGCCTGGTGACAGAGCAAGACTCCGTTTCAAAAATAATAACAAATTTTAAAAAAATTGACAATCTCTGTGATAAAGGTGTTGCTAAAATGCTTGGAGCAGGAAGTGGAACACAAGATGAATGTGGGAGAAGGTAGTGCTGATGCATATACAACAGCCATACTACAGGAACCCTGGCAGGAGATAATGGTAGCTTAGACGAGGTGGTGGATAATGGAGAGAAGTGGAGAGAGTCAAATAATGTTTTCTTTTTTCTTTATTTATTTATTCCTTTTTTTTTTTTTAAATTGAGACAGAGTCTCGCTCTGTCACTGAGGCTAGAGTGCAATGGCTCAATCTCTGCTCACTGCAATCTCTGCCTCCCAGGCTCAAGCTATTCTCCCGCCTCAGCCTCCTGAGTAGCTGGGATTACAGGCACCCATCAAATTGCCCCGCTAATTTTCGTATTTTTAGTAAAGATGGGGTTTCACCATGCTATCCAGGCTGGTTTCAAATTCCTGACCTCAAATGATCCAGCTGCCTCGGCCTCCCAAAGTACTGAGATTACAGGCACTGCACCTGGCCAAGTCAAGTAATATTTTCTAAGTAGAGCCATCATGTTCATGAAATATTAGCTATGGGGAAGGAATGAAAGGAAAGTAACTTGGAGAAATTTAAAAACAAAAATACCAAATTCTGTTGTACAAATGAATAACAGAAGCCTAGGTTTTAGGGAGGGAAACAAATGTACTTCAAAACAGATTGAATTTGAGATGCCTTTCAGAAATCCAAAAGGGAAAATCAAGTAGGCAATTGAATCACAGAGGACATGATTGGGCACAAAATGAAATATGTGAGGTGGCAATTGCACCTGCAGTTATAGATGAGATTACCAAGGGAGAGAGCAAAGGGATAGAAAAGGGGCTAAGATTTGAGCTTAAATAACTGTATAGGGGAGAATGTACCTGCCAAGGAGAAAGACAATGAACATTGAAAGTAAACGGGAGAAGAAAAGCAAGAAAGATTGTGGCAGAGAAGACAATGAAAAAATGGTATAAGAACCAGGGACCAGTTATCATTCTGGAATTTTGATAAGATGTTAAATAGGAGAACACAGAAAATATTTTACTTTAATGGCGGTCACATGAGATTTTAGCAAGAATCACGTCAGCAGAGTCGTGAAGCTCAATGAACCTGGACTAGGTTGGGTTGAGGATGGAATGAAAAATGAGAAAGGAGACATCTATGAGCATTGGTGGTGCTTTAAAAAGTTTTATTGGAAGTGGAGGGAGAGGGGTTTATTTTATTGGCTGAATTCTTTTTGAGACCCTTAATCTCCTCTTCATTGTTTGTACTTCTTTTTTGGTGTTATAAGTTAATGTTTATCACTAAAATATTTCCCAAAAGCTTGATCCTTCTGGAATCTTCTTCCTCTCAGCTCATAGTAGTTTCATTTTCCCAAGTCCTCAGGACAAAAACTTTAGTGTTATCTTTAACTCACCTCTTAATCTCATGCTTCACAACACTTTGTGAGTAAATCCTGTTGGTTCTGTCTTAAAAATGTTTTCAAAATAAGTTTTTTCATCACTTCCACAGAAAACTATCTTGTCTAAGACTTTCTCTTGCTTTATCTGAATTGTAATTGTAAAATCTCCCTAAGTTGTATTTCTAATCTGTCTTTGCCCCACTTCAAGACAGTTCTCAAGAGACTGATCCTTTTTATACATATTAGATCCTGTCATTTCCATGCACAAAACACTCCATTTAAACATGAGCTAGTGATATCCTAGCTCACTTAAATGCTAAAGTTTTTACAATGACATCCTAGGTCCTCAAGGATTGCTGATTTAGCTCAAGATTAATTGTTCTCCTTGCTGTTCCTCAAACACAATATCATACTCAAGAATGTTCTTGGCCCAGGGCCTTTGCATTAACTGTATTTTCTACCAGAAATAGAATTCCCTTAGATATTTCCGTAGCTCCCACCCTTATCTCTTTCTGCTCAAAGGTCATCTTATCAGTGACACCTTGTTAAATAATATTACTCAATATAGCAAACTTTAGTCCCTTCTCCCCAACCTCATGACATTCCTTATCCCTTTTCTCCTTTTTCATCCTCTATGCCACATATCATGTAATGTATTAGAGATTTTGTCTATTCGCTTGTTTTTTTACGTGTCTCTCTCCATTACAGCATAAGCTACATTAGGGCAGAAATTACTGACTAATCTTATAACTGTTCTAGTTCTAATGACCATAACAATGCCTCATGTACTGTATGAGTTCATTTGCTATTTCATGAAAAACAAAGCTGTGGGAATAGATATACTCTCAAGAGGAATGAGGAGTAAGCGTGTTAAGCTATCTGTAAGAACCCATGGAACTCCATTATTTAAGCAGTGGCTGGAGAATAGGATTCAAAATAAGTCAGGAAGTATACACAAGGCAGAAGGAACACCTGCAGAGATTGATGTCATAGGAAACAAGAGGAAGTTTGAAGTAGATCACAGAGTTGTTTTCTATGACAAAGGCTGTGAAAAAATTAAACAAAATGGAAACTGAATACAAACCTGGGAGTTTGTCTAATGAGAGGTGATTGATGACATTGAAATTGACTTCTAATAAAGAAGATTGGTAAAATATATGTGAGTGAACTAGGTTTGCAGTAGGTTGTGATAAAATGGAGTATGAGAAAATGAAGAAGTGAATATAGAAAACACCAAGAATGCTGGTAAGAGGGAAATTTGTGGTGAAACGAAGAATTTTTAAATTTTGCAATTTCTTTTTCCTCCTAGATAGGAGCTGAGCAACATAACTGGAACAAGAAAACGATGACCATATTATGACCAACTAAATGTTATGCCATAAAACAAACCTATATTACAACAGCAGGTCTGCAAAGGTATTACAGTGCAAGACAAAACATTAATATTTGTACAGTGCAATGGTGTGATCACAAACTGCTCTTGACGGAAGAGGTCTGCATCATTTTAACTGTGGGTGAATTTATAATCAAAGGATTTGTTCTTTGTTTTTGTCTTTATTTTTTATTTATGCAGTTTAGCCCAAGATGTGTCTAGAAATGTCATTTTTTTAAATAGCCCACTGAATGTATTAAACTGGGATCAGGCAATTTGGCCTATCGTATGTTGCATTTCTTCATCTGATTCCTAATATTTCATCAGTATAATGAGTCATATACAGGTGATGATTATCACATAAAATTTACATTTACTAAAATATGAGCATAAGAAGGAGAATAGACACAGCCAGGAAGCACTGTCAGGATAGTATATGATGTTGTCACGTAAAATTATTTACTAAAGTACTTCCTGAAAATTCAATCAGCAATTTGAAAATCAGTCATTTAAATTTCAACAAGATATCAGGGAGAACTGAGTTTCTTAAAGATGTGAAGCACAAGAGGGTGTCCCTAAACAAGATTAAGGTATTTCTATTAGAAAATTATAATAGAATATATTGTAAGCAAAAAATAATACATATAAATAGCTATAGGAAAAAATCTAAATATATAGTAATCAATGATAACAGCAAAGGTGATTAAGTACAAATCATAGGAATACCTAATTTTAGTACATTTAGTTATTCAAAATACCCATATTTTGTTGAAGTTCCCTGAACATAAGTTTGGAAAGACAGATATAAAATACTAAGAAATGTATAAATTGGTTACTTTTTAAGGAAGGGGAAAAATAAAGAGGCAACCTGATAACACCACAACATTCTGGAGCAATGAAAATGGCTGGGAATTCATGTAGGAATCATACGTTTCCATTATGTGATTAAAAATATGAAATACATTACAGGCATGGTGGTTCATGCCTGTAATCCTAGCACTTTCGGAGGCCAAGGCGGGAGGATCACTGGAGCCCAGGAGTTTGAGACCAGCTTGGGCAACATGGAGAAAGCCTCTCTCAAAAATATGTATATATATTTCATATGAAAATGAAAGAACATTAACAAAATTATACATTAAGCATGAATAGCTACTGGTTTAAGGCAGAAGCATATTAATATTTTAAATAACGTATTTTAATTTGCATGGCAAGAAAATCATCTTAATTATATATTTAAATTATTTTAAAATATAAATGTATTTAAAAATCTAAATATATTTTGTAAATGTTTGTATAACATTAAATGTTCTAAATATAAAAATAATATTGTCTTTCTATATAAAGTTTAATTTCTTCCAGGAAGTAGTCTAAAGCATCTTCTAGAGGCACACACAGCTTTATAATTTTTTAATTTTGTGCTTTATCATACTTTTCATTTCATGACTTCTCTACCTGACATCACACTCAAATATCTAGATTAGTGCTTTGCACTCTGTAATCCTTAACAAATACTTTTAGATCAATTTAATGGGTACTTTGCAAACACTGTAGCCTTTGTTCCCAAACTCAGATTATTACACCACCATAGAGAGTTTGTCTTTGTTTATATCAACCAAAATTCTATCAGTTCTGATAGAAAAAAGCATTAATATTCTCTCGGCTGGCATTATTTCCTGAAAGAATTGTCCTGAGGGATTTAGTAAGGTCAAATAGTAGAGATAATAATTTATTAACCTTTATGATTAGGTGTACACATTAGCTGTAATTAAACTGTAGAAAATTAATACTATGATTTTTAAATGAGTAATATAATTATACATGAAGATCTATTTGCAATATATTCATATTTAGCATGTTAAGGGAAACATCGTGTCTGAAGCATTAGTTTTCTAGTTATTTCACTAACTTCCTCTATGATCAAAAATAACTATTTTTAAGAATAATCACTTATAATGTCAATTTTATTTCTGTGCAAGCTATTTTTGTTGTATATATATAATTATTTTGACTTTAAACTTGATTTTAAAGCAGTTTTAATTATTTTATTGTTATAAACTTTATTCCTAAAGTTTATTCCTATAAACTTTATTCCTAACTGTTCTAAAATAAGATACCTATAAACACATGCACACAGAGTTGAGATTAACTGGCGAGTCATGATTTATACCTCAATAGTAACCCACAGAAGTAACTGTGATTGGCCACTTTCATATTTTCAGCTCTGCTGTTTTTGACCTCCATTATTTCAAATAATATGCATTTATTTCTGTCTAGTGAGTGATTTATCAAGTTGGCATTCTTATTGACTTCTTATTATAAAAAATAGCAAGAACAAATTTTCTCATACTGTTCTAGTACCATGTATAGTATACCTATTTCCCTTTCCTATTTACTTAACAAAATTTTGACAGATTATGGGTATTTATTTAACTAAAAATATTCGGAAATTTTACTTCTTAAATATTAATAAAATGAACATTCTTCATATGGAATATACCAATATTGCTTGACATCCTGTCCATAATTTAAGATGTGCACATGAGAGTCCCTCTTCTGTCTCCTGCTACCTTCCAGTTCCTACCGTGTATTGTGGGAAATGACGAAAGTATTCAAGGTTATTCATTGAAGTTGTCAGTTGTAATGGTAAAGGCCTAGAAACAACCAAGGTGGCTCTCTCAAAGTTGAAATAAACTGTGATACTCATACAACATAGAGCACTGGCCGGGCGCAGTGGCTCACGCCTGTAATCCCGGCACTTTGGGAGGCCGAGGCAGGCGGCTCACGAGGTCAGGAGATTGAGACCATCCTGGCTAACAAGGTGAAACCCCGTCTCTACTAAAAAATATAAAAAAATTAGCCGGGCGTGGGGGTGGGCGCCTGTAGTCCCAGCTACTCGGGAGGCTGAGGCAGGAGAATGGCGTGAACCCGGGAGGCGGAGCTTGCAGTGAGCCGAGGTCGCGCCACTGCACTCCAGCCTGGGCAACAGAGTTAGACTCCATCCCAAAAAAAAAAAAAACAAAAAAAACAAAAAAAACAAAATAGAGCACTAAGCCTATTTTGAAACAAGATAGAAATGTATATAGTAATAATGTTCCGTGTTCCACAAACATTGCTAAGCGAAAGCAAGGTGCAGAAAAGCATATGTAGTATGTCACCATTATGAGGAAAATAAGTAAATATATATCATTGCCTTTTAAAATAAGCAAATATATACTATTACCTCATGGAAAAAGGCAGTAATGTATACTTGATTTTTTTTACAAGGATTTTCTGTAAAGGTCCCCCTCAAAACATAAACAGTGATTACCTACAAATAGCAGAAAAAAAAAAAACAGTGGAAATTTAGGGGCCAGTGAGTTTTTTTATCGTACATCTTTTTTATATATATTTATTCTGAACCATGCAAATATATTAGCATCTGAAAAACTACTATAAATTAGTTATTAGTTAATTAGCCATAGTTAAAACATAGTTAAATAATTTGGTGTTCAATCAAATACTTTCTTATAAAGCTTCCTACTGTAGGTTGATCCCAAAAGTAGGGAAGAAATAAAAGTTGCCTTATTAAGACTATATGAATAATGTTCACTTCAGAACAAAGTAGTTACTGGTTGTACAGAAAGAGATATTGAATCCTACCTAATTGCCCATCATTCTTCCAAAAAGTTTATGATAATAATTAAAATAAATTATGTTTTTATTTTCATGACTTTTTCAAAATCATGCTACATAATAATTTGCTATTCATTTTGAACCACAGTTTTCTTGTACAGATCTTTACTTTTTCCCAAAGAATATTATTGCCATTATTTTAGCTTTATGCTTTCACTATTACTCTAAGATTATTAGCCCTCTTCATCATATTTATTACATGTGTAGGGGTGAAGGTTCACTGAAACTGAATAGACAAAAAGCAAATTAATAGGAAAATGCATACAAATTAATTTTAATGTGCATAGCATAAGGAAATTACAGAAAAATGATTACCCAGTAACTCAATGTGGTACAGATGTGTATAACGCCTTCTTCATAGGGGAAGAAGAGTTAGGAGAAATGGGGCCGTCTGAGGGATAGTAAATGCTTTTTATGGGGAAAATGAATAGATTTAATGCTCAGACAATGGTTAATAAATAATTTCTTTGGAAATTAAATTGAACAGAGAGTTTGATTTGGAACAAAGTCTGGGCTCTAGGTGTAGGGTTTAGTTTTCAATCTCCTCCTCTGGAATATGAGTTTTCATCTTTTCTGGTTAATGAAATTTCAGAGAAGGCAACTCTGTTTCTCTTTAGCATATCTGGTTTCTAGGAAAGTAAGGGAACTTGAGAGAACAGATTAATCCTGTGCTCGAGAGAGACAGGTGATTCAGAGATAACAGCAGGGTAGGGGAGAGGCCAGAGAGACCTTGCAACTATTTCTTTAACCAAATTTCTGAGTGAAATAGTCTCGTTTCCTTCAGTCCCCTGTTTAAAATTTTATTTTCAGAAAGTTGCACATATTAAAGTAGGGTTGGTAGCTATGGATAGAGAAATCAGGGTAGTAATCAAGTGGCGTGAGACCTGCAAAAGAAGAAAAGAACATAGATTACACTGAGAATGAGTACATAGAAAAGAACTCATCTAAGCACTTTTCTCCACACCCAATTAAGTCAGTTTTATTTCTGAGAATAGACCAGTCCAATTAAACAGTTGAGTCTCATCTTAGGAGATGGTAGTGCAGATGGGTTCTCAAAGCTAGGTCTCTATATATGATGCAGGCAAACAAATCTTTATTAAGAGGCATTTCTATGGAAACAGAAAAAAAAAGACTAATGTCTGGAGTCATCTATAAACTAGTTTTTCAAGTCTGGAGGGCAGTCAGTTGCAAAGATTTTTTTATCTGAGCTGAAGCATCTTCAGTTGGAGGAGGGCAGACAGCGGCAATCTGACAGATTTTCCTAGCACAGAAGTGGTCCATGCACAAGCCATCACGGTGACTTCTCTGGAGTCTATTTATTACATGGGTGACCAGTTTCAGTTTGCAGGGCTTTAGGAAAAAGGCCATTTTAATTTTAGTAATTCCAAGTCAGAAGGGTGGGAGAGAAATTGAAAATGTTTGTTTGGAGATTCATAGCCCAATATTGGAGGAAACTGAATATTCAGGATTAAGTCTAGGTAATTTAAAAGAAAAAAAAACTCAAAAGCAAATGAATCAGGCTAGAATTTAGTAACAAGTGCACTATAGTTTCTTTTCTTAGGTTCATTCTAAAATTAATTTATTTCTTTATTTATTTGTAATTATACTTTAAGTTCTGGGTTACATGTGAAGAAAGTGCAGGTTTGGTACATAGGTATACAAGTGCATGGTGGTTTTGCTGCACCCATCAACCCATCATCTACATTAGGTATTTCTTCTAATGCTATCCTTCCCCTAGCCCCTGATTTCCCAAAAGGCCCCAGTGTGTAATGTTCCCCGCCCTGTGTCCATGTGTTCTCATTGTTCAGCTCTCACTTATGAACGAGAACATGAGGTGTTTAGTTTTCTGTTCCTGTGTTAGTTTGCTGAGAATGATGGTTTCCAGCTTCATCCATGTCCCTGCAAAGGATATGAACTCATCCTTTTTATGGCTGCATAGTATTCCATGATTTATATGTACCACATTTTCATTATCCAGTCTATCACTGATGGGCATTTGGGTTGGTTCCAAGTCTTTGCTATTGTGAACGGTGCCACAATAAACATACGTGTGCATGTGTCTTTATAGTAGAATGATTAATAATCCTTTGGATATATACCCAGTAATAAAATTGCTGGATCAAATGGTATTTCTGGTTCTAGATCCTTGAGGAATTGCCACACTGTCTTTCACAATGGTTGAACTAATTTACACTCCCACTAACAGTGTAAAAGCGTTCCTATTTCTCCACATCCTCTCCAGCATCTGTTGTTTCCTGACTTTTTAATGATTGCCATTCTAACTGGCATGAGATAGTGTCTCATCGTGGTTTTGATTTACATTTCTCTAATGACCAGTTATGATAAGCATTTTTTCATATGTTTGTCGGCTGCATAAATGTCTTCTTTTGAGAAGTGTCTGTTCATATACTTTGCCCACTTTTTGATGGGGTTGTTTTTTTCTTGTAAATTTTTTTAAGTTCTTAAGGTTCTGGATATTGCCCTTTGTCAGATGGATCAATTGCAAAAATTTTCTCCCATTCTGTAGGTTGCCTGTTCAATCTGATGATAGTTTCTTTTGCTGTGCAGAAGCTCTTTAGTTTAATTAGATCCCATTTGTCAATTTTGGCTTTTGTTGCAGTTGCTTTTGGTGTTTTAGTCATGAAGTCCTTGCCCATGCCTCTGTCCTGAATGGTATTGCCTAGATTTTCTTCTAGGGTTTTTATGGTTTTAGGCCTCATGTTTAAGTCTTTAATCAATCTTGAGTTAACTTTTGTATAAAGTGTAACGAATGGGTCCAGTTTCAGTTTTCTGCTTATGGCTAGCCAGTTTTCCCCAACACCATTTATTAAACAGGGAATCTTTTGCCATTGCTTGTGTGTGTCAGGTTTGTCAAAGATCAGATGTTGTAGACTTGTGGTGTAATTTTGAGGCTTCTGTTCTGTTCCATTGGTCTATATATCTATTTTGGTACTAGTACCATGCTGGTACCAAGGCTACAGTAATTACAAGTTTCTTTTTTTTCTGAAACAATTTTTCTCTCTCTGGTTTCCCCATTTTTACCAAAGATAAATTATTAATAAGACAAATTTATTTGCAAAATGTTTCATCCTTGGCCTAATTATTTGCATACATCTTACAAGACTGGTGATTGTTCATATAGAGTCTTTTTAAGCTGGCTTTGCTGGAACTTGTTCATCAGGAATTTCAGATTAGACTTTTAAAAGTCTCTCAAAGCTGGAAAGCCAAGCCAAGAATTTGACTTGCTCTCAAACTTTGTAATACCTTTATGAATTGGGTGAATACCTCTCTTCTTGAGATCCCCCAAAATATCTTCAGATTCCTGGGCCTGCCAGGAAGTGACATTCTTTACCCAACTCTAAGACAACCATGTGAGTCATACATTTAAGGTATCAGACCAGTTTTTCCCAAGGAGATTTTTAATGGCTCCATAAATTTAACTTTAATTTCCAAAGGCAGTCTGGTCACATCTGATAACATGACGTTCCAGTCAAAGCCTTGGTAAAATAACCAGTGTTTTCAATTATGTCCTCTTATAATAATATAAAAGAGACTCTTATTAAACTTGTGTAAATAGCGTATTTCCATGAAATAAGAATACTCACAAACAGTTTCTGCTTCTGGAGGGATCAGGTAGAGTGAAAGGTAAATGTTTTAATTTTGCTCACAAAAGCATATTTTACAAAATTTCTGTAAAGCTATAGATAGCTGAAGAGAGAGACAGTGAGAGAGACAGAGAAAAGAATCGGGAACATTTTAAACAAAAAAGTCATAAATATAATTTCATTCCTTCATCAGTTTAGTTCCATTTCATTAATTATTGTTTTGTTTGATATTGGGTTAGTGATTTTATGAGTCTATGTTCTTAAAATTAAAGTTCTGGAAATTTTGACCCAGTCTAATGACATAACCTCATAATTGTCAAAAACCTGTATTTCTGTATTTGTTACAGATTTTTTTTTCTATCCTTACTATGAACCTCCTTGAAGACAAAATACTTCAGGATTTGCAAAAAGCATTCAGAAAAAAAGAAAGTACCACAATAACGCAATTACTTATGGACAAGACCTAAAATGGCCATGGTTAAACATGCAATTAAAAATCAAATTTGGTTATTTTAGGTGTCTTACCACAATTTTATATAATAATTATAATTACGACTAATAACATATACCAAGGCATATCAAAATTTTAAGAATCTCAAACAAATTTGGAACACATATTAATAAACATTCATATAAATATAGCTCAAAGAAGAGAAAACATCATTTCTTATTTGACACTTCCTATATAATTTAATACATAAAATAAGCGTGTTTCTTATCTCTGTTTCACATGCTTCAGGGGCCTCTGGATCATGCTAAAGTTAGGTTGATGTCAAAAAGACTTAATTTTGATTTTGAAATATGATTTTGGGAAGACTCTCAAAACTGTCAAAGGTTTAGAGCATTTGATCAAAATAAAATCACAGATCACTATAAAAAAATAGTCATTCATTTAGCCAAAATAATAAATAAAATATTTCAAAACGCAAAAACTTTTACTCTTTGATAGAGTAAATTCAGTTTTTAAAATAATCAAAAGATCTAATAAAAACAGCAAGAGACACACAGAATCTTTCTCTTTTTCTACCCCTACCTTTTTGTGAAGTTTACAACACTTTTTACTTTTATAATATTAAAATTTTGTCTTGAAGAAAAAATCAAATTTTAGTTTTATATCAGTTTACTATTAAGGCTAAAGCTAATTTTTTTTCTTTTCTTTTTTTTTTTTTTTTTGAGACGGAGTCTTGCTCTGTCACCACGCTACAGTGCAGTGGCATGATCTCAGCTCACTGCAATCTCCACCTCCCAGGTTCAAACGATTCTCCTGCCTCAGCCTCCCGAGTAGCTGGGACTACAGGCGCCCACCACCACGCCTGACTAATTTTTTGTATTTGTGTAAAGATGGGGTTTCACCATGTTGGACAGGATGGTCTGGATCTCCTGACCTCGTGATCCGCCCACCTCAGCCTCCCAAAGTGCTGGAATTACAGGCGTGAGCCACTGCTCCCGGCCATAAAGTTAATTTTAATAAAACCTTGTAAACAAATCTGTCAATCTCAGTCAACTTTGACTACACACGATAAGATTTTCATCAACCTTTTATAGTCTCTTAAATTTTTTAATTCTTTTTCCCCCTACTGCTTATAATAATCTAATTTTATCTATACCATTGTATCTTTTTTTTATTTTGGAATAACTTTTAGATACTCTTTAACCTAAACAAAATTACTGTTATTTAACAAAAACCACATCCTCATACCGTATAACATTTTACTTTTCTCATACACTCTGTATACAGAACTGTTTCTTACATACAGTAGTTTTAATTATATAGATCTGGGGTCTTCAAACCCTGGGCCACAGACTGGTACCATGGCCTGTTAGGATCTGGGTGGGACGCAGAGCAGGAGGTGAGTAGCCCGCAAGGGAGCAAAGCTTCATCTGTACTTACAGCCACTCCCCTTCACTCTCATCCTTCCCTGAGCTCTGCCTCCAGTCAGATTAGCATCAGCATTAGATTCTCATGGGAGCATGAAACCTATCGTGAACTGCACATGCGAAGAATTTAGCTTGCACTCTCCTTGTGAGAAGAATCTAGGTTGCACACTCCTTGTGAGAAGATTCCAGGTTGCAGGCTTCTTGAGAGAAGATCATGCCTGATGACGTATCACTGTCTCCCATCATCGTGAGACTGTTTAGTTGCAGGAAAACAAGGTCAGGACTCCCACTGATTCTGCATTATGGTGAGTCGTATCATTATTTCATTATATATTACAATGTCATAATAGAAATAAAGTGCACAATAAATATAACCCACTTGAATCATCTCCACTGCCCCGGTCTGTGGAAAAATTGTCTTCCACAAAACCAGTCCCTGGTGCCAAAAAGGTTGGGGACCGCTGACATAGATTAGTTAAAATTTTCGCTCATAGTAGCCTTAATTTCTAGTAAAACTGAGGAAGCAAATAATTCTAATTTTTAGACTTTATGTAAAACAATTTTTCAGTGTGGAACAGTACATATTTACTAACAAGCCCAGATATATAAACTTAAACTTCTGTAGAATATGTTTCAGTATTTTAACTTACTTGGAAATGACTCAGACATTTCGTGATTGTCTATCACTTAATTTACACGACTTTAAGATTGTATAACACTGAAAAGATTTTTTTAAATAATAGAAATTACAATGATTATTTGATTTGTATTCCATTATGTAATAATAATTTGGGGTTCAATCAAGTACTTTCTTATAAAGTTTTCTACTCTAGGTTAATCTCAAAATTGGGGAAAAAACTTATCTTATTAAAAGTGCATGAATAATGTTCATTTCAGAACAAAGTACTTAGTGATAACAGTCCTAAAGAAAGGGATATATAATCAAACCTAGTTAACCATTCTTCCAAATAAGTTTGAGATAACAATCCAAATAAATTATGTGTTTTTTTATATTTTCATAAATGTTTCAAAATCATGCTATTTATTAATTTGCTACCCATTTGAACCATGGTTTATTTGTATAGATTCTTATTCTCTTCATTTATTTCCCAAGGAGTTTTATTGCCACATTTTAGCTTATGCTTTCACTATTACACTAAGATTATTAACGTCTTAATCATATTTATCACCTGTAATCCACTTTTTTCTTGAAGAGCTGCTTTCAAGAATCTTCCAACTTCCTGCTTAAATCTATAGATATTATTAATTCTGCTTACTGTACAGCTATATCTTGATTTTTTTTTGCATTCCTGGATTAACTTCACTGTTTCTTAAATCCCATAGTTTTTTGTTTTTTGTTTTTTTTTCCTTGAATTTTCTGGACCACTTCTCCCACCCTTTTATGTTTTCAAAAAAAAAAAAATCACATGGGAAGTACAATTTTCAGAGCTTTGCTTACTTGAAATTTTAACAATTTGCCTTCATACTTTAAAATTGGGGTGGGGGCTGTGTTAGGGAGGGTCCAAAAAGAAGAAGAAAATCACATCAGCTATTCAAAAAATAAAATAATGTCAAAAAATTATGCATTACTGAAAAGGCAAATAAAAAAAAGAGAGATGATAGAAGTAGTAACATCAGTAAGGAGATATCATCTCTAGGGCTCTGAGGTAGCAAAGGATGCTCAACTGGCAGCTCAGGAACTCTGAGAAGGAGCCTCATAGGGTTAATCCCAGACCTCAGGAACTTAAGAGAGGTCCAGCCTGTGAGTAAGCGCGTGTACGAAGGGATGCAATAGACTGGGTCTGGAAGTGGTGGAAAAAAATGCAAACAAAAAGCTGTGCTATGGGCAGAAAAAGCACAGTTGGGGATATGTAGCTAGGAACATTAATCAAACAGGAAAAAGCAGTACCCTTTGTTATATATTTGCGTGTGTGTTTGTGTGTTTGTTTTTGGCAGGTGAGTCTCCCTCTAGCATCCTGTATTGTGAGAGATTAACAAAGAATCCAGGTGGCAAGGGAGGAATATGATTTGCAAGTCCTTGTCCCAACATCATAAAGCAGAGCATAGAATAATGGCTTTTGAAACAAGAAACTTAGGTTTCCTCCGAATTTTAAAGGGCTTATTGCAATCACTCATGGTGGGAAGATCATCCCAGTGAAATCTCATTTCTCTGTGGTAAACTTTTGTGGGAGGAAATTACTGTTCTTTCTTTAGCTGTTGGAAGAATTTTCCCCACCTAGAATTATTTTTTACTTATCCTAAGTATTCTAAAATTTATATTTAAATTTATAATAAAATGTAGAATAATTTTAATATTATTTTGAAATTGGGAAATTTTAGATTTTATAGATAATTTATTTTTTCCCATTTTTCTTTTCTCTCTCTTTTCTTTTCTCTCTTTTCTATTAGTTAAATATCAAGCTTCCTGGATTGATGTGTTTTGTTTATTTTGCTGTCATATTTTCGATTTCTCTCTCTCTCTCTTTCTGTGTGTGTGTGTGTGTGTGTGTGTATGTGTGTTTAAGAGACAGGGTCTTATTCTGTTGCCCAGGCTGGAGTGCAAGAGCACAACCATAGCTCACTGCAGCCTTGAACTCCTAGCCTCAAGTAATCCTCCCACCTCAGCCTCCCAAATAGCTAGGACTACCGGTGCATGCCCCCATGCCTGGCTAATTGTTTAGAGACAGGGGTCTCACTATGCTGCCCAGGCTGGTCTCAAGATCCTGGCCTCAAGTGATATTCCTGTCTCAGCTTTCCAAAGTGTTGGGATTATAGGCATGAGCCACTGCCGGGCTTGGCCTCTGTTTCTTTTTGATGAGTGCATATTCTGGATTTTCTTCAATTTAACCTTTAGGATTCCCTCAGAATATTTTATTTCCATCCAATCACACGATTTTTCCTTGTTTTCTGATTGCTTATATTTACTGACAGCCCTTTTTATAAAAAAAAAACCTTACTATTTGCTTATTTTTGTTTATCTTATTTTAATTTCTTTCAGGTGATGCTCAGGATTCTTACATGTTTTGTTTGATCCACAAATAATTAATTTTTTTCTTTTCAAATTTTTCTGTTTATTCATGTTAGACCATTTCTTTTGTATTCTTAATGCTCCTAAAATGTCTAGTGATCCTTATTTAGCCATTCATGTTTTAAAATAAAGAACTGAGTCAATTAACATAAGTAACTGATATGGATATCCTCTTCTGTTGTGAATTTTAGCTTCATATCCTAATTATCTTCCATAAAAGGATCACACGCTGGGAACCAGTAAACTTGTCTTTAGTATGTGTGTAGAAAGTAGGCTAGGACCTCTCTCACTAAATGCCGGTATGTAGAGGATGATATTCTTGCACGCCAACATCAACACTAAAAACCTCAACTATTCCCAGGCAGATCGTCATACTTTTTTAGAAAAGCACCATCTGTTTTTTGCTCTGTATGTATGCCAGGTTTCCAATCACTCTCAACAACTGAGTTTTCGAGAGCAGTGTGTAGAGGAGTGGTCCTTACTGGGAAATTTCTTCACAGGCATTTCTTCAGATAACCTTCCTGTTTTTGGTCGTATTACCCACTTCTATTCTTTGTTTTGTAATCTCTGTTTGGAGTCATTGGGAAGCAATATTGGATAAATCAGCTCTTATATTCACTATAAACTTCTGAACTGGTTTTGAATGTTGACAAATATCCACGAAGTGCTATCTCTCAATATCCTCCTAGGGGCTTTTCATATGTTAGAAATGCATTTCTAGACCTCACACAGGATGCAACCAGAAATCCTTCCCCGCTATGCCCTTGGCAACTGAGGTTGGATAGATAACAGAGCTCTGCCCATTATGAGGAAGGCAGGAGTCTGAGAGTGGAACTTCTGGGAAAGGTTGTACTTTATTGATAAAATGGAACAGATTCAGGTAACTCATTATCCCTTCCTCTCTCCCTTCCTCCCTCCCTCCCTTCCTTTCTTCCTTCCCTAAAGGGAAATTAAATTCAAAGAAACAGAAACCATTTTAGAACCATGAAAATTAAAGCAAAAATTCTGAGGATGGCAGAGCAAAAAAGGAGCTGAGACTCTGAAGTCATTGTTTGTTGAGCAACCACAGTAACCATCAACTGCCTACCTTCACTCTTATTAAGAAAGAAAAGCAAATCCATATTTGATTAAGCTACTGTTAACTTGGTTTGCTCTATAACTGGTCAAATGCATTTTTAACTGTTACCAGCCTGCTCCTAGTCCTTCCCAACGTCAGTCAGCATGTTTGCTCTTTGATATGAAGCTATTCTGTTTAGAACTTGTTTACTATTATTCAAAGGTGGCATTGTGAGAAAAAAAAAAGTCATACTTCTGCTTGGTCTGCCACAGAAAGCTGGAAGGTTTAAAATTTCATAGGAGCACACTTTTGCCAAAGGAAATGGACATGACAGTAAGCATTATTTATTGGAAATAAAAAAATCAACTAGCAGTTGAATATCCATTATGTATAATAATCTGTATTAGAAAGCAAAACTATAAAAATTAAAGCATTTCCTATGTATTAAAAATGTTTAGGGACTGAGATAGGATAACTGTATATATGTCTCTCTCTATATATAAGACATCTATATATCTATGTATATATATAGGATATCTATAGGATATGTATCTATCATCTATCTAATAAGATGTGAACTAAATGAAAAAATCATTTAATCATGCCTAATATTAATATGGCCTAATATTATCTAGGGTTCATTGGGTGGGACAGAGTGGGGTTGGAGTGTGTGGTGGTATGGAAAAGAATTACTGGGGTTGGTGATATATGAGTTGAGAGTTGCATTTTCCAGAGAGAAAAGCCAAAGGAGGATAATTCAGGAACACAGTCAAACTGTTGCAAAATAATATTGTTAAATCAAAATATTTGGGAATTGGAGTGTAAGGATTTTTATCTGATATGAGTTCTCTGGGTTGTTGGGTTGTTTCATTATGCAGCCAAATGGGAAACCACTATAGAAGGAGAATGGCGTGGTTGTATTTGTGTTTTGTAAGGACTACTGTGACAGCATGGAGGGTTATATATTGCAAGTGGGCAAGGCTGTGAACAAGGAAATCAGCTTGGGTTAAATTCAAGTTTGAATGTTTCTTGCCATTTTCTTGGCCAGTGGTTCTCAACCAGGAGCAATTTTGCACCCTGGGGAGTATTGGCAATCTCTGGAGACATTTTTATAAGTCACAATCTAATAGTGTGATGGGTTTGTTACTGAGATCCAGTGGGTAGATGATGATACACAGGTCAGTACTCCACCCCCAAACAAATTATCGGACCCTAAAGGGGAGGCTGTTGGCAGACTCTGACATAGGCAATGTGATAGTCACAGATAATAATAGAGAATGTTATGACAGGGAACAAAATCACTGACAGTGTGTTTATTGAGGGAATTTGGTCAAGGAAGGAGTTCTGGATACCACACCTAAATATATATTGCCAAAGGAAGACAGTAGAAGGAATATCAAGAAAGAACAAGATGGGGAAATCAAAACTAACAGACTTCTCAAAAAATGCTGCTTCAAACACTAGAGAGACGAAAAAAACATGCTATATATTCCCATTAGGTTGGTGAACTTTGAACTGACCAATGATTTGCCTTAAAGCAAGTTTAGTAGGCAGTTAAAACCAAATGTAATGGTCAGGGGAATGGGTGAGGAGTTAAATAAGTATGAGCAATATGAGGGAGCTTCACAAGGTTTACAGAAAAATGGAATTAAAAGTAAAATAAAAATACAGACTTTATTTCTCAACATAAGCTCCATCAAAATCAAGACAATTTTGTAAGTGATGATACCCGCCATTTAGTCCATCCTTAAAGAACTGAAGGTCCTGGGAATTTAACCATGTCAATGTAGCCTTTTTTACATTATTAACTGCAAAAGTGTGCCCTTTTCCAACAAAGACCAGAAATAATTGGAGGAAGAAACTACACGAGTTTCTGTCATTCCAGGGAGAGGGAATGGCAAGGGCAACAGCACTAAGATAAAAGGATCCTTTGTGTTCCCAACTGTCTTTAAATTTTCTTCTGGCTTTTCATCTAGCACTACACTTGTCTAGTTGTTGGAAACTTCAAATCATTTTTGAAAGAAAAATGAATGTTCATTGCATGCTGAACATATCTAGGAATTAAAATCTCTAATTTATGTATGATTATCAGTTACGTTGGTTAGAACACGATACTTAAATATAAGAAGTTTCAGGTTTGGTCTTTGCATGAAACCACGATCATTTTCTGGTCACTCTCTGCACTGTTGACACTGTCCTTAAAATATACCCTAATGATTGTTAACAGGGAGTCACCAAGAGTGTTGGCTTGGTGCAAATACTACTACCACCACTGAAAGAGGCAATTCATATTGTAAGCCATTCTCATCTTGACTCAGTAACATTACAGGCACACAAAGGAGATACTATATTAGCATACTCAACTTCAGAATCTGCACTAATTTTTTATCATCATTTATTCCATATCAAAAGTAGTTTAATGGTGGTTTACACTAGAACTAAGAATTATATTGGTTACTTGGCTCCTTATCAGGTAGTTATGTTGATAAATGAAATTATTTCCTTCCATTGATATATTCTACTTTATCACAAACATTGTTATTTATTTGATAAGATTCTATGTGCAAGATGTATAATGTGGTAGCTAACACATAGCTGGCCCTTAATGATAATAATATTATTATGAATCCAAGCTCCAGAGAGCAGAATTTCTGCCTCTTTTATTTTCTGTTAACTGAGTTTCAGTTGCATAGTAGGTGCTCAATACATAATTGTTGAGTGATTGAATACACAAATGAAAAATAATAGCTAATATTTGAAGACACAGACATAAAACATACAAATATAGAATAGTTGAGATTACCATTTTTAAAGAATGAATAATTTTAAAATTAAAAATATAATCATTATGCCAAAAGGAAATGGTAAAGCTGTATGAGAAATTCCATTCTATTAAGCAAAAATAATTATTAGCTATAATTAATTGAATGTTTATCATGTTCCAGGCATAGTGTAATGTGATTTACATAACTGAAACTCTCACAATAATCTTTCAAGTTGGCATTATTATCTCAGTTTTACAAATGAGAAAATACATTGAAAAGGTTAAACTTTGTGCACAAAGGAAATGAGTTTTATGATGTCCAAGTCATTCCTAAGTACAATAACCTGGTGTTTTCTTCTGTATTAAACCTTCTCAATGACCCAAAGACTCCATCCTCTTTTTCTGGGAACTTACGAGTCCTAGCTCATAGTATGGAAGTAGGAGGGTGGAAATTCAGGGCAATTAGAAGATTCATTAAAATCTCGGGGCACAAATACATACCCTTAAGTTAGACCACCAAAGCAAGATGACCAGCCAGCTTTTGCTAAAAACAGCTAATTCAGCACCTCAGTAAAACATATTGATAGGCTCATTGGAAAACGAGGAGTTGGTTTTCACATTCTAACCCATCTTCCTGGATGAATGTTCTGCAGTCTCTATTGGGCTTATGAACTCCTCAGACTGGCACTTGTAGAGCCAGTTTCCCTTTTCTCCACACTCTTCCCACTTCTAATCCCAAGAAAATGCTTCCTTTTCCTTCCTTACAACTCTAACCCAGGTTACCTTCCTCTAGGATCCAGGAATCCTGCCTGGGTACTTTGACCACTTTCTATGCTCTTTCCAATCCATAGCTATAAAGTAGACTATAAATTCAGCTTTTCTCAGAGCCTACTGTTTTGAATAGCAAACACTCATTGGGGAGCCTAATACTGAAACTCACCTATACGTTTCTTTGCATTACTGTTCTAACATTCTAATTCTCACTCAGGAGATTTGGATTCTGCTGACGAGAGAGAGAGAGATGTATTAAAAAGTGCAAAAAATAAATGCTTACTGGTATCTTATTTTGCACTTATTCAAGATCACCTACATTTCTCTGAGGTCAATTGCAGACATGCCATTCAAACTTAATAAAAATCTGCAGTTCATAAAACCATTTAATTTGCCTCTTTTTTTGTAATTATTTTGGTATTATCTAGAGACAGTCTTTGTTTAAATTTGTAATTTAATATACTCTTTGAATATTTTGAGATTTTAATTTATTTTAAAACAATTTATATTAACATTTATTTTAACTTATTTTACTTGATTCTAACTTAAATTAACAATTATATATTGGCTGATGATTAAACATCAGTAATTTACTTCATTATTTGTTTATTTTTATACCTTTTGAAAATAATTCCTAAAGTATTTTAAAGTGAGTTGAAATAAGACACAAAAAATCAAAACCAGGTTTAAAATTAAAAATATAATTAAAAAGAATAGACAATACTGAACAAATCCTAGTCTTGAGTTTCTGAGAAATCATGGTAAAAAGAAAGCATTATAAACTATACAGTTCTTATTGTTTAATTAAAAGGAATATATCTGTTTTATAAAAGGTGAAAAAAAGTCCTGACTTTGGAAAATATTAATGAAATATCTTCTCTATGAAAACTTCGGTTGTAAGCAGTAGTTTGCAAAATAATTAAGGAGGAATTTCTACATGGTCTTGGGGAATATATAACCCAGTGGAGATTTACTAAATTTATTCGAATGTAATTTATTTAAAAATAGAAAGCTAGGATATGTCTTCACCAGCAGCTTCTCAATGCTACAGACGCTTATTAACTCTCTTATTTCTTACCCAGATAACAATTTCAATGACAAATTAATGTAGCTCAACGTGAAGAATTCAGTTGATATAACTTTATACATGAGAGCCATTCAAATGAAAAGAGGACTGTCTAGCTGGTCTTTTAGGCCAAGAGTTGTGACCCCTCAAAGAAATTACTCTGATGTTATCTTAATTCTAGCCATAACATTTTGTACTTAGTGTGGATGATGTCAGGTGTTTTACTGAGAGTAGTTGGCTCACAGGAACAATTGAGAGGTATTTCCACACCTAATAACAAGGCCAAGTATTCAACACCAGAGATGTCAGAGATGTCAGGCACCTGAGCTGCAGACAGAGCTGAGCTGCCATGTGTCAGCTAAAGCAACAAGAGGCCAACATGAGAGTAAACAGTGAAGACCTTAATAATTGTTTACTGCAAGAGCATATTCAAGAGTTTAACACTAGAGAAAGTGGTGATTCCCTCTGTTACATTCTTACTCTGACACTTCTCGCTAGGGAATGATGCTCCCATAGAGGGTCAGATAGATCAGGGGAGGTCACCTCACTGTCATGGGAACTTGGAACACAAGGCTCCTGCAGTTTAATGGACTTGGGGCCTAAGAAGAGGGAGAGATGTAGGGTTAGGAGTGGAAAAGTACTGATTATTGAGTTGGAGTGATGGGGAAAGTATCTTCAAAGTTTCTCTCTCTTCAGCAGAGGAACCTGAAGAAGACCTCTGGTCAAGGCCTAAGATAAGGAGACCTAGGAATAAAGGTTCATGGGCTAGGAAAACAAATATACATAAAAGTATGGTTGGCCAGGGGACACTGTGTCCTTGTTGCAACTCCTTCTAGAGAGACTGCAATGCACCCACCGGCTAATCACCCAGTGTGGTATGGGGAGGCCAGCTTTCCCTCATGAGACCTGCCAGGTAAATTCTTCAGAGTTGCTGATGACCAGGCCTGAAAAACCACACATAGGTTTTTAACCGGAAGCCAGAATTTTTAGGAAGTAGCTACTGCTCTTACATGCTAAGGCCGACGATTTTATGTCGTATTAATCTAAAAGCTGATTTGAATTATTTCTGCAAGATGGATTGCTACCAGACACTATGTGAGTCTAAAGGCATTCATAAAACATAGGTTTACTATGTTTAATGTTATCTTAATGGAACTATATATATATTTTATAGTATTTTATAGTTATAAAGGGATGTACAGTCACTCCTTGCCTATTCTCCAGTTATATCAGCCCTTGCCCTGAATAAATCCTATTACAGCAATTTAAGATATACACACAATCTATCTGTAGACAACTTTACTTTTCCCTGCAGTCTGCTAGAGAAACAGGTACAATTCTGGCTTCATCTTGAGAACAGCAGGATTTAGATAAGCTTTATGGAGGCTGAGAGTTCCTCTGTAGCCTGTGAGATTAGCAGTAGGCTAAAGAGGATATCTGTGCTAGAAGAAAAGGAATCTTCTTTCTGGAAAGCAGTCCTATACAAAGTTACGGTGATCTGACCTGGAGTCTCATTTTCAAAAGGGAGGCTTGCCTGACATTCCTAGCCAGTTGGCATTAGCCTGATCCCCTCTTGGGCCTCCATAGTCCAGTTATCCAAAAGCAGATACTTTGGGGCTACACCAAAAACTAGGACAGGTTTTTGTTTTTTTCTTTTCTTTTTCTCTTTTTTTTTTTTTGAGACCAGTCTCGCTCTTTTGCCCAGGCTGGGCTGCAGTGGTGCAATCTCCGCTCACTGCAAGCTCCGCCTCCTGGGTTCACGCCATTCTCCTGCCTCAGCCTCCCGAGTAGCTGGGACTACAGGCGCCCACCACCACGCCTGGCTAATTTTTTTGTGTTTTTAGTAAAGACGGGGTTTCACCCTGTTACCAGGATTGTCTCGGTCTCCTGACCTCGTGATCCGCCCGCCTCGGCCTCCCAAAGTGCTGGGATTACAGGTGTGAGCCACCGTGCCCGGCCTGGGGCAGGTTTTTATTGAAATTTATTCAGAGCCATTGGTGGAAAAAGTCCCTGTGAATGTTTATTAATCCAGAGTTTAATGTCAAAGTTTACTAAGACAGAGAGGTAAGAGGACTTGGTAGTTAACTCAAGAAACATCGACTTAAATTAAAGGGAAAAAAGTGCTTACTGAAAGATGAGATAAATCAGCGTCTGGAAATTCAGAGGGAAACAAGGTTGTAGTAAATTGGAGGCTAGGAAACAAAAGTAGTACATTAAATGGGGATTCGATTATAAAGCAGCAAGAAACAGCTGCTTTTTCATTATTTGAAATAATGAAAAAGATTTGAAAGATTATTTGAATAATCTTTATCTGTATCTGAGTACAATCTTCTACGTCATCTGTATTTTAGATCTATGAGTTTTAACCATATCTAGCTGGAGACTCTGGCTATATCCTATAAATATTTGCATATATTAGTCATAAGAGTGGGTTGATAGTCATGGCTAATGAGTAGAAAAACTCCCTCATGACAGATCAAAATGCTAAGCCCTTGCATTGCATATTTGTGGCATGCAAATTCATACTACCTTGAAACGTAGAAAACTCATGCTGAAAATAGGTCCAGAACAGTGAAACCTAAAAGATCCTGGTAGATATGGATGTGAAACTGTTTCTGGGAATACCTCCACAACTGATGAATTTCATAAAAAACAACTGCTGTAGGTATTCTAAAATTACAAAGCTCATATAGAAACAAATTGCCTTGAAAAAGTCAACAATTACAAAAAGTCATAAATAGTCACATGGATTATACAATAGCAAATGCAAATAGATTGCCAATAAATGAAATTTAAATGTTCAAAGGGAAAAAAAAGAAGAAAAAGAAACCTAATGTGAATGTCAGATCATTATTAAACAGAATAACAAATTTATAAAAACAATTGAGTAGGAATTCTAGAAATAAAAATATGATCTTTAAAATAAAAAAAGAACATATGAAGGGTTCAACATGAGACTCAATAGAGTAAATGACTTAACTAATGAATTGGAAGACAGATCTGAGGAAGTATAAAATAAAGATATAAAGACACGGAAGACATGAATTAGAAGTTAAAAGTGAAAGAGAAGTAAATGAAATGCTCCAAAATCCCACTAGTGAGAATTAGTAAAGAAGAGAATAGAGCAAATAAGAGTGAGAAAATATTTACGGAGATAACATAAAGTTTTTTTTTAATTATAGAAACTGATACGCTCTCATATTTAGGAAAAACACTCTGTCCCAAAAAGGATAAATACAAGCAAAGCCACGTGTTGGCACCTTATGGTGAAATTGCATTGCATTGATAATAATCAAAGAAAAAAAAGAGCTTCTAAAGAGAAAACACAGATTATCTACAAAAAGTTATAAAGGGGCATCAATTTTTTATTAGTAAACAATAGATTCTTAAATATGATGAAATAATTCCTTTAAAGTGCTCAACTAAAGAACTGTCAACTATATGAGAAAAACTCATTCAAAAGCAAACATGAAATAAAGAATTTTTTGAGACGACAAAAGCATAAATGTTACATGTTGAAATAAGCAGCATGCAATTGCATCTACATGTTCAATAGAGAACAAGAAAAGAGTGAGCAAAATAATGTTTAAATTATTTGGTATTTGGTAAACTTGAATATAAATCATAAATTTTTAAAAAATGCTAAAAGTTTGAAAACATTATAATATGGAATTGTAAAAATGAAAGTTGGTGCTGATACTTTGGAAAAAATTGGCAATAGTAAAGTTAAAGATTAATATATCTTTCAAACTACAATGTAACTTCTTGGTCTATTTGGGTGTTAAACACAGATGTGACTAAGAAACCTCTACATGTTCCAGATAAAAGAAAATGACACAGCAAAAGGGTTCAGAGAGTGGCTTAGATAAGCAATAGTAGGTAATGAGTTCTTGTTTTCTGAGGCACGACTCAAGCTCACTTTTTAATTTTCTATTCAACAATAAAAATACAGTTTGGTAATATTTTGCATACAAAATTTTAAGGGTCAAAATTGTAAAATCCACCTCAGGTTTCCAGGGGAGAAGCTCTAGAATAGAGGGTTTAGTGATTTTGCATAGAGGTTGCCTGTAAAATCCTGTTAAGTAGAGAATCAACTAAAATATCTTTGTGATAGGTATTATGTATTTCTGAAACTCTTTAATCTATGTAATAAACATGTCCATCAGATTGGAATTGATATCCTAGGTAATAGATACTTTTTCTGTAAGAATTCTATTTTGTTTTGGAGATTTTGTGCTATATTGGTACTAACATGTCAAAGGAAATATAGAACCCTCTTGAGAACTAATGAAATCAATTGAATATGACAGGAAATTATCTATTTCCTGGATGACTGCTGACCCTCCAAGAAAATCTAGTCTTTAAATCAATATTAAATACTAAAATAAATAAGATTCTGTGAAGTATTGGAGCAGTACAGTTAAATATATTGTTGATCTCTCCAACTAAAATCAAAGAGACATCTCTAAAAAAGGCAGACCACAGGCCAATAGTGAACAAAAAAAGGGACCAACTATAGTGAATAATGTATCATAGGGTGGATATAAGAATATTATTTTGTTAAATATCACTAGTCATTTTGTGTTTTTGTTTGTTTGTTTGTTTTTGAGATGGAGTTTCACTCTTGTTGCCCAGGCTGGAGTGCCATGGCACGATCTTGGCTCACCGCAACCTTTGCCTCCCGGGTTCAAGCGATTCTCCTGCCTCAGCCTCCCTAGTAGCTGGGATTACAGGCATGTGCCACCACGCCCGGATAATTTTGTATTTTTAGTAGAGACTGGGTTTCTCCATGTTGGTCAGGCTGGTCTTGAACTCCTGACCTCAGGTGATCTGCCCGCCTCGGCCTCCCAAAGTGCTGGGATTACAGGCATGAGCCACTGTGGCCAGCCGATATCACTAGTCATTTTGAACAACTATATGGATTATGGCTTCTCAGGTCTTATACAAATGACTATCCTTTGTGTTTTGACTTCTTTACTAGAAGGTGGAGATATCACAAAACCTGTATGTAGTAGAAATATTTTCAAACAAAATCAGATAACTTATTATTCCTCCAGTTCCTGTGAAAGACATTGGTCCTCACAAACACTGCAAAAATTAGTAGTAATGTTTAAAAAGGACTACCTGAATTGTGACATCTATTCTGCTTGTATCTATAAAACTAATTGGCTATTGGTTCTAATAAGGAGTCACCATGGAATACTATGCAGCCATAAAAAATGATGAGTTCATGTCCTTTGTAGGGACATGGATGAAGCTGGAAGCCATCATTCTCAGCAAATTATTGCAAGGACAAAAAACCAAACACCGCATGTTCTCACTCATAGGTGGGAATTGAACAATGAGAACACATGGACACAGGAAGGGGAACATCACACACCAGGGCCTGTTGTGGGGTGGGGGGAGGGGGGAGGGATAGCATTAGGAGATATACCTAATGTTAAATGACGAGTTAATGGGTGCAGCACACCAACATGGCACATATATACATATGTAACTAACCTGCATGTTGTGCACATGTACTCTAAAACTTAAAGTATAATTGAAAAAAAATAGTAAGCTGGTGTAAACAGATGTCTGTTTGGTTCATTAATCATTTCTAAGTAAATTACATTGACTTTTCAATACCATTTGCCTACTAAATCTTTCTCAGAATAGTAACATGGATACTGTCACATGGAAGAAAAGTAGGTTTTTAGTCAAGGATCTAGTAGTTACATAAGTATTCAAAGTCCAGCAACTTCAAGTAGCTACAAAATATTCCTACTTATTCATGCTCTTTATTACTCTGGGGAAACAGTTAATGTAAACTGTCAGGGTATGTGTTTGAAATAGTAGCACCTATATTTAAATTTACAAACTTTACTTTAGATAGTTCATTTTGTGTGTCTAGGAAAATAAAACATATGAGTGTCATTGCAACCATCACTGAGGTTCTAAGTGAGCCCCTCATCAGTTAGCATTTTTCACAAGTTGTGCAGAATAAGAAAGAGAAGAAAAGTCTTGCACTAGGTAGGGTTCTCTCTATAATAATAACCAATAGGTATAAAGAGATTTACTATAAAGAGTTGGCTCACATGATTATGGAGGCTGAGAACTACCAGAATCCAAGGTCAGAAAGACCCAGGAGAGCCAGTGGTTTAGTTCCAGTCTGAAGACAGGAGACTGATGTCTGTAAGCCTAAACAGTCAGGAAGTCAAAATTCCTTCTTACTCAGCCTTTTTGTTCTACTGAGTTTTTCAATTTATTGGGTGAGTAAAGCAGAATGCTCTGCTTTACTCTGTCCACATATTAAAATGCCAGTCTCATCCGGAAACACCCTCACAGATATACCACACAATTTTTGATCAAATAACTGGGTACCTTGTGGTTCGATCAAGTTGACACATAAAATTAACCATTACAAGTATCAGGGGGAAAAGGAAAGCGGAGGTGCAATAGAAATTTGAATTTGGGGCTGGGTGCTATGGCTCATCCCAGCACTTTGGGAGGCTGAGGCAGGCGGAACACCTGAGGTCAGGAGTTTGAGACCAGCTTGACCAACATTGTGAAACCCCATCTCTACTAAAAATACAAAAAATTAGCCGGGCATGGTAGCGTGCGCCCATATTCCCAGCTGATCGGGAGGCTGAGTCAGCAGAATTGCTTGAACCGAGGAGGCAGAGGTTGCAGTGAGCCAAGATGGCACCACTGCACTCCAGCCTGGGTGACAGAGTGAGACTCCATCTCCAAAAAAAAAAAAAAAAAAAAAAAAAAAAAGATATTTGAATTTGGGAATTTTGGGTTTTTCTCATATTATGTCATTTAATTTTTTCAGGAAATAAATTTAAAATTCTATATGAAATTCTCATTGACTTTTTGAGAATTCACTGAATCAATCAATGAAAGTATCAGAGATTTTGTCTCTTTTAGTTCTAAGGCTCTCATCAATGAAGAATTTTGTTAAAGCCAAAAATACGAACATGGACCATTATAATTTTTTTTCTTGCATAAAAGAATTGTACTCAGTCAAATGTAGCAAGTATTGTAATTGAAATGAGTGTATATGAAATGACAACATTCACAGCAGAGACTTGGAATGGTCCTAGAATTGGTTGTCCTCAGAGTTGTCTAAGAGTTGACAGAGAGAAGAAAATATGATGAAGCCTTTTCAACAGATGAAACAAGATAATAGCATGGCACAGTATGTGACACAGGGCCATTTGTTAGCCATTCATCTGAAACATGACTAAAATAATATAAACAGTAGTCTGAATGACCCAGTTGTAAAGTTGTGAATAACTCTGTCAACAAAAATTTTTGCATTCCCACAGACAAACCACTAAATAAAGACAAATGTCAACCTCTCAGCAATTGCCTTTCAGTTATGAAGAATAAATGGCTCTGGATAGAAACAATTTAAATGGCTGTAAAACTGATATTAACCACATGGCTGAGAAACAGAAAGCAAAGCTCCCATTTGTTGCTTGGCTGGAACATCCCAAGGCAGATGAGATTTGCAGGCCCAGCACAAAAGGCCTCTTAGGGACATGATGGATCTTAGTCCATTGGCTTCACTGGTTAAAATGTAGCATACAAATCTTGGTGGGATCTCAAGAAAAACAGTTAAAAGGGAAATAAAATGCTTATAAGTATGTAATTTTATTAAAACAAGTTGTTACTTTTATAAAAGACTTCTGAAATAAAGAACTTGTCAAATAAAGAGAATGATGAAACTTAACAGCTAAAATTTGATCATTGATTGGTGAGCTGTTCCTGTCTCTGGGAAGGTAAAACAGAATATTCTCTTTCTTTTATGAGTTATCTTGGACTCTAGAACTTTTAGAGGTTCCCCTTTATCTTTTCTTTTTTGGTTATTTTGGAAGGCAAGGCTTATAAAAATATAAAACCTTTTTTGAGCGATGTTATGAGATGGGCTCAATGTTGGATACAGCTAAGGCAAGAATAAAAATGTTAGATTATCTTTTCTCTTTTTTGAATAATTTAATGAAGATGTGAATTGTTCTCAACAGCTGATCATATGAGATAAGGAAATAAAACGTGGTTAAAAATTATCGGAGGCCATCAGTATAGCTATCATTACATCTGATGTTGCATCAAAAATCTTTTAAAGAAGATAGGATGAACTGTGGAAAAACCTGTTTGGAGAAAGTGATAATAGTACTTTCACAATATTTAGTTAGTCAGTAGCATATTTTAAAAATTAAAGAAAAAAGTGCACATATTTCAGGATGTGCTATATTAGCCAACAAGCATTTTCTGCCAACAATCTTCCTAGAGAGTTGTCAGAGAAATCTAACCTTACAAAAGCTGCCAGTTATTTATAAAACAGTGGCTTAAACCTAAAGGATACCTTGGTTGTACAGAACAGACTCCAGATTACTATTAATAAATGCTTTCTATGCCGAATTCCATATGATCAAAGGAATCAGACACATGTTTTGCTGATTGCTGCATACCTACAGAAAGGATATCTTAATGTTAAATGTTGCAGATTTGGATGATACATTTGAATCTCTGGATATACTGACACCCATAACTCCTAAAAGAAAACATCAGGACTGCTGTTCATTATGAAGCAACTCTTATGTTCTGGGCAGAACCCACGGAAGAGAAAAGAAAATGGAGCTAACAGTTCATTTGTTTTCTTGCCTTGACATTTTTCAAGGAAACATTAAAAAAAAATTTTAGGAGTAGTAATCTCACTTAATTTTGGCAGGATATATTCCTATACTAAGCTTTCCTCTTGGTGGTTGGAAGTCCCATTTGGATCTTCAAAGAGCCCTCTTCTCACAGGCAATCAGCATCATTAGATAATCACTCAAGGAATTTTGTTTCAGCAGCAAAAGAAAATTTCCAAGTAAAATTACTTAGGAGAACTCTGGAATAAAATAAATTGAGGTTTTCTCATATTTTAATTTTTCTAAAAACATATTTGTAAGAACTTTCACTTTTTGGCAATAATACAGAACAGACCACCCAGCCCGGTCTTACAAATTTATACTATCAAAGATGGAGAGGAATGATGCAAATAGCATCTATGTTCATGTCAATACTACATGATTAAGTAAAGTGAACATCTTTTGAAATCAGAATATTGTTTTCTTTTAGATTTCTGATAAATTATTTTTAGTTTTATTTTATTTTGAAGTTTTACTAAACATTAAAAAATCAGTACAGAAAAGATGAGCTTAAGTTAATTGAATGAAATAATTTTACTGACATTTTTCTGTCTGATATGAGAAACTTAGCACTTTACCCCTTCTTTTGTACAAATTTTTACTATAATATAAAATTTGAGATTTTAGATTTACATTCCTATTCACTATGAATTTTTATTTTAATGATTATTTTTTGAAATTGCATTTTTACAACTACAGTGAGATACTTGGGGGTAATTTTCTATTTTAGGTTTTCTGCTAACTGTTCATTTGTAGTACTACTACTTATATACATTTTATTTTTTGTAACACTTTATTTTTTGGAGCAGTTTTAGGCTCACAGAAATATTGAGTAGAAGGCACAGAGATTGCATACATACCTGCTGCCCCTACAGCTGCACAGACTCAACTCTTACATTATCATCATTCTTCACCATAGTGGTACATTTGTCATGTTTGATAAACCTATAATTAACACATTATGATCAATCAAAGTCCTTAGTTCACATTAGGTTTCACTCTGGGTGTTTTATGTACTATAGGCTTGCACGATGACATGCACACACTATTAAAGGATGAGACTAATTTCACTGTCCTAAAAATCTTTGCCATCCATTCATCCTCCCTGTGCAACCCCTGGAAACCAATAATCTTTTAACTGTCGCCTGAGTTATGTTTTTTCCAAAATGTCATATCCATCCAGTATTTAGCCTTTTCAGATTAGCTTCTTTCACTTAGCAATATGCATTTATGGCCTTTCCATATCTTTTCATGGCTTGATAGCTCACCTCTTTTTAGCTTAATAATATTCCATTGTCTGAATGTACTAGAGTTTATTTATCCAGTCACCTACTGAAAGACACATTGGTTGCTTTCAATTTTGGCAATTACGAATAAAGCTGCTATAAATGTCCATGTGTAGGTTTTTTTGTGGACATAAGTTTTCAACTCCTTTGCGTAAATACCAAGGAGTTCAGTTGCTAAATCCTATGGTAAGGGTATGTTTAGTTTTGTAAGAAATTGCCAACCTGTTTTCCAAAGAGGCTGTATCATTTTTGATTCCCATCAGCAATGAATGAGAATTCCTGTTGCTCCACATTCTTGTCAGCATTTGGTATTGTCAGTGTTCTGGAATTTGGCCATTCTAATAGGTGTGTAGTTGTATGTTCATGTTGTTTTAATTTGTATTTCCCTAATGACATAATGCTCTACATGCTATACATTAAATATTTGTGTTCCCCCAAAATCCATTTGTTGAAATTCTAACACCCATGACGATGGTATTAGGAAGTAGGATCTTTAAGACATGATTAAATTCTGAGGCTGGAGCCTTTATTAATGGGATAAGCACTCTTATAAAAGAGGCCCCACAAAGAGATTCCTTACCCTTTTAACCATAAGATGTTATAGCCAAAAGATACTGTGCATGAATTGGGAAGTGGACCCTCGCCAGACACCAAATTTTCTGATGTCTTTGATCTTGGACTACCCAGCCTACAGAAAAATGAGAAAATCTGTTGTTTATAAGCCACCCAGTCTGTGCTTTCCTATTATAGAAAACAAAACAGAATAGGACAGTGCATTTTTGAGTTCTTTATTTTGATACACATTTCACCGAGAATATATAGGTAGGTAAATTTCTTGTTAAGGGTCTTAGCATTTTTTAGAATGTCTTTTGTTTTATTTGAGTAATAGTGGATCTGTTATGCACTGCATTCAACATTTTTTATGAATTAGCAAGAAAGGTTTTATTTCACTAGCCTCACATTCTGATCCCATTTTTCTCACTTAATGAATTTATGCTATAGCATTATATAGGTAAGATATTATTTAATCTATCAGTGATTAGCATTTTTCTTATTTAGATGGTATTACATAATAGCACAGGGTATAAACACCTGAAAATTACACAGAAAATAACAAGAGGAGCAATTTGAGCAGTAAAAACATATGTACTATGAAGTAACTGTAGTATTAGAGAAAAATAGTTCTTAAAATCAGACATCTTTATTTCTACTTCTTTTTCTATAGACAGTACAATGACTATATAAAATGTTACAATGCACATATAGATCTGAGTTAAGCAATGTCTATTATTTTTATTTTTAAACATTTTGTCATTTTCCCCAACACTGTGAATGCTGCTTTGAATTAAACATTTCAGTAGAAATCAAAGACATGTTTATACAGCTTGAGCTGCAACAGTTTGCCTTATAAAATACCTTGCAAATAAATAATGATATACATATTTTTGCCTAAACTCTTCAGGAAACGCATTGAGATTTAAAGCTCCTTTCAGACAATGACCAAAGCAGACAAGACCCTCTGGAGTCCTCTATTTTCTGAAGTGTTCCAGCACGATGCTTTTTGATGATCAGCTGTTTCCCTGTGTGTTGAGCTTAACTTGTTGGGTTGTATTTTCCTTGTTAAATGTCGAACTTTTTATTCGTTTACTTGTTTTACAAACAAAATTACAACTACTCAATCTCTTCAATTTTGACAATGTCTTACCAACAAAATTATAACTACTCAATCTCTTACTTATTGAAACAAGACAAACAAAAGAAAACAGCATAATTGAAGATTTAGCTGAAGAGAAAGTAATTAGAAACATGCCAAATAATTTCATACCTAAATCAAAGAAATGCCAACGTGAGCATGCACATTGTTTGTACAGTTAAAGCTTCTCTTCATAATTTGAATGCAGAAAATACTTATGAGGGTTTAAAAGGGATGAAAGAGCCACATTCCTTTGACTAATAAGCTTGTTTATAAATGAAAGTCAAATTTAAAACAGGCATTTTTGTTAGAAAAGATGCTGTTTTATGCAAGGTTACAAAACCGTAAGTAGTTATGGTCAGGGCTCTTCTGGAGAAAGAAAAATTGGGAGTCAATTTGGAAATATAATCATCCTTCCTAATAAGAAAATGCTGTCATCAGAAGGGTATAAGTCATTCGTTCCTCATCATCAAAATCTACTTGCCTTAATTTATCTGAACCATGCCAGCAGGTATATATCTATAGAAATAAAGGGATTGAACAAGTTGTCAACTTACAGCTTTGACAATACTGCTAATCAGAAACTCAGCAAGCTCTACTGTATCATGCTTCAATCATTGGAACAATAAAGAACCCAGAGCTTTAGGGTATCACAAGAAAAATGTCAGAACAAGTTATACGTCGGCACTGTGAGGCCCAGAGATTGACAATTTAATTAGGATTAATGGTAATTGTTTTTAAAAGAAAAAATGAATGCTCAGATAATTTCCTTGGAAGTTCAAACACAAATAAACAGGACAACTTTACTGTTTAGATATATGATTCTTTTTATTATACAACGAGTATAAAACTGAGGTGTTACATGAGACCTGCCTGCTAGAGATAGAGATAAACTTTGCTCGAACCTCCAAA
Source organism: Homo sapiens (assembly GCF_000001405.40). Lineage (NCBI taxonomy): Eukaryota > Metazoa > Chordata > Mammalia > Primates > Hominidae > Homo > Homo sapiens. The sequence goes on from NC_000004.12 coordinate 172,114,856, forward strand.
TTTTATTACATACGACAGTCGAGGGACTGTCTCAAAACCTTCAAAAAGTCATGCTTCTTTTGTTTAAGTGGCTCAATCCCACTCCCAAACATCCCCTCCCTGCTAAAAAAAGAAAAGCACACAAGCCATTCCCATCAACCTGTTTGTGAACTTAATAACTTTACTAATGGCTTACAGGTATACATGCTTTGCATAATGAGATTTCATTGTGAACTATTCTTAAGAGCTCTATATCCTTCCTTTCTACTATCATTTATTCTTCTTCCTTTTGAGGATCAACACAAAGTTACCACTTTATGTTACATAGAAACATTTAAAATCTTTGATGTCTCACATTGAATACCAAAGGCCTTGTCCAGTATTTTCCCCCATCAATTATAGTTCTCTTTCTAAGTGTAATACTGATGACAGCTGTTAATAAGATATAAAATAGGGTATTTAAACATTCTGAAGGAACCTTTTAGAATTGCTTCAGGAAGGTATAGAGCAAAAAGTTATTGAAATAATTTTGAGAAATTGTTTTAAGTTGGAAGTACATATAAAATAGCTTAGTGAAGATGATGTAAAATTGATAGATTGTAAAGAGCAAAGAAAGCACACATCTTAATCTTCTTCCATTTTTCTCAAACTCAAACTTTTTTAGTGCAATATGGTTTAAGAATTCCAAAATATTGGTTTCACAAGGAGATAATAAGAAACTAATGATGTATGTAAATAGAAATATGTTTCCAGGTCTTGATTATTTCCATTTCATAACTCCAAAATAGACTTTCAATTGTTAGAACAGAGCCACTATTATTAATCTTTGAGTAATTACGGGAATGACATGGAATTTATGTGGCATTTCAAAATGGCAGAAAAGACAAATGGATCGTGGAACAGTAAGCCTGAAGTAAATATCTTAGAACATTTTATAATATAAATAAAATAAGTTTGAATACTAAGAAAATAAGAAATTACAGTGAGGAATAATAATGTCTTATAAGGAATATTAATACCTAATTAATATTTTCTTTCTGTGAAATGTTTTCTTGAACATTGCTTTAAAGCAATGCCAAATACAGTATTTCAGATAAGCCTCTAAATATTTAGCTCTTACAGACAAAATTGAATAAAATATACAAATTATATGACAGTATTAATTAAAAAAATGAGTTGAATCTACCTAGATACAATAGGTTTTAAACCTATTTTTAAAAATGAGTTGATGTCTACCTAGAGAGAATATAAATGCTAAACATGTAGGTATTATATGTGATTTTTCCATGGATATTTTATGATTTATTCTACGATTATCTTATAATTTGATAATCATATAAAAGTATATTCCGTGAATTTTTAGGTAAAAAAATGCTGTAAACAAACAGCTAATGTGTTAGAAATCTCATCAATATTTATCAGGTTTTCAAAGGATCAAATTATCATCCAAAATTAAAAGAAAATAACTTAGTTAATATCAAAGAACATATTGCTCTGTAATAAATTTTTGAAAAATCCTACAATGTAAGGAAACTTGGCAAAACAGCAGTCCATGTGTGAAAATCTGAGATTTTTAGATGACTGTTATCCCAAGATGACTTTTATTATCTATTATCCCAAGATGATTTTTAGATGACTGTTATCCAGGCTGGTCTCAAACTCCTCGTCTCAGTGATCCACCCACCTCACCTTCCCGAAGTGCTGGGATTACAGGCATAGGCTACTGCCCCAGGCTAAGATTTTTAACTACATTGATATTCTCTGTATTATTCCTCTGAGAGCTTGAGAATGGTAAGGATCAGAAATGAAGTAAAAAACAAGGTCTCCAATCACATATGAAAATACAAAAATTATTCTGAAAATAACTCCCAGTTACAATGCTATTTCAAAGCACACTTTTTAAAACAGCAAAGTGCATTACAGTTTTTAATTCTAAATAAAGTTAAAAGTGAAAATATTTAGAAAATTTAATGTGATTTTCTTACTTTGATTTTGGGTTTATACCAATGAAGCAAATATAAGCTTTTTGTCTTATTTTGCTGAAATAATTTAAAAATAAAGAAATACAACACAATTTTAAAGCAGTACCTTTATTGCTTTTTAAAAAATTTTCCAGTGGATTAATCTGTTTATATTATTCTAAATTAAATTAGCATAGATGCATGTGTGTGTATAATGTATTATATAGTTTATTTGTTCTAGCAAAATTATTTCTATTAGTGCACTGCCACTAAACCATTATTACAGACAGAATAATAAAAATTGAGTAAATTTTTAACTTTAAAGCAAAATTCATGAGAGCAAAAACAACGTAATAAACTATCACACCAACGTAATTCTAACTCTCACATCCACACAGATATCTTACCTGCAATAGCTATTTTTCAGTCGTGTTTTATCTTCCAGCTGAAAATGACAGTGAATTAAACTGACCGTATTATATGCTATGGTAATCACATATTGTCTAAAATGTTATTCTAATTGAGTCATTTTAGAATGTTTTCATTATATTTTCCTATTACAAATAATAAAAACAATGAAACACTGAGTCCTTATTATGTGACAGGCACGCTTATAAAGGCTTTATGTGTATTAACTCATTTAATACTTAAAACTAACTCTTCCCCTATTAGATAGGAGTCTATGATGATGAGAAGTCTCAGGACATCTACGTTTGTTTTATAATATAGTTTGTTTCAGAATGCCATGAATTTATTTTACTTTATTATTGTTCCTTATTTTGTCAGCTTTACAGAATAATTCCTGAATATAATCAATGCAAATTTTTGGTTTCAAAAATTTTATTCTGAAATAACTCAAATGTCCATCAACAGGAGGACGTAAAAACAAATTGTGGCCTATTCGTGCACTAGAATGGAACTGAGCAATGAAAAGCCAGAAATTAAATGCATCAACATGAATGAATCTCAACAACATTGTTGAGACCAAAAGAAATTAGAATAAAAAGAGACGAAATTGTAGGCTTCCATTATTAAAAAAGTTTCCAAATAGGAAAACTAAACTAAAATGAAAAAAACAAAATCAGAACAACTGCCAATTCTGGAGATTTAAGGGGGAATGGTGAAAATTGACTAGAATGAAAATACAGAAACATTCTGGTGAGAAAAAAATTCTTCTATGACACCCTAGGGTTATGGGTTATCTGGGTGTATCTGTTTTTCAAAACTGTAAAGCTAACCTTTGTGCATTAGAATATGTGATATTTTACCTTCAGGAAAAACAACTGTAAATAGAGTAGTTATAGTAGTGATTGAGATGTGGAGAGTAGACAGCGGTATAGGTGGTAGATGAATGAAAAATGTTGATAAAAGTTGAGTGATGAATACATGGGGCTTTATTTTACTATAGCTTTATTTTATATACTTGGAATTTTTAATTTGAAATATAAAATTTTTAAAAAGCCATTTCAAGTGTTTTCCCTAAAGGCTGTAGGTTACTGTCATCAATACTTGGTTAAGAGGTACATAAAGTTTCATAGTATTAACAAATAAAGCATTAGATAATTATAGGAAATTCAAAAAGAAAATTTAAACTAAGATAAAACTAGCTCTAAGAAAGGAGGGGCCCGGTGCAGTGGCTCACACCTGTAATTCCAGCATTTGGGGAGGCCAAGGCGGGTGGATTACTTGAGGTCAGGAGTTCAAGACAAGCCTTACCAACATGGTGAAACCCCGTCTCTACTAAAAATACAAAAATTAGTTGGGCATGGTGGCATATGCCTGTAGTCCCAGCTACTCAGGAGGCTGAGGCATGAGAATTGCTTGAACTCTGGAGGTGGAAGTTGCAGTGAGCCGAGATTGTGCCACTGCACCCCAGCATGGGAGATAGAGCAAGACTCTGTCTCAAAACAAAAAAGAAAAAAAAAAACCAAAAAACAAACAAACAAAAAACAAAAAGGAATAAAAGAAAAAAAAGAAAGGTGGGTGGAGGAGAGCTGCTTTCCTTGATTTGTAAATTTCTAATAAGCAGTGATTTTTTTTTTCTTTTTTTGTGAACTGAAGCTACTCCTGAAATGAGAAATAGACAATGCTTCTAGCTTTTTTCCAGACTTTTAGACTTTCACTTGAACAGTAATTTCCTGTATGTGTGAGATACACAGATACATAGATAAAGCCTTTTTTTTTTGCAACTATCTCATCAAATCTCGTATTCACAATAAAGTTATTTCCATGTTGAGTACATGGTCTTAATAAAAATCGTGTTATGAAAGCATACAGTGGGTTGTGTAAGCAGTGTGTGAATATTGGTTTCAATATTACACTATTGTATTTCTTGATAATGCTAGAGAAAATGTAATTTGCAATGCATTTATATAAGGGCTAAAATAATTTGTGGCATCATTTTTATTGCGCATTCATGGCTCATATCAGTTTAAAGCTTAAAAAGCTGTATTTTTCTCCATTAAAAAGTTGTATCTCACTCTAACATTGCATTTCAGATTTATTTCAGTGCACTAATCATAGTAACAGAAATGCCACTTATTCTAACACATTTGAAAAAACTGAATGGACTCATTATTTGGTTATTATCAACTTTTAGTTCTGAATTCCTATGGGTTTTCATGCAATGCACTCTAGTACATTCAGAAACAGGAGAGAGGGTTATATTCAGGTAGAAGCAGTTTGGCTAATGTGTTGGATATTTTACAGCTATTTTCTTGGCCACGTTATAACATTCTGAAAAAAATCACAGAATCATCCATTTAACACCTCATTTTAGACTGTGCTGTGTTCTAACCAGAGGTCAGCAAACTTTTGCTGTGCAGGATCAGAGAGTAATGTTTTAAGTTTTGCAGACCATAAAGTCTCTTGATTCAACTCAGTCATTGTAACAAAAACAGTCATAAACAATGAAATGAAAGGACATGGCCATGTTCTATCAAATCTTTATTTACAAAATCAACCTGCAAGCTGCATGCCAACCTCTGTTCTGGACTCATGCATCACAAACTTCAATGTGCATAAAAATCTACAAAGATTCTCATTCAGTAAGGTCTGGTGAGGAGCCCAAGAATTTGAGTTTTGAACTGATTTTCTGTATGATTTAAGCTACATGACTTAAACATTGTGCACCTCATTTTCTATAGCTGTAAAAAGAGCTCAAGAGTTTCTTCCCTACCTGCTCAACACATTTTGTAAAAATTGAGCAGACTAATATATGTAAAATTTAATAAGTAGCATACAGAGTAAGAAACAAGCATTATGAAGACAACGTATTGAGGATTTCTTCCCACTTGACTACTTTTTCCCAGTTCTGTACACCAGAATCTCAATGGTGTAAGTCATAATAGAGCCATAATAGGGTCTATTTCAAATACCCTTCTTTCATAGTTTCCAAGAACATGTTAAAGATTTATTAGTTTCCAATTGTTGCTGTAACAAACTATCACAAACTTAGGAGCTTCAAACAACACAAATTTTTCCTCTCAAGTGCTGGGGGTCAGAAGTTTAAAATGAATCTTATGGGATTAAAACTAAGGTGCCAGCAGAACAGATTCCTTCTGGAATTTTGAAGGTGGTACCTGTTCCCTGCCTTTTCCAACATTAGTGGCTGCCCTCATTCTTTTACTCAGGGCCTCATATCACATAGCCTTTATCCCTTTTTTTTCTCATATAACTTTCTTTTATAAGGACCCTTGGATAATTCAGAATCATCTCTTCATCCCCATATCCTTGACTTGACCACATCTGCAAAGTTCTTTTTCCATGTAAAGTAACATATTGATAGGTTCTGGGTCCTAGGACATGGATATTTTTGGGGACCGTGATTCACCCTAACACACAAGAGTATGAACAAGGTAAAAATAAAGTCGGGGGGTGGGGTGGGGAATTGAGTTTTCCATAGAAAGAGAATGATAATGGACAGAACATAGAATTCTGAAACTTTCCTGTCAGAGTTGCCAATGTTTAGGGTCCTAGAGCAGAGAGGATAAGGTGTCCTTTAAGAGGAGGCTTTGTCGAAACCTGAACCAATAGCAGAAGGGTGAGATATGCCTAACTAAGTTGGAGAGTTTTTGGTCTCGGTGATAGGCAGGCCTAGTTTGCCTATAAAACTGAAAATGGGCTAATGAACATTGCAGCACCTTTTCCTCTAGGCAAAGTCCTCTAAGCCCTTCAGCCTTCTGTGTTTAGGTTGATTGTGTCAACCTTAATAACAGAGAGGGAGACTCTCTAAAAGAAAATGGTATGTATTTGAGAATCGGCATTGCAATGGGAATACACAGGCCATAGTAAACTATGTGCATATTCAGGAAGGTAAAAGAAGACAAAGCATTTTAAAGAAAAAATGAGAATTACATAATTATTTTGAGATAATTATACTTGGCGACAAAGATTAATAACAAGGGTGGCACAAGTCCAAGTTTGGACAGGCAGTTGCTTGGCAGATGTTCTCAAGAAGCATTGTGTGTGTGTGTGTGTGTGTGTGTGTGTGTGTGTGTGTAAGTTTGTAATTACATTTGCACAAGATTGTGGTTTTTGCAGTCTTCTGTGATAGTTTTTGTTATCAGGCATTCATATATAAGAACCCTCACTTCATGGCCTTCCCCAGCTCTATTTGTCAGGGTTTTAACACAAGTGACTCCATTTTGATTCTTACAGCTTTCAGACATTTCCTCCTTTTGATCAAGATCTTTACCCACAACCCACAAGCATTGATGATCAATTTCCTGTATTTAAGTTTTGATTGTCCCTTGGTGCCTAGATGAACCTGTCCTGGTTGGTCTGGTCTGGTCCCACATCAGAGACAGTAATTGATGAGTAAGTCAGTGTCAAAACTTTCTTATCTACATTTGAGCAATTTCAAAGGAGGTATGGAGGTAGTGGTTCTCAGGCTAGGTCTACCTGGGTCCATGGTAAGTTCAATATGTCTGTTCCACAGGTATTGATTATCATCTCAAAGTGCTAGGCCAACATTACTCTCATAGGGGTTGTACCTCTGGAAAAAATTAATGAGTAACAAGAACAAAAATTAAAAAGAAAAATACAAAGAAAAATTAATAGTGATATGATAATCTCAGTTTACATAATAGTTTGAGCTATAAACCTGGGCTTAAAGGAAACCAATTAAATAAATCAAATAATCATGGGAAATTAGGTGACACTTTTTTTTTTTTAACCACGTGGCCTATTTTCTTACTTTTTTTGTATATAGACCTCACCTTTCCCTGAGGGATTTGTCCAGATACAGCATGTAATGTTAGTAATAGCAAAGACATTTCCTTGTTTAACCAATAGATTACATAGAGCAATTTTATCATCTAGTATCCCATGACTAGGCTGAATTCGAGCAGAGCGTGAGCAATGGCTGTATGAGAAATATTGCCATACTCACCCACTAGGTAGACTAAAGCATCTCATAGCTCAGGTTCAGTCAAGTTACCAGCAGAAGCTACTGAATGTGAAATTTCAATTACACCATTATCCTGCCAAGTGTAAAAAGTAGGCGTTAAAAGGGGAAAGAGTCTCATTATGATATGGAGTCTTGTTCCAATGTCTTGGAAAAAAGCTATCTACAGCATGCAGCTATCAACTTATCATTCTAGTTTGCAGTTTGAATGTTTCTGGTTATGGCACCAGGCAGTTTGGTGAACTTTCTGTGTGACCCATACATCAGGCACGAAACTTACCTCTTAGAATTCATCTGGTTTCAGCTTATACAGCTTCAGTACAGACCAGTTCCCATTTTTAGTAATATTACGGAAGTGTTAATGGGAGGGGAATGGAGTTTATAACGAGCAAAAGACTATTCCTAGGCAAGTTATTAGAGGAGTACACATGCTCACTAGTGAGGAAAAGCCCCTAACTCAGTTATCTCCGGTTAGGGCTTACTAAGTCCCTTCTGGGTCAGAAGAGCCCAGCCACAAGGCCAAGTGCAGCCACTGTGGCCATGGTTCTCTTTTTGCTGACTGTCAGTATCTCCAAGGATTCTATCAATGGGCAGCATTTCTAAGATCTCTTTCCTGGGGGGAACCCTTACCTGCTCATGTCTGGCTATGTGCCTATTCTAACATAAAAAGGTTGGACTGGAGAAATCCAGAAGAATTCAGGATCTAGTCAGTTTATAGTAGGTAATAAGAACTCTAAAACAATGCCTAGGGCTAAAGTCTTATAACAGGTGTTTTATAGCTTTTCTTTAGAAACAAAACATTTTTCTCTTTACATTGATCAGACAAGAATCTCAGATGGAAAAATCTTTCCAGGCTTGGAAGCCAAACCAAGGCAGATTTCAGATTTTACCTTCAGTCTTGAAGTTTCTAGGACTGTCAGGAAGTGACAATTTTTATTCACTGACAGTAAGGTTTGGAACCCTTGAAGCTGGGCATTCTATGCTAGTTCTCAAAAAAGATATTCCAGTTAAGGCTTTGTTTTATAATTAATGCTTCCGATTGTATCATTTTCTAAAGAGACAGCAAAATTTTATTAAACTTATACAAATAAACATATTACCACAAGAATACCCACACATAGTTTCCAAATTTCAGAGGGATCAAATAGAGAGAAAAAGTAAATGTTTCCACCTTTATTCACAAAAACAGACTTTACCAAATTGCTGTATTAACTACGATAGCTTAAAAGAAAAAGTTTTCTTAAATTTGGAAAATAAAACATTTAAGTTAAGAATCAATAGTTTCAAAAAAGTCATAATTTTTTTTTTTTTTTTTTTTGAGATGGAGTCTCACTCTGTCGCCAGGCTGGAGTGCAGTGGCACAATCTCGGCTCACTGCAACCTCCATCTCCAGGGTTCTAGTGATTCTCCTGCCTCAGCCTCCCAAGTAGCTGGGATTACAGACGTGTGCCACCATGCCCAGCTAATTTTTGTATTTTTAGTAGAGATGGGTTTCACCATGTTGGCCAGGATGGTCTTGATCTCTTGACCTCGTGATCCACCCACCTCAGCCTCCCAAAGTGCTGGGATTACAGGCATGAGCCACTGTGCCTGGCCTCATAAAATTTTTATCTTCATCAGTTAATTAATCTCTGTAATTAATTTTTGTTCAGCTTGATATTGTTTGGAAGTTTCTCAAATTGGTCAGGTTCATCATTTCAGAAATTTTTAGAGTTCTAAGAATTTTTTATGTCATCCTTTGACCTTAAAGTTACTAGAAACCTACACTTAAGAGTACTTCTTAGTCTTTTACATGCATCTGAAGGAAGTGCTTTTAGAGAAAAATCAAAACTGTAGATGACAGAGACAGATGAGCCATAGTTAAAAATCTGATGGAAGTTTGTTATAATCAGCAATTGACAAGAAAATTTGGTTATTTTTGTAATATACAACATAATAACCAGAATTATGTCTGATGCCATATTAGGTTTCTAAACCTTTTATGCAATTTTGGATTATCCATATCAATAACATACCCATAAATGTAATTGAAAGAATAACTAGCATCACTTACCATTTGACAATGTTTCCTACATAATTCACCAAATTAATGTAATGATCTAATATCTCTATAGGACAAGAGTTCCATTTTTTGAGGCTCTCTCAAGGCCCAGCTGAAAAATCCCAAAGTTAGTTCTAGGTCAAAAAGACTTAGAATTTTGATACTGAGGAAGCTCATCAAAGATGCCAAAAGGTTCAAAACACTTCATCAAAACAGGACTGCAGGTAACTGTGAAATAATAGTATTTCTTTAACCAGGGTGATAATCAAAATAAATAAAGTACATGACTGTAAAAGCAAAATAAAACAAATTTAACTTTTTCAAAGTTCAGCTTTCCTAAGTTATCAAAAAATCTAATAAAGGCAACAAAGGAAATTATCTTGATAAAACATGAAATCCTTGTTTCGTAGGCCTGTTACCAAAAAAGAAAAAAACAAATCTACTGAAGAGTGATTGCTTCTCCTTAAAGAAAACTCTTTTAGGTAAACTGGAAAGTAAACCTAGTACTTAAATTTAATCAGATGTAGTAAGACAGTGTACAAGGTTATGATTGTACAACATAATACACAGGAATGTAAACAGAAAATTAGGACCTTGAGCAAGGGAATACATGGCTCTTAGTAACAGCATGGGAAGTTTCCTGGTTACATGAAAAAAAAAATTAGACACATCAAGAAATGCCAAGAGCACAGAATGAATTTATGCTTGAGGAAAACTTTGCTTTTTTAGGCCTTCAAGAAAGAACATTTCAGCATCAGGCCATAACAGCAGAGTTAAGACCGAAGAAAAAATTATGAGAGCTGATGAAAAAGTTGAAGGAAAGAGTTATGAGCACAGCCAAGCAAAAAGATGTACCTTCTCAAGGGGAGAAAGAGGAAGAACAAAAGGCAATGATGTATGACCTGCAAATCACATAAAGTTAGATAAAGCAAAAGTTGAACTTCTGAGATAGAAACTTGAGAAGCTTCAAGAGGAAAAATCTACCTCAAGAAATGAAATAATCTAAATAAAGACAGAATTTTCAATCTAAATCCAGAAAAATTAAATAAATCTCAGGAAGAAATATGGCACAAATAGAAACTGTAAAACAGGAAGAAGCTGCAGTTTAGAAGATGGTTGAATGGTTGAAATTTTTTTTAAACATATTTCGGAATTAAACCAAAACCTAGCAAATTTTACTAAGAGCAAACACTTCAAGAAACCTTATTGTTTGAACACAAGGAACCAAATTGTTAGTTTTGTATCAGTGTATTTTTAATACCAAAGCTCAGTCTTTAGAAAGACACACAAATAATTCTCTTACAATTATAGCCAACCTGATCACACACAAATTTCCATCATAAATTCATCTTTCACAAACCTTCCATCACTTATTCAGACATTCCATGACATGAGCAGAACTTCAGCTTTGTCCTACACTTCCTCTTTCTTACATAACCAGTCATTTGACTTTAGGACAAAAATTTACCACATAAGATTCTTTCTCATAAAAAAATTATTATTTTTTTGTTTTTAATCTACCTTACCAAAAATGCATTTTCATATGTATAACTTTCTTCATATGTCTTTGTTCTACTAACTGGTTCCTCTCCATCATGTTTCTACTTACTTCCTTCTAAGTCCATATTTTGATACAAACTTTTAATAACCTCTGAATTTAGACAAAATTATTCTTTAGTTCAGTAAAGAACATATTTTTATTTCCTTCTTATACTTTCTCTTATCAAAAACATCTTTTTGGGTCACTTTCTATACAGTATTATATATACACATTAGAATTTTTAACACTTAAAAACTTCTTTTCTAGTGAAAACCTAGGAAGCAATAAATTTTGCACTGTGTCACTTATCAGTATTATCTAGATAAGAACCATTTTATAATTTTTTAGAAACATGCTTCCCTGTAACATAATTATGTGAATTAATAGACTCAAATATATATAGTTTTTCTATAAAACTTAAGAAGTCAATAACAAATGTATGCTTACATTTAGAAATTTTTGTTTTAGCATTTTTTTCTTATTTGGAAGTGACTTAGACATTTAATGAGTATCTATCACTTAATTTAAAATAACATAACTTTAGACTTTCAAACTTCAATTAGCGATTCAAGATGGCTGACTACAGGCATCCGGTACTTGCCTCCTCCACAAAGTAGAACCAAAATAGCAAACAGGTAATCACACTCTGAGTAGATCAACTAATACAGAACACCGGCGTTCAATAGAGAAGTGACAGGAAACACCTGAAGTGTAAGGGACACGAGGAACACAGTGCAGCTTGCTCAGCAAGGATCAGCTGGCAGCCTGGAGCGGCTCCCCAGTGTGGGCAAAGGGTAAGTGAGTGACCCCAGTGGTTCACATTCCCACCAGAGACTCACATCATAGCCATAGAAAAGCCCCTAGACCCTCGGAGTCCCTGAGACTAACATAGGAGGCTGCTTGGAGACCACACAAAGGCATTGCTCAAGAGAGGGAGCTCACACTGGGTTTCACACAATCTCAGCCCAAAGCAGGTACAGCCATATTGAAAGCCCAGCCCCCACCAGAAGGTACCCTAACTGGGGTCCCAACAGTCCCTGCATCTCCATATTTCTGAAACCTCATTGACATTCCCTACCCACAGCCACCACCATAGCTGGCTGGCTGCTACCTCCAGGGCTAAAATGTGAGCCGTTGGCAATGACCCCGCTGTCCTCAGCAGGAAGCCACCACACATTTTCACGTGCCTCAAGGAAGCCGCCAAACATTTTCACATGCCTCAAGGACAAGCTTACCTGCCCCAGCCAGGGCTGAAATGTGACTGAAGTAATACTCCCCAGTCACCTGCATATGACTGCTGCTTCTGAAAGTAACCCCATTCTCCCCAATAGCAGGGCCGCAGTGCAGCCACTGCCACCCCTACTCAAGCATTCTGATGTGGGCCTGGAGATTACCTTGAGCCTGCCTACTACAGCCAGTGCCTGTTCACAGCATGTAGGGGCCTGAAGTCAGGCTTTCCTAGCCTGGCTCTACCCCTCAGTACGCGGCCACTCCATCTGAGAGCCTGGGAACTACCCAGCTCAGTCCACCATTGTTGACACCTGAGTATTGCTACTGGGGCCCAAGGTTGGGCCCATCCAGCCTGCCACTACCACCATAGCAGGCACAGGCCCACATGCAACAGCCGCAGGCTGGGGACTGGTGCATTCGGCCCATCACAGCCACTGCCAACACCAGCACAGACCACTTGGGACTCAGAGGTTATTTTACATGTACCTAATTTAGCTTTAACAATCATACTTGGATTACTTATGAAAACTAAGATATTAGGCTAAGCTAGTCATCATTTCAAGTTATTTCTCTGATAACTCTTTTTCTAGCTTATGATTATCAGGTGATCACCTAAGTAAGAATCTGAAGTATATGGGTATTTTGCCAATAACTCATAAGATATAGTTGTTTTTATTAAACCAATACTATGAAATTGGTCTTATTTATCGAAGTGTTATACAAACAAAAATCATCCTGTTTTTAGGCTTGGTTTATAGTTTCATGATTTTAAAACATTTATCAGGGACATACATAAAAGTGTCTAAGGTCCGGGCGTGGTGGCTCAAGCCTGAAATCCCAGCACTTCGGGAGGCCAAGGTGAGTGGATAGCCTGAGGTCAGGGGTTTGAGGCCAGCCTGACCAACATGGTAAAACCCCGTCTCTACTTAAAAAATACAAAAACTAGCTGGTCATGGTGGTGGGCGCCTGTAATCCCAGCTACTCTGGAGACTGAGGCAGGAGAATCGCTTGAACTTGGGGGTGAAGGTTGCAGTGCACCGAGATGGTGCCATTGCATATCAGCCTGGACGACAGAACAAGATTCCGTCTCAAAAAAAGAAAAAAAAAGTGTCTAAACAGTAAACTCAGGCAAAAATGTACAGTGACAATTCTGAAGATATTTCAATTTTTATTTTGACAAATTTTAAAACAGCTTACTGATCAAAGATGCTTCAGTCATGGAAATTAAAAGGCATTTAGGCTAATTGCTATATTTTTTAATATGAGCACTCATTTATCTAAACCAACCTGTATAGGATCCCTTAAGGAGTTTTGAGCTGACTATGCCAGATTTTACCATGTAGATAAAACATACAAGAGGCATAAACATATATATAAAAATTTAAATAAAGATCCTATAGATTTCCTTTTAGAATTTTAATCATGAGACAGTAAAACATAATAATATAAACTCTTCAGTTTATAACAGACAATTAGAGCTGAATTATATTTCTGATAATACAGGAACTGTTTACGTGGCTAAAATTTTGCCCTGATAGGTAATGTAATGAAGGTTGTGGACCATAATTTTGAGTAAAGTAATTTGGTTTAAAACAATTATTTTATCTTTTTTCCTCTGTTTTGAGTTTTTAATGAGTTTCAGTGTTAAATTTCTAAATATTTACACTTTAGTTAGGACTGGCTATTTTTCTTTTGTTATAAGAAAAACAAAACATCCAAGCGGCCTTGGATTTTTAATAACCAATCTTTTTGTTTGTTGTTTGCCAGTCTGGTTGTTTGACTAGTGTCAATGCAGGGCAGGATGCTTTTAAGAAAAATATTTGCAGGCTTTTTTCCCCCTCTCCTATGTGGCAGGGAAAGTAATCTTTATGCCCAACAGTAATACCTTATGTTATGGCTCTGAGCTCAAGATTTTGGCCTGTTTGATTTGAAGGCCTAACCTTTATAAACTTTTATCTAGTTATTTCCTTTTAGAATTAATCCTTTGATTAATTGTTTCATCATGCTAAGCAATTGTTAGTCTAGCTTAATTTAAGTTCACATTTCCAAAGGTGTCTAGATTGTTGGTTGCTAAGGAGCTGTTGTAATTTGTAAAGTCATTAATTTGAAAGCCCTTTAAGACTCTTATCTCTTATTTTGGTTTGAAATGCCCTAAGAAAAACTTCTAAGTGGCTTTTGAAATTAGCAGCATTACATTATCTTAATACAAATAAAAACGTCAACAGATTCAGAGTAAGTAGAAAAAAATATACAGGCAGAAAACTTAGACAGCTCTACATGTTAACTGTATAGTTGGTTGCACTTTCTAATTCAGTTCTAAGAGAAAAACAACTTGGGGAGTGCAAACGAACCCCATGATGGCATTGATTTTAAAACATGCATGAGGAAACTCCACATTGGTGGCTAGAGTCCCAAACAGCTTGGCATGCCTTAAAGTTTGAGAATCCTATTTCATTTTTTAATTTATCTCTCAAGATCATGCCCACCATTTAAAATGTTGGGCGTTTATTCCTTTCAGAACATGATCAGAAACAAGCAAGATAAAAAACAGCCAAATCATTTACAGATGCACGCATCCAAACCAAAATAAAATCAGAGTGCTCACAAAAATGTTAACCCAGGCATACAGATCGAACAAAATATTAAACATGTGTGGAGACCCAAAAGTAAATTTGACAGAAGAGACATGCCTCACAGAGAGAATGTAGATTCTGTAGGATCCAAAATACTCAAACCACAAGAACATTTGTCTTTAGTCTCAAATAAAGTAAAAAAAGAACTTGCCAAAGTAAGAGTCCTAGAATCCAAGAGGAGATACACAGTGGGCTCAGTTGATACCACACTCCATTCCAGGGGTTGCCAATTTGTCTGAGGGGATCTCATTTTGGTCCTGCCTCTGGCACCATGATCCCAACCTAAATAACAAAGAGGAAGACATTCTAAGAGAAAATTATATTTATTCAAGGATAGGCACTGCAATGGGAATACACACGGCAAAGTAAACTATGTGTGTGTTCAGGAAAGTAAGGGAACACAGAGGATTTTAAAGGAAAACAATGAGAATTACATCATTGTTTTGAGGTAATTATTCTTGGTTACAAGGATCAATAGCAAGGTGGGTGCCAGTCAGGTTGGACAGGCAGTTGTTGGGTAGATCTCATTACAGAATTTTTTTTTTTTTTTTTTTTTAGCATAAGATTGTGATGGCCTTTGTCCAAGGTTGTGGTTTCCAGGCTTTTGTAATATTGATGTAACATAGCATTCAAATATGGCTTATAAATACGGAATCCTTTATAATTTAAGTTTAATATAATTACTTTATTCCAGGATTCAGGCCAAGAATCATTTCTTAATTTTCCAGGTAATCTGTAAAAAGATAATTAAAAGTGCCTATATTTTTGTTCATACTGGTCTCATCTATAAAATTGATCACTGAAAAAAATTGTAAGTGCTAAGTATACAAAAAAATTATATATAGAAGCAAGATTTATGATATATTTGTTTCTAATTGTAAAATATTTTCTTTCTACTGTGAGGTTTCAAAGTAATTAAAACAAACTTAACAGAAAATATTTGTAAAGTTAACATATAATATTAACAATCTGTTTTTTCAGCCCATGAACTGACAATATAGGTGTAAATTGTGCCATTTGTTGTTAGAAACTGTTAGGTTTTAAAATAAATTTAATCACATGATTTTTAACATGAAAATTACCGCAGTTTTATAGAACAGAAATTGAAAATATGAAATGAATGCATTTGGTTCTTTTTGTCTAAAACAAATCATTCTCAAATAGAAATATAATATAATTAAATTTTTAAAAATGGAGGGAATTGAACTCCATAAAGAGATATTTCATTACACATTGGGCATCCTTGTAGCCTATGTGAGTTTTTGGCCACTATCCCTGTATTTCTATGCACCCTCTATCTACTCCTTTCATGAGTATACCTCATGTAATATTTTAAGTTGAAACAACATTGCTTATTTTATCTGGAGATCTTGAAGATGAGTAAACTTTTTTATTTGTTATATTTAGCCAATCCTAAAAGTGTTCTATTACACTAGAAAAACAAACATATTTTTACAACCTTTGGGCTTTTGTCAAAGAAGATTTAATTTTAAAGAAAATATATGTAAGTACTGGGGCATCATTTAAAACAAACAAGAAATCTCTTCCTTTGTGTAAATAATTATAAGTAAGTACTGGGGCATCATTTAAAACAAATACGAAATCTCTTCCTTTTTGTAAATAATTATAACTAGTAAAAGATTAATTCAACTGACTGAAAGAAAATATGAGGATCATATTTAAAATGAAAAAACAGTATTTACTTATGGTTCATTTTGTTTAAAACACTTTCATCTTCCATGTTTCACCATGCCTTTAAAATATATATATATATATATATATACACACACACACACGCATATATATTTTATATATATTACATATGTATACATGTATATATATACATATATATTTTATATATGTGTGCATATATATACACACACACACATATGTGTTTGTGTGTGTATGCTTTTATTCATGTTGGAATTCATGCTGTCTGCTTCTTTCCTGTGCTCTTTTGTCAGTGTTTTCCTGACTCTCAGAATGCAAAATCTGCTTCATTTTTACCACAGAATCTCAGATTTCATCTAGGTAGCATGTAATTTATATTTAGCTGTAGATTCTTTGGGTGTGTTTTCTTACAGAGTAGATGATAAATTCCTTGGGAGTAGAGATTGTTTGAGTTTTTGATGCTTCTCCAGGGCACTGACTTACTACACTGTTCATTGCACACACTAGATGCATAGATTTATGTTTACTTTAACACTGGTCAACCATGTAAAATTGACATCAGATATTATGACTGATGGATAAGTACTGTTCTTCTCATGGCAGAGAATCAATGAGACAGCTCTCCTGTTTTGTAGAGCAAAGCTCTTATAAAATAGTATATATTATTCTTCAGAGTATTTATTGAGCACTTAAAATTTTTTGTTTGAAATGGATAGAAAAAAGAAAACAAAAGATGATTTTAAGAGAATAACTCAAAAATCTTGGAAGAGATATTTTATTTTGATCCTAATGCATACAAGATTAACTCAGCCCATCTGGTTATACAAAAACACAAACAGTTTCTTCATTAAGTTTGAAATTTTGAGCTATCCAGGATTTGCTTTATCTCTAACAGTCTGTGCAGTGCCAAATGTTGATATCTCATTTCCTTGACTGTGATTAAATTTTCTTTATATCAGTGGTGTAGTATTTGAAAACACCCAATTTAATAATATCTTTGTCATATATTTTTATTTTTTGAACACATGAATTTTGTATTTCCAATGTGATTTAGATGACATTTTGTTTCTATCACCAAAAAATCATCTTTTCCAACAGCAGTTCAACTCTGAGATTGGAAATACTTTAAGCCTCAACATTGTCAATTTTGGCTCTTTGTCATTTTCCTCAATAGGGTTACTTTATTAATTTCAGGGACCTTAAATATTGTGGTATGTATGAGTGTGCACGTGTGCATGTACCTGTGCCTGCATGTGTGTTTTTCTATTCTCCCATGTCCATTACTTAAATATATGTTATTACTTCATGTTGAATTTGTCTTATAAACAAAGCCAAAAAACTCTATTTGTGTTTTTACTAGATATAAGCCATATTCTTTAGATGAATCATATTGGAACCTTTCAGTGTTTTTATGAATGCAGTGTTTAAAACAGCTAAACATCTATCTAAAAATGTTCCTCTTTGAGATTTGAAGAAAAAAATCTTACTCTTATGAATCTATCTCTCATAATATTGCCATCTGATCCTTTAAGTATCTTTTTTCCCCTAATCAAATTTCAAAAGTCATGTTGTCACCTCTAAAATATAGAAACTGGGACATTTTCTGCCTTCATTTATAAATATTTATATGTCAGTGTCTACTTAGTGTTTGCTTTAATTCATCTAATTTTGTGTGTGCATGATAGAAACTACTTACAGGATTTTCCACTGAAAATTACAAATGAATGACTTAACTGAGAAATGCACTTTCAAGTGACTAATGAACCAAGCAAACAAATAGCAGAAAGAACATCAATGTGCTTATTCTCAAATCTTCAGCAATTCTGGGCTGTCCATTAGATCGTTAGTTAAGCACAGCAACACATACAAATATAAATTAGCCTGAACTCCAGTTTTTCTCCCTTAAGTATGTGGCTAACTTGCTAGTTGGGTAAGATAATGAGGTCATGATCCAGGAACTATGAATAGAGAATCCATAGAACTGGTTCTGCGTACATTAGTATAAACCAATCTACATAGTTGCACATTTCAAGTTGTTCCATCTATGTAGAAATTAGATTATTGGGATTTGGAAGTAATAAATAGATTATTCATTGTTGATTCATTTCAACATATTTATTGAGCATCTAAACTGAGTGAGGAAAATTGGTTTAAAGCATAGCTGGCTCTCAAATATTCTATTGTGTAGTGAAAAACAAAAAGACAGGTAAACAAATACTATGAAACACTCTTGGGTTTGTGTTGAAACTATGGTGGATATCAATGAATGCAAAAGCATCTCCTGTGCTGCAGCCTGATTTGTATGGGGTTGAGATAAGCAGTGGAAAGTGTACAGCACGGGTGACCAACTGAACTGAGGTTTGGATAACCAGGGCTTCTTTAGTCAGTATCATGGATAGAGAACCAGGATTCTAGTACATGCACTTACTATGTTCAAAGCTGCAGAAGCATGGAAAGGCATGGCATATAATAAAAGCTATAAAATGGCCATACACAGGTGACTGCTGAGAAGTAGAGAGCAATGTATTTGGACAAAGTCTCAAAGATCACATGATAAATTATCTGATTCTCTACTAGCAGATGCAGATTTTTCTTGAAGAAAATGTAGAAGAAAATGAGCAATGTTAAAGAAGGTAGTCACATATTGAGTGTTTTGTTTGTATGAAAAAAATTCTGACAAGTCCTCAGAAAATTAGTTGACTGAAGAATGAGATCACATTAGGAAACTTTCTATGGTAAGCTTGTTTAAGCAATTATGAGGGTATGGATTAAGATAGTAACAGTGGCCGGGCGCAATGGCTCACACCTGTAATCCCAGCACTTTGGGAGGCCGAGGCGGGCAGATCACGAGGTCAGGAGGTCGAGACCATCCTGGCTAACTCGGTGAAACCCCATCTCTACTAAAACAATACAAAAAATTAGCTGGGCATGGTGGCGGGCGCCTGTAGTCCCAGCTACTCGGGAGGCTGAGGCAGGAGAATGGCATGAACCTGGGAGGCGGAGTTTGCAGTGAGCCGAGATCACTCCACTGCACTCCAGCCTGGGCAACAGAGCGAGACTCCTCTAAAAAAAAAAAAGGTAGTAACAGTGGACATGAGAAAATGAACTGGATTAGGAAAACATGGTTTATTCATCTTAATGACCTACTGGATAAAGATATAAGAAAAATAGGAATGTAGAATGGTTTCAACCTTTATATTAAACAACTGGGTAGAAGAGGGTATTTTATAACATGAGAAACATGATTGGAAGGGAGACTGGAGACAATGATAAATTAAATTTTGGACATGCTGCAGATGAAATATATGACATAATTAAGAAAAGTTGAAATCTGGAGTATGGAGTCAGAGTGATTAGTCAGATATTCATCAACTGTATTAGTCAAGAGAGACTAACGGTTGTAACAAATAGCTACCATATTTGAGTCATGTAACACAGTAAAGTTTATTTCCTGCTGATACAATAGCAGAGCAGAGATGGTCCTACCCAAAGCATTAAATAAACAAAGATTTCTTCCATCATGTGGCTTGTCCCTCCTCTGAGTCTTGGTCTTTGGCGTGTAAATGAAGAAAAATGTCACAAATGGCATGTTGGTAGATCACATTCACTCACATTCCATGTTCAGAATCCAGTGCCCCAGCCGCACCTAACTACAAAGAGGGCTGGACAATGTAGTCTAGGTGCATGCCTACTTTTTTACTAAACAGTGAGATCATTTATGATGAGACCTCATTTGACTCTTTCAAATTTACCATCCATTGCTTCTTAGCAGTCATCTAAGTGCCAGCTTTTCTAAAGAGAAAAACGTGGATATTGGGGAGCTTTTATAACAATAATTATAACTTAAATATTATAAGCTATACTTATAATTTTGATATATTAGTTTTTATTTTTAAACAACTCAATTTTCAGATTAGTGAAATTTTCCAGAAAATTATGTATTCTTGAAAATTAAATAAATTAATTCTGCAGAACACTGAAGTT
Source organism: Homo sapiens (assembly GCF_000001405.40). Lineage (NCBI taxonomy): Eukaryota > Metazoa > Chordata > Mammalia > Primates > Hominidae > Homo > Homo sapiens. The sequence continues at coordinate 172,135,302 of NC_000004.12, forward strand.
CTTTAAAATCCATGGAATCCCCAGCCCTGGATGCTGTACTGGATTCATCTTCAAGACACTGATGACACATCCAGGACCCATAAAAGGAACTCTGTACTTAGGAAAAAGAGAGAGAGAGAGAGAGAGAAAGAGAGAGAGTTGCCACATAACCTTTGCTCTTAAGCTTAAATAAAAGCAATAACAAATTCTCCTCTACTAATTGAGAATTAGTAGAATTCTCAATTGAGAATTGAGAAGCAAACTTCTACCAGTTCATAGTTAGCGTCCTTCAGGGCTTCAATTGGCTATTGCAATAATTTTACCATTTAACATACGTTAATGCTTTCCGACATAGATTTTGCAAATATCAAGGTATTCTCTGGCAGTGAGGTTACATACATAAGATTTTTCAAATCACTGAGAAAATTTAAATCACAGTTTCATTTTGAGGGGAGATACATTACAAAATAGTAAAAATACAATAATAATCAATATATGAGAAAAATTTAATGATATTTGTTAATGATATGCAAACTTCTTGATCAAGCACCCTAAATATCACATTCCTCTCACACTGAGTACATGCATTTGGAAGTTGAAACACTAGTTTTAATTGCATAAGTTAAAAGTCATTAATTCTGTTTCTCTTTAAAAATTTTTAAAAGACAGAGATACCAATTTCTATTTTAAAAATAATGAAGTAACCTCAAATGCTTTGAGGACCTATCAAAGTCCACTTCTTGTTTTTAGTTAGGAAATAATTTCAGTTTCTAATGCTTAGCTGTGCGTTCTATAGCCAGACTCATACAAAAGTTTCAATAAAATGATATTTCATTGAACACTGTGAATGAGAGATAAATTTCATAGTTTAGCTTCATACTTTTATAATTCAAACAAGCCTCACATTATTGAAGTCAGTAGACTCTATATTACCTTTACCTTGAAAATCTGAAACTATTTGATATTTCAGACTGGATATGGGACTTTGTAAAATTGGATTAAATCTAGATCACATTGAAAAATGCCTTCTATCAAAAAAAAGAAAAACCTTAAGTGATTTATCTTTTTTCATCTTTTATTTTTTATGTGTAACTTATTTATTGATTATAAAACTCTGTTCAATTTTTTAAAAACATACCTGGGCATTAGTCTCCTCATATGTAAAAGAATGTATAGTCTGGCCTATTTAGTCTCAATGATCCCCTTTAATCCCACAGATTCATAATTTAATATTTATTTTTCTCCATGACCTTGAAAGCGATCTAAAGATCAGAAAATGTTTAAAATGTGTTTGTTTCCCCACGTTGCAGCTTGATGGCATCAGATTTTGTGGTGATATGCCTATTTAAATTTTGAAAATGTTAATTTAGTTTATTTTATATATTAAATTATTTTATAATTGAGAAAAATTATGATCATATAGAATACTTGCATATAATTATGCACAGCTCCATATACATAGATTGTACAAGGTAACTGACTATAGAATGAGTAAGATCATTTTCATGCTAGTTTTAGTCATTTTCACTCAATAAAATATTTACTAAAAAATACCAACCATGCAAAGAAAGAGTCAAGCTACGATTTTTATTATGTAAAACAAAGACCCCATAGCAATTAAAAGTAAATAATTAGTCCCCGAAAAACAAAGCCTGCTTATTCTTACCTTTCCTATTAGCCATGGAATTACCTTTATTTTCTTTCTATATTAACTAACTCCCATATACCCCTTTTTAATGGACACAAAATTTTATTATGAATGTGTTAACAGAAGTCTTTATATGATCCATTTAGATTTCTCATTCATAGAGAGCATTTAGTCTTAGAGACTAGAATAAATGAATTTGGGAGTAATAATTCTTATATGTCATTATTGACTGTTTTTTGTTATTGATACATTAGGAACAATTAATACTTATATAAATTTAATACACCTATGATTGCTTTTGTATTTTCTTCTTTTTAACTTTGTAAAAGGAGGATACTGACTCTGAGAGAAGGAAAGTAGTTTTGGTATTTTCAATTATATTTTGAAGCTATATATACACTTTACACTCTACATAAATGCAGGGGAAATGCTATTTAAGAATATTATCAAAAACATTGTATATAAATTTAATCTCACAAAGGTGTACAAGATTGGAATATGGTAATAGTTTCTTCTTCAGTTAACAGATAAATTGACTGAAAGTTTATTTGCAGACATTTTGCCTGAGCCAAACAAATGACGTCTATTTAGAGAAGAAATCAGAAGAGTAAAATCCATGACCTGAATGGAGAGAAGCCACAGAATGAAAGGGACATAGTGAACATGTTAGTAAAAGATTTGCCAACAGACTTTAGAAAACAAAACAAGAAAAAAAGCCAAAAAACTACAGGCAGACAGATGAAGGGTAGGTAAGAAACCACAATGGATTCAATGTGTTCTGTGATATTTGAGCTCTTTCCCTGAATTTTCTCCCTAGTTGGATGAGAATCTACTCATTCAAATTGATTACAACTTTGAGCAACTGCAAGAACAGAGAGGCAGGTGCAAGTTATGAAAGAATCTGGTCTTTGAAATCACTATGCCATAGAATAGGAAATCCAGTGATTTTACAAAGGCTTGAATTGTCTTTCTTTAGGCTACCAAATAGTAAGCCAGCTGCATTTGGTACAGAGTAGTGATTGCCGAAAGCTTTGGCAACTGAGAAAACACCAACCTACAGTGATTTGGTGGTGTTGCCATGAGCAGATGAGCTGCTGCGGAGTCCTGATAAAGTTGATTACATATTTTGCAATATAATATTGATGAAATAGGTTCTAAAAGCATTTGAAAATATCAGCTTTAGCAGCACAAACCATTCTAAAACCTCCCAAATGAACGGAATTATGATTGGTTGAAAAAACTTATAACTTGTTCAGCTCAGTTCTCTTTATATTTTATTTGTAAAATGAAGCTAAATGATAGACTATACAGATTATTATGAATTACGCAGACCCACAGGAATATTCAAATCCTGTCTCTCAATGATTTTATCATACTTGATATTTTAGGTGTTACATGTTATTATATTACTCCTTTTTGCATTTTTGTCCTTTGCATTTCGTTTTATCGAGGTTCATTAGTCTATTGCTTTCCTTCATTTTCCTTTTTTTTTGCCAACTATCTCAGAGTCAAATTTGATGTCTAATTATATTAATTTACTTGGACTGCCTATATATATATATATATATATATATATATATATATATTTTTTTTTTTTTTTTTTTTTTTTTTTTTTTTTTGAGACGCAATCTCGCTCTGTCGCTCAGGCTAGAGTGCAGTGGCGCGATCTCGGCTCACTGCCAGCTCCACCTCCCGGGTTCACGCCATTCTCCTGCCTCAGCCTCCCGAGTAGCTGCGACTACAGGTGCCTGCCACCACGCCCGGCTAATTTTTTGTATTTTTAGTAGAGATGGGGTTTCACCCTGTTAGCCAGGATGGTTTCGATCTCCTGACCTCATGATCTGCCCGCCTCGGCCTCCCAAAGTGCTGGGATTACAGGCTAAATAATTGTTATCTTTATTCCTGGCTACCCTGTGTTATTTTATACTTAATTTCTAAGTTGTCTCTCATTTTTTTGTAATAAGAAAAGTTTATAAATTATTTCTTCCTCTACTAAAGTGATTGTATGAAATTCTCAGAACCAATATTTCCTCTAACATATACTTTTAAAAGTAAATCTATCTTGTATATAACCGAAGAGATAGATCAATCGATCAGCAATGATTTGGAAGGGAAAGGTGGCAGACAAAAGGAACAGAAAAATTAACTGTTACTTAGTGGGAACTAGCTTGATGTGTTCCAGGAATTTTATAAGGCCACTGTGCTAGACCTTATTGAGCAAGTGGAGAAAAGTATATAAGTTTGGAAAATCATACTGGACCTATAGGATCTTATAGGTCATGGTAATTTGAGTTTTATTCTTAGTTTGGTGATTGCTCACTGTTTATGCCCTTAAAAATGTTAAAGTGCTTCCTTTAAAGAGGAAAAGTACATTGAATATACTTTTTAAAAATTGATTGATCAAAAATAAAATTTCAGACAAATGCATAGGTTTTTAAATATTTTAGAATAATTTGACAAACACCTAGATGTTTACACAATTCTAGAATTTTAACAGAACTGTTGAAAAACCCAAGGCTTAAGTCAGTTAGGGAGAGAATTATATCTCACAGCCAAGAGTGTTAAATACTGAGCCCTAAACTGGGGTATTAATGTAACCTTAGTTCCTGATAGATGTAATTAATATAATCCCAATTCCAGGATGAAATCCTTTATATTCTAGAATATAGTTGTTCAGGTGTGAAATTGATGAATGTTTTTGCTGAGAGTTGGGCCGTCTGTAGTACTTTCTTCCAACATACTTGTGCCTTCCAGGCAAATTTGAAAATTTTAGTAAGTATATTTCTTCAAAGGATTGAATTCTGCCCTTTTAGAAATAGATCATGTCCCCCTCACGGGAAGCAACTACCCTGTTCTTTACACAAATATATTTTCACTTATTTTTTTAAAAACATTTCCAAGACCTAATTTTTAAAGCCACTTTGTTGTCATTCTGATTACTCAGAAATATTGCATTTCTTTACTGTGTTAATACCAAAAAAACTTTCCTATCAAGTTTTCTTAAAATGTGTATATTGTACTCCATATATATTAGGTGTTCAACAAGTACTTATTAACATTGTTTAAATAGTCTTTTTTTTTTTATTACATGCACTTTCCAAATTGTGAACTCTGAAAACAGACCATTAGTTCTATTGTATGTACTCTGAGGGTGTTTAGCACAAATTTCTGCTCTCATAATCCCAACAAACCTCATACCAATTTGTTGTATCACAACTGATATCAGAAAATTCGTTACATTTCTTTATGCCCAAATATTTCCATACTTAAAATTACCTAGCCTTTTTGCAGCTACATGTTGCAGAAAAAGGTGTCATGCACAAGGTCATGTTTTACCTTTAGGCTACATTCAGCAAGAAAATGAATTTATAAAATATAGTACTCAGGAGAACAGATATATGGTATTTTGTAAGACATCCAGAAATTTAGTATACTATTAAATTCCTCTCACAGATAATATCAGAAATTCTAATAGTCTACAAAAGTCTTGTTTTTATTTAACAAACATCTATATAGCATTTACTTTGTGCCAGTCATTGTTCTAAGGGCTTAATAAATATCAGCGCATTTAATCCTCATATACCTTCTGACATAGGTATCACTATTTTCTCCATTTTCCACACAAGAACATTGAACTGAAGAGATGAAATTTTCTCAAGGTCACAACTAGTAAATATACAGTATAGGATTTAAGGACAGGAACGCTGTCTCCAGAAATGTTCTCAACTGTTATGTTAGTCTCACTAACTCTAAATCTGCATCAAGAAAAGCCTGCCTTCAAATTTTGTATGTATTCACTAGATTGAATATTTAATACATAAGAAGAAGAAATTGAATCGAGAGCAAAGACCATAAGAGGTTAAAGCCTGAACTGACAGGAGTTTACTTGGCAAGGGAAATTTGTTTGTTTTCTATCAAGTATCATTGGCACTCAGGATTAAAAGGAGGAAAGGGCTAATAGTAAAAAGTAATGTATGAATATTCTATGTCATTACCAAAAATATAAAAGAAACCTAGCAACCTCCTGTTAATGGTATGAAAGGATAAAGGTGTAGCAAGTCCTTCTGGCTTCTGTGTCAATTATGTACCATTTATTACAAACCTATTCATAATTTTAATTTGATTAATCTTTGCCCTTTATGTAAATTAAATTAGCTTTAGGGAACCAAAGAAAAATAATTTTATGTAGTGTTACTTTGATGCCTTACAGCTGAGACAAGGTATGGATGGAAATCCTAGAGAGAGAGCAGAAAAGCTTTTTCAGTGTGCTGGATAGTAAGTGTTTAAGTGTCAGCAAAAACACACATCCTGTTCTTAGATTTTTCCATCAATTCGAAGCAAGCACTCTATTAGTTGCTGGGAAACAGAAATAAATTAAACACAACCTGTTTCTTTCAAGAATCTCTCAATCTGTTGAGGAAGGCAGGCAAAATACAGAAATAACATTTACAATACAATGTGATATACATTCTGTGCCCAATCCGTCATTTGTCAGATGGTACGAGTACAAATTCAGACAAAAGTTTAGTTTGATTCATATTTTATTTTAACAACATTGATTATTTTAAGCATATAATGAGTAATTAGTTTAAGTCAACTCAAGGTAAAAATAAGCAACTTGCTGTTGAACTAAGTAACTAAGAATACTCCTTATTTTAATATTTTAAACTCGTCAATTAAAAGAAAATTGCTTAGCTAAAAAAAAATTCTGCCAGTATAAAAGGACAACAAAAGAGGATGGCAGAATTGAAGTTCTAGAGCTAATCAGGTGTCAGTTGAAATTGAAGAAAAAAATTAAAAATGAAAAAGATGACAAAGCCAAGTGAAGCCAAAATGTGTGACTAGAGACATTGGGAGTTCCCAGCAAAGAAGTACTAACTTGCTATTTAACACTTCTATCTGATAGCTGATAATAAGCTATGACTGATAGGACTAATGACAAGAACACACACAAACACACACACACACACACACACACACACACCCCCCACACTCATTCCTGAAATAAAGATAGGATAAACAAAGCAAAACTGAGAAAAATAACATGTCATAGATTTGCTGAAAGAATCAGTGTACACACACAAAAATTTGTTTTTAGTTCTAGTGGCACACTTCCTAGATTTATTCTTCAGAAAAAACTAGAAAGATGGATTTTCTTATGGTCTCTGGTACACCGTTATTTTGTTTATATTCTAAATTATAGAAATAAATATTGTAATATGAAATAATTTATCTACATGGCTTATAAAAAGCATGGTTTATTTTAAAAAATATATAGATACCAAATGCAAAGCCACTTACATGACTAGAAACAACTGAAGCACATAACATCTTTGAGTACACGTCATGCTGTTATAATTTGAAGTTTTGTGCAGTCCTTAAACATTCAGACTTTCTGATCTTGCAAAGGTCTACATGCATATCATAGTATATGAAGAATTTAATAAACATAAAAGTCACTGCTTCCTCCACCATATTGCACTTGATTGCAATCAGCATGTTACAGCCACAGTCTAATTATAAAACGTCAAATGTTTCATCAGCTTTTCTAGCATAGCTCTGTGCTGCATCTGTGGTCACTGGCCCATTGAACATAAATTTTAACTCCTTTTATGTTCAATTGGAATCTGAATTACACAGTTGATGCTAAACTATACCAGAATTAAAACTCCCTTGAAGATAACTTGTCTGATGAACTATTTTCAGGAACGTGATTTTCCAAACATTTCTTGCATTACTCATACCAATGAGTAATACTTTTGAAAAAGTAATTCTGCCTGTCTTAGAATTTCTAGAATTCTAGAAATTCTAAGGCATTAGAGAACAAAATAAAGGTTACAATGAGTTCATATTCTTTATTACTCTCAAAAATAATTATTTGAATAGACAAGAAATGGTTAACCAGGGGGAGTGGATTTTTGTATACATTAACAGAAAATACATTGAATACTATGGAGAGTTTTCTTTTTCTCCTGTTGCCCTATTCTACATTTTTAGAGACAACTGTTTTTATAAATTGGTTATGAACATATCCAATTCAGATATTCTCATATTTAATGTATGTATGTATGGATAGATAGATAGATAGACAGATAGATAGATAATGTCAATTCATTTAACAAGCATTTACTGGCTGCCTATTGCATGTTGGATACTGGAGAAATAGCAAGAAAATCAATCAAGTCCCTGTATTTAGGGTGCTTTATGAGGGTGTCCAAATCTACTTAGGTGGTTGGTTAGTGACTGTTGTTACTATGTGGCTGGTATATTTGCTTTTCTTTCTTTTTCTTTTATTTTTCCTAAGTAATTTCAACTTAAGTTTATCTCTTATAAGCTATATGGGTTTTATGTTTATATAGGAAATCTATCTTTTGATTTGTCTATTACTTTTAAATAAAATTCTATTTTAACTTTTATTATGTTTAAACATTTGAATTTTTAAATTATATTTTAAACTTTTTATTTGATTTCTTTGTCTTTGATTCATCTTCATTATTTTCCCTAGTAGATTTCCTTCCTTGTTTCTTTTTTGCCATCTGTGTGTTTGGTAGGTTTGAGGATTTTTGTTTTGTTTTGTTTTTTGTTTTACCTTTTTTGCACCATACTAACTTTGAAGTTGAATTTCTATTTTTATTGCAATGCTTACTCTTGTATTTTTAGAATATGTATCTAAAACATCTAAAGTAATAAATATTGTTATCTGCCTTCCCCAAATTTAAAATTTACAGCCACATTGACTATCGTAATTTACTGCCTGCCCCCCATTCATGAAGTCTTATCTTGTGTTTTAGTTCCTTTTTTGTTTCTGGTTACCATGAGTCATCTTATTTTTATAGTCAATACTTACTTAGATAGAACGTTTTCCTCACAGTAGTTCATATCTTCAAGTGGAGCATCATTTTTGTTATCTTATCTTCTTTTTTTCCCTTGGGGCTTCCATAGGTCTAAGGTTGGGAATTTATCCCTATAGTAGTTTATAATTTGCCCTTTCTGGAGGACCTGGATTTTATCTGTTATAAATAAATTTGTTTGTTAATTTTCTCAAGAGTCCTATATTATGGCAATAACCAGAACAACTCTGACCTGCAACTCTGCACTATTAGTTTAGTACTATCTCTCTATACACATTGTTCCTTATGACTCTGGGATGGCTGTTATTTCTCCATGACTTCAGGGGAATACAAGCCAGTAGATAAAGGGCTCCCCTTCCAATTATCAGGAGCTCCACTACTCTCACAGTGATTAGGAGAAGCGTGTTGTTGTTGAATATTACTTGCATTATCAGGTTTCTGAAGTAAATTGGTGGCTGGAAGTATTCTGTCTTAAAGTTTGATGTAAATAGAAATAAAATAATTAAATAATGGCATCTGGTTTTAGTTATCCCTATAAGTAGAATTGTACCGAATTTACCAGCTGATAATTTACTAAATCCAGGTTCCAGTTTCATTTCTACTACTATGTAACTCTGAAAACTTGATTGAGTTACTCAATGTTTCTGAGCACCATTTCTAGGAAATAAAAATTGTATCCAAAAAATCAGGAAAAAATGGAGAAATTTTCCCCAGTCTGATATAGTTACATGATAAAATCATATTGTCACAGAGTTTTATATGAGAGGGAGCTAGAAGTCATCTTATGATAGTCTTTCATTTACTAGGTGAATATTGTGAAGTTCTATGAAGCTGAAGGATCTGCTCAAATGTTAGTGAAAAAGTGAGGACTATCATTTTATCTTTTCTAAATCTTAGTATGGTAGTCTTTCCTCTGTACTGTTGTTTCCCATCTTAAAAGCAATTCATCATAATGTGTACAAAATTATAATGTCAAACCTTCATTGAGCATTATTTGTCCCTGCAGAGCTAACCCCTTGTTTTGCAAATGCATACATGCTTATAGGTACCTACTATGCAAATTACATGCAGTAAAATTCCAATTCCCTGTAAGAATTAAGTACACAATTTTCATTTTGTGTTAAATGAAACTCTAGTATTCTATATGGCATTTCTTTAGTGGATTTAAGTCTTATGGAAATACAACATTTTTTTTTGAGACAGGATCTTTCTCTGTCACCCAGGCTGGAGTACACTGGTGTGATCATGGCTCACTGCAGTCTCAACCTCCCAGCCTTAGGTGATCCTCCCACCTCAGCCTCCTGAATAGCTGGGACCACAGCTGGGAGCCACCACACCCAGTTAATTTATTATTATTATTATCATTATTATTATTTTTGAGATGGAGTCTTGCTCAGTCACCCATGCTGGAGTGCAGTGGCGAGATCTCTGCTCACTGCAAGCTCCACCTCCTGGGTTCACGCCATTCTCCTGCCTCAGCCTCCCAGGTAGCTGGGACTACAGGCGCCCGCCACTACGCCCAGCTAATTTTTTTGTATTTTTAGTAGAGATGTGGTTTCACCGTGTTAGCCAGAAGGGTCTCGATCTCCTGACCTCGTGATCCGCCCGCCTTGGCCTCCCAAAGTGCTGGGATTATAGGCGTGTATTATTATTTTTTTAGAGACCACGTTGTCCAGGCTGGTCTCAAACTCCTGGACTCAAGCAATCCATTCACCTCGGCCTCCCAAAATTCTGGGGTTACAAGCATATATATGGCATGAGTATTTCTGGATTTAGCTTCTCTATCTTCTCATATCTCAGTCTCAACCATTCTTTAAAAGGTTATCTGTTTTACTAGTATCCATCTAAAATCACAAAGAAAAATAAAAACATTTTTATTACTGTCTTTTCTGCTAAAACATTTTACTTCTCAGATCTTAATAATTAACTATATTCACGTGGCTACAGGTAATCATACTATAGGTCAGGAAAACTCTATCTCTTTTCATTTTTAGGGTCTTGACTTGGCCTAAAACTTAAATTGGCATATGATAGTCAATTAACAGAAGAAAAACACACAAAATTAATAGAAGTTTTATGTGACATAGAAGTCCCCATAATGACATGAACACCCATTGAATAAATAAAATACAAATGTTTTATATTAGGTTGAACAAAGAGAGGCAATTTTGGACAAGGAACTAAATTATGTGGGGAGGCTAAAGGAAAATAAGAATCATTTTAAACAAGGTCTCTTTGTACACAATGCTCTTGGCTATGACTCCAGGTCAAAGAATATTTCTATCCCTAAAACAAGAAGAACATCTTTCTCATAGGAGTTTTTAATCTCCTGTTTTCAGGAAGAAAAAGGAAGAATAGAATTCCCTTATTACATCTGCTGTTTATCAAGTGTCTAGCTCAAAATAATCCTTACTCCAAAATGGCATATTTTAGAGGGCACATTCTGCCGCCCTTCAGTAGTATCCTTTCACCTACTCCAGGTCAATCAATTCTTTTGCGTTCTTTATGACAATAAGGATTTGACTTTTTCAACATAAATATTTAAATACGTGTCAGTTTTGGAAGTGTGAACTATAGAAAGGCAAAAGAAAAGAAATATAAAAGGCAAAAACAAAAAAATCACCTGTAAACTTTATGTCCAGGATCACTACATTCACTCTGGTTGCCTCTGTATTAATTTTTTATTAGTACAAAGGCTATACATGTCTGTGAATTTGCATATGGGCTTTACACATCTACTAGTTTTCTGCATAATTATTTGTTAAATGGCAGCATGGTAAATGTATTATTCAGAAGCTGCTCTTTTATTTTAATAATAGCCTGAGACTGTTTCCCACTTCTGCATTATGACAGTATCTCCTATTAAAATCTATAATGATCGGTATGGTTTATTATGCTTTGTCTATTGTCTGTCTCACCTGCTAAAATGTAAGTTCTGTCAGGGCAGGGACCCAGTGCAGAGTCACTGCTGGCAAACTGTGGGCTCTCAATAAATATTTGTTTAATTAAATAACATGACTGACATATTAAGATAATTTGGGATTCAACCAAGTTGTGTGAAGTAAAAGGGGATCTATGTTATTAATCAATAAGCACATATTAGCTACAATCCCCCACAAGAAAAACTGTAGTTTTGCTGATATAGAATTTTGTTAAGACATTTAAATATATTAATAGAAAAATTAAGTATGTATTTTTAGGCACCGGGATTGTTGAAGTAGACTGTCAAAACACAGTTACAGATAACAGTTCATAATAGAGGACATGTGTTTTCATATTGTCACTTGCTTTATTGAAAATAAATTTCATTAAGTTCCCATGTCCTGTATTTCCAGTTTTGATCATTAATATATATTTGTTACTGTCAACTTTATTAAGATGTTAGCCTACCTTTCTGAATATAAAGCTTAGCTATAATCCCATGTAGTTTTCTTGCATTTTAATGTATTTGCTTCATTATGCAAATTTTGGTTTCTAAACATGAATATTTTTGCAAGCAAAATTCCAGCATAAAGGAACAATACCCCATTATGCAAAATGTTGAGGATTCTCATTATCGCTTAAGGTACAGAATAAAATGTCAATATGCTAAACAAATGACCATGGGTTTGGCCATGAAATTTGTTAAAGGCAATTTGTTCAATTGACTTCTTATTTATGAGTTCATCCTCGATGTGTGCGGGTGCACATAAATTCTGAAAGCATATGTGAAGTACATAACGTGTGTTACATTTTTTAGAAAATCAGTTAGCCTATGAGGAATTTTTGTTTTCATCTTTCCCTGAGAGGTGCCAATTCTATCATTCAGTGTCTTTAAACATTTTGTGGTTTCTAGAAAAGTTATACTACACAAACCCTAAGCAATAATTTATGACGAAAAGAAACATTCCCAGCTTGCTGGAAAAATAGAATAGACAGTAAAAAAATAAAAGTATGCCTATCAACAAAGCATATAAGCATTGCAGGGGAGATCTCTAAGAAATAATACTGATCCCTTGGGTGATGCCAGAGAGTAACTCTAAGAGCTGTTTTTTGCAGAGCAGCCAGAAAATAACCATGAAAACAATCCTCGAATACCTGAATCAGCAGCAATTTTACTCCATGCTTCTGCAAATAACAGAGACTTTTAATAGCATTGTGAATAAACTTCTCCATCTACTGGCTGAAGGTCAAATTTTGATCTTTATTACTTATAAGAAACGTATTTATTTGTATGTCTGTAGGCATACTTTTTTCATGATGAATGTATGATCAACTAAAGGAATAACTTACTCTCTTTAAATCATAACATGGTATGACTCAAAGAATCACAAAAAATTTTGAAAACAGTATTATTACATTACAGTATAAATTAAGCCAACAATTTATATTTTTTGAAAGCCATTAATTTTATTATTATCATGATTAAGTACAATTCTGAGTATTTCTTAAAATATAATATATTTCATTTGGCTATTGAGAAATTTTTAAATTTGCTGATATGTAGAAAGATAATCTCTACTTGATTGTTTTCATACGCAGTTGTGGTATTACACACTAGAGATCCATTAAGTCTTTGCTCCATCTGTTTTCAAAACATCACTCAATTTGACAGACTCTTAAACTATGACTTAGAAATCAGATTAGGAAATTAATAGCAACCAAAAACGTATTGTTAGCCAGAATTTAGCAGCCTCAATTTAGTAAGGAAAGTTATCTGGCCATCCAAAAATGGTACTGAATAAAAGAGAACATAAGGCACTGATCCTCCCAGCAAAATCTTGGATCCTAAGAATTTTACAAGCCTTATAACCTAGTATGTCAACTATTTATATGTTTCTTTTACAAATTTCCTATGCATGTTATATCTCACCTGCCTTAAACAACACATCCTTGCCCTTCTCACCAATCCTAAGTGTCTGAAACTATGAATTATCAATCATTTGAAGACCTTAGCTGCCAGCTCGAAGTGCTCTTACATTTCACACCAGTATTAGCTAATAGAAATGTGAGCATAATGCTTATTCTGACTTATCTTGATTATGCTATCCAATCAAGATGTATTTCTGATTCTTTCTTATAATTTAGAATTACTTTACATAGTAACTGTCTAGATGGACATAAAACAGCCCTGCAGGAGGTTGTTATAGTAGATGTTTTCTATATAAATTTTTTGCTTCTGTGGCCACAGTATGATTGCTAATTTACACAGTGAGGTCTCCATAGCTAAGGCTTGTCTATCAATAGTCAACAGCTCATGTATCAAGTTTACCCTTCACCCCAGCTCCCACATATGCTGTAAAGCTTATTTGTTAGATAGCAGAAAGCATCAGTTTATATTATTCTGCATTTTTAAACTGCATCAGATTCAAATAGAAACTGTTTATTGTAAGAAGTTCATAATTTCAAACATAAGAAAAATACATACACACATATACATATAATATCCATTTTCAGTATATCTATATAACAGACCAGTTCTTTTCTCCTTAAATATTATTTTCTAATTCATGTTCATGTAATACACCTACACACTGGACTCCTCAGTCTGGGTCTGGTTAAAAATAAGTTCAATGAGAGTGTTACATTGTATGCGCTGCTTTGACCTGTAGGACATATTGAAGCCATGACCTATGGGACATATCTTGCAGCCATGACCTATGGGACATATCTTCTCTCTCTCTCTCTAGGTCCCTTTTCTCCTCTGGTTTCCTGAGGCTCCTAGAGGTGTGTCATTGCACTCACAATCCACTCCAGTATGCCATTTCAAGCTGCTCTTTTACACTGCTCCTGCTTATCTCTGGGCCTCTGTTTTGTGTCATCTTAAAGCTGCTGCCACCGCCGAGCCCTGGTTTTCGCCCAAGTCACCGGGGGATGCTTCCAATCACCATTTCTAATTATAATTTTACTGCTGGAGTTTTATTCCAGAAATCTGAGATCTTCCTCTTAAAACTGCTCATGAAATCACCTCTGCATCATTCCACAGGATGCTGCTTGCCACAGATCACCAGCAAACACTTGTTGCTCACTTCATTATCTGACAGAATACCACTGTCCATACCCTTCTCATGGACCACAAAATATCACACCATTGAGATTTAAAACACACACAATTCCTCTTTTCCTTAACATACACATACTGTGAGAATGGTTGGGGCAGAACAAAGCAAGTAACTGCCACAAACTGCACAGAGCTATTTGTTGAATAAGGCTCTCAGAACCTGGTCCTGTGACTAGCTAATTTCTTATGCCAGAGTCTTTTCTCCCTAGGAATTTTCATACAGAAATCCTGAAGAACTCACCCCCATACCTTTACTGGGCCCACCACCAATACAAGCCCACTAAGCATCTCCTCATTTCTGTCAACTCCAAATAGTCAGCTCTCTTGGAATCTTTCTTTAAGGTTTTTCCTCAGTCCCCATATAATTCAGTGGAAACTGATTTTTGAAGAGACATAGTGCCAGCCTTGCATACTCAATGTCTGCTATAAATATAATTATTTTATAAGTTTATAATTATTGTAGTTATGTGTGGTTAACATGTAGTTTCTAAGAGGAACATGTAGTTTCTAAGAGATGGGTTTTTCAAACTGAATAAACCAGAGGATGACCTATAAATATTACCACTGTGGGATGAAAAGATTTTAGAAACAAATTCTAATAAATGCTAAGAGAGAAGAGAAATGAGTTACATGAGTAGAATGGTAGTGAAGGGGCTACTTTAGATTTGGGGCAGGGACAGAAAAATCTTTTTGAGAAAGTGTTCTTTTAGCCAAGTCCCCTTTAGTCAGTAAAGAGTGCAGCAATGATGTTGCATAGAAAGGAAATAGTATGTGAATATTTGTGGATGTAAAACAACCCTTGGTGGATTCAAGGAATTAAAATAATAGATAAGTGGCTAAAATAAATTGAGTAACAGGTCACAATGGAACAGGATGAAGTTGGTCCCTGGGCAGTAGGGAGAAGAGGATCAGTGGAGGTATACGACATAATAAAAGATACATTGTAAAGGGAAGAAAATAGAGATATATTTTTAAGCATACTCACCTAATAATTTTAAAATATTAATAATGTCTTATAGTACAATGTAAAAACATGTTGTATTTTAACTGTGGAAGAGAGAGTTAAGAAAAGAAGTTGCAGTTGTGTATACTTAAGCTATGTTATAAAATAAATAAAGTTCTGATTCCATAAATGCATTAGGTCCTTCTCAATCTACTATTTGGCATATGACATTAAAATATTTGTTTACTGGACCCATTATTTAACTTTGGAAACTACCTAAAGAACACATCCAGTGATATTAGAGACAATTCTTTCACATGAGCATGAATTTTAGGTGACTATGCCAAAAAGAGTTTGACATCTGGTTACCATTCTATCTATATAGATGACATAGATTGATAATGCAAAATAATAAAAAAGTAAGATCTTAGAAGGAAATGGCTAAGAGAAATAAAGTCATGAAAAAGAAAATATATATTCTAAGCTTGTTTCAAATAGCTCCAACTCATCAGTAAAGAAAAGCAAAATAAAACCACGAGATAAAGTTTGTTTTAAAAAACAAGTTTTAAAAAGATTTTTTTCCGTGATGGCAGGAATAGAGGAATACTCGTATCCTGATGAATTGTAATTTGCTAAACCATTTTTAGACAGCTAGCTCACAATATATGGCAAGAACCATAAAATATATTTTCCAACATTATTTATGCAAGATAAAAACAAAATGAACGCAGAGATTTACACATGAAGACTTTCAGTATTGTAGGTCCCTTAGGATTAGCTATCAACGTCAGGAGGAGTGTTTTGGACATTTATAAACAGTTTCAGAAGAAAGGAAAAGTGGAGCAGATAGGGACTTGAAACAATTCAAGAGTTGTTGAAAGAAGATTTTGAAAAATCCAGGGCAGTGTTTGTGAAACGTGAACATGCCTAGGAATCACCTTGGGATCTTGTTAAAAGGTGGATTCTGATTCAATAGGTCTGGGCAGAGTCTGAGAGTCTCTAACAAGCTCCCACGTGATGCTGCTGCTGTTCTCCCTACACTTGGGTAGCACACTTCATGGGGGACGGCTGTGACACTACCTCTTATGCCTACATGCCTTTTCCATATATATATATTTTATACATTTATATCTGTATATATAAAAATATATATCTATAATCTATAATATAAATTTATATCTATCTATCTATCTATCTATCTATCTATCTATCTATCTATCTATCTATGTTTTTAAACTGCGTCTCTCTCTGTCATCCAGGCTGGAGTGCAGTGGTGAAATCTCAGCTTACTGCAACCCCCACCTCCCGGGTTCAAGCGATTCTCCTGCCTCAGCCTCCTGAGTAGCTGGGATCACAGTTGGGCACCACCAGCCCTGGCTAAATTTTTGTATTTTTAGTAGAGACGGGGTTTCACCCTGTTGGTCAGGCTGGTCTCAAACTCCTGACCTCAAATGATCCACCCACCTCAGCCTCCCAAAGTGCTGGGATTAGAGGTATGAGCCACACTGCACTCGGACCATTTCCTATATTTTTTAATTGAAGATCATAACTGAAGTGTTATGTTTGTCAGACAGGGGAATATGAGTCAAAGACGTTGTTTAGCTTTAAAATAATAAAACCATTGCCATGGAGTTTGTAAATGTAGACTGAGCTTTCTCCAGGTGTTGTCTGTGGTGATTGCATAGCTGTCATGCCCACACTCACATGTGAGCTTCTCCCTGGAGACAACTGCATTCATGAATGAGAAGCCATTTGCCTTACTGATGTTTCATCATTTGAGTTTACTTTCATTTATGTAAGAATGAGTAACGAAGAAAAGATAGCTCAGAAGTTTCAGAAATGCAATTTTTTCTTTCTTTTTTCTAAGACAGGGTTGAGCTCTGACGCTGAGGCTGGAGTACAGTAGTGAGATGTCAGCTCACTGCAACCTCTGCCTCTTGGGCTGGAGTGCTCCTCCCAGCTCAGCCTCCCAAGTAGCTGGGATTACAGGCACCCACCACGACGACAAGCTAGCTTTAGTATTTTTTTGTAGAGGCGGGGTTTTGCCATGCTGCCCAGTTTGGTCTCGAACTCTTGGCCTCATGCAGTCTGCCCGCATCAGCCTCCCAAAGTGCTGGGATTACAGGCGTGAGCCACCGTGCCAGACCGGAAATGCAACTCTTTATAAAGTGTCTTGGGGAAGCAGTCAAATGATTACTTGGAGCAAGGATAAAAGAATTACAACATTATAATGAGTGAAAGGATGTTTTAAATCACTATAATTTGTTCACACAGAAATGGATTCCTAAAGTTATACATAAAAATTGCCTTCAAGTTATAGCTAGAGTTCACATCCGCTTATTGACACCAACCCCTAAACAACGTGCTGACCATTTCCATCGTTGTGTGGAGACTTTATTCTAAAACTTTAATATACAGCTTTGACATCTGAAGAGATTTTGGAAAGAAGAGCGGAAACTCGTAGTAAAAGGGCTTACTGTTTTACCTCATTGCTTTTAAGAAGGCCTCTTACAAGTCTTTACACGAACTATGATATTGCATCTCTGTGCTCAAAGAAAATGATTGGAAATGAATCAAAATTGGAGTCACAAACCAAAAATTGGAGTCGATCATATTCCTAAACCAAGGGCCTAAGTATTAGGGATTTTAATTTGAATTAACATGCAGATATCTTTTTAATGTTTTTAAGATATTCAGTAAATATTTGCAACTTCTGTTTTGTTTTCATTTAGTTACAAAAAAAGATGAAGTCAATGTTAACTCACTGAAGAGCAAGCATTACTAAAATGCCACGTTTAAAATCATTTTACATAAAAACTATTATTAAGATCTAATTTAGAATGATGTGTTTACTCTGAATTTTGCATAAATTGCCACGCTGGTTTGTCACGGTGCTTTGATCGTTTGTCTACTAGATATTGTTCTCACAGACCATACAGGCTGATACATTTGTGAATTTAATCATCTTGTACAATACAAAACGTATGGTCACACATTCACAGTAACTGAATTCAGATGTAGCAAATGCTGACAAAAAGCTCCTGAGGATCTTTCATGACCTAGGAATTAAACCTAATCATCAAACAATGCTTGCAGACTCATCAAAGTACAATACTCTGCCACCAGGCCTCTTGACCTTTCAAGGAGGCGTTGCCAAAAGGCGGCTGAGGCTGCCCGGGAACATTTAAATGAAGATTTTGAAGAAGATTGAACCTAATGTTAGGAGATTATCTCTTTATTATCTGGCACAAAGCAATTGTGTTGTGGTTTTTGAGGTTTTTCTTCTTTTTTTTTTTCATTTTCAGAGTACTTTATTACAATTAGGAAATTACTACTCACTGCTTCTTGTGTGTTAAATAAAAATCATGCTCATTTTACATAAAAAATCACATGAGTTTTTTTTTTTTTTCGTTTTCCATAACTAAAATGAAACCCTGTAAAGGGAGTAAACCCTGACTTTGTTTTTTGTTTGTTTGTTTGTTTGTTTGAGATGGAGTTTTGCTCTTGTTGCCCAGGCTGGTGTGCAATGGCGCGATCTCCGCTCACCACAACCTCTGCCTCCTGGGTTCAAGCGATTCTCCTGCCTCAGCCTCCCAAGTAGCTGGGACTACAGGCATGCTCCACCACGCCCGGCTAATTTTGTATTTGTAGTAGAGACGGGGCTTCTCCATGTTGGTCAGATTGGTCTCAAACTCCTGACCTCAGGTGATCCGTCTGCCTCAGCCTCCCAAAGTGCTGGGATTACAGGCTTGAGCTACTGTGCCAGGCTCTTCGTTTTAAAACTATTTTTTATACTATCTTTTGAATGATGACTTGCTCATTTGTGAGGTGTTTTGCTTCTCAAAAGGAAATTTTCTTTTTGCTGGGTCTCAAAGCCATGGTACATGAATATGCTTCCTCTCACGTAGTCAGTACTGAAAACTGGCAGGCATACTTCGGTAATACCAAGCAAGGAGACTGCAAGTACCATTCTCCAGGCACATACAACATGAAATATCATACAGCTGTGAAAGATCTGGTGGAAAGCTGGAATCTTGAGGAAGAAACATTTTTTGAAAATTATTTCTCTCTCTAAGTCAGTAAATGTTTGATATAATTCTGAGTGCATGGCTGTAGTCTGAAAGTTTATGTGCCCCTAAAATTAATATGTCAAAATCCTAACACCCATGGTGATGATATCAGGAGGTAGGGCCTTTGGGAAAGTAATTAGGTCATTAAATTAATAAGGAAATCGTATCCTTTTTTTTTTTTTTGAGACGTAGTCTCGCTCTGTTGTCCAGGCTGGAGTGCAGTGGCACAATCTTGGCTCACTGCAACCTCCGCCTCCTAGGTTCAAGCGATTCTGCTGTCTCAGGCTCCT
This sequence comes from Homo sapiens, assembly GCF_000001405.40. NCBI lineage: Eukaryota > Metazoa > Chordata > Mammalia > Primates > Hominidae > Homo > Homo sapiens. Next base: position 172,155,123 of record NC_000004.12, read on the forward strand.
GAGTAGTTGGGATTACAGGAGCCTGCCACCACGCCCAGCTAAGTTTTGTATTTTTAGTAGAGACTGGGTTTCACCATGTTGGCCAGCCTGGTCTTGAACTCCAGACTTCAAGTGATCCACCCGCCTCAGGCTTCCAAAGTGCTGGCATTACAGGCGTGAGCCACCGCGCCCGGCCATCGTACCCTTTTAAAATAGGCCCGGGGAGCTTGTTCATTGCTTCCACCAAGTGAGGATACAGTGAGAAGGTGAGGTCCGTGAACGAAAGAAGAAGCCCTCACCAGACATCAGATCACACAGCAGCTTAATTTGGGGTTCAGCCTTCAGAACTGACTGTGAAAAAAACATTTTGTTGTTTACAAGCTACTGAGTTTATGGCATTTTGTTATAGTAACTTGAAAAGACCTTAAGACAATACATAATCATCTATATCTACAGCATATTTTCTACCAGATTTTAATGCCACTAGCTTAAAAATGCAAACTAGCATTATGAAATGTTGGCCAATATTAGTTACTATTTATGGAATGAATGTTTAAGTATATTTTAATGTTCAAGCAGTATTTAATAATCATCTTTACCTATTATGTAATTCTGACAAGTAAATTAATATTACTCATTAGATCAGAGTTTAGATTACTGAGATATTTTACTCTTCGCTTATTTTTTGAATTCTGTACTATAAAATGTAAATAGAATTCTGACCACACTACTCCATTTTCTAACCTTTCTTACTTTCCATTCTCCTTTTGCTCTTATCTAGTAGTAAGCTTTTTAAATGAAATAGCAAGCCCCAACCAGACATGTGATCATATAAGTTTACCAAATTAATATTTACATACTTCAAAAGATAATTTTTACCTTTTGCAAGGCTCTTGTATCGGTTGGAACCCCGAGAACGTGCCAACAGACAACAGGAGGCGGTGTGGAGCTACAGGCTGTTTTAACGAGCGCCTGGGTGCAGATGGGCTGAGGCCTAAAATGGCGTCAGCGTCAAGTGAGGACGGGGCAGGGGTTTTATAGTCCTCTGTAAACAGGAAGTGTCCGAGTCTGAAGTGACTGCTACGTAGTACCTTGACAGCTTCCTTTTCGATCTTCAGCGGGTATGTGTCTCTCGGCCAGCTTTCTTCCTGTTTCTGCTATCTTCCTGGGGCAAGTGGCCTTGAGCCTTGGGGCTGGGCCTGAGGAGGGAGGAGATATCCATTCCCTTAAGCTTTCAGGCCCCGGGGGAGAATCTTTCACCTTTGAAATGCCTGAGGAAAAAACTATCTTTTTAAAATTTTATGGATTTAAACATTTTCTGCGTGATTTTGATTTGATTCCACACTGAAAATGTTTTCTACAGGAAACTGTAGAGCGTTTAGATCAAATGCTTTTTCCACCTAGGCAGATATTTGACTTTAAATATACATATATATATAATATATATATATATATATATATATATACATACTATATATATATAGTATATTGTACTTCTCTTTATCTTTCCATAACTCCACTCTGTAGTTTATTAACTGTGAAACGACATGGAAATGAGAGATAGGCAATTATTTGTATCTTCTAGGAAAACACAATCAAGTTGGGGAGCCATGACCCTTAAATGTCATGACTGATACACATAAAAAAGAAAGGACACTTTAGGAAGTGTGTGCCATGGGGTGCGGGGGAAGCCTCAGTTGATCTCATTGGGAAGGATGGAAGCTTTTCTAGGTAGCTTTAAAGATCATGATCTGGAATTGGACAAGCTCTGAAGTTTCCTATTACAACTAACCATTATATACTTGTTATATATATGCTTATTATATACTTGTTTTCCTGTAATCAGCTGGAGAGAGTATGTCCATTCCCATAGACTCACTGTTAAGTGCCATTATCATAAAGCTGCTTTGTGTTCAAAACACTTTTAATTACTAGGAACAATATTTATAAGATGGGTTTGATTTTTAGTTAGTTATTATAACTTTCCTATTATAACTAACTCCCCAGCCTACATATCTTCTATTTCTTCCCAACATTGCATATTCCAGCAATTGAAAATTATCACAGCTAAACTTTAATTTGAAAGAGTAGAAAGACAATAGTTACCCTCACTGCTTATCTGTAGGTAATGTGCCTACAGCAAGATAGAAAACTATATCGAGTCTCAGAAGAAGGAGCAATGCAGCCTACAAATGATTCAGTGGTGACTAGGATTTGTTTTTATTACTGGCATTATGAAATAGAATGCATTTCAAACTGTGAGTCCTACCTCTTTCTAATTATTTTCTCCACACTTTTTCTTTCCTGCACTCTATCTTCCTTTTGATTTCCTAAATCTGTTTCTTCATTCTGGGAGGCAGCCTACACCAATGGTTAAATATTTGTTAGTAAATGTCATGGTGTGCTGAAGAGTAGCATTTTAAAGTTATAGTAATTTATTTATGAATACAAGGTTAGAAGACAAGTCAATTTACCTCAAGATACTTGTTTCCCTGTAATCAATTGCAGAGAGTATGTCCATTCTCATAGACTCACTCTTAAGTGCCATTATCATAAAGCTGATTTGTATTCAAAATACTTTTATTACTAGGAACGATATTTTAAAGATGGGTTTGATTTTTAGTACGAAGAACCTACATTTCATCTTTTAAAAAGGTATCTTCTAAAAATTTTCTAAATCTAGTTTCATTGTCCCAAAAGCATCTCACAAGATTTTAAATGTTTTTTATGATTAGATTGTTGCATCAACATGCTATCAGATCCTAAGCTATGTTTGCTAGTTCTTCTCCTCAGGTACATTAAATTAATTGAGCATATTGTGGCCTCTGCAGCATGATGTTTTGCTAGTAAATGATTCATGTTGCGTCCCAACCACAGTGAACAGCAAACTTTCACCAGAAACAGATGGAGGAATGATCTTGGCCATTTGTGGCAACCTCAGGTTCATCTAGGAAAAACTGAAGTTCATTTAAAATTGACCTCAATATGCTGTTGGCCAGATTTGATTCACCTCAGGTGCATGGTTCTACTGAGAAAGTAATCAGCACCAGCAGATGGCCCTCTCTAGGCTCACTTTCCTAGGCAATTAAAAATCTGTTGCTAGGATATATAACTATCAAATATTTGATATCTTTACGTGGCAGCACTTCCCCTCAATTTATGTGTCATGAAATTTTTTTCAAGAAATTTCTAACAAAGATAAAAATCTGGGTTTTGGAATATAAGTGAAGCAAATGCAGTCCCCTTCCCTTTGTGCTGAACTACTTTCCCGCAGTACATAATTTTCCCCTGGTTACTCAGATTTTATTCTCATTAAAAAAAAAAACAGCTAGCAAACTTTTCCCTGACTTTTCCATATCAAACTGTAGTTTTATGCTATGTTAAGTGATGATGTATTACTGTACTTTTATTTAAATATAATAGTGCTGCCAATCTGGTAGTGAGGGATATATTATGAGCTGTATTTTTAATTGACAGTCACTGATCCAACAGAGACTTTCTCTTATTCTCATGATCATGAACAGAATTTTATGAGACAGATGCCCAGACCAAGTGGCAAAGTTAAACAGGGTCCATTTATATAATAGAATTTATGAAGTCTAATTTGTGCCAAGTAGATAACTTGATTAGATGGGGTAATGTGTCAAATGGGCAATTAACTATTTTATGAGCAATTTTTTTCAATGGAAGTTTTTTTCTGTGCAAAAGCTATGAAACATAGAATTATTTCTAAATCAGACAAAGAATTTAGCTTTATATGCTATTAAAAATTCTACAAATAAGAAAAAATGTACAGGAATATGAATGACCATGTGAATGCAACTGAAATTATTTGATCACCTTCAGTAAACTATTCAAGTAGTTGTTTTAAAACAAAAAAAGATTCTTAAAACCCAATTTAGGTTAGAAAGCAGTTATTTTTGGAAATTGCCATAGAAGTTCATTTTTTATTTAGCCACCATTTGTTGAGTACCTATCAGGGCCAGCTTTTGTCCAGGTGGTAACTTTGTGGAAGCTAGATTAAGGCGCAACTCCAGGAAGACACAGTTTGCAGCAGGGAACAGTGCCTGCAAACAGAGCATATACTGGAATTCAACCATCATTCACCCTCTTGAAGAGATACTCTTTTCACTGAACAACTGGTACAATGTATGAGATGATCCCTGGCACCTACTGTATCTAGGCACTGGAAGGTTAATGGTGAGCAAATCGGTTATTGTCCAAGCCCTTTGAGGACATGCAGATATGTAAAAAGGCACACATTAAAGAAATAATCGTACAAATAAACACACAATTACAAAGATGTATTAGATGTTTTGAAAGAATAGATACTCAGAGAATAATACTAGAAAAGTTTCATTCATGATGAAAGATCAAGGTAGTCTTCTCTGAGGATGTGATGCTTAAGCTGACATTTCAAACATGAGTAGGAGTCAAGTGTAGAGAGGAGAATCTTCTAAAAAGTGGGAACAGCATGTTATGACCTTTGGGTTGAAAACTTTCCCATATTGAAGGAACTTAAAGGAAGTTTCAGTGCCTGGAGCATAATGAACAAGGCTGGAGTTTTGTTAAGTGAGGTCAAAATCACTCCAGATCATGTAGTATGTGTTAAGAACTTTAGATTTTAACCTAAAGTCAAAGGCCAGATGCTGAAGGGTGGTAGGGAGGAAGTAATATAATCATACATGCGTTGAAATAAAATCTCCCTAGCTTTTGTGTGCAAAGTAGATTGGAGGAAGGAAAGACAACATGCAAGGAGACAGTGAAGAGATTTGCAGTAATACAGGTGAGAAATGATGGTGATTGGTCTAAGAAGCTGGCAGAAGTGATGGGTAGAGGTTAGAAATGAACTCCATTGACCTTTGTGATGGACTGGAGTTGTCACAGTAGATGCCACAATGTGAGTTATTAGCAGCTGGATGAGTAAAGATACCACTGAGGGAGAAATGATTTACTGGAGGAGGGGAAGGCTTGGATAACAGATGTTCTCTTCATGGAGATATTTGTGAGATGTGCTGAAAGATACATCAATAGGCAGTTGTGTGTGTGTGTATAAATATAAGTGTGTGTGCGTGTGCGTGTGTGGCCTTTGGGAGAGGGCTGTTACTAGGTATATTAGAGTGAATGTTGTTAACTCCTGCATGAAATTCCAAGTTATGGACATGGATGAATATACCTATCATATAGTAGTAAGCCAAAAGAAAATCAAGAAAATTGCTGAAAAGTCATAATCTGAGAGGACTGAAAGAAAAAAAAAAATAGCAGAGAGCGATAGCATAGGGCCCAGGAGCATAAACAGGCTTCAACACATCTGTTAATTTGAATGCAGCTGTGGAGTCACATAAAAGTCCATTGGATTTGCCAACTGTGGGCCTTAGAAGATCTTAGAATAGTGAAGAAATGTGTATAATAGTTATTGAAGGAAACTAAGAGCACATGTTAACTGGTAAATGTAGGTAACTTTGACAGCCCATGTAGCAAGAAAAGTTTTGTTTCATTCGAAAAAACTAAGAGAATGGAAAAGAAAATGGGTGGCATTAGCAACTGCTTCAGCTAAGAGAAATGTGGTCCCGAAGAGGATTAGAAACACTAATACAAACTTCATATATATGTGTATATACCTATTATAGGGATATATAAATTTATATACTATAAATACATGTATAGTCATAAATAGGTATGCATATATATACATATATATAAAGAAACAGAGGGCACATAGGCTGGGGAGTGGTATTTTTAAAAGCTTTAGAGCTTGTTCAAAGTATTGGAGATTATATATATATATAGACACACACACACACACACATACACACACACACACTCACACACATACACATGTATATATATAATGCCTTAATGCACGTTTGAACATTAAGGGGAAGGATCTAGTATTGAGAGGTATGTTTAAATGCAGGTGAAAGATGTAATAATCAATGGAGGGACATCCTTGAATCTTTGATAAAGGAAGATTTAGAGACAATATGGAAAGCCAGGCTTTTGTCACAAAGAGGGATGCTTCTGCTGTTTTTTTCTATTTTTAATTTTAGTTTGAAATTTTTCAAATTGAGAATAGATGAAAACATAGAGCAGTGGTCTCTTATGTAACCACCATAGATATTCACTAATTGGTTGCATTTTGCCACATTTGATTTATATAGATGTGCATGTATATGAATACCTTTATGTATATGTGTATATTTTTTCTTAATCCACTTGGAAATAAGTTACAGGAATCATGACCCTTCATCTCTGAAACTTCAGCATGGTTTTTCCAAAATTAGAATATATTTTGGAAAAATAATACAGAAGAAATGTAGGCTTTGTTTTAGTGGAGGAAAGAAAGAGAGGGCAATTATAAGCAGTGTGGTTGGTGGTGAATACTCATTGGCAGTACAGAGAAACCATTTTGCTGATGGAATGAAGCAACATCATTCAATGAGAATAAGGGTAGGGAGATTAGATCCAAGATCTTAGAAGAGTCAAGAAAAGTATATAATAGGAAGGTTAGATCCAAGATCTTAGAAGAGTCAAGAAAAGTTTATAATAGGTATTAAGGGAAACTAAGAGCACATGTTAACTGGTAAAAGTAGGTAACACTGACGGGTAATGTAGGATGCCCCATAGAAGCTGGTAATCATCAGTTTAAATAATAGATAAATGTGATTGCTTAGCAAGTGAGTTGGAAGGATACCAGAATATGATCAGAGTGCTATGCTTGACTTTGTGTAGCACTTGTAACGACAAGTCAGTAAAGATTGAGGCAAAGATGTTCTAGAAAAAAGAAATAGTATGTAAATATCTGTGAATACAAGAAAACTCATGACTAATTCAAGGAGTTAAAATAATAGATAAGTGGTAAAAGTGAAGTGGGAAAACAGGGCACAGCAGAACTTGATTAAGTTTGTTCATGGGCACTAGGGATAAGAGCATCAACGAAGTCGTACAATGTAACAAGAAGATATACCATAGTTGGGAGAAAATACGAACATATTTGTAACTCTACTTAATAATTTTAAAATAAAACTTTGTAGTAAAATGTATTATACTATGATCAGAGAGTGGTGTTAGAATTTGTGACGCTTTCCATGGAGACAATATCTAGCATGCCACTCTGGGTATGGAAGGAAGGGACACAGTGGGAGAGGATTGCTTGAGATAAGATGACAAAACTGAAGAGCCAAGTGGTTAGACTGATTGCTTAAAGGGAAATCAATATTATCTGTGAAATTAGCAGTAATGGGATGACAGTAGAACTATGGACCTTCATAGGATGCCAGAAACTTCTAGAGCATTAATGTAAGGAGGATATTACAGTATCATTGCTTCCTGGTACATCTCTGAAAAAACTATTAAATAAAGAATAAAAGAGGGGACATTTATTTATTTATTCACTCATTTATAAAATAAAGTAATGTCAGTAGTCTAAGGGGGTCACGAGGAAACCTCCAAACATGGTCATTCACTAGGAAAAAGAGAAAAATAGCTGCAGAGAGAGAGAAAAATGTCAAGTTTCAAACAAGATCACAAGGCAGAAAGATTAATTTAAAAAGATCTTGTGGCTATAGATAATTTTGCATTCTCATTTGAATATATTTTCTGGCTGTTTTTCTTTTCATTTAAGATGTTTAAAAGCAGTGGCTAACAAGTAATCAAGTACATCAGCTTTTCAGACTTCTGACATAATCCTGCAAAAGGAATTAGTAAATATTGAGATGTCAAGAATGAGTTTTTAAGCTATGCTGAGTAATTAAGCACGACCATGTTTAAATTCTGCTGGCTTTAGACAAAACTCTATATCCAGGAACAAATTAAAGATAATCAATGTTGAACACCCTATTTTGTGCAATACTGCAATAGGTGACCATGGAGAATAAAGTAGTCATGCCATTTAGAAGACATGTCTGGCAGCACAGAGCCAGATAAATCACTTCTAGTGAAAATGTCCTGGTGAAAGTTTTATGTACATTTCCCACCTTGCCCTGGTGAACTATCTGCACAGTCTGACTTTACTAACATTGTAGATTTCATATACATTTCAGGATTATTTATTTGGATCTATTCAAATGCATTTATAATTTTATATAATTATAAGAAATGTTTCTCAAAATTTCTTAACTTTTTAGACATTACTCTGTCCTCTCTAGCCTTACGTGCAACAAAGTCAATTAACATTTACCATATTTTTATATTCCAAATGCCTCATTTTTAGATATACATAGCAACTATGGTTTATTACTTTATCCTGTGATTCTTTCCATTATTTTTATGATATACTGTACAAACATAGATAACTCTGTAAATCAAAGTTTACCTTCATCCTACTGTGTAGATAGTAGGTAAATAAAAGTAATCTATGTTAGATAAGGTTCTAAAGAAACAAGCAAATGGTATTTAACAAAGCTTGAATTATAGTTCCTTTTCTCAGAAACGATTTCTTCAAAGTAACCTAAAGTTTCTTATTTCCCTACAAGTCTTCAACACTTTGCATATTAGTTGCTTGTATATTTCTAGGAAGTATACTCATGTATTTATTATGTACAGATCATAGAAAGGAAAGGTTTCTTTACGTTAAACTTTGAAAACCAATCAAGCAAAATCTTCCAGGTTAACAAGCATCTGTTGAGAGCCATCTGTAGGTATAAATTCAGAAATGTAAGCCTCAATGGAAATTGCTTATTTTAAAAAATTCCAAAGATGGTTCGTTAAAGGCAAACAACATACAGGCACACACACAAAAACAAACAGACACAGGTACACGTGTCTATTTAAAAAACATAGGGTATAAATTAGAAAATATAGGAGTAATTTTTTTCAGTTACAAAAATCACATATATATGCCTGATCTACTCATATTAATTATTAGACAGAATTTCACTCACTGAAATTGAGTACAGAATTTAACTTTATGCAGCATAAGGAACTTCAGGGAATGGAAGTTTACGAGAGGATCTAGTGATAGTGAAGGATCAACAGGGAGTTGATTATCTGGAGCATAAAACAAGATGATGAGCATATGGCCAATGAATAACTTTTGACATGGGACTGACTTACTCTTGAGAAGTATAAAAGTATTTTTACTCGTGTTCATTGCTTTTGAATTTCTGTTTCAAACAAAAAACAGACCACCTGGAGCTATGAGATACGATGAATGGTAAAAATAAAGTTAGTGGGGTAATCCACTATTTAGATGTTCCCATCTCTAAAATTATTTGCTTATACATTTAATCAAAATATTTATAGGACTAAATCTCAGATATAGTCATACTTAAGATAAATAGAAATAACTGTAAATTTTCATTAGGATGTATTTTATGGATTTTTTAAAAAAAGTGTTCATAATCCAGAAAGTAAAAACCATCTGAAATTGAAAATTATGGTTTTTAATTAAAGATTTTAATATACTTTATTAGTCACCTTTTCAAGTTTACTACTTTTCAAGTTTACTATCAAAAGCTAGAACTCAATACAAATATGGAGCATTACCTTACCCTTATTACTATACTAATAATAGATTTTTTCTCGTTTGATCCTCAGTCCCCTGCAAAATAGATGAGCTAGGTATTTCTATTTTCAGTTAATGTCCCAACAATCAAATTTTGTTCAAGTACTTGGAGAAATGGCTAGGAATATTTATAGGTTTCCAAATGATTGAGTTTTCAATCTTCTCATAATTACTGTGTAGTTGTTCTGTAAACCGTAGAGTGTTATGTAAATGTTTGCTATATTATTAGTTAGGCTCTTCCAGAATTCATCTTCCAGGAAAAGATGAAATACATATGCTCTAGTTTATATTGATAGGTCATCAAGGAACATGACTTATATTGAGCTTCATGTAGAGGATTAATTAATATTCAGGTGCTCGCCTTATCAACCTGTGCAGTCTAGCTTTTGCTGCCAAAGAGGATTCCAAAGAGGTTAAGGAAAATCTGGACTATATGTCTTCAGAGTTTTTCAAAATACAATTCCAAACAACTTTAACATTTTAAGGCATTAATGATTTGTGTTTCTAAGTTTTCTGTAACCTTTGATTATCTCTTCATTGATTGTGCCATCTTTATTTTATGCTTAATTTGTACTGGATTTTACTGGCCACTGTATATTTTATATACTTTCTCTCAGTTAATTCCCCCAGCAACCAATTACGATATTATGAGATGATAGATAAATCTATCATCAAGGAATAGCTCTTACAACTTTATTAAAGTGGAAACTGAAACTCAGAGAAGTAGAAAGTTAATTGTCCGTTGCCACACAGTTAATAAGAAGTACACTAGAAGCAGAAACCACTATTTTATTTTAATTCCAACTCCTCTTCTTTTCCCACCACATCATAGCTGTTCTCAAAAGACTTATCAGTGTCTTTGGGAGAGAAACACATTCAATGACTTACTATGTAATTTTGTGATTGAGAGAATGACCCATGTGGCAAGTTAAAAATGCAAATATATTTCCTTTACAAACATAATTTAAGTATAGAATGGTAGCACTGTTTTACTATTTTATGAGATGTATATTATGAATGGGAATTGGAATCCTGGTGCCTGAAAGTATATCAAGGGTATTAATTGTGATACTAATGTATAAAAGAAAAAAATTCAAATACCCATGGGCACACATACTTAAACATCATCTTCTAGTGATACTCATTTTTTGAATCTCTTATGAAAATAAATCATTGTCAAGAAAAATGTTGCCAACACAGATATATTCCACTAGTTTTCTTATTGCTAATGAGCACATGCTGCTTCATAGGAGTGATCAGTGTGTTACATGCAACTGCAGGTAGATCAGTGGGATGCAAGAATAACATAAAGCTTCAGAGAAGGAGAAAAAAAATAGCATGTATACAAACAAGAATCCACTGCATTAAAAAAATAAATTCTGTTAAAAATTCACAAACTAGAATAAGATAAACAAAATTAAATAAACAGTCTCATGTCATCATAAAAGACCCAAAATACATTTTCCTTATAAATGCAAATATTATGTGTTCGTAATATGGCTTGAGCATGAAAATAGAGGATTATGGTAAAAGGTGAAAATTACCTTTAAAAATTATATATGACATTTTTGTCCGGGCATGGAGGCTCACGCCTGTAATCCCAGCACTTTGGGAGGCTGAGGCAGGTGGATCACGAGGTGAGGAGTTTGAGACATGGTGAAACCCCGTCTCTACTAAAAAAATACAATAAGTAGCCAGGCGTGGTGGCGCATGCCTGTAATCCCAGATACTCTGGAGGCTGAGGCAGGAGAATCGCTTGAACCCAGGAGGCGGAGGTTGCAGTGAGCCGAGATCACATTGCTGCACTCCAGCCTGGGTGACAGAGCAAGACTCTGTCTCAAAAAAAAAAAAATTGTATATGATGTTATTAAATATATTCTCCCATCAATAAATAATATTCTCCTAGCAATTAAAGCTTGGTAAACAAACACATAAGAAGAATAAGCCAAATCATCTGATCTGAAATAAAGGTCATAGTAAATAATTCGTATTATCAATATACATCTATTTTGATATAATCAGATTCACCTTCCTACCAGTGTTTTTATTGTGTCCTACAAAGCAAGTATTGATGTTGATCTTCCTTAAAATCTGAGCTTTTACAAACCAATTGCTTGTTTATATCTTTCTTTGCCTCCAAGATGGTGCGTTATTTCAAACATGTTCACATTTGTTGAATTTGTACATAATCTACATTAATTTTTTACATTTGAATAGAAATAAGGTGAATTACCTCAATTTATGCAATTCATGCCTCTATCATGGTTTGTTAGATGTTTGATTGTAGTACACTGGGTCTCTGTATTTACTTCCCCATGTTAGAGAAGGGGACAAGCCATTCTGAACAGAGCATTGGAGTAGGAATCAGAACTCCTGGGTTCCAGACATGGCTCTACCAATAGTTTGTGTCCCAGGGAAAGATATTCTATCTCGTTGTACCTCATTTTTCTTGTCTCTAAAGTTAATCTTCAAAGGATTACATAAGTTGTTCTCAATTCTGGCTGTATAATTACCTGACAAACTTTTAAAACCTCCTGGTACATAGTCCCCATTTCAAATATATTAAATCAGAATTTGGGGGAGTAGTGCAATGATATTTGTAAAGATCTTCTTAGTTGATTCTATATGCAGAATTCATTAAGAAAGACTATTTTTAGGTACGGGGACCCATTAGCTGTTGGTTGTCTTGAATGAGGTTTAACCAGGCCCACAAGACTTCTGAGTACCAAAGGCATGTATAATAATTTAGAAGATGGTATGCATATGGGCAAAAATGTTGTGTCATGTATAGCACACTCCAACCAAAAGAAGTCTTGTTAAAACAAAATTCAGCGAAAGTTGTTGCTTACCTGCTTAGAGCAAAGAAGTAATTGTAATGAGTCATTATAAAATCTATGATAAAATCCATGTAAATATGAAGAATTCAGTTTGGTAATAAAATTATTATCAAATGTAGAAATAACTATATATGACCATATGTGGCCTGTAAATGGAGCAAAAATTATATTTATTTTTAGTAAGGTTTTCAAGTTGCTGTTGTGACATAAAATATGAAATAAGAAACATTTCTGGCCGGGCGCGGTGGCTCACGCCTGTAATCCCAGCACTTTGGGAGGCCGAGGCGGGTGGATCATGAGGTCAGGAGATCGAGACCATCCTGGCTAACAAGGTGAAACCCCGTCTCTACTAAAAATACAAAAAAATTAGCCGGGCGCGGTGGCGGGCGCCTGTAGTCCCAGCTACTCGGGAGGCTGAGGCAGGAGAATGGCGTGAACCCGGGAAGCGGAGCTTGCAGTGAGCCGAGATTGCGCCACTGCAGTCCGCAGTCCGGCCTGGGCAACAGAGCGAGACTCCGTCTCAAAAAAAAAAAAAAAAAAAAGAAACATTTCTGAGGCCAAATCCAATGATTCTGTTTTATTGGTGCTTTTTAAGTAAATACCTCCTTATACTTTCTGAAATATATTTTTTTCACATTTGGTGAGAACTCTATTAGCAACGGTCTGGAAAGTGTCTGCCATATACAAGCCAACCCTAATTAGTTTTAAGCCTTTGAGCCTTATTTTTAATTTGGTGAAATCCACGAAAAGTTTCCAGGTACCATTTGAAGATGTATTAAAAAGACTAAAAGCTCCAAATATCAAGATGGTCTTGCTAAAGTTTTTTGTTTGTTTTGTTTTGTTTTGTTTTGTTTTTTGAGAAGGAGTCTTGCTCTGTTGCCAGGCTGGAGTGCAGTGGCAAAATCTCTGCTCACTGTAATCTCCATCTCCCAAGTTCAAGAGATTCTCCTGCCTCAGCCTAAAGTTTTTAAAATTTATTTAACTGTTTCCTTTATACATAGATTGGCATATAGACACTTGAGACTATCCAGTGCGGATGATGATGATGATGGTGCTGGTGGTGGTAACAATGGTGATGCTAGTGTTGGTAATGTTGATCAAGATGGTGATGGTGATGATGGTGATGGTGATATGGTAATGATGGTGGAGGTGGTGGTGGTGGTGGTAACAATGGCGATGCTGGTGATGGTGATGTTGATGAAGCTGGTGATGGTGATGATGGTAATGGTGATGGTGACATAATAATGATGATGGTGATGATGGTAATGGTGATGGTGACGGTCAAGAAGATGAGGATGCCTCTTATCTTTTACCTTGTCAATTACAGGCCAAAACATAAAGAGACATATCAGCTGCATCAATAGTAAACCTAGTTATGCCTACAAATATTTTCGATGTCATGTAATTTTTGTGATGTTTTTAAACATGTGTAAAACTACACTTTTGTACTAAGGATATGATAGTATATCATACCCCAAACATCATGAACTGATGAAATCTCTTGAAATATTCTTTGAGGATAACAATTTAGCAAACAGAATGGCATGTATAAACTTCAGAAATCAGTGAAAATGTTCCTCTCTTAAGTTAGTTTATGTTTGGGAATTGCATCAGTGTTTTCTTGGTATGTTATTCCTAGCCCCAGCTTGAACCTAATACTTGGAGGATAAGTAAATGGGAAGAAGTAGTTGACTTGTCGTGTAGGACTGAAGAAGTAAACAATGAGATTGGATTCTAAAGACCCAAGTAGCTGGGATTTGCCCTAAGAGAGAACAGTCTCCCAGTCTGAGAGCCCCAGTCTAACGTTAGCTGGAGGAAGAAGAGGACTGTTACCAGAGATATTCAACCAGAGGCTTCACCTATTGTGATGTTTAAAGAGATTCCTGCCACAGCTGAAAGTTATTTTAGACAACTTCTAAGGTCTCTTTCATTTCTATAATCTGTGGTTAATGATAGAAGCCTAATCTTTTGGGTAAGATGCTTCAACTATATAAAAATAAATGTCATAGTGATGTAGTTTGACACTTTCTTTGATATATTGCAATAACTCTGACTTCTCTTTTTTTAATACTTTGTGTTTGATGTTGGAAGATAGAACAGAGCTTTAAGTTTCACTTTTGGGTTTTTTTTAAAGGCCTTGATAATATTTCAGGATAGAAAGATACCTAAGCAGATATTAGTCATTTTGACTAATACATACACAACTCATATGGCAATCTCATCACCAAAATCCAACTAAGATTTTAGTTATTGTGATGTAACTAAATGTTGGGGCTAGAAAGGGCAATTGATTTGTGAAAGAGAAATGTCCATTAATTTAGGAGATACTAAAACACAGAATGTGTAGTTTTGTGCTACAACACCCTCTCTGATAATAATCACAAGCTTTTCAGAGGTTTAATTTCAGAAGTCGTGGTAAGAATAATGACTATATTTAAGGAGTCTGAGGAACAGCTTTGCAGGCATTATATTATTTGGTCATCACAACAACTCTTTATTCTATTGTCTTCATTTGACAGAAAGGAAAACTGAGAGTTGGAGTTGATAAGTACCTCAACCAATATCACATTACTGTGAATGACAAAGCAGGACTTGGAATGCAGGAAGTCAGCCTCCATCATCTGCACCTCTTCCCCCACATTCCACAATCTAAGTTGGCAGCTCCCATGCCTGCATTCATACCTCTAGTTACTCTGTCTTCCTGATATAACTGCACTGATATGGTTTGGCTGTGTCTCCACCCAAAATCTCATCTTGAATTGTAATAATCCCCACGTGTCAAGGGAGAGATCAGATGGAGGTAACTGGATCATGGGGGCAGTTTCCCCATGCTGTTCTCATGATAGTGAGTGAGTTATCATGAGATCTGATGGCTTTATAAGTTTTTAACAATGCCTCCTTCGGTCATTCTCTCTCCTGCCACCTTGTGAAGGTGTTGCCTGTCTCCCCTTCACCTTTCGCCATGATTGTAAGTTTCCTGAGTCTTCCCCAGCCATATGGAACTGTGAGTCAGTTAAACCTCTTCCCTTTATAAATTACCCAGTCCCTGGAAGTTTCTTTGGTGGTTTTTTTTTTTTTTTTTTTGAGACAGAGTCTCGCTCTGTCACCCAGTCTAGAGTGTAGTGGTGTGATCTGTGCTCACTGCAACCTCCTCCGCTTTCCGAGTTCAAGTTATTCTGGTGCCTCAACCTCCAGAATAGCTGGGACTACCGGCATTCCACCAAACCCGGCTAATTTTTCTATTTTTTGTACAGAGGGGCTTGCACCATGTTGGCCAGGCTGGTTTTGAACTCCTGACCTCAAGTCAGGATCTGTCCACCTTGGTCTTCCAAATTGCTGGGATTACAGGCATGAGACACCACGCCCTGCTGGGAAATTGTTTATAGCAGTATGAAAATGGACTACTACATGCACTGAAAATGAGGCATTTCTGCCTACCAGTTAAACTATATTTTACATATGTGCATGGTGATTATTAAATAACTTTTCTATTCCTTTATTCTTCAGATTCTTTTCCTTTTTCTTATCGTCAAATAATGAAAAGCAATAACACACATTAGTACCAGGCCTTGCCCCAGTTTATCTCTCATCATTTATTAAGACATAAACAATTAACTTGGTGTTTATGTGGTAAAGGTGAATTAATTAAAGGAAACGACAACCACAACAACAACTCATAGCCAAAGCATGCTGTTGCCGTAAAGATCAAAGTCAGTGTTTGGACTTCAGATTTTTCAGAGTTATAACCTCACGGAAGAAGCATAACCTCAGATTTTCAAAGTGAAGGTTATGGCTGAATATTCACATGAGTGATTTTTTTTTCATTCTGCTTTAAGGACCTATAATATCCTAAAAAGAATATACATTATATAAAATGGTAGCCCACTTTTTAGTGACTATTGCAGGAATTAAATAGTATCATAAAAATATAATTTCACGTGACATAAACTGGGAGGGAGAATGTTTTCAGGAAGGGTAATGTATGAGTACATACAGGTTATTCAGTTCCTCTTAATGACTTGAAGAACATAACAGTTCTAATGGAAGGTATTTCATGAACAACACTGCTAGGCACCAGTCAACTCAAAAGATGTAGGGCAGGAGGCTAGGTGCGGTGGCTTATGCCTATAATCCCAGCACTTTGGGAGGCTGAGGCAGGGGGATCGGTTGAGCTCAGGAGTTCGAGAGCAGCCCAGGCAACATGGTGAAACTTCGTCTCTATCAAAAATACAAAAAAAAAAAAAAAATTAGCCGGGTGGTGGCACGTGTCTGTGGTCCCAGCTATGTGGGAGGATTGCTTGAGCCTGGAAGGCACACGTTGCAGTGAGCCGAGGTTACACCAATGCACTCCAGCCTGGCTGTCAAAGTGAGATACTTTCTCAAAGCAAAAAAGATGTAGGACAGGAAACAAAGCTTCTGAACAGGGCAGTATTGGAAGTTCCTGCTCAGCCCCAAAAGTTTTGTAGCCATCCATGTAGCCCAGCTCAGAAGCAACACTCCATTGGGTGGTATCAGATATTCTGGCTTAGAAGCATCACATCTCAAAGCAGCCAGTATGTCTGTAGGTCTAGTTTTATGGGCAGAGCTGTATCCCCAAAACTTGTATGGTAAAGACCTCAGAATCCCCAGTACCTCAGAATGTGACTGTATTTGTAGATAGGGCCTTTAAAGAATAATTAAGGTAGGGTGAGGTCATGTGGATGGACCCTAATTCAATATAACTAGCATTGTTTTTTGTTTGCTTTTTTGTGTTTTTTGTTTGTTTTGTTTTTGAGACAGAGTCTCACTCTGTCGCCTGGGCTGGAGCACAGTGGTGCGATCTCGGCTCACTGCAACCTCTGCCTCCTGGGTTCCAGTGATTCTCCTGCCTCAGCCTCTCAGGTAGCTGGGACTACAGGCACTCGCCACCATGCCCGGCTAATTTTGTATTTTTAGTAGAGATGAGGTTTCACTATGTTGGCCAATCTTGTCTCGAACTCCAGACCTCAGGTGATCTGCCTGCCTTGGCCTCCCAAAGTGCCGGGATTATAGGCGTGAGCCACAACACCCAGCTATGACTAGCATTTTTAAAGAAGAGATTAGGACACACACACACACAAACACACAAAGATCATGTAAAAACACAAGGAGGAGAAGACAGCTATCTAGATGCCAAGGACAGAGGCTTCAGAAGAAATAACCTTTTCAACATCATGATCTTAGACTTCTGGCCTCCAGAGCTGTGAGAAAATAAATTATAGTACTTTCTTACAGCACAGCAAGCAAACTAACACATCTTGGAGTCAACATCTCCACAAAGGATATGCAGAGTTACAAAAGCCGCCAGCCTCAGGCAGGCCCTACCCATTTGACTGACTACCCTGTCTGAGTACCCATTTACAGATCCTCCTGAATCTAAATGCAATTTACTAATCCGCAGTCTTTGTAAATATTGTTTTTAATAAGCAATGTTGAACACTGACGTATGTAACAGTGCAATTTGTGTCTGGTTTCTGGGAGAATGAGGTGAAGTGTTAACGGGAGGTCAAGTTCTCATCCAGCTGGGGAAAGGCTTTAGTATATCCTTTGCCCACATCATAGCAGCTTCTTTTATGATGGGCTGAGGTGAGAGGAGAGATGGGCAAGATTTTGGCCATTTGATGTCATTTGTTCTCTGTAAGACACTATTCTTAAGGTAGAAGATATTACAATTTTAGTAAATTAAAAGAGATTTCCAAAACTGAAACTTTCCAAAACCTGTGACTGCTACAGCACATTATCGGGGCAACATGTTTCAGTTATTTTCCTCAGAGTCCTCCCGGGAAGAACTCTCTGAAGAGCTGACTTTTAAAGTGAGTCTTAAATGACGGCATATATCCAGTCATGGGAATAAACTCTGTCCTGGCAGGGAACTGGGGGAGGAGGGCTCTGCTATTGGTCCATCAAGAGCCTTCCTGTGAATTTGCATGAGGCTGTGGATTCCTCTGGGAAAATGCAGCCCTAGACCAGAGGGTGCAGCTTGTCGAGGCACACAGTGCACAGGGTGCATTTCTGCACCCCATGGCCACTCAGCTGAGCAACCTTCTGCGTGGGCCAACCTCCCCTGTCACATAAGAGACATCTGAGCTTTAAAAATAGTAGCTATGAATCTCTCTGAAATGAATTAATAGGAAGTGTAACATACTGGAAAGAAAATGAACAAGAGAGTCATTTGCTGTATTTGTTGGCTAATTGGAAACGGAGCTATTTATAACCAGTGAACTGGGTGATTATTGGAAGAAGTAAAGAATTTAAATAGTTTAAAAAAGTAAATATTAGAATTTAGCCATTTGATAGTATGTCTTTTTCAGGGATGATAGGGAAAAGACATCATAGGGTATTTGAGTCAGAAGAAGCAACGTGAAAAGCAAAGCTTGATCACCCCAGCAATGGAAAATGGCCCGTGTGGCTAAAACACAGTAAGCAGGGTACAGAGCCAGGGAGGGGGTGCAGACTGTGGTGGAGAAGAGGGGTGCCAGTGGAGAGGAGGTGAAAAGATAGTCAGGGACTTGTATTTGGATTTTATTTCAAGTGCAAGTCATTGAAGGATTTTAAGCAGGAAAATAACTTGGTTGTTTTTTTCCTCTTGCTTTAAAAAGATCATTCTAGCTGAAACATAGAAAATGGATTGAAAGTTTTTAGAGTTGACACTTGAGATCAGCTAAGAGACTGCTAAGTTATCCACTGAGAAAGAATGGTAGCTTGAACTCTGATCGCAGCAGTAGAGATGGAGAAAAGTGGACGGATCAGAGACATCTTTGGATTTAGAATAATCAGAAGGTACCATGCTATGAAGAAAATGTGAGGTGAAAAAAAGAAGTGTTTATTCTCAATTTCCTTCTTTGAACGGTCTATGTATAGCGGTGTCATTTACTGAAATGGGCCTGCCTTAGTGAAGTATAGATCTTTTTCTTTTCATTTTTCCCTTTTTTTGTTGTTGTTGTTTTAGAAGTTATGAAAATCCTTGATGTGCACTGCATGATTCTGGCTTCACTGGGCACACTGTGCTTTGTTCTCCCTCCACTTTCCAAAATTACTTTATGTGAAATTTAGAATAACATATATCCTATATATTAACTATAGAAAAATATGAAAATAAATTTATTGGTCGAGTAGTCCTGTCAATTTAATGACTATTGATAAAAAGAAAGATAAGACATTACTCAAAGCACTACTACTTCCTATTTTATTGGATGGAGTTTACATAGATACATTGCATAATCATAAAGCAACTAAGTTTCCTAAACATGTGTGGATCCCTTCATATTCTAAGGAAGGCTTAAACTAAGGAGACAGAGTTCTTGCACACCGGGAAGCATACCTCGAGAAAGATGATATGTACACAAAATAATCAATATGCACAATTTATGCAGTATTATATATTGTGCATATATATGATAGGTACACAAATATTGCATATACATTTAGATGACACATACATAAATATTCTGTATATTTAGATTCAATAGTTGGTACATACACAGATACTGCATATATTTTGTTAATACTTAACACGCACTGCAGATATTTGCATATACTTAACATGCACTGCATATACCCTAAGAGAGTGCAAACTGGCATTGATGTGCAAAGTAATAGAGAAAGAGACAAACAAGAATTTTTTTTTTTTTTTGAGACGGAGTCTCACTCTGTCACTCAGGCTGGAGTACAGTGGCATGATCTCAGCTCACTGCACTCTCCACCTCTGGGGTTCAAGTGATTCTCCTGCCTCAGCCTCCCAAGTAGCTGAGACTACAGGCATGCACCACCATACCTGGCTAATTTTTTTGTATGGGGTTTCACCATGTTGACCAGACTAGTCTCAAACTCCTGAACTCAGGTGATCCACCCACCTTGGCCTCCCAAAATGCTGTGATTATAGGCGTGAGTCTCCCAAAGTGCTGTAATTATAGGTATGAGCCACAGTACCTGGCCCAAACTAGATGTTTGAATAGAGAGGTTAGCATTTGAGGAAGCACGTAAGGGATTTGTGTGATTGTGAGATGGAAATAAGAGAAAAGAGAGGCAAAAGGAACAAAACAAATGATGAGTCAAAATTTTAAAAAATGAATTTTATGTCCAGATTACAAGTATCCTAGTTTGGCTGAACCATAAGTGATTTTGGGGAAGAATGTGTGGCTAGGCATGAAGGATATTAACAATGCTAAGAATTTTGGCATTATGCTACGTGCAACAAACTCATTGAAGATTCTTAAGCATTTCAAACATTTTTCAAAATATTTTTCAGTGGTTATACATTTTAAATAGGTACTTTTTGTTTTCTACCTTTTATATGTTTTCTATCCTGCAATTTTCTATTGCTTTAACCATAATCTTATAATTTATTCTCTTTTTACTTTATGTGCTCCTTTGCTTGTCTCACTTTCTTTCCCTCTGTGTGTGTTTCTTTCCCACATACACTTTAGGATTAAAAAATTACAGGTGTTATAAAAATCAATATAGTTGAATAATTACAGATGATATAAAAATCAATATGAATAAATGATGGATTGACTTTTAAAAATAGCAACTATGAAACTCAAATCAATTAATAGAGTGCACAGCCTACTCCAAAGGACAAATAAGAGTGTATTCAGGCTGGGCGCGGTGGCTCACGCCTGTAATCCCAGCACTTTGGGAGGCCGAGGTGGGCGGATCACAAGGTCAGGAGATCGAGACCATCCTGGCTAACACGGTGAAACCCCATCTCTACTAAAAAATACAAAAAATTAGCCGGGCGAGGTGGCGGGCACCTGTAGTCCCAGCTACTCAAAAGGCTGAGGCAGGAGAATGGCGTGAACCTGCGAGGCGGAGCCTGCAGTGAGCCGAGATCGCGCCACTGCACTCCAACCTGGGCGACAGCGAGACTCCGTCTCAAAAAAAAAAAAAAAAAAAGAGTGTATTCAGCATATTTATTGAGTAATTAGAAATGAAAATAACGTTTATAGCCAGTGTACTTAGTAAATGGATTATTTGAAAAATAAGTGAAGACTTTAAATACTGTAAAAGGAAAGCAGATAATAGAATGTAGCCATTTGGGGACAGTAAGGAACCATGATGCTTCCTGCCTCTAATCTCAGTGGTTTTAGAGGCCAAGGCAGGAGAATTGCTTGAGGTAAGGAGTTTGAGACCAGCCTGGACAACATAGTGAGACTCTGCCTCAACAAAAAATTAAAAATTAGATGGGCATGGTGGTGCATGCCTGTAGTTCTAGCTACTGTGCAGGCTGAGGGAGGAGGATCGCTGGAGCTCAGGAGTTGGAGGTTACAGTGAGCTAGGATTGTACCGTGGCGCTCTGGCCTGGGCAACAAAGCAAGACCCTATCTCTAGAAAAATAGAAATAAAAAAGTAGCCATTTTCATGTTGTTATGAAACCTAGTTAGAGCTCTTCTTTCTTTTACTGTCTGCTCCTGTTTTAGTAATCTCTAAACAGCTTATTAATTATATATTTTCTTATGTATTTTAATACCCTACTGATGAGTTGATGATATATTTCTATTTCTTATCTCAATCTGAAAGTTCTGGGTAAAATCTTTTGTGCAATTATTTAGCAACTTATAGAGTCATTATATGATCCAGACACCCCAGGTTAGAATTCAGTTTTTATTTTCCCACCTCTGTTGTTTGGGAGTAGTTCCTAAGGCAACAAGAAGGAAGTAGTCAGCATATAGGAGGAGAATTAGTAAAAATGAAAATCACAATACACACATGGTCTGAGAAGTTTGCTTTTTGTCTAATAGGATATAACTTTATTTATATTGTTTTGGTAATTCTTAAGCAAATATGCCACTTTGAAATGAACATTTAATAAAAATTCATTTACTGAGATGTGTAGTGACATACGTGAAGTAATTGAGTAATGATAAAAGAAAGAAAATCATATTGGAGCATCTTTAAGATTTTCCTTGGATAATGAATAGGTATTACCTCCAGATAGAAGAAATGATTTAACCCATTTTGGAGAAACATTATCAGAGTTTATCTAGATATTTTACAAAATTATTTTATCCCCCCAAACTCACAGCTGTTTCTGTCTCTTCTTTCACAGTGATAGCACATTATTTGAACAGAATGAGAATATTTACTTGTCTTTCTTAGTTGAATGACACATTTGATTACTGTTCACTTATCTTGTCTACCAGCTCCATTGAGCAAAGAAAGGGTACAAATAGATATCATTTTATATTCTCAACCATACATAAATATTTTTATATTCATGTAACACTGAACTAATAGTAATATATATGTTTACTTAGTATGTGTGTATATATATATACACATGTGTATATATATGTGTGTATATATATGTACACATATATACACATGTGTATATATATACACACACATATATGTGTGTGTATATATACACACACATATATATGTGTATATATATACACACATACTAAGGCATGCTAATCGTGAAGAAATGTTACTTCTATGATATGACTTTCATAGTTTATTTGTGTGTTCTTCAAGGTTGCCCTTTGAAGCCATCGTGAATATGTCATTCAATGATATCAATGACTACATTAGTACTAAAAATAACTTGAGGCTGATTTTTTAAAAAATTGATTTCTATTGAGATGTCACATGGTGTAATGTAAAGTGAATGGGCTTTGGAGCAAAAAGACTTAAACTGGCACTGTAACTTATTAGCACTGTGGCATTTGGTTCCAAGCCTTGGTTTTCTCATCTGCTAATGAGAAAAGCAGGACCTAACTTATAAAATTGTTATAAGAATTAGAGATAATAACTGTTTGAACAGCGCCTGACAAATATATCATAAGCATTAAACAACTTGCTATTTGAGTTCTATTTTCTTTTTTTAAAAAATTATTATTATACTTTAAGTTCTGGGATACATGTGCAGAACATGCAAGTATGTTACATGGTGGTTTGCTGCACCCATCAACCTGTAATCTGCATTAGGCTTTTCTTCTAATGCTGTTCCTCCGCTAGCCCCTCAACCCCCAACAGGCTGCAGTGTGTGATGTTCCCCTCCCTGTGTGCATGTGTTCTCATTGTTCAACTCCTACTTATGAGTAAGAATATGTAGTGTTTGGTTTTCTGTTCCTGTGTTTGTTTGCTGAGAATGATGGTTTCCAGGTTCATCCAAGACCCTGCAAAGGACATGAACTCATCCTTTTTTATGGCTGCATAGTATTCCATGGTGTATATGTGACACATTTTCTTTTTTTTTTTTTTTATTATACTTTAAGTTTTAGGGTACATGTGCACATTGTGCAGGTTAGTTACATATGTATACATGTGCCATGCTGGTGCGCTGCACCCACTAACTCGTCATCTAGCATTAGGTATATCTCCCAATGCTATCCCTCCCCCCTCCCCCCACCCCACAACAGTCCCCAGAGTGTGATATTCCCCTTCCTGTGTCCATGTGATCTCATTGTTCAATTCCCACCTATGAGTGAGAATATGCGGTGTTTGGTTTTTTGTTCTTGCGATAGTTTACTGAGAATGATGATTTCCAATTTCATCCATGTCCCTACAAAGGACATGAACTCATCATTTTTTATGGCTGCATAGTATTCCATGGTGTATATGTGCCACATTTTCTTAATCCAGTCTATCATTGTTGGACATTTGGGTTGGTTCCAAGTCTTTGCTATTGTGAATTATGCTGCAATAAACATACGTGTGCATGTGTCTTTATAGCAGCATGATTTATAGTCATTTGGGTATATACCCAGTAATGGGATGGCTGGGTCAAATGGTATTTCTAGTTCTAGATCCCTGAGGAATCGCCACACTGACTTCCACAATGGATGAACTAGTTTGCAGTCCCACCAACAGTGTAAAAGTATTCCTATTTCTCCACATCCTCTCCAGCACCTGTTGTTTCCTGACTTTTTAATGATTGCCATTCTAACTGGTGTGAGATGGTATCTCATTGTGGTTTTGATTTGCATTTCTCTGATGGCCAGTGATGATGAGCATTTTTTCATGTGTTTTTTGGCTGCATAAATGTCTTCTTTTGAGAAGTGTCTGTTCATGTCCTTCACCCACTTTTTGATGGGGTTGTTTGTTTTTTTCTTGTAAATTTGTTGGAGTTCATTGTAGATTCTGGATATTAGCCCTTTGTCAGATGAGTAGGTTGCAAAAATTTTCTCCCATTTTGTAGGTTGGCTGTTCACTCTGATGGTAGTTTCTTTTGCTGTGCAGAAGCTCTTTAGTTTAATTAGATCCCATTTGTCAATTTTGGCTTTTGTTGCCATTGCTTTTGGTGTTTTGGACATGAAGTCCTTGCCCATGCCTATGTCCTGAATGGTCATGCCTAGGTTTTCTTCTAGGGTTTTTATGGTTTTAGGTCTAACATTTAAATCTTTAATCCATGTGACACATTTTCTTTATCCAGTCTATCACTGATAGGCATTTGGGTTGGTTCCAAGTCTTTGCTATTGTGAACAGTGCTGCAATAAACATACATGTGCATGTGTCTTCATAGTAGAATGATTTATAATCCTTTGTGTATACATCCAGTAATGTGATTGCTAGGTCAAATGGTATTTCTAGTTCTAGATCCTTGAGGAATCGCCACACTGTCTTCCACAATGGTTGAACTAATTTACACTCGCACCAACAGTGTAAAAGTGTTCCTGTTTCTCCACATCCTCTCCAGCATCTGTTGTTTCCTGACTTTTTAATGATTGCCATTCTAACTGGCGTGAGATGGTATCTCATTGTGGCTTTTATTTGCATTTCTCTAATGACCAATGATGATGAGCTTTTTTTCATACATTTGTTGGCCACATTAATGTTTTCTTTTGAACAGTGTCTGTTCATATCCTTTGCCCATGTTTTGATGGGGTTGTTTGTTTTTATCTTGTAAATTTGTTTAAGTTCCTTCTAGATTCTGGATATTAGCCCTTTCTCAGATGGATAGATTGCAAAAATTTTCTGCCATTCTGTAGGTTTCCTGTTCATTCTGGTGATAGTTTTTTTTTTGCTGTGCAGAAGCTCTTTATTTTAATTCGATCCCATTTGTCAATTTTGGCTTTTGTTGCCATTGCTTTTGGTGTGTTAGTCATGAAGTCTTTGCCCATGCCTATGTCCTGTATGGTATTGCCTAGGTTTTCTTCTAGGGTTTTTATGGTTTTAGGCTTCACGTGTAAGTCTTTAATTGATCTTGAGTTAATTTTTGTAGAAAGTGTAAGGAAGCGGTCCAGTTTCAGTTTTCTGCATATGGCTAGCCAGTTTTCCCAACACCATTTATTCAATAGGGAACCCTTTCCCCATTGCTTGTTTTTGTCAGGTTTGTCAAAGATCAGATGGTTGTAGATGTGTGACATTACTTCTGAGGCCTCTGTTCTGTTCCATTGATCTATATATCTGTTTTGGTACCAGTACCATGCTGTTTTGGTTACTGTAGCCTTATAGCATAGTTTGAAGTCAGATAGTGTGATGCCTCAAGCTTTGTTCTTTTTGCTTAGGATTGTCTGGCTATACGGGCTGTTCTTTTCTTCTCTTTTGGTTCCGTTAGAAATTTAAAGTAGTTTTTTTCCAATTCTGTGAAGAAAGTCAATGGTAGCTTGATGGGTATAGCACTGAATCTATAAATTACTTTGGGCAGTATGACCATTTTCGTCATATTGTTTCTTCCTATCCATGAGAAGGACTCCTCCCTAAATCATTTTATGAGGCCAGCATCATCTTGATACCAAAACCTGGCAGAGACACAATAAAGAAAGAAAATTTCAGGCCAATATCCCTGATGAACATCAATGCAAACATCCTCAATAAAATACTGGTAAACTGAATCCAGCAGCACATCAAAAAGTATATCCAGCACGATCAAGTCGGCTTCATCCCTGGGATGCAAGGTTGGTTCAACATACTCAAATCAATAAATGTAATCCATCACATAAACAGAACCAATGAAAAAGTCACATGATTATCTCAGATGCAGAAAATGCCTTCGACAAAATTCAACATCCCTTCATGCTAAAAACTCTCAATAACATATCTCAAAATAGTAAGAGCTATTTATGACAAACCCACAGCCAATATCATACTGAAGGGGCAAAAGCTGGAAGCATTCCCTTTGAAAACCGGCACAAGACAAGGATGCCCTCTCTCACCACACCTATTCAACGTAGTATTGGAAGTTCTGGCCAGGGCAATCAGGCAAGAGAAAGAAAGGGCATTCAAATAGGAAAGAGGAAGTCAAATTGCCTCAGTTTTCAGATGACATGATTGTATATTTAGAAAATGCCATCATCTCAGCCCCAAATCTTCTTTTTTTTTTTTTTTTTGAGTTGGAGTCTTGCTCTGTAACCAAGGCTGGAGTGCAGTGGCGCGATCTCGGCTCACTGCAGCCTCCACTCCTGGGTTCATGCCATTCTCCTGCCTCAGCCTCCTGAGTAGCTGGGACTACAGGCACCCACCACCACGCCCGGCTAATTTTTTTTGTATTTTTAGTAGAGACAGGGTTTCACTGTGTTAGCCAGGATGGTCTCTATCTCCTGACCTCATGATCCGCCTGACTCGGCCTCCCAAAGTGCTGGGATTACAGGAGTGAGCCACCGCGCCCGGCCTTCAGCCCCAAATCTTCATAAGCTGATAAGCAACTTCAGCAAAGTCTCAGGATACAAAATCAATGTGCAAAAATCACAAGCATTTCTATACACCAGTAATAGACAAACAAAGAGCCAAATCATGAGTGAACTCCCATTCACAATTTCTACAAAGGGAATAAAATATCTGGGAATCCAACTTATGAGGGATGTGAAAGACCTCTTCATGGAGAACTACAAACCACTGCTCAAGGAAATCAGAGAGGACACAAACAAATGGAGTTCTGTTTTCATTAGATGTGTCTTGGGAACGACTGTATCACATAGATTCAGAATTTCTTGAGCTGGGAGGGTTTTAGAAACTATGAGGTACAGAACAATTTGGTAAAGAGGTTTGTAAGCTGCTTCAACTTAAGCCACATGGGAATCTTGTAATTTGGTACATTTCAGACAGAGACTAAGACTCAGATATCTTCTTTTTTTTTGAGATGGGATATATTTAAATAAATATTTTATATTTAAAATACATAATTTAAATAATTCCCAATGAAAAATACCAAAAAAAAAAAAAAAAAGTGATAAACAGGGCTGGCTGCATAGACAGGATATTCCACTCCCCTGAGGGAATATCCATCAAGTAGACCAAAGCAATCATTTCTAGGGGGGAGTAAAAATTAAGCCAAAGGAAGTGCCACAAAATTTAATACCTGTTGGTTTGTGTAAATACATTTTTTAAATGTGCATTTATTTTAAATATAAAAAAATTTATTATGACAAACCGTAAATTCATACATCAGATTTTCACAAAAAATATACTCATTGATATTTATAAAATATACTCAATATTTTATAAAAGCAATCATATCATTAGGCCTCTTTTCATGCCTTTAATATTGTGTTTTGTAATAGATTAGGTAGGGTATTATATAATTCAAAGAACGCATTCGCTCAAGGCCTTTGGGAAGTTGATATCTAGCTTTCCAAGAATTCACACTAGAAGACTGGTCCATTTTATTGATTCTTGCTGATAGATGAAAACCTGATTTGCTGTACAACCTAATTCTTTGAGTCCCATGTTGGGACATATTTAGTACATATTTGCTTTGCTTTGTGACAACCAATATGTCTATATAAGAATATTCTAAAAATTATTTTATTCAATCTGTGAATATTATCAAATAAAACTAGGATTGCTTTAGAAAGTTTTGAACATATCTGTTTTACCAAACTTTTATTCCAAAGTTTAAAAGGCAACAGAATGCATAAAAAACGATGAATAACATTACCGTTCCATTATATCTCCATCTTTTTTAAAGCTATCTCTAAGGTATTAGTTGTGGGTATAGGGATATCCTTAGAGAAAGAAGCTTAGAGGAAAGAGAGTGAACTTAGCTGTCAGAATCGATCTATGAAGGTGTTTTCTGAAATGACAAATTCAAACTGGCTTGAATAATATGTAATTTATTATTTGTGTAGCAAGAGTCCACATGAAAGGTGGGCTTCAGTGTTGGTAGTTTCATTGATTCAACAATGTAGGCAAGGACTTAGACCATTTCAATCTCTGTGTTCTGTGATCTACAGTGTCAACTTCATTTTGGCTTCTCTTATTGCCATAAGATGACTTCAAATACACTTTAGAGCTATCCTAGCCTTTGATTAAATCCCATGGTAGTGTGAGACTGCCTATTCCTCTTACAAGGAATAAACATTTGTTGAGAGAAAATTTTCCATGAGCCCCTTGTGTTTTTGTATATCTTCTGAGCAAAGACGTTAACAGTTTTGCTATTACTGTTGAAGACTTTTTTTTTTTTTTTTTGAGACGGAGTCTCTCTCTGTTGCCAGGCTGGAGTGCAGTGGTGCGATCTCAGCTCACTGCAACCTCCACCTCCCAGGTTCAAGTGATTCTCCTGCCTCAGCCTCCTGAATAGCTGGAACTACAGGCATGCACCACCACACCCGGCTAATTTTTGTATTTTTAGTAGAGACGGGGTTTCACCATGTTGGCCAGGATGGTCTCGATCTCCTGACCTTGTGATCCACCCACCTCGGCCTCCCAAAGTGTGGGATTACAGGCATGAGCCACCGCATCCGGCCGCAGACTATTTTTTAATGCTGTTTGTATAGCAGACATTCTTGAAGGATGGAGATTCTGCCCCTCTCTGAGAAAAGGGCTGATATGTTTTCTGACAAGGGCAACAAAGATGATGTCTCCCATTGCAGACATTGGTAGTGGTCCCCCTCTAGGAGTGGGTATTTCCTAAGTTCAGCATTTCTCTGCTGTGACACAGACCTGCTGTGTATGTGGCATTCACCTTAGCCCAATCCCACATCACCCTGTGCAATTTGGGATAGGGGGAAACTGGTGTGAAGCTCATGCCCTCTGATGTATTGTGAGTGTTGTGAGTAATGAATTCTTTTGTCTCTGAACCAGGGGTCTCTATGTCTTCTGGCAGAAAAAATAAATAAAGAGGCTTTTATTTTGAAAGTAGAGTAAAATCATCCTTTTTGATAAATATATTTATAACTGGATTAATAGTAATGCTTAAGTGTAATTTGAAATGATCAGTTTCTGAGCCTTTTTAGTAAATATTAAAAATATCTACTTATACAAGACATGACTTTCCACAGTTCTTATCAGTTTCTAAAAACATTTCTAGTAAGTCTCTTTTCCCATGAAATTAGTCAACATTGGTGTCTTAGCCCATTTTGTGCTGCTATAACAGAGTGCTGTAGAGTGGATAATTTATAAAAAACAGAAATTCATTTCCTCACAATTCAAGATCGAGGGATTGGCATTGTTGAAGAATGGCAAAAGGTAGAAGGACAAGGGGGCTGGGGTGAGAGAGAGAGTGTGTTTTAAAGGGAGCCGAACTGCCCCTTTTAAAGTGAAGCGAGTCCTGCGATAATGGCATTAATCCATTCATTCCACCCTTGTGGCCTAATCACCTCATATTTGACTTCACTTCCCAACACTGTTGCATTGGGAATTAAGTTTCCAATACATACAGTTGGGCAGACACATTCAAACCATAGCAGGTGAGTTCCATGTTTTTCCTAAACCATAGCAGTTAAGTCAGCAATAAGAATCAACCATAGTTAGAAGAGGCAGCCCTGTGCCTTGAGCTGAGGCCAATTCTTAGACTACAGTGCTATTACTCGTTATATAGAGGAAGAGTGGAATTAAATTTGGAGACTCAAATAAAATATCAGGCAAAAATTCTATACCCAAATAATGATGGCATCTAGAAAGACTTTTGTACATGAAAAACATAGAGGTTAAAGCTTTTTTACTATGACAGTGATATAGATGGTGGGGCCAAACTCCAAAAAGGATATTATTTCCTTATGTATTTTAGCCAAAGTCAGCAGCACCTGTTTTAAGGAAATACGCTAAATGATCGTTACACCACAACTCTCAATCTTGGTAGCATAAGATCTGCAACACATACATCACAGGTTGTTTGTATATCTTCTTTCAGGTAATTCCTAATTTATTTTTATAATTTGTCCACTGACAGAAGAAACAATAAAAGTTCTCTTCAATTATTAGAATTGAAAAGAGGCAGATAAATCATCTTTTTTGATAAATCATCTTTATAACTGGATTTGTAGTAATTCTTAAGTATAATTTGAGATGATCAGTTTTTGTGCCTTTTTAGTAAATATTAAAAATGTGTACAAAAAGTGAATTTCACAATTTTAGTATGTTAGCTAATTTCTAAGTCATACCCTCCATTTCTGTTTTTCACTAACAACTGACTTTAGTTTAACACCAGAGGATTTTCTTGAGAATGTTGAGAATTAATGTGACACTTGACATATAAATTTAGTATTTCAGTAAAGTAATATAGCATTGTAAAAAGCGGTTAACATGTTGGTCACAGAATTACAGAAATATCTCAACTATGCTAATGCAAAATAGGCGCAACAAAAATTGCAATTTCTCAGAAGGAAGGAATAAAATACTTTTTATGAATCTTTAAAGGATGAAATGAAGATATAAAACTATCAATTTGTTAATATTGTCTTCTTTTTTGAATGGCATAAGATGTTTTAAGTGAAAGCCTATTAGAGAATTAAAATTACTGTGTGATACAAAGGCAAGAGTAGAATTTATTGAAAAATTTTGTGACTACTGAAAATTGGTACACTTCTCCAGAGAAGATACATGTATGACCAACAAGATTGTGAAAAGATGCTCAACATATTGGTCCTTAAAGAAATATGAGTCAAAATCATGATGATATACTACTTGACAGCCCCTAGCATGAATATAATTTTTAAATGTAGGAAACAAGTGTTGTCAGGAATGTGGAGAAATCGCTGTTGGGGCTGTGAAATGTTTCAGCCACTGTAGAGAAAAGTTTAGCAGTTCTCCAAGATGGTAAACACAGAATTACCATATGGCCCAGGAATTTCCCTTTAAAGTATACTAGAAAGAATAAAAAATTGGAAATCAAACAACTATTTGTGCACCTGCACTAATCACAATAGTCAAAGAGTGGAAGCAGCTCAATGTCTACCATCAGATAAATGGATAAACAAATTGTGATATATACAGACAATGGTATATTATTCAACCATAGAAAGAAATGAAGTACAGATACATGCTACAATGTGTATGTATCATCCTGGAGGATGAACCTCGAGGACATTTTGCTAGGTCATAGAAACTAAACACAAAAGGTCATATACTATATCATTTCATTTATATGAAATATGAACAATAGGTAGATCCACAGACACAGAATAAAGGTAGGTGGCTGCCGGTGGCTAGGGGGTTAAAAGAATATGGAGTAACTGATTAATGTGTATACGTTTCCTTTTGGGGTGAAGAAAATGTTTTGGAAATAGAGATGATGATTGTACAACATTGAAAATACACTAAAAGCCACTGAGTTCCTTACTTTAAAATGGTTACGTTACATGAATTTTGCCTCAATCAAAAATAAATAAAGTTCGATATTTGTTTTTTTAAAATTGGTACATTGCCCACTAAGTAGAATATTCACTAGAATATGCATGTAACTTAAAGTTTATTTTAACCTAAATATTAGTCACAAGTCATATATAGATGAATATCATAATTTTATCATGTAAAATGCCTAGTTGCTGATTACAAAATTGTAAAGTTTAATTTTTAATTTACAACCTTTTATATTAAGCAAAACATAACAGTTTCATGATATTTATATATTTCTATTTTTCTATCATGGTAATGAAATTTTAAAAAAATCCAGTGTGGAACATAAGACTTCAGCATCTATCAGGGTAAATGTTTATTTGTTAGTAAAGATGCTTTGGGAGTCTATTTTTAAATGATTGGACATATGTTTTCAAATACATTAAAACCTCATTCTCCAGGACCACCTAGTCTATTCAACTGAAGAGCTATTGCTTAAAGCCAGCTTTCCGTAAAAATTAAATATTTAATTATCTAACTACCCTCTCGAGACAATCAAAATAGCTCAAATTCATTAGTGTTCATTACAGTTTTTTTAAATACATGCCAACTATATTTCAAAAGACTTCATTTTTTGACTTAAGGACATTCAGAGTTGCTATCAAAAGTTTGCAGTGTTTGTCCCCCTTAACCTTTGCAGTGACAATTTCAAATGAAGAAAATAACCTCTATCTGTCTTATTCAGGCACATTTTTAGGGGCTAAAAGTTCATTTTTGACATATTCATTCACTAAGGATAATGGATATCTCTGTTGGCCTTTGATAATTATGGTTATGTGGCCTTAATAGGGATAATGAATTATTTAAAACTATTATGCTGTTTCTTAAAATTTAGGAGACAAATATCACTTCCAAGTACTCTTCTGAGTGTTGAAGGTTATGTTTGTCCTGTTTGGGTTACTTACATTAGTGGAATGTTTTCAATGTAAAACTCATTCTTTATTACCACCAAGACACAATGTCAAGTACTTTTCCTTCACTGCTATTTGTTAGAACATATTATCTGATTCTGTATTTTCTTCCTCATATACAAAGTCATTACAGAGGTGGGCTGGTGGCTTAGGCCAGTTCATCATTCAGAAAATAAAGCTGTTTTTTCTACATAATCATTGAGATAAGTAGTGACTGCTGAGGCTGATGGTATCTTAAATCATTGATCATTCGTTGGGGAAGTAGTTGTATATGCCTATTATGTGTCAGAAATTGATGATATAAAGAACAGGTTTGACCATAACGCATACAAATTCTATTCAACATAAAGTCTAATGTTCACAAATTGTTTCATGCTCTCCAAGAGAAGAAGAAAGTTCTCAAGTTCCCTAATGTTGTCCAAAATGAAATACAAAAGGGAAAATATTTGCAAAAGGCAGGTTCACTAATATTTGTACATCTGTACAGAAATTCCCACCATGAAAAGCTTCCGTACACATATTTGAGCATTTATTTGTTCAGTGAGTATATGTTGAGCAACTACCAGGCCACAGGCACAGTACTAAACAGTGGGGACACAGTGGAGAACAAAAGTGACACGGTGTCTGCTCTCTTGGATGTTCAGGTGAAATGAGGAGAGAGTCATGGGGACGCCAACTGCACCGAATATTGCTAACAGAAAACATAAATAAATATAAAATGCTTGAAATGGTCTGAAGGCAAATTACAGGGTGTGCTAAGGCAGTGTTTTAGGAGATCTAATTTAGATTACACTATCTGGGAAGCCATCTCTGAGCAAATGATAGTGAGGCAGTCGCCAAAGGGTAAAGAGGACTCTCCTGGGTGAAGGGTGGTGGGTGGAGCATTTCCCATAGGCAGTGTGAGGAGCAGCAGCAGGAAGCTCTGCTGAGGGAAGAGTGTAGGGACTCAGAGATCCTCCTGAGGAAATGACAGAAAGCAACTTTGCTAGAGTGTAGTGAGCAACACAGGACAGTGTACAAGTGGTGCAAGGAACTGAGCAAGTTAGAAAGTACCAGGCCTCTGAAAAGTGCATTTTAATATTTATGGCTATATCCTTAAATCTCAGCGAAAGATTGGCATACATGCACATATTCCAGTTAGCAGTATTATCACCAAAAGCACACATCAACATCCTTCTTGTTAACTGTGTTTTCAGGATGGCTGAGGGTTTCCTCATTTAAAAATACTTCATAATATTATCCATTTTGGGAAAAAAATGTATACACTTCACCATATGAAAGGCTATAATATGATAAAATCTAACCTTTTATGAATGCCTTAGAGATAAGGGAGGCAGCACTCCACAGATATTCCTGAATTAAATTTAAGTCAGAGATCAACCAATAATTACCTAAAATATCTGTATAGTTCTACTGAAATAGAATGAATAATAAGCACTAATTCTACAAAGTAATAATTTAATATTACATAGACCCCATGGAAAACTAAAAAACACTGTGAATCTATAAGGCCAATTCCTTGTATTTTGTTAAGTCCCTTTTGTATTCTCAGAAACCCTGGCTACTCCTGGTTTGTAGTTCTGTAACAAAATGAAGACTTTCAGTTTGGGGGAGTATTTCTATTCTTAGAAATAAGTGGTGATTACAAACAGTGATGGGGTTACCTTCATTGTTCAAGGAGACTGAAGGGTAAAATGTTAAAAAGAATACCTGCTGAAAGCTTTGCAGACTAATTTATTATTTTTAAATTCTTTCATTAGTCACAGACATGAGCATATTATTTACACTTGAATAAACCTGCCCTTTTAAAATTGAGAAGGGAATTAAATTCAAAGGACTTTCTTATATAAAACAAAAATTTGCTTTCTGCAAAATTATTTTTATCCATCTTAAGATTCTATGCAGTTTGTCTGTTTCCTAATTTGAAATTCAGACTATTACAATGATAATAATAATGATGATAATAATAATAATAATACCTCTTAGATGTACTAACTTGAGGCAGATGGAAATAGAAAATCCAAGCTGCTATTCAGCGTATAATCACTATGCAAATATTCCAGCAGCTTGTACGATTTTTCAAACTATTATCTCAAGAGCAACAAACCATTATACTGAAAAGTTGCAAAAGACAGCACAGTAAATAGATGTTATGCATGTAGAGTTTGGGACAATTTATAGTCAATTCAACAATGTTAAAATAAATCTAGTATTTTTAAAAGAATACAAGTAAGAAAAGGGAGGCTTGAAGATTATGTTTGAAAACATTTCCCTCCCTGCTATCTCTCTTTCTTTGTCTTCCCCATTATAGCCACATTTCTTTAAAAAATAAAACAAAAACAGATTAAAAAGGAATATTTACTTCCTCACATCTTATTCTTTTAGGACCTATTGAAGCTCATCTATTAATTTATTTAAAAAATATTAACTGAAACCCTGTAATTTATGGTGTGCTGAAGATTGAATGGCAAGTCAAGTCATATATTGTACTTGTTGCCATGAAACTCCATCTACTTGGGTCAGTGGATACCAAATGTGCATTACAAGGGAGAGTGTGTATGTTTTCAACTATAGTAGAGGGATTTGAATTATGAGGAGTTTAAGATGTCATCGATGAAGAGGTACACTGAGAAAAAAAAGTGTGTAAGTTAACCCAGCAGAGAGAAGAGGAAGGTGCATTTTAAAAAGAGACCAATGGCAGAAGTAAACCGAGAGAGTACACAGGAAAAAATGGGAATAGCTAAGCCTGAGAGGCATGGAGGGAGAGAGGTCTATAGAAGGATATTAGAACCAGGCCATATGGGCCTCAAAGGCCAGGTTAATAAGTTTTGTTTTATTCCCCAAAGCAACAAAAAGCCATGTTTATTTAGTTTTAAGGAAGTGGAGAGCATGATCAGATTTGCATTTTGAAGCAGTAACTTTGTCCACACTGTGACGAAGGAAAATTTGCAGTGCAGGGCTGCAGAGCCTGTCACTGTACTGCAACTGTTCTTGTCTAGGGAGTTGACTACTTCTCTTTACCAACTAAACCCAAAGGAAAGATTTTATTCTCAATCTTACTGGAACACATTTGTCTTCCTCGTGATTTTTTCCTAGGTCTGCTTCCATTGTCATATTAGCCACCCTCTCAAAGATTTCACTTACCTGGTGGCTTCATCTCTCCCTCCCACCCTATGTGTTGATGACTTTGAAATATGCAACTCAGAAGAGATGTCTTCTCCAGGCACTTCAAATGCAGTATGTTCAAAACTGAACTGTGTGATTGCCCTTTAATTTCAATGCTCTTTCAGCTTTGTTTACCTATGAATGACTTCTTTGTTCACATAAACTAGGGTTATTCTTGAAACCACTATGGTCTCACTTACTGAATCAAACACCTATGTCATCCATTTCTGACCGTAATTCTCTCTCAAAGTCCGTTGCTGCCCTTGGTCTCCATAGGTAACTGTTTTGGTTTATCATCACCTTTCTGTTCACATAATTAAATATATCCTATTCTCTACAACTGCCCTCCCTGGAAACTGTTCTGCAAATGGTAGCCATAGGGATCTATGTAGAACAAGGTGGTCATTAGCTCTTTGCTGGGTAAAGCATTAGACAACTTCCCTTGTCATAAAGCCCAAACCCCTCAGCTACTCTTAAGGATCCTCATGACCTCTTCTCTCATATTTCTTGCCACCTGAAATCTACACTTTGGATTCACTTCAGTCGGACTGAAATGCATGACTTAATGTCCCCAAATATATGGTACTCTTTCAAATCTTCACACAGACTTTCAAATTTTGGTACAGACTATTCTCATTGTTTATTACACTCTTCTAAAACTTCCCTCTTGAGAGGGCTAAACTCAATTTTCAGGATTCTATATAGATTTCATTCCCACTTCTGCCCCCAGAAATTAGGTTTTCCTAATGCTTGAAATTGCGATTTGCCTCAGCATGGAATTCATTTTTTCACTTATATTTAAGTGAAGTCAGAGGTCATAAGCCATAGACTATTGAGACTGTCTATATTATTCAGCATTTTATCACTTCTGCTTTTCACAAATACCTAGCACATACAGGTATGCATGAAATATTTACATGCATAATAAATAATTGATGTTACCTATTTCTGATTTTTAAAAATGTATTATTAATATAATTTTAAATGTTTGTTTATTATTTCTAAGTATAGAGCTGAACAATTAATAAGAGTTCATAAAATGCTTATTAAATTGAAAATATTTGCAAATTTGAAAGTGGTGTAATAATATTAATTGTAATTACTAAAGAAGCTATGGTAAATGTTATTTATGTCATCTATAAATAACTTATTTTATAAACTTATAATTCCTCTGAGTTATCATAACTTCTTAATGAAGTGATAAAAGAGTTTCAAGAATTAAACTCAGAAAAACTGTATCCAATGGTTTCGATATGCAAAGACTTTGACAGACAATGTAAAAAAATTTTAAAGGCCTGAAGTCAATTACCAACTTCAAATTATAAAAGTTTTAAGAAGAAATTCAGGAGGGACCCAGATTGCCAACTAGAAGCAGCATCAGTCAGTGGCTCCCACTGAGAAGAACGAAAACGGCAAGTGAATCCTGCACCTTCAGCTGAGATATCCAGGTTCTCTCATGGGGACTGACTAGGCAGTCGGAGTGACCCACAGAGAGCAAGGAAAAGCAGGGTAGAGCAACAGCCCACCTTGGAGCTGCACGGGGCAAAGGGAGCTGCCACCCCCAGCCAAGGGAGGTAGTGAGTGATTGTGCTACCCCACCTAGGAAACCATACTGTTTTCATGGATCTGTGCAACTCGCCCATCAGGAGATCCATTTGTGAGCTCATGCCACCAGGGCCTTGGGTTCCAAGCACAGAGCTGTGCAGATGCTTGGTGGCTGCTCAGGTTGCAACCAGCGGCAGCAGGCTGGACACTGCTTAAGATGAACAAGTTGGGGGGAAGGGGTGCCTGCAACCACTGTGGCTCCAGTCTGCCATTTTCCCTTGCTGGTGCCCAGGATATGCACAGTACAGTGGCTGTGGCAGATAGTGGCCAGCCTGCTTCTTTAGGTGGGACCCTGATCCATTTCTCCTCAGCAGGTAGGGCTTCCCTGTGGGAATTTCAGAAACTCCAGCCAGGGGTTTATGGATAGAACTCTGATCTCCCTGGAATGAAGCACCTGGGTGGAGGGGCAGTGGCAGTCTCTGCAGTTCAGCCAAATTAGTCTTTCTTGCATGCTGGCTCTGAAAAGTCCAGGCAGTCCAGATGAGAGGGACTACCCCCAGCACAGTGCATCCTCTCTGCCAATGGGCAGCCAGAGTGCTTCATTAAGTGAGTCCCTGATCCCTTGCCTCCTGACTGGGTGAGACCCCCCACCGACAGGGGTCACTAGGCACCCTATACAGGAGCATTCCTGCCAGCATCAGGTCGGTGCCCCTCTGGGATGGAGCTCCCAGAAGAAGTAGCAGGCAGCTATCTTTGCTGTTTTTCAGCATTCACTGGTGATGCCTCCAGGTGCAGGAGGAACCCAGGAGAATGGGGTCTGGAGTGGAACCCCAGCAAACCACAGCAGCCTGGCAAAGAAGGGCCTTACTGTTAAAAGAAAAACAAACCAAAAGCAACAACAACAACAACAACATCAACAAAAAATACCCCACAAAAACCCACCCAAAGGTCAGCAGCCTCAAAGATTGAAGGTAGATAAGTGGTGAATATGAGAAATAATTGGCCGGGCGTGGTGGCTCATGCCTGTAATCCCAGCACTTTGGGAGGCCGAGGCGGGTGGATCATGAGGTCAGGAGATCTAGACCATCCTGGCTAACATGGTGAAACCCCGTCTCTACTAAAAATACAAAAAAATTAGCTGGGCGTGGTGGCAGGTGCCTGTAGTCCCAGCTACTTGGGAGGCTGAGGCAGGAGAATGGCGTGAACCCGGGAGGCGGAACTTGCAGTGAGCTGAGATCGGGCCACTCACTCCAGCCTGGGTGACAGAGCAAACTCCATCTCAAAAAAAGAAAAGAAAAGAGAAATAATCAACAAAAAAATGCCAAAAACTCAAAAAGCCAGAGTGCCTCTTCTCCAAATGATCGCAATACCTGTCCACCAAGGGCACAAAACTGGACAGAAGCTGAGATGGATGAATTGACAGAAGTAGGCTTCAGAAGGTGGGTAGTAACAAACTTCTTTGAGCTACAGGAGTATGTTCTGACCCAAAGCAAAGAAGCTAAGAACCATGATAAAACATTACAGGAGCTGTTAACCAGAATAACCAGTTTAGAGAGGAACATAAATGACCTGATGGAGCTGAAAAACACGACATGAGAACTTCACAGTGCAACCACAAGTATCAATAGCTGAATAGACCAAATGTAGGAAAGAATCTCAGAGCTTGAAGACTATCTTGCTGAAATAAGACTAGCAGACAAAATCGGTGAGAACCATGGATTATATAAAAAGACTGAACCAACAACAAATTGGAGAACTTGAAAGAGACGGGTAGAACAGAACCAAGTTGGAAAACAAACTTCACGATACCATCCAGGCGAATTCCCTCACCTAGCATAACAGGACAACATTCAAATTCAGGAAGTCCAGAGAAGCTCAGTAGGATAATCCATAAGAAGATCAACCACAAGGCACATAAACTCCAAGGTTGAAATGAAGGAAAAAAAATGTTAAGGGTAACCAGAGAGAAAGGTGAGGTCGCCTATAAAGCGAAGCCCATCAGACTAACAGTGGACATCTCAGTAGGACCCTAGAAGCCAGAAGAGATTGGGGAACTAACATTCAACATTCTTAAAGAAAAGATTTTCCAGCCCAGAATTTCATATCTGGCCAAACTAAGCTTCATAAGTGAAACAGAAATAAAACCCTTTTCAGACAAGCAAATGCTGAAGGAATTAGTCACTGCCAGGCCTGCCTTTCAAGAGCTCCTGAAGGAAGCACTGAATATGGAAAGGAAAAACTGTTACTAGCCACTACAAAAAGACACTGAAGTACACACACCAATGACACTATGAAGCAACTACATTAATAAGTCTGCAAAATAGCCAGCTAGTATCATGATGACAGGATCAAATTTATGCATAATAATATTAACCTTAAATGAAAATGCACTAAATACCCCAATTAAAAAGACACAGAATGGCAAGCTGGATAAAGAGTCAAGACCCATTGGCATGCTGTAGTTAAGAGACCCATCTCACGTGCCAAGACATACATAAGCTCAAAATTAAAGGAGGGAGGAAAATTTACCAAGCAAATGGAAAGCCAAAAAAGCATGGGCTGCAATCCTAATTACTGACAAAACAGCCTTAAATTAACAAAGATGAAAAAAAGACAAAGGCATTACATAATAGTAAATGGTTCAATTCAACAAAAAGAACTATACTAAATATACATGCACCCAATACAGGAGCACCCAGATTCATAAAACAAATTCTTAGAGACCTACAAAGAGACTTAGACTCCCACAGGATAATAGTGGGATATTTTAACACCCTACTGTCAATATTAGATCACTGAGACAGAATATCAACAAATATATTCAGGACTTGAACTCAGCTCTGGATCAAATAGACCTGATAGATATCTACAGAACTCTCCACCCAAAAACAGCAGAATATAAATTCTTCTTGGTACCACTTGGCATTTATTCTAAAATTGGCCACATAACTGGAAGTAAAACACTCCTCCTTAGCAAATGCAAAAGAACTGAAAGCATGACAAGCAGTCAAGCAGAACAAAGCACAATCAAATTAAAACTCAAGATTAAGAAACTCACTGAGAACCACCCAACTACATGGAAACTGAGCAACCTGCTCCTGAATGACTCTTGGGTGAATAATGAAATTAAGGCAGAAATCAAGAAGTTATTTGAAACTAATTAGAACAAAGAAACAACATACCAGAATCTCTGAGATGCAGCTAAAGCAGTGTTAAGAGGAAAATTTATAGCACTAAATACCCACATCAAAAATCTAGAAAGATCTCAAATTGATATTGTAACATGACAACTGAAAGAGCTAGAGAACCAAGAGCAAACCAACCCCAAAACTAGCAGAAGACAAGAAATAACTAAGATCAGAGCAGAACTGAAGGAAACAGAGACACAAAAAACCTTTCAAAAAAATAAATGAATCCAGGAGCTGGGTTTTTTTTTTTTTTTTTAAATTAATAAAATAGACCACTAGCTAGACTAGTAAAGAAAAAAAAAAGAGAGAATAACTGAATAGACACAA
Organism: Homo sapiens; assembly: GCF_000001405.40. Classification (NCBI taxonomy): domain Eukaryota; kingdom Metazoa; phylum Chordata; class Mammalia; order Primates; family Hominidae; genus Homo; species Homo sapiens. The sequence goes on from NC_000004.12 coordinate 172,196,095, forward strand.
TAAAATGTGATAAAGGGGATATCACCACTGACCCCACAGAAATACAAACAACATACAGAGAATACTATAAACACCACTATGCAAATAAACTACAAAATCTGGAAGAAATGGTTAAATTCCTGAACACATACATCCTCCCAAGACTGAAATACGAAGAAGGTGAATCCGTGAATAGACCAATAATGAATTCTGAAATTGAGGCTGTAACAAATAGCCACCAACCAAAAAAATCCCAGGACCAGATGGATTTACAGCTGAATTCTACCAGAGGTACAAAGAAGAGCTGGTACCATTTCTTCTGAAGCTATTGCAAATAATTGATTAGGAGGGACTCCTCCCTAATTCATTTTATGGGGCCAAATTCATCCTGCTACCAAAACCTGGCAGAGATACAACAAAAAAAGAAAACTTCAGGCCAATATCCCTGCTGAACATTGATGCAAAAATCCTTAATAAAGTACTGTCAAACTGAATCCAGTAGCACATTAAAAAGCTTATCCACCACGATCAAGTCAGCTTCATCCTCAATGCAAGGCTGGTTCAACTTATACAAATCAATAAATGTAAGTTATCACACAAACAGAACGAAAGACAAAACCACATCATTATCTCAATAGATGCAGAAAAAGCCTTCAATAAAATTCACCATCTCTTTATATTAAAAATTCTCAATAAACTAGGTATTGAAGGAACATACCTCAAAATAATAAGAGCCATTTATGACAAAACCACAGCCAATATACTGAATGAACAAAAGCTGGAAGCATTCCCTTTGAAAACTGGCAGATTTCAGAATGCCCTCTCTCACCACTCCTATTCAACATAGTATTGGAACTTCCCGCCAGGGGAATCAGGCAAGAGAAAGAAGTAAAAGGCATTCATATAGGAAGACTGTAAGCAAATTGTCTTTGTTTGCATATGACATGATTCTATATCTAGAAAATCCCATCATCTCAGCCCAAAAGCTTCTTAAGCTGATAAGCAACTTCATCAAAGTCTTAGGATACAAAATCAATGTGCAAAACTCACAAGCATTCCTATACACCCAGAACCAACAAGCAGAGACCCAAATCATGAATGAACTTTCATGTACAATTGCTACAAAAAGAATAAAATACCTAAGAATGCATCTAACAAGGGAAGTGAAATACCTCTTCAAGAAGAACTACAAACGACTGCTCAAAGAAATCAGAGAAGACAAAAACAAATGGAAAGGTATTCCATGCTTCCATGGATAAGAAGGATCAATACCATGAAAATGACCATACTGCCCAAAGTAATTCATAGATTCAATGCTATTCCCATTAAACTACCATTGACATTCTTCACAGAATTAGAAAAACCTATTTTAAAATTCATATCAAACCAAAAAAGAATCCATATAGCCAGAAAATCCTAAGCAAAAAGAACAAAAGTGGAGGCCTCATGCTACCTAACTTCAAACTATACTACAAAGCTAGTAACCAAAACAGCATGGTACTGGTACAAAAATAGACACATAGACCAGTGGAACAGAATAGAGCAGTCAGAAATAAGATTGCACATCTACACACATCTAATCTTCTACAAACCTGACAAAAACAAGCAATGAGGAAAAGTTTCTCTATTTATTAAATGGTTTTGGGAGAACTGGTTAGCCATATGTAGAAAATTGAAACTGAAAGCCTTCCTTACACCTTATAAAAAAATTAACTCAAGATGAATTAAAGACTCAAATATAAAACCCAAAACTAGGCCGGACGCGGTGGCTCACACCTGTAATCCCAGCACTTTGGAAGGCCAGAGCGGGCAGATCACGAGGTTAAGAGATCGAGACCATCCTGGCTAACACGGTGAAACCCCGTCTCTACTAAAAATACAAAAAAAATTAGCTAGGCATGGTTGTGGGCGCCTGTAGTCCCAGCTACTCGGGAGGCTGAGGCAGGAGAATGGCGTGAACCCAGGAGGTGGAGCTTGCAGTGAGCCAAGATTGTGCCACTGCACTCCAGCCTGAGCAACAGAGTGAGACTCTGTCAAAAAAACAAACAAACAAAACCCCCAAAACTATAAAATCCTTAGAAAATTTAGGCAACGCCATTCAGGATATAGGCACAGGTAAAGATTTTGTCATGAAAATGTCAAAAGCAATTGCAGCAAAAGCAAAAATTGACAAATGGGATCTAATTAAACTAAAGATCTGCACATCAAAAAAAAAAATAAAACAAAAATCCTATCATCAGCGCAAACAGAAAACCTACATAATGGGAGAAAATTTTGCAATCTATTTATCTGACAAAGGTCTAATGTCCTGAATCTTCAAGGAAATTAAACAAATTTACAAGAAAAAAAAAAGACCCCATTAAAAAGTGGGCAAAAGGTATGAACAGAAACTTCTCAAAAGAAGACATTTATGTGGCCAACAAACATGAAAAAAAGCTCAAGATCCCTGATGATTAAAGAAATGCAAATCAAAACCAAAATGAGATACCACCAGTGGTTTCCAGTGCCCTCACAAAAAGGTCAAACAACCTAAACATATACTTTATCACTTAGCAGGAAAATTTTGAGAGTTAAAAGTGTTGCCAGTAAGTAATTATCTGGGGACAAGAGGTGCTATCAATAATTATGATAGGACTGTTCTGGTCAACCAAGACAACATATAATCCTTCTTCTTAGAGATGCTTTAAAATCCAGTGCCTACTTGCCTCTCCCAGCATCAAACCCAAACCACAATGTGCTAATTTACTAACGTAGTGCATGTACTAGCCAGCCATAATGTACTACTATAATTCCCAAAATGTATTTTTTTTTAAATTTTGGCTATTTAGTACTTCACTTCTCTCTAATGATAGCCAACTCCTAATCATCTTTCAGTTCCTTAGATATCACTTCCTCCAGGAAACCCCTGCTTTTACTACTGTTGGCATTCTACCCTTTAGTACACTGACTACACTGTGCTGTAACCAAAGTTTGTTTCTATGCATGTTACCACCTGTGACCCCTGTTGGATTCCTTGAGAGCAGACTGTGGTAGCCACCGTTTTATCCTCCACTCCTGAAAAAAGAGGTCCCATAGAGTAAGCATTTCATCAGTGTTTGTTGAGCAAATAAACAAATCTATTTTCTTCTTGTCACTTCTCTTTGTGTTCTTCATTATTAAATGGGTAAAATAAGAATTGTGCCTATTTAATAGGATTTTTGTGGAATTTTTTTAGTACAATATACAAAAAATGCTTAGTGATTATCTGACAAAAAGACCATCTCAGTAAATTTTAGCAGTTATTATTCCTCGTGCTTAGATCAAATATATAACATGATATTTTTGCAAATTATTTTCGTGATCATTTTCAGTCAGATCTATTTTATCTCACAAATTTTGTGCTTCTGTTTTAGATAATTCTCTCACCATTTGACTTGTAATTAGTGTAAAATAATCTGTCTTTCCCAGTAAGTTTTGAGTTCTTTGATAACAGACTCTCATCTCATTCACTGTGGATTTCCAGTGACAGACACAACACAGGCATTGAATCAAACATCAGTGGAATATCTTATGTTTAAAGAAAATTGAAGACTGAAGACATAGAATTGTGGGGTTCCTCATTGCAAGATAAAGTTGACAATGACTTTTTTTAAACTCCTGGTAAATAGATCATATTTACTTTGAAAGATTTTTTGTTGTTGTTGTTGTTTGTTTGTTTGCTTGCTTGCTTGTTTTAAATAGTGGGAAAGTCCTAAGGCATTCAAAAGTAAAATAGTATTTTAGATTGTTGACATACTCTAGAAAGACTTTTCCTTCAATTTCTAATGCAGGCAACTAGCCATATACCTCATTTGAATTATTATTTCCAAATAATTCAGATGACAGTAGATTTGGAGGAATCTAAGAGCCCTTAAAAAACATCATTCCAAATTCTTTAATTTTAGAAATGAGGAATTACACATATAGAGAAGCTAAGTAACTTTGAAATTCTAATTGGCAATAAAAAATCTGGGGAAATGCAATCACTAGCTATTTATCCCAATAGTTAATGTCCTCAAAATCATCAGTAATTTAGATGAAACTGTCAGTTCAATGTATTCTAGATGCAGTATAGGTTTAATGGAAAGTCTGCTTGAATTATATCCCATTTTATTGATGTTTCACTAATAAGTGTTCCAATGGACATAACAAATTCACCCTCAAACTTGAAATTTTTCCCTTGTTAAAATACTCCAGTTTAATTATGTTTAATTTAAAGTTGGAGTTTTAGGACTGCTGCTCATGGCTAGACATTGATTTTACCTGCATTAAGGAAATTCGATTACCTTGAATCATTTATATATATTTGTAAATCACGAACGGTGCTTTTCTGATGTTTGGGACTAATTATTTCCATGAATACAAACGTCAGCAATATGAAAAGCAAGTTGTGGAATGAAACAAACAAGTGGCACCAGAAAATATTGCCTGCATAATCCATTGTGTTCTTTATAACCAAATGCCATTTGAAACCGTGCACTGATGCAGATGGCAAGATAGAATTTAGACTTTATGTAGTAGATAATATAATTTTATTTTGCTTCATTTTATTTCTGAATACTATATCTGAATAAACAAGCACATTAGTAAATGTGTGACAACATCTACCTTATTTATGTTTTTGTTTAGCCAGTGAACCATAGGCAGTAAGTGATTGTCCTTAACTTTTGTTTTTTGGTTAGAGGAGAATAACATAAGTAGTAACACGTGAATTGTTACAGGGTGAGTTATGCTTTGCAAAATACATTCTTAATCAGATAATTTGGTAATTATAACACAGACTCCAAAGTGTTGCAAAAATAAACTATCACTTTAAAAAGAGCTTAATGCAATGCTGGGTACTTACTCATGAACTGATAATTTAACAAAATTTACCAATGGAAAGCAAGCTTTATTATTGTTAGTAAATAGTATGCTCTATGAAAGAGAAGCTGAAAAGTGCTCACTTTATCTCAATACATTATTTCCCTTAAAAACGATACATAAGGAAAAAACTCTTTGTTAAACACTGAAACAACTGGAACCAAAACAAGTTTTATGAAATTAAGTGGACAGAATTGTTCCCTAATGCTTTAGTTGGGAGTTGTTTTTTTTTTTGGTTTGTTTGTTATTGTTTGTTTTGTTTTGTTGTTTTGAGACGGGGTCTTGCTCTGTCCCCAGGCTGGAGTTCAGTGGCACGATCTTGGCTCACTGCAACCTCCGCCTCTGGGATTCAAGCAATTCCCCTGCCTCGGCCTCCCAAGTTGCTGGGACTACAGGTGCACGCCACCACGCCTGGCTAATTTTTTGTATTTTAGTAGAGATGGGGTTTCATCATGTTGGCCAGGATGGTCTTGATCTCCTGACCTCATGATCTGCCCACCTCAGCCTTCCAAAGTGCTGGGATTACAGGCATGAGCCACGGCACCGGGACTAGTTTTTTTTTTTTGTTTTTTGTTTTTGTTTTTAATAAGAATAGTTGGTTGGCACTCGTAAAGGTCTCTATTGGTATTGTTGTTATTAAACGAAACACAGATAAACTGTTTAATTTTAAGATTTGTTAAAATATTTTTGTAGTACTTCCCTAGTTGCTATAGGAGCTGAAAGATAGAATATTTGTTGTGGAATTTGCAAACTAGTTGAGGCAATAAAATAGTGCACATAAAATGGCAATTACAGCAAAAGAAAACTATGACATTAAGTGCCTTAATTGTGCTGGTAATTATCAAAAGGCAATGATAATCAGCCACAATGTCCAACTGGCATTCTGTCAGCCAGCACTCTCCTGCAGAAACAGAGGGGTATGGTAGGTTCTCACTTGATGCCAATTCAACCTAGGCTAGAAATGACACCAAGAAATGGGCGGGGAAATAGTTGCAGAAGTGATGAGACTAGCTCTGCTTCTTGATGCCTTGCCACCCTTTCCAGAATTCAAAAGCACGTTAACCATCATATGGAAGAACACCTTAATTTAGTTCAAACCATGAGGGAAAAGAGTGAGGCATTAGTGAAAAATATCATCTCATGTAAATGTAGATATCTTGCTTACTTACTTAAAGAGGTTGTGCTTCCTATACTCACAGTTCCTCAAAGCATAATTGTAACGAGACTGGTGGTTTAAAATTTGCCAGTTTCTTTGTAATTGCATGGACTTTGCTGAGTCTCTAGGTATGATGAGCACAGTAATTTGAAACTGTAACCTGAGATTAAGGCAAATGATGCTTTCTAATAGAAAAAGCTGAAACTAGTGTGATGAGCAGTAATGTCTTTAAAATTAAATTTTGTATTGGGTAAGTAAATAAATAAATAAAAGAATGAAAAATAGGAATATCTCAATATGTTTATTATTCCTTAAGTTTTTGGATAGTGTAATATTAGTGTTGAAATAATTATTTCATATACGATCAAATATGTGTGTATATAGAAACACAAATATTGACATACATACTTACATATAGGTAGATGAGATGGATATATAGATAATTATATTGGGTAGAAAGATTAAAAAATAGCTTCATGTGGGGCATTATCCCCAAAATAAGTATCTAGGTAATGTACTTGTGAAATCAGTGTGGTCTGTGATTACCATCTAGTGGCAGTGTCCTTGAATTGCAAATACTCAGTGCCAGTAGGAAACCCAAAGGGGATTATTTGGCCCATTCAACCCATTTTCTTGATGTAATGAATTATTATGAAACATCAGCAACCACACACCTACTATACAATATATAATAGAGTTATATATTGTAAACACATTTTCACAAAATGGATGATTTCTACATGAAAGTTATTTAAATAAGGCTAATTGAAAAACATTTTAATTGAGTTTTGATAGCAAAATCAAAATTAGGCTTGAGAGGAAAACAATTGAAAAAAATTGAGAGGAAAACAATATGTTTAAGTTGAATTTGATTACAGATAGTATAGTTTACAAATAATAGAGTTTAGGAACTAAAAGTCCTGTGTATACTTTGACAATGGAGTTGGTCAATATTAAAATGTGTACATTTGGCTAAATAAAAATAGGCAGTGTTTGTGTTGAGATTTGAAGTTCAGACTAAACAGCACTGTAAGGGTAAAACATTTTTTAGCATGATAGAATGAGGACATAAAAATGTGACCATATAGCTATATTGGTTATGTTGTTATGGGAGAAGATAAATTAGGAATTGTTTGCAATAATTTATAAGGTATGAGCACTGGTATTTCAGTAATTGTTGAGAAAATGCAAAGAAAGGGAAGAATATGTAAGCTTTGTCAAGAAAGAGGTAAAAATACTTGTCAAATTTGGCAGCGGAAACTTAAAAACTGAAGGTGTCTTTAAGGTTTTCAGTATGAAGATCTCAGAAACGATGGCGGTATTTTAAAAAGTATTTGAAAAATTAAAATTAAATATTACAGACCTTTGTTATAGGGTATCAATCTCATAAAAGATGTACCCATTTCTAAGGAATTTTTCTATAGTATGTCATTCAATCCTTCCAACTCTTCCTCCATTTTTAACCTGGGAGGCAAGGCAGGAATCAGGTTCAAATATATTACATCATTTTCCCAAGACTTTATTGCTAATATGTGGCTTCATTTGACCTCCAGACCCATCTACTCTAAAATTCATGATATTTTCCTTCTCTATGAAACTGATTGTTTGTTGTTTGGCATCTTGACAGATTTTTTTTTATAATTTATTTTTTTCGAGGTGGAGTTTTGCTCTTGTTGCCCAGGCTGGAGTGCAATGGCACAGTCTTGGCTCACCACAACCTCTGCCTCCTGGGTTAAAGTGATTCTCCTGCCTCAGTCTCCCGAGTAGCTGGGATTACAGGCATGTGTCACCATGCCTGGCTAATTTTGTATTTTTAGTAGAGACGGTGTTTCTCCATGTTGGTCAGGCAGGTCTCGAACTAACGACCTCAGGTGATCTGCCCACCTCAACCTCCCAAAGTGCTAGGATTACAGGCATGAGCCACTGCACCCGGCCAACAGAATTTTTTTAACTAAGTTAATGTGAAGATTCTACAATATATTTATCTATCAATTAAAAATTATGTGAGACCTTATATTACTAGAATTCAGAAATTGTGAAGTTTACTAGGTTGTTTGCTATATATAATGAAAGATGTTTGTACTAAAAATATACCTAAAAAAATCAAAATAAGAGAATACCAAAATACATTTATATATGATAGTCCTTTTTTTAAAACTGCGTCAATGTAATAACTGAAAGGTAGTTTGCTCAAGTTTGCAGTGCATTGTGACAGTGTAAGTCTTTTCTATCATTAAAGATTCAGTATGAACACATTGATGCAACCTGTCTGATACTGAAAGAAGGGGCACATGGCAGTCTGAGTGCAGAGAGAACACAGTGGTCTCCTTCAATCCTCACATTATCACTGTTTCTGATTGTTTATGTTTATTCATAGGTAATAATGTCTTTTATCTCAATTATAATTTTAATTTGGAGCTAAGATAGGTAAACTCCAAAACATATTTTTAATAATATTGTGTATTCTATAATTATTAAGGGTGTTTCCTTTCATTTTCAAAAGTGTCTTAGTTTGCATGATAAATTATATTGTCACCTTAGACCAGGGGTTCTTGGACAGAGACATGACAATCTGGTAAAATTTATGAACCCTTTTGAGAATAATGTTTTGTGATTACAAAGAGAAGAAAACAGAATAGAGTTATCAAACTATTTTAAAAAGTCAATTTGTGAAGCAGTAGTCATTGTGCTCCTTTGCCAACTCATTAAATAACAAGATCTAGGGATAGTTAATAACTATCTTAATTTAAAGAAGACATGAACTAAACAATGTTTCTATACAGCTGTATCAACTGTAATGTGAGATCACAATATTTACAATTTCTATTGATGAAGAAGTCCCAGGTACTACTAATTCTACTGTAGCTTATGGTCTGCATTTAGTCTAAATAAAATGTTAATTTTCAGTTCTCTAAAAGTTATGATTTATTCTTTTCTTAATCCAAATGTGCATATTCAGCTAATTAAGAACCCCTAGATACACTACATTGGTGCTTTATATGTTTTCTCCAACACTAGAATTTGAGCTTTTTAATCACACACATTATATTCATCTTTGCGCCTTTGGTAACAAATGTAAAGGATAAAACATCTGAAAAGTTTGATAAATGGATAAATAGATACCACAAACAATAAAATCAGTTAAAAAGCAAGGATCTGCAAAATTTTTCAGGAAAAATTCCATAATAGCAAATTTAGTATAGAAAAGTCTCCAAATGAAAGCCTGAACTAGTGGTGTGAGATGTAATAACATGGACACAAAGATGAACTTTACATAGACTGGGACTTGTGCTAGAGTCCACTTTTTTGGGAGAGATATGACCTTTTAGTGTCCTGAGCGACTTAAAAGCTGACAGAGGCCAATCCGGACCACACAGTCTTTGAAATGACATCTTGGTAATCTACAGTATTATTAGATCCAGGATATTAAAAGCTAGGTCAAAGGACAGTTCTGACAAAGAAAAGACTCTCATCCTTTTGTTCCATAATCCCTTCCTATTTCCAGTCCCATTCTTACATGCAGAAGTACACTCTGAAGAGCATAGGCAGTGTTATCAGAGAAGCTACTGCGATGTTTGTTCTTTGCCTGGAAGTCTTTGTTCCATAATCTCTTCCTATTTCCAGTCCCATTCTTACATGCAGAAGTTCCCTCTGAAGTGCACAGGCAATTTTATCAGAAAAGTTACCATAATGTTTGTTCTTTACTTGGAAATCTTTGTTCCGGAGATCTCATCACATAGTTTTTCCTTTCTGAGCTCTCAGCAGTAAGTTCTATGCCTTGTTGTTTTGGCATCTCCATCAAGTCTCCCATCAATGGATTGAAAATATAAACTAGGTGAAAAATGCATTCTTTGTTTTCCCACTACCTACTCAGAGGTCTACCTGGTGTTTGTAGAGCAGGGAAAGAATATGTACATATGCCATGTATTTCATATTTATATAAATATATATATGTTTAGCTGTATGTATGTATGTGTATCTGGAGATCTAAACAAAGAGAATAAAATGAACTAATTTCTAGTGAGAAAACATTTAAACATCCTCCGCTCTTCCAGCTGGGACTCAGTAGAAGTGCATTCTAATTCTGCTGGACAAATCCTTCTAAATACTCTAATCCCCATAAGAATAGTTGTATTTATTCAGCTCATCAACAATGATGATCTGAGAAAAAAATTTTCCAAATTATGTGGATACAGGGAGATAGTAGGAGATCATGAAACATAAAGAAAAAGGGACACAGGAAAAGACAAGAACAGGTGCTCCCCAGATGCTCATGGTGTTTAATGAGAAAGCATATTTTGTTATAATGAATGTTCTTGGCAGTCCTTGATGAGTGATTGTATCTTTTTAAAATAACTGCATTAGTAATTTGTACTGACACTCTTCATGCCAGTAAGATAAGCTGTTTCAGATAATGATAAGTGATACAAAGAAAATAAAACAGTGATGCAATAGATAGTGACAGAGGGCACCTACTTTGGAGAAGATTGTTGTAGGCATTTTTGAGTAAGTGCCATTGAAGTGAGACCTGAATGATGAGAAAGAGACCGTCATGTACGCAGCAGGGGAAAGAACATTCTAGACAGAGGAGAGAACAGATGCAAAGTCCCTGAGTCTGGGAACAAAATTTTAGAACAGAATGCATATCAGAGCAGATGAAACGTGTTTTTTGTTTTGTTTTGTTTTGTTTTTCTGTTTTTTTTGTTTGTTTTTTTTTTTTTTTTTGAGACGGAGTCTCACTCTGTCGCCCAGGCTGGAGTGCAGTGGTGTGATCTCCACTCACTGCAAGCTCCGCCTCTCGGGTTCAGGCTATTCTCGTGCCTCAGCCTCCCGAGTAGCTGGGACTACAGGCACCCACCACCACGCCCGGCTAGTTTTTTGTATTTTTAGTAGAGGCGGGGTTTCACCATGTTAGCCAGGATGATCTCAATCTCCTGACCTCGTGATCCGCCCCCCTTGGCCTCCCAAAGTGCTGGGATTACAGGCCGCCGTGCCTGGCCGAAACGTGTTTTAATAAATGGGAGAGTCTTACAACGTTAGGTCATAGAGTTCGGCAAAGCCAAATCATACAGGGTCTCCTAAGCCTTAGTAAGCACCTTGGATTTTATTCTAATTATAAATGAATTAATTCATTAAATATGTTCAAGTAAAATGTGCACAATCTGAGTTATGTTTTAAAAAGCCTACTTTGGATCTTTGTGGAGAGTGGATTATAGGAAGACGAGAAAATACTGGGGAACAAAATGGGGATGCTTTTGGAATTGCCAGGAGAGAGACAGTAAAGGAGCAAGAGGGATGGTGGTGCTCTTTCCTGAGAGAAGAAGAGGAAGTTGATTCAAGCAAGAAGAGGAAGCATCAAAAGTTATGTTTTGACACGTTAAGTTTCAGTCACTATTTGGGAAGCCTTTCCTGAAGAGTTTAAATAAATAGATAAACTTTTTCTAAATAAACCCTTTGTCAGAGCCAATACACGAGCCAATACAACACCTCTTTCTGGGAAGCTGCATGGTAGTAGCTGTTAAAACTAGATCTGGAACCAGACTACTGACATATAAACGCTTGGTTCTCTCTGTTACTAGCTATGTGACCTTCAGTACTTGAATTCTCTGTCCCTCAATTTCCTCAACTACAAGAACAGTAATTACAAATTCTCTCTAATGGGGTTTTTAAGGACTAAATAAGTTAATTAATGAAAAGCCTTCATAACTTGCACGCAGTAAGTACATGATACACATCAAGTTTGTTATGATTATTCCTAAACTACAGCGTATTTTATTAAAATTGATTTAGAATATATTTTCATTCTGTATGACTTGTAGAATCTTTCCTGTACTCCATGTTTGTTAAGAGTATTCTTCAGTTCTTAAAGGGACAATCACTGTTTAAGTCAATGAAAGAAGACGGAGTGAGGAACCGAGTATTAGTGGGAGGCTATATTTAGACAGTAGAATTGTGATATTTTAGTTCTTTGTGGAATCCTTATTGATGTCATTTGGAGGCCATGCAGTGAGCTTCAGAGCATTACAAAGTGAGACCTGTGACCTGTACATGCTGGAAGTTGAGCTGTCGTCTGATCTCAAAATGATACTGTCTCTTTTCCCCAGCAAGTTTAAAGTTATTGAAAGCATACCTTTCCATTATTTTTTGTCTTTTCATTTTAATTCTTTTACTAAATCAATTATTACTGTAAATATGAAGTCAGACAATTATATAGCAGAATTAGAATTATTGGAATGCAAAAATAGATGTACAACCAATGTATTACTAAAAATGTTGAGTTCTTAAAACATAATTAAATAAAAGAAAATCGTTTAACTATGAACCTGAAAACATTAGAAAAATATTACTAAATCAGACATATCTGAGTTTCAACACAGCCAAATCTGCTGAAGGCCTTCTCACATTTGTATGATTTGGTATTTTTCTAAAGAGCATGAATGAGGATTTTGATGGCATGTTGTAAATACTCCGCAAAGCTGGGAGGCGTTGTGTATTATTTCACTCATAAGGTCACAAAACAGAATTATATATTTAAAAAAAAGAATGCATTTTATAAATGAAAACCTAGAGTGTTTTTGGTGACTGTTTTAATAGAAGTATTGGTTCCAAACCAAGAAAGTTAAGATTGCATTTTCCTGGTTTGGTCAAACTCTACCTGAACATTACAAGTGAGGATGGTTGTTAACCTGCCGAGCCTAATAAGAGTGATGAAGTCTCCTTTAATCATGTCTGTGTGAGAAACCGAAGAACCATTATCTTCAAATAATTAAAGAGCTATTATGTAGAAAAAAGTATTCTTTTTATCTTTGGGCAAAAATTATAGGAAAACAAAAAGATTTTCAAGCATAAATAATTGCACAAAATACATGAGAAAGGTTAAACTACAGGAGTTCTCAAATTCTTTATAGTTTTTAATTCTCAAGTACATTTTTTCCTGATTCTACTCTCTATATTCTAGAAGAAAAGCTAAATTACAAGGACGTCTAATTGCAAAGAATAATATTTGCTCAAGATGTTAAACTGATGTCATATTCTTAATTACTTGTGTCAAAACTCACAAATAATTTCATAGTATTACATGTCTCAAAATTATATGGAAAACTTCTGATGTGAACAATTTCTCACAGAGATTCTATGAGATATTTTAGCATTCTGGAAATTATCCATGACAAGCTCAGTGTATATAGGTGGTATATATGGTCACTGCGAGATTGATATTATTTAATAGTTCCCTCCACAAAAGGCAATCTATGTATTATAACCTAAGACTCTATTTGAAGAATTATGAATTCTGACTATCTTTCTAAGAAAGGAGGACCCAGGGTCTCTGGTCAAAAAAAAAAAAAAATGATGTACCTCTAAAAGACCAGCCATTTAAAAAATAATACATACTTATTCATTTTAATGCTACATTTTATTGAATCGTAACAAGTACGTACAAACAAGAAAAAACAAAGGCAAATGAACATTAGCATCCAATCTTTTAACAGATGTCCACAACTGTCACTGAATTCAAATAAACACATTTCACTTTCTCATTTTTTGTAGGTATAATAACAGAGGATCAAAATAAGGAATTATATTAGTAAGACTGCCTCATTTATTTACTCACAGGTTTAATAAACTGAGGCTAGAGCTTGCTGTTTTAATTTTCATTTTATTGAAATTTATATTTGCCCTTCCACAAATTCATTTTGCTGAATAGATTTCTATTTCCCAGCCAAGCTGGCAAAAAGACTTCTTGGTGCATTAGAATTTTGAGTAGTAACAAGACAAGTCAGTAAATAAAAATAATTAAAATGAATAGTTTATCATCATCTAAATGCAAACTAGTACAGCATAGAGAAAGCCTCTGCCATCTTTCCCCTTTATTTACTTAACAGTTATTAATTATGCTAATGCATATCATAGTAAAGAATGAATAATGTTGACAATAAGCTATGAATTGCAAAGATAAGTATACACTTCAGCTTATGGGTATATTTAATCATACAAAAAAGTGTAACTATTGTTAAAACTCCAAGATAATTTCTGAAAAGACTTGTGGTCATTTTTAAGACACCTTATTTTTATCAGTTTTAGATTTAGAGAAATATTGCCCTTCTAAACCCAAAACCCAGCATTTCCTATTATTAATATCTTACATTAGCAGGATACATTTATTACAAATAATGAAGCAGTATTGATATAGTGTTCTCAACTAAAGTCTGTAGTATTTATATATCTTTAGTTTTTACCTAGTGTCCTTTTTCTATTCCTACATGACTCTGGGATACCACATTATATTTAACATCATATCTCCTTAGGCTTCTCTTAGCTATGACAGTTTATCAGATTCCTTGTTACTGATGACCTTGACATGTTTTAGGAATACTGGTTAGGCATTTTGTAAAATGTCCCTCTATTGGGATTTGTTTGCTGTTTTTCTGATGATTAGATGGGATTATGTGTTTGGGAGAGAAAGACTACTGAGGTAAAGTGCTATTTTCATTACATCATATCCAGGGTATATAATATCACTATGACTTATCAGTATTGATGTTGACCTTGATAATGTTTGTCCACTATAAAGTTATTCTCACTGCCAGCCCCACTCAGTCTTACAGTACCCATTGGAGGGCAGCCATGATGCTAACACTTAAGGAATAAAGAGTTACGTTCCACCTAGTTGAGGGTGGAATATGTACATAATTAATTGGAATTCTTCTGCAAGAAATATTTTGGTCTTTTCCCACTTTATTTATTTATTCAATCATTTGTTTATATCAGTATAGTCTCACAGACATGTTTTTAGTACTTTGTATTACCAAATATTATTTTTTAATTTTCTTGTTCAAATTCCAGATTTGTAATTTGAATGTTGTTCAATAAGTTGTTGTTCCATATTTAGCCATTTGAAAGCTCTTTCAGTTGGCTCTTGTGTTTCTCTGAATCATTCACATCCTTTTAGGTATTGGTGTTGTTTTTCATTTGTTTATTTAATTGTTGGTGGTCTTATTTATTCGTTTCTTGAGCACTTCCTTGCATTCTAACATTATAAGATGCTCCGGTTTCATCTTGCACATTTCCAGTTCAGTCATATAATCAACCATTTCCCCAAGGAGCCCTGGTTTCTTGGATTAGACAATAGTATTTTGAAAAACTGATGTGAGATCTAGATGTGTTCACTAGTTCTGGGATGTCCTTGCCCCTAGGCCTTCTCAGGAGGGTTATTTGTATACTAATCATGTATTTACACGTATGTCTAAATATTTCTATATGTAATTATCTGTTGCTATATTAAGTTAAACATGAGTTCATACTTAGGTCTCTAACTCTAGTTCATACCAGATGGATCATTCTAGCCTCCTTCCCTTCCTTATTTGTAAACTTCCACACTAATAATGACACACCTGGTTTCCACCATCACCTATCCATTTACTTATATTAATATTGTTAAATTCCACTATATATGTGCAGAAGCATCAGAATTGTTAAGCCATATTCCTGGGGGCCACACCTTTATCAACTAGAGTACAGTCCTGTCTTTATCCATGTGGGCTGTTACAACAAAATGCCTTACATTGGGTAATTTATGAACAACAGAAATTTGTTTCTCATATTCTATGGGACCAGAAGTCTGATATCAAGGTGCCAGCAGATTTGGTGTCAGTTAAAAGGGCATTCCTCATAGACAGTGTCTTCTCTAGTCCTCACGTAGCAGAAAGGGCAAGATAGCTTGCTTAAGCCTCTTTCATAAGGGTGCTAATACCATTCATGAGGGTGAAAACTTCATGACTTAATCATTCCCCAAAGGCCCCACTTCTCAATATAATCACATTGGTATTAGGTGCCAACATATGAATTTTTGGGGAAAGCAACTTTCCGACCATAGCAAGGTGCTTATTTCAAGTTTGTTTTGTGTTGTTTGTCTTTAGTTTTCCCCACTCATTTCCAAAGTTACTTAGGTTAGCGCCTTCTTCCCCCACCCACTTCAGTGAGGTTGTTTGATACATTAATATGGTTAGATTTCTTCATATTCCATTCTGAAATTCCCTGACCTCCTTAATAATTAGCTTTTTTTTTTCTTTTGACCAAGACTCTCTCTGTCACCCAGGCTGGAGTGCAGTGGTGTGATCTGGGCTCACTGCAAACTCTGCCTCTCAGGTTCAAGCGATTCCCCTGCCTCAGCCTCCTGAGTAACTGGGATCACAGGCACATGCCACCACGCCTGGCTAATTTTTATATTTTTAGTAAAGACGGGGTTTCACCATGTTGATCAGGCTGGTCTTGAACTCCTGACTTTGTGATCCGCCGCCTCAGCCTCCCAAAGCGCTCAGATTAGAGGCATGAGTTACCTCGCCCAGCCAATGATTAGCTTTCTAATTAGCATACATTAAGGTTCCCTGTTTTTCATGTAAAATATAATGGATTTTGAGAAATGCAGACTGCCAGGTGTCCATGATAACAGTATAATATGGAATAGTTTCATCACCCTAGATAATTACCTGTGCTTTACATATTCAGCTCTTCCCTGCCCCTTCATGAACCCCTGGCAACCACTGCTCTTATATTTTTATTTTATTTTATTTTTTTAGATGGAGTTTCGCTCTTGTTGCCCAGGCTAGAGTGCAATGGCACCATCTCAGCTCACCACAACCTCTGGCCCCCGGGTTCAAGCGATTCTCCTGCCTCAGCCTCCTGAGTAGCTGGGATTATAGGCATGCACCACCACGCCCGGCTAATTTTTTTTGTATTTTTAGTAGAAACAGGGTTTCTCCATGTTGGTCAGGCTGTTCTCGAACTCCCGACCTCAAGTGATCCGCCTACCTTGGCCTCCCAAAGTGCTGGGATTACAGGCGTGAGCCACCACGCCCGGCCAACCACTGATCTTTTATCATTGCCATAGTCTTGCATTTCCTAAAGTATCACATAGTTGGAATCATATAGTATGCAGCCTTTTCAAATTGGCTTCTCACGCCAGAAAAAAAATGCATTTAAGTTTCATCCTTTTTTTTTGTGGTTTCATAGTTCGTTTTTATTAATCACTAGATAATATTCCATTGTATAGATGTTCCAATTCATTTATCCACTTGCTATTGAAGGACATCTTAGTTGCTTGCAGTTTGTGGGGATTGTAAATAAAGCTGCTATAAACATTTGCACTGAGTTTTTTTGTGGACATAAATTTTCAAACTAGTTAGGTAAATAGCTAAGACTATGGTTACTGAATTGTATGAAACTGCCAAACTGACTTCCAAAGTGGCTATATCATTTTTTCTTGTCTATCAGCAATAAAGGAGAATTCCTGTTGCTTTACGTCCTCCCTAGCAATTGGTATTGTCAATTTTGGAAATTTTAACCATCCTAATAGATGTGTACTAGTTTTTTATTAAAATTGAAACTTGCAATTTTCTAATGACAAATGAAATTAAGGATCGTTGTATATGCTTATTTTGCATTTGTATATCTTCTTTGATGAGATGTCTGTTCAGTTGATTAGCCTGTTTATAAATTGACTTATTTGTTTTCTTGTTATTAAACTTTAAGAGTTATTTGTATATTTTAGAGAGCAATCCCTTATCAGATATGTATTTTGTAAACATTTTATCTCAGTCTGTAGCTTTCCATTTTTTAAAATGGAATTTTTACAATGTCTTTCCATTTTTAAAAATATTGTCTTTGGCAAAGCAGAAGTTTTTAATTTAAATAAAGACTTACATAGCAATATTTTCTTTTATGGACTGCGCTTTTGTATCTAAAAACTCATCACCAAAACTAAGGTCACCTAGATAGTACCCTAAGATTTCGTGTAGGGGTTTTATAATTTTTATATTTTACATTTAGGTGTTTGATTTATTTTGGATTAATTTTTGTGAAAGATATGAAATTTATGTCTAGATGTTGATATTGTTTCATATTGCTGCATGTATTAATGTAACAGATATCCATTTGCTGTACAGACTCTCCTTTCTCCACTGACTTGTCTTTGTTTCATTGTCAGAGATCGGTGGACTATGTTTGTGCATGTTTATTTCTGGCATCTATATTCTGTTCTGTTGACCTGTGTGTCTATTCTTGTGACAATACCATGTGTCTTGATAACTGTAATATTATAAGTCTGGAAATTGGGTAGTTTGAGTCCTCTGACTGTCCCTTTTCTTCAGTATTGTGTTACTTATTCTAGGTCTGTTGTCTTTCCATATAAACATTAGAATCAGTTTGTTAATATCTATAAAATAGCTTGTCAGGATTTTAGGTAGGATTCCATAGTCTTCTCTATTTTTTTTTCTTGGATAGGCTCACTAGAGATTTATCAATTTCATCAACGCTTTTTCAAAGAACTAGCTTTTGACTTAATTGGTTCAATTTCATTACATTAATTTATTTTCAATTTCATTAATTTCTGTTCTGTTTTTATTTCTTTTCCTTTTTTTTTTTTTTGAGACAGAGTCTCCTCTGTCACCCAGGCTGGAGTGCAGTGGCGTGATCTGGGCTCACTGCAACCTCTGCCTCCTGGGTTCAAGTGATTCTCCTGCTTCAGCCTCCTAAGTAGCTGGGATTACAGGTACATGCTCCCATGCCCAGCTAATTTTTGTATTTTTAGTAGAGACAGGGTTTCACCATGTTGGTCAGGCTGGTCTTGAACTCCTGACCTCATGATCGGCCTGCCTTGGCCTCTCAAAGTGCTGGAATAACAGATGTGAGGCACCGTGCCCGGCCTTTTGATTTCTTTATTTCTGCTTGCTTTAGGCTTTAACTGCTCTTCTCTCTCTGTTTCCTGAGGTTGAAACTTAGATTATTGGCTTTAGAGCTTTCTTCTTTTCTAATGTATGCATTAGTTGCTATTAATTTACCTCCAGAGCATACCACAATTTTTGATGTTTTATTTTCATTTAGTTCAAATTTCTCTGAGGTATTTATGGACTCATGTACAGTATAGAAATGTGTTATATAATCTCCAAGTATTTGGAGATTTTTACCTCAGTCTTTCCCTGATTAATTTATAGTTTAATTCCTTTATAACCCGAGAAAATTATTTGTATGATTTCTATTCTTTTTAAATTTGGTGTGTTTCGTGGCTTATGATGTAGTTACTTTGGTGAATGTTTTTGAAAAGAATGTATATTCTATTGTTTTGGGATTGAATATTCTAAAAATATCAATTAAATCATGTTGATTGACAGTATGGTTCAGGTCAACTCTATCTTTACTAGTTTTCTGCCTACTTGATATATCAATTAATAAAGAGAGGTTTTGAGGTTTCCAACTGTAGCAATGGATTTGTCTATGTTTTCTTGCAATTCTATCAGTTTCTGATATTCTGTTATTAGGTGCATACATATTAAGGATACTATGTCTTCTTGGAGAACTAACCAGTTTATCATTTTAATCTTCCTCTCTTCTTGTGAAGTCTGACTTGTCTGAAATTAATTTAGCTACTTCATTTTTCTTTTGATTAGTGTTACCATGGAGTACCTTTCTCCATCTTTTTTACTTCTATCCTATCCTAGTCTTTATATTTAAAGTAGACTTGTAAATAAAGTTTAGTTGAGAATTATGTTTTTATATCCACTCTAAAAATCTCTGTGATTTAACTGCTCTATTAAGACCATTCATATTTAAAGTGCTATTAATATGTTCACTATGTCTGTAACTGTTTTATATCTGTTGCAGTAGTTTTTTGCTTCTTTAATCTCCTCTTTTTCTGCCTTGTGTAGTTTTAACTATTTTATATAATTCAATTTGCCCCCTTTCATAGGCATCAATTACACTTCCTTTTACATTTTTAATAGTTACTCGAGTTTGCATTATGCATTTCTAATTAATCTAAGTCCACAGTAAATAACAGTACCTTGCTTTCTATGTACCAGTTCTTTCCTCCAGTCCCTTGGAACATTGCTGCCATTCATTTTATCTGTTCATATGTTATATACACCCAATATGTTGTTGCTAATATTACTTTAAACAAACCATTATTTCTTAGGTTAATTGAGAATAAGAAAAATGAAATATTCCATATTATCTTCATTTATTCATGCTCTTTATTTACATAAATCTGAGTTTTTGAAATATACTATATCATTTTCCTTGTCCCTGAAGATTTTCTTTTAACATTTATTGTTGGGAAGCTCTCCTGGAGATAAATTCTCTTAGTTTTTGTTTGTGAAAATCTTTACAACTTCTTCACTTCTGAAAAATAATTTCACTGAGTATAGAATTCTATTAACAGTGTTTTTGTTTTTTTTTTCTTTCAATATGTTCAATATTTCATTCCAAACTCTTTTTACTTGCATAGTTTCTAAAAATATGTCCTTTAGAAGTATTACTCCTGTTTATCTACTGGTAAAGCATTATTAAAGCCCTTCCCACCCACTCTGACTTCTTTCGAGATTTTCTCCTTGTCTTCTGTTTTCTGCAATTTGAATATGATATGCTTAAGTGTAATTTTTTTTTGTATTTGTTCTGATTGGTATTCTCTGTTTTTCTTGGATCTTTGGTTTTGTGTCACTCATTAATTTTGAAAAATTCATAGTGATTATTCAAATATTTTATCTCTCAGTTTTGGATGTTCTTTTTTTCTCCATTGTTTTATCAACAAAAAGAGTCAAACACTGTAAAATATTTGAAGAGATTTATTTTGAGCCAAATATGAGTGACCATGGCCTGTGACACAGCCCTCAGGAGGTCCCGAGAACATGTGTCCAAGGTGGTCGGGGCGCAGCTTGGTTTTATACAGTTTAAGGAGGCATGGGACATCAATCAAGGACATTTAAGAAATACATTGGTTTGGTCCAGAAAGCCAAGACAACTCTAAGAAGGGAATGGGAAGTGGGGGAGGGGGGCTTCCAGGCTATAGGTAAATTTAAACTTGTTCTGGTTGATAATTGGTTGAGTTTGTCTAAAGATCTGGGGTCCATAGAAAGGAAATGTTCAGGTTAAGATAAAAGATTGCTGAGACCAGGAGGCCAAGGTTCTTTTGAAATCTTATTGTGGCTGCCCTTAGACACAACAGATGACAAATGTTTCCTAATTAGTCCTTTAAAAGGTGTTGGACTCTTAGTTAATCTCTTCAGGATTGGGAGGGCCTGGAAGAAAAAGATCTAGCAATGTTAATAGAGACTCTCTACAGATGCAAATTTTCCCCCACAAAGGACAGCTTTGCAAGGCCGTTTCAAAATGTAGGGTAAAATATTTTGACTTCTTTGTTACATAATGTTACGCAGGAGTCACATTGGAAAGTAAGTCGCAATATATAGGGTTCAATAAACCCATCTGATGAGAATTTATGGTTTGTAGAACATGACTGTCCAAACCCCTTAGATAGGAATTTGGGCAAGATAAAAAAATATCAGAGCTAGTCTTCAATTTCTTCTATTTTAATTTTAGCTTAAGGAAGTTCCTATTGACAAATCTTCAAGCCCAGTGATTCTTTTCTCAGCCACGTTTGTTCTACTGATAAAGCCATCAAAATAATTCTTCATTTCTGTTATAAATATTTTAGAATTTCTAGCATTTCCTTTTAATTCATTCTTAAACTTCCCACTGCTATATTTACATGATCCATCTTTTCTAGCTATGTCTACTTCCTTCATTCGAGCCCTTAACATGTTATAGTTACTTTAAATTCACTGCCCACTCATTGCAAAATTTTGTCCTATATGAATATAGTTGTTATGCTTGATTTGTCTCGTCAGACTGTTAGGATATATCAGGTAACAGGAACTGACTAACTAATAATTAGATCTTTGTATAAGGTTTTGTTTTTCTGGGGAAATTGGCCTGTATTGAATGTTTACTGTAGGTTTAGGTATAGGTGTCAAAAACTGAGTTCTAATGTCTTGGTTTTCATGTCCCCTTTGTATTTGGGCTTCTCTAAGGACTCCTCTTTATATAGAGGCTATGTCTTTCAGCTCTTTCAGCTCTAACCCACCGTTTTTATACTGTAACCCTATTACTATGATGGGAAGGGATGGGGGAGGGGAGCATTATATAATTTTAAGATTAAATCTTAGTCTTTTAGTGGGCTTTGTTCCTGGAATGTAGCCTTCATAAGTTCCCCTTCATAAGTTTCCTCTCTTTGCCCATCCCAGCTCCCTTAGGTGAGACAGATAAGCTAGAGTAGACTAAAGTCCTTAGGAAAATGACCTTTCCCCAACTTGGATAAGACTCTAGTAAAGTCTTTTTCTCTTGACAGTAGGCCTTAGGCCTTTGTTATGGAGAACCCTCTAGGCATATTTTACAAAGGTTACTTTTTCTTTCCCTATGCCAGAACCATGAGAGGGTTTTTCTTGGATTTTCTTCATGATGACCTGGTATGCTTAGTGTACAATGGGGGCTCCCTAAGACTATTGCTCCAGGAGTTTCTGACTCTCAGCTTCCATCAATTCATTAACGTTATCATTTAAGTGTTTTTACCTGTTTATGGGTCCTGCAGTTTCTGCTGTAAGAAAAGAGACCTTGGTTGGGACTCTCTAGATTTTCATATCTTTCTAAAATTCTGAGCAGTGGTTTGCTGTGAAATCTCAGTTTTCTAATGGGTCCAAGAAAACTTGCAGATTTTCAGTTTGTTTAGCTTTATTCTTGTAAGGACAAGAAGACAATCTTCAAACTTTATATAGGATGGAGCTGAAACCAGAAATTCCTCATAGTCATTTTTTATACTTTATTTCTAGAGTAGTTATATTAAATAATTTTAAAGATCTGAATGTTAATAACAATTGGAAAGACAAGAGTGTTCAGGATTTTTAATGAAGTGATATATTTAATGAAGTGATACATTTGTGATGTATATTCATGTACATTGACAGTTTGTTAAGTAATAATAAATAAGTAAATAATAATGGATATTTGACAAGCAAATCAAATTAATCTTACAACTACATGAGATAAAGTTTTTTATTTCCATTCTATAGATTAACAAATTGAGACCAGAATTTTTGTTCTTAACCATTAATTATTTTAACTCCTGAAAGAATATGAAATTTCTGTCCATTTCAGACATTTGGGAAGGCAGATAAATATATGTTAAAAAAAAGCCAAATTAAAATGGATAGATTAATTGATCACTTTGCAATCAGAAAATATAATATGTCAGATTAAGCAAGTGTATATATATATATATATATATATAATCCTTCTGTTCTTAAAAAATATAGGCAAAAGAATAACCGTTATTTTAAGTAATTTTTTAAAAAAATTATTCCTTGGCATCTATGTTTCTCATTATTAATATGAATTATCTTACTTGTTAACACAGAAATGATAAATGCTATCTAGACTTTTGTTTTGTTTTATGACCAAATGCCCATAAATCTTTCTCAACATTTATTAATATGCCATTCAATTCCTATATTTATGTTCTATAAAACAGTGTTTTAAATTTAAAAACTTTTTGATGGCAAGCTATAATTATAATAATCGAAGTTGTTTTCCCGTAAGTAAATTATTTTCAGAGTACAGAGTAGATACCAGGAAAACACAATGATCTATTGTCTCTCATGTCTACAATTTGTTGAACAAGATACTTTAAATTAAAGCTTGAAAAACATCTCTGCTGGTATTTGAAATAATTAGCTGTGAAAGTCACGGTCCAAGACCCTTTTAAGATTTAGATTTTAAGTGCTTTTTCTTCTAGTTGTCAAGTCTTGACATTTTATCATTTGGTATTCAAGGAAATGGAGACTATTTCTTCCTCCGAACACTGTAGACAAATTATATTTATGCTAGATAGCCAATATAATGGAAAGCAACCTGGTTTTGATATTTAAAAGTATTGGCACTTCTGCCTAAAAAGATGCTTGCTTACCCACGTAAGAACCAATATCTGTATTTAAGTAAAATAACTTGTGAAATACTTTTTTAGAATGAAATTTTCTAGTGGAAAATATTATATTTTACATTCAGCCAGTAAATCCAATTCTCTGTTAGGAATTTCTCCTTCTAAGTCTTAGAAATCTTAAATTTATTGTCTCTCAAACTCAGCACATCTCTGTCCTCCTCTGTCCCTTCAAAATGATTAAATAACATAAGAAGATCTCATTGAAGGTAACATCGTATAGTTTCCTTGTTTGTGTTTTTTTTAATAGTACACCTGTAGAATGTAAGCTCTTCAAGGGTATGACACTCTGCTTTAGTCACTGATAAATCCCAAGTACCTAAACAGTGCCAGACACATATTAGGTACTCAATTAATATTGGTTATATGAATGAGGGCTTCCTTCTACTTGAATATAATGTCCCTCAGAACTGCTATTTCTTTTGGCTTACCACTGTATCTCTAGTGCAGGAGCAGGCATTCAATAAATACATGTTGAGTGGGCAGCCGAATGGTGGATTGAATAAAATTACATCAGCACTAAAATACTGGTGCTAGAAGGGGAATATGGTATAAATATCCCCTTCCCTATGTCTCTAGACAACATATCTGACTTACCAATCATCCATTTTACATGTTAGGTTGTGATACTCCTGAAGAAAAAGAAGTTTGTTCAATTTTTTATGATTTACAATGGCTTTATATTTTCATTAATTTTTTCCAAAGATTGAATGAGCTTAAAACACCAACTCAGCTATTAGGACAGACAGGCAAAAAACATGTTTGTTTTGAGTCTTTCAAATACAAAGTTTGGATATTTCAATTGTCTTCACCATTTAGGACAATTTTCTTCAGATAAAAATTTAAAATCATCACTTCAGAAGCCATTTAAAATTCCAACAAAACTGAAAGTAGTAAAGACCTAATTGAAGACAATGTTGAGGTCTTATCTACATTTGTGCACATGCGGCTGATGCAATAATGATTTGGTTATTGTGAACATGATGATAACTATGGTCAAATTAAACATATTTATATAGGCATATTTTAGGAATATGAAACAGATAACTTAGCCATGCTATTATCCAATCATTTCTTAATTGCATGCTAATTTTATATACTCAGTTGTGATTCTGGTTCTTGTACTATCAAGCTGTCTATTTTGGTAGTAGATATATGAAAGCACCTGGGTAACATACAAGTTGGAGAAAACTAACACTCTTTCTTGGTTTCTTTGTCACTATCACCCTTGTTGTGAAAAAAGATCATAGCTTTTTCTACCTAATCCCCATTTCATCTTTCTGTGTTATTTGTTTCCCTTTAGTTGTAACACAATGAACTCAGATTAATAAGAAAATAGCATCACAGTTTAAGATAATATTGATTCTGGAGAACAACCGAGAATGCTGTGTGTTTTCCTTGACGAATTGATAGGATGGAATTCTAGAATATCCTTCTGAAGAAAAATTCAGCAGGTTATAAAACCCAGGCTCAATGACCCCAGAAAACCATGAGTGTTTGAATAACCATCAACAAGGGGATGGATGATTCTGGAAGGTTAATATAATATGTGCCTTTTTTGAAACAATCTTTATTTGCTTTTATGTTTCTACAGAAATGCTATCCACATTCACACTAATTTGTGGAGTTTGTGTGTGTGTGTGTGTTTCTTCACCCTTAGGAATCACAAAGAGAATACTTTGAGAAAAAAAAGTTCTCAGAAAATTTGTCATTTTTGTAGGATGCTGATCTTTTCACTATTTCTACAAGGTATGCAGCTGCATAGCAAGCAGGGATACAGAGGACTTTCCTGCTGAGCTAACAGGTTTCTGTTGTGATGGAAACAAGTAAAAATTATAGTAATTTTGAGGGTCAGTAGCACAACTATCCTACATCATATGCTTAGATGGAAATTTTGTATGTCAGCTGGATTATAACCACTGCTGATTTCTTAACCCTGCTTAATATCAGGGAGGATTTTACCTGGCACTTTCGGTTCATTTCCTTTAACAAAATTACTTTTAATAATGTTATTCTTTTTTCTCATGAGAATAGTTTACTACTCATCTCTCTGGTTTCTTACTAACAGAAGCTTCTGTTTACTAACAATTAATTCTGGCTATGTTATTGAAACTTAAGAAGCAATAATATAGGAGAAAAGGGGATCAACACAAAATGTTTTTTCTTTCCTTAACAGCTACCCAGACAGTAGTCCTATCTAAACAGGGCAGCATCTTCAGAAATTTCTCAGAAGCACACCAAAAAAATCATAAAATGAGGGTAATCTGACCTCTGCCTATGCAAAGAGGTGATGTTTAATCTTCCCACTGACCAAAGAATGAAAATCTCATTAAAAAGTAGTTTCAAGGTGATGGAAGCAGGAAGCAAGAGATGTCAGAACTCTCAAATTGTGTTCTTTATTCACATTAATATAGTTATTTAAAACAAGTGTTAGTGTGGGTGTGAAAGCAACCTTTTCTTGCAAATAAATCCCATAAGGAAATATGTATAATAAAAGTGAACTTTACTATATGATAAAATTTCACCCTGTAATTTGTGTGGTTAGCCTAAAAGATGTGTCATCAAGATAAAAGATCTCATCTGGGATGCTGAGGATTAAGGCATTCAGTTTTTTTTATCCTCAAAATAAAATCGAAGCATTATCAATTACCATTTGCCAGAACTGACTCTGTCTCTGACTTTTTGACTTTTGCAACTCTCTCTACGAGCCTGTGTTGTCAATGTTTGTCTTTAGCTATAATGATCTACACACCCACCTTGGGGAATTACTATGCAAGTATCATTAAAATGGTACATGAAAAATCATTTTGTGCTCTCAGGCTATTCAGATACTGATATAAATACAAAGGATAAATTTGCAAGTTCCAGGTCTTGGTAAGCTTCATCAAGTTTATACCAATAAGAGACAATGCCATCAATTTCTGAGGCAGAGTGAATGGGAGTCATGATTAAGACTGACATAAGCTTGGCCCGAGTTTTTGGACTAGTAACTGAAGGTTTGATATGTCCCAAAGACATAAACCAGCACAATATGTTTTGCAAATATTTTAATTAGTTTAAAATTTTTAAGTCAAGATTTTACATAACAACACCCATTTCCAGATTCTATTGAAAAATTTTAAGATCTAAATACAAGAACTACACTGCTTAGTACATCTTTCTGCCTGCTTCACACATCTGAGATCCTGATCCTGTTTCAGATAATATGTTTACGAAGTCAAGAGTATGGACTGACTAGAAGTTTTAGCAACGGATACCAGTTCAAGGTCTATTTTATTTTGTCAGTATCTTAAAATTGTTAACAATGACACATTTGAGAATTTATTCAGAATGTAAATAACAAGATAATTCTTTCCACCAAAAAAATTTATGTTCTGATACTAATTTATCTGTGTTTGTACATATATGAAAATGCAGAAACTTCTGTGTAGATTATTTGAGACCCATTGCATGTTCTGTAATTGAGTTCAAACTGAGGAAGGAAAGAGATATTAGAAGAATAACAGAAAAACCTTAACTTCCACATAACATTTTATGCTATTACTCTTCAGTTAGAGAGTCTTTCTTGACTTCCTTTTGCTCAGTGCATAGAGTTCAGAGACCTGTGTATTAATTTTTTTGTGTGTGGCTTCACCTTATCTTTCTTGGTTCATTTCTTAACATTTTTCTAAGGGAATTTATCTAATAAAGTTTGAATAAATGAATAATGGGAGAATCAGAAAAAGTCTCCACATTTGTTTGGTTTTATTAATTCATAAGATTTAAAGACAGACATACTTGGATCAAATTCTAGCTTGCCACTTAATTAGTTACGTGATCTTGAAGAACTTATTAATGATATGATGTAAACCTTTCTAAACACTAGTTTATCACCTGGTTCTTAGTATTCATGTGGATAAAATTACATAAGAATACAAGTAAGTTTTCTCCTTTTTCCCATACAGTCCTCCCATTGTGTTAGTTTTTTGATAGTGTTCCATTTGCTTAAAACATTTCCTAGGTGTCTTCAACATATAAAAAGTTAATCATGCCTAATACAAGAATCATACCCATCACAATATTTTGTTAACATCTCCTGTAACAGAGTTTCAACCACATAATTTATTATTTGTTTAATGATTTAAGGTTTTTCTCAGTGACTATGTTAAGATTTTTCAAGGGCAATGGAAATAACTCAACTATCTATAAAAATAGCAGGGATGATGAAAACAATTGGCATTTATATATCAAGTTTTGATAAACCAAGGGCTTTCACATACTTTATCATATATAAGATTTACTACTCAAAAAGCCTTGTAAAGTGGGTAAGGTAGGTATTGTTCTTATTACCCTAATTTCATATGTGAGCTGAGAGACCTAGAAGACCTAGAGGACATGCAGATTTTTGCCTATAGTTAGAAACCCTAATTTATATCGTCTGCCTTTGAATCCAGAGTTTTTCTACTACATCATATTTTCTTCCAAGGAACAAATAGAATCATAGGTATATGGTTGATTGTGACAATAAAAGTTCACTGATTGATTTATGAAAACTAAGATAGGTTTTAGAATACAGATAATCTTTTCTTCACAGTTTCACAAATGTGTATTTTTATTGTCATCTGCATTTGTAGTTATGATAAATAAGTTTGCTCTAACTTAGAGATAAAGAAACAAAGTTTTTTGATTCACCAGGGATTTCCAGACCAACAGCCCTTGGGAGGTGCTTTAAGATTGCTAAAAGTTTGTAACAGTAGCAGGCATCACCAGAGCCCATCACTCCTTAGAGTAGTACACTCTGGTTTCCATGTCCCTGTGAAGACTGTGTATCACATTTCTGTCCCCAAAAGGTGCTTGTGTCACATCCCTGACTCCAAAAGTGTTTTAATTTTTTACCTCTGGTAAATACATTGCCCTTGAGTAATGTTTTATCCTTGGAAATAGTTTCTTATGACCCATCTGAAAGGATGTTAGTTTCAATGGGCTCTGGGATCCCAGCCCTCACTACTACATGTGGTTTCTACTTAATGGATTCTGTCTCGTCTGTCCCTGATATTTTTTCAAGTTAATTATTTGTAGTGATATCACAGTGAATAAAAAGTCCTCAAGGTGAAAAACCGGAATAGTGCTTACAAGTAAATGGCCAACCTAATGATGGGTCTGAAATATATGCCTCAAGAAGGTACAATACTGTTTATATTAATTTTACAAGGTCATAGATAATGGATCTGTACTATTGTAATCAAACAGAGGACGCATGATATAATCCAAAAGAGACGCAAATGGGTCTGGGCGCTGGAGATTGCTCATGTTAAAGGAAAGGTCAGAATACTTATGCACCATCTACTGGATGGTTAAGCTTTCAAAACCAATGTAATCATATACAAATGCGCTGAGATTGATTTAGATTAGGTATGCAAGCATACCTAGTCTTTATATTGGTCATCAGCCCTCAATATGAAAAAGATTCTTCAGTAGATTGTGGTACATTATATGTTAATGAATTTGACTTTTTTTTTTTTTTACGGTGACCATTGTGTCACATTCCAATTCATACGGATTAGAGGTTCCCAACCCATAATAAGCCTCAGAATCACCTGGTGAATTTGTTAATACACAGACTTCTGTCTCTCTGTTAAGTTTCTGATTTACTAGACCTGAGCTGGGAAAAAGGAATTATTTCTAACAAGTTCCCATGATGGCCGGGTGCGATGGCTCACGCCTGTAGTCCCAGCTTACTTGGATGGCTGAGGCGTGAGAATTGCTTGAGCCCAGGAGGCAGAGGTTGCAGTGAGCCAAGATTGCCCCACTGCACTTCAGCTTGGGCAACAGGGTGAGACCCAGTTTCAAAAATAAATAAATAAATAAATAAGTAAATAAATGAAAATAAAAATAATTAAAAATAACTAGTTCCCAGGTAATGCTGATGCTGCTGGTCTATGGGTAGCATTGATACAGATTAAAAAGTTATTAGTGTAGCAAATCCCCCAGATACCCTTTATTAAAGCAGTTTCAGATGGTCTGATTTAGCCTGATTCCACTACCATTATAAAGTGTTTTCTTGATGCTAACACACCTTGCTAGAGCACTAATAGTGGCTGAGAATGCCTAAGAATTTTTATTTGGGATTTATTTTTTACATAAAATAATACTTGCAAATAATGTTTTAAATCCAATCATACTATGAAGACTATGGTGGTAACCAGCAATCCTCTTACCCACCTCCCCTACTTGCAATTTCTGATACCAAGGGGCAACTGTGTCAATCTTTTATTTTCATTCTGTCATATGACTCCATATTTATAGATAACGTGTATATCACTGTTCTCTATTTTTTCCTATTTTGGTTTTATCTACTGCTTTCCCATTATAGAAAATATCTATTTAACTGTCTTATTCCAGTCTTTCCCTCAACCTCCAGTATACTTATGTTAGTTAAGCCAATATTCCGGTTAGATTATTCATATCTGAATCAAACAACCTGCTATGATTAGGATTTCTTTTTTATACATTGTTTTTGTTTCTTATAGCCTTATCAACTGGCCCACTTTTCATTTGCTTAGTTTTTAATATATATCATTAATGCATTCTAATCTCTTTGGAAGAACTGTAATTCTCATTTCAATATTTTTTTTAAAGGAAAGAAGTTCTGTGTGTGTGTGTGTGTGTGTGTCTGTGTGTCTGTGTGTGTGTGTTTCTGTGTGTGTGTGTGTTTTCCCACAGAGACATCCTTTCTGGAGCTTCTCTCCTTTCCCTTATACAGTTGGACTGGAGGATCTCTGGACTTGCTACCATTTTGCCACCTCTCTGCAATGTTGTATCTTTTTCCTTCTGTCTCTAATTTTGTTTGTTTTTCTGTTTCTCAGTAGGATTCCTTTGACCTTCATTTTCCAAACTGTGTCTTAATTTTTCTCTCCCTGATATCACATTTTTACATTTCAGGAACTCTCTCTGATTCTCTAAATGCTTCTTTTTAAAAATCTGTATCTCCGAAGGAACTTTTCTTAAAGTTCTTTGAGAAAATTAAATTTAGAGTTTTTGAAGCTTTTATCTGCAGCTTACATTGCCTCTGTTTTCTTCAAGTTTGGTATGCTTTTTGTTTCTTTTTGGTCTCTTAATTATACGTTAAAGGCTCCCCAAAATCCCTGGAAATCTTTTGCTGCCTATTCATACTCATGAGTGAAGTCGTGAAAATAGTGATATGAAGTTCTCTGTGTAGAGAAGGGCTTGCTAATTAGGCTATTTCCCACATGGTTACTGGGTGTGCACCTAGGAGCCAGTACCTGCATCTCTTCCAGTTGATTTCAATTCTCCAGGTAGGAATTCCTCCATCTCTTATGTAAGGATGTAAGCTGTGGACTGGCAGCTTTCTGGAGGTCTAGTAAGGGAAGATAACTTCATTAACAATGTTTGATACATAGGCTAACAACATAGGCTAACATGGAACCCTGATTTTCACTGCAGTTTGACAACCTTATATTTAACTGTTTCTGGTGGCCTGAGAACATACCATTGACGCTCCAGTCTTCTATGGGTGGGAGTACAGTGGATGGCCCTCAGAAATCACTCCCTTGTTTGAGTCGAAGAGAGAACCCAGAAGAGTCTAACTGCCCCTTATTAAAAATGGTCAATCTTTATCTTTTCACATTTAACCTGACAGTCAGATATATAAAGTGTCCCCAGTTTTTACACATTTTGAAAATTCCGTGCCATAAAAAAATACTTCCTTCCCAGCAGTTCCCAGCTATTTACAAAAACTTTATGTGAGTTCTAGTATCTTCTTTCCTGATGCATCTGATGCTTTATTGTCATTTTCATTTGGCTGCTGGAGAGAGTAAATGTTAACTTTTGTGTTCAATTAACTTTTGTTCAATCTGCATTATATTACTACTTATTAAGAATTCGCTATATTACATATATCAAAATAAGGAAAATAGAGTGTCCCTGGTATTCAGAGAGAGCTTAAACGCTGGAGTTTACACAAGAATACCTCCATGTTTCATGTCAAAATTTATTTTAAAATTATCTATTTTAATCTGAAAGTTATGTTTGTAAATTAGTGTTATCTAAATCAGTGTAGGAGATTTTCATTAGTGTTCAGTACTTATCACTGTAAGAGCATGGCTGAGACAAAACATGGGTTACATATTTCATATTCATTTGATTCTTTAATACTTTCTTTGTATAGCTGAGTTCAAAAATTTCTAATTATAAGTTGATCATCAATTCAAAAAAATGTTTGATTTTTTTAAATGTTTGCTATATATCCCCAAAACTGTACTTTTCCATTTTCTTTTACTTTTACCATGTCATTTTCTATTTACTTTTCCATAACTTTTGTTTCATCTTCCTTTTAAAAATTATCAGTATTCCTGATATTTTACATAAACTCACCATAATCTGTATATTTGTCCCTCTTTTTTTCTGAGCTCACCAATATTATGAGCAACAAATTCTTTGAAATGTGTAGATTATAGTCACCTGATTGGGAAAATCTTTTCTTTTATTTTCAACTACCTTTTTTAAGAAAAGAATATTATGCCCCATTTTTATCCTTTCAAAACAAGTATATCTTTTATAAGCTATGAAGATGGGCTAAAGGTAGATAATTTTTCAAAAGCATAATGGCTGTATTATCTAAAACTAAGAAATAAGACATTTTATGTCTTGAAAAGGCTGTTAGAATAAAATTACCTCACTGAAATTATTCATCTTTTGGCTAAATTGACTTTTTTTTGCTTTCTAGAATTTTATTTTCTTCATTCAGTGGATGTATTACTTATTTCTGAAAAAGAACAAAAGAAAAAATAGCATGTGAATTTGAAAACACTTATTTTACATTATCTTGACTACAAGATTGTGAAGATAAGCTTTATTCAAAATGATTATTGTTTCTTATTACCAGAAATAAACATCATAAAAAAGAAGTAGCTTCAGCAATGTACACAGAAATAATTTTCAAGTTGACATTATAACATATCGGACTTTGGAAAAGCATAAACTATATTTTGTGACTACAGTGGATGAATGGGTGATAATTTCAACTATAAGTGTAAACATGCACTATGTTTCCAGAAATCTAGATGAGAGACAGTATTTAATAGTTTTTAAGAGCACAGTTTTGGTCTTAACAGAACTGGTCCAAGTCCTGGCTCTGCCACTGTGGTTTACCTCAAGCCATTTTAGTTATTTGATCCTCAGTTTACTCGGCAGAAAAATGGGGATTTACAACTCGAGGCTATCATAAAGATTAAACAAACTTCTATACACAGAGTATTTAACGTAGAACCTGGCACATAGTGAGCATTCAATGAATGGTTGCTAATGTTACTACAAAGCCGTTCAGATATGTTTGATCAAAATAAATAAAACTGTACCAATCAAAACAAAATTAATTAAATGCAACACCAAAATTGGTAGCATTACCAATATTTACACTTTGGGCAAATAAAAACAGCTAGGCATTTATGCTTACAGGTGACACGCTAAATATTAGCGTCTCTGGATGAAATAAAATAGGGAATGATAGTTGTTGCAGGAGAGGTGTGCTCTCATTTTAAAGGTTAAAAAAAAGATTTAAAATGTGTATAAATCTGGTCACCAGCGATAGCTTTCTTTTCATTATACTCAGAAGATTCACTTATTTAACAGATATTCTTTGATTGCCTATTATGTGCCCGGCTGTGTTTACCTACCATGCAAAAGGAAATACCTCCTTTTTATGCTTGAATACTTTCCTTTTCCACAGACATTTCCACTGGGCCTGGGAGATGGGCAATTCTATTCATGGACAGATGGTTTGAGAAGAAAGGACTGGCATGACTATGAAAGCATTCAGAAAGAGGCTATGCGCTCAGGTATGAAGCTCAGTGTACGCCAAAGTGCTATTTCACTCGCAGCAGTGTCTCATTTGTCACGTAAAGGATCTCTAATTAGCATTTCTTCTGCACACTGTAAAGTATGTTTCATGGGGATATTGGAGGTGATACTGGACAGAACCTAAATGACTTCAAATTTCAGAGAGAAAACAAATAATGAATAGTCTTTCTAATATTAGCTGTGGTAAAAGTCATTAAAATTTAAGAAATATATAGTACTATATATTCCCAACTGCTTGTTCATAATTTCTAGGGGTATCCTGGGATTTATCAATGAGACTTGACCTGGTAGATATGTATCTTGAGCAAGATTGACTCCTTAGAGCTGAAGTGTATCTAACTGGCAATGCAAAGTATTTAATTTGTACCAATGTTTCTAGACACTGGCGGGACGTACAGCAAGCCAGCAGGTCAAGCAGCTGGGGTTCTAAGGTTGGCAATAGTTGGAAAAGCAATCAGGCAGTTAAACGGAATCAAGTAGGTCTGTGTGTAGCAGAGTTCTAGACTTGGTGCTAGAGTTAAAGGACAAAGTAGCAAGAAAGAATAGGTCTTTCCACTTTGGGAGACCGAGGCAGGCGGATCACAAGGTCAGGAGATCGAGACCATCCTGGCTAACGCGTTGAAACCCCATCTCTACTAAAAATACAAAAAATTAGCTGGGTGTGGTGGCGGGCACCTGTAGTCCCAGCTACTCAGGAGGCTGAGGCAGGAGAATGGCCCGGGGGGTGGAGCTTGCAGTGAGCCGAGATCGCACCACTGCACTCCAGCCGGGCGATAGAGTGAGACTCCGTTTCAAAAAAAAAAAAGACAAAAAAGAATAAGTCTTTCTAGAAGGACTGAAAAATTAGGTTGTTAGGCTGTTGTGAACAGAAATTCAGAAGGGTATATCAGTAGAAATCCAGTGAAAGTGAGTAACTCATGATAGGAAGCCCATATTCTCTTATTCAGCCAAATAAGTTATTTTCACAATAAGGATGTCACAGAAATGGAGCAGCTACAGTTTGGTAAAGACATCTCAGCAGCCCTGAGACACTGCATTCAAGGTAAAATCAGCAGCAGAATTATAACTTAGCCAGGGTGTGAGGTCCTCTTGTTCAACTAGAGTTAGTAACAAAATTGTTCTGGGCTGTGAAATGTTCGTAGCTCTGTATCAGGTATGGCTGACTGAATTACAGTCTTTTTTATTTTCTTGCATTCCTTTTCTTCCAAAAAAGGCCTGCCCCACGCCCCACCCCCAGCTTTTTAAAGCAGCTTATTCCAAAGATGTTCCCTGTTTTCAGAGCGTCAACTTCTTCTAGGTTTTATCATCTTTCCACCTTGGCAGTGACCCCATGAATGGTCGTGAAAATGAGTTCCTTACCAGCATCCTCACTTTTCTAGTACTTTTATTTTTTTCCTCTATTTGCTTGATCAACCCTATATTAATCCAACCACTTGTTTCTCCTTATGACCCCAGGATGCTGAAGTTTTTTGGAAATGTTTTCATAATCTTACCAACTGAATCTTCCACAAGTTAATAATAAAATAGCCCAAATTTACTGAATGGATGTTTTATACTAAGTGCTTTGCATATGTATTTTATTTAAACCTCAGAATAACTCTGATAGGTATAATTATCCCAAATTAAGTAAAATTGAGTTCCTACAAATTTATTAAATTTTATCCAAGTTCAAGTAGCTAATAATTTGCAGCTCTGGATTAAGAACCAGGTCTTATCATGGTCCATTATACTCCACTGTCAAATAATAATAATTGGAAAATATGGAGTAATAGCAAGGACACAACAGGAGAAAGACACACCTAGGTTCAAATCCTAGCATTTCCATACATGCACTGTGGCAAATCAATTTCTGTTTCTGATATTCTACTTTGTAGAATTTATTTAAGGATTAAAGAAAATATACCCACAGTAATTGTCCAATTATTTGGACATATTGGAAACTCAACTAATGATAACTGTAATTATTAATCCATGTAAGTTACTTTTACATGAATTGGTATGCCTATCCTTTGCTTGTACAAATGAGTTTTGAATACAAAATCCAGTGCTTCACATTTATATCTGCTCCATACCACCCTTTCCACCTCCTGAATAAACTTGTCTTTTCTATCTTCATCTTTGCTATGACCAAGGGAAAATTGATCACAAAAGAAATTGGTAATATCACAAGTTTTTAAGTACAAATTCTTTGTGTAATTGAAAAGCTTTTACATGGTAGAATTTTTTTTATTCACTGGAGGATATATGATAAATTTATATACTAGAATATTATTTTTATACAGTGAAATATATCATAAATAAAAGTGTATTAAGACATACGTGTGTGTACACACACACTCAGGTACAGAGTCAAAATCAAATAAACATCTTTGTACTTCATATACAGGCCAAGGAAAAGGATCATTTGTGCCATTGTGTCCCCTCTAAGACTTTAATTTTGTGTTTACTCTCTTATTTTTCTCTGTAGTTTTTACTGCCAGTGTATTTATCCTGAATCAAATACTGGTAAGTTTTGCCAGTGTTTGAACTTTATCTAAAAATTTAATTTTACTGTATGACTTTCTTCTTTCACTCAAAAATATTTTTGAGATTTATCTAGGTCAATGTGTGAAATGTTAGTTGGTTCATTTTTACTATTCTTTAATTTTCTGTAACATTGTCCTCTTGGTGGGCCTTTGAATAGTTTTAGTTGTTGTATATAATGCTGCTATAAGTATTCTTGTGCATGGTTCTGGGGTAGGGACAATATTAAGGTACATATTTAATAGTAGATTTGTATGTCTAGAGAATGCACAGTTGAACTTTATTAGGTCATGACAAGCTGCCAAAATTGATACACCAATTTCATTTCAATCAATAATGGATAGAATTCTCACTGCTGTACATCCTTGTGAATATTTGAAATTGACTTTTCCCCCAATTTGGTGATATGAAATAGTCTCTCACTGTCACTTAGATTTGCATTTTATTAATGCAAGCAAATTAAAATGTAGTTGATATCTTTTTTATGCTATGGGGACATTTGTTCTTCCTTTTTGGTAAAAGTCCTATTCATTTCTGTTTCCATCTTTTGAATTATTTGCTCCACACAGTGTTCTTAATTTATTTTAAATGATATCCTTTGGTGGTTTTATTTAGTGACAAGCACGTATCCTACATTTTGTAGATTATTTTAAAACATCTCTTTATGTATGGTTTAATGAATAGTTTTCAATTTTGAGGTAGCCAAATCCAGCAATCATTTTTAAAAGATAGGTCATACTGATGTTCTACATTGTCTTTTAAAAACTTGATAATTTTGGCTGGGCCCAGTGGCTCACATCTGCAATCCCAGCACACCGGGTGGCAGCAGAGGGAGGATCGCTTGAGCCCAGGAATTTGAAAGCAGCCTGGGAAACATAGCGAGACCTCATCTCTCCAAAAAAAAAAAAAAAAAAATTCATCCGGGCATGGTGACATGTGCCTGTGGTCTCAACTACATGGAGCTGAGGCAGGAAGATCACTTGAGCCTGGAATTCGAGGCTGCAGTGAGCTATCCAGCCTGGGCTGGAGACTCTGTCTCTAAATAAATAAATAAATAAATAAATAAATAAATAAGCAAGCTTGATAATTTTACATTTTACATTTGGGTCTTAGATCCACCTAGTCTTCATTTTTACATAATGTGAGGTAGGGATCCAATATTTATTTAGTTTTTATTCACTTAACCAATTATTATTAACATTTATTAAGAAATTTGTCTTTCCCTCCATTGCTCTGAACTATTGACTCTATTATAAATTAAGTTTCCATATTTATGTGTTCTTTTTCTGGGTTCTCTATCCTGTTCTGTGAGTAAAAATCCCTGTGCTAATACCATAATAGCTAATGTACTATATCTTTATTACAACTATTACTATCTGGTATAGCTCACCAAAAAAGAGCTACATTCTTGCTCTTCTTTTTGTTGTCATTCTTACATTGTACTCTTCCTTAAAATTTTGTATTCGGTTTTAAATTTCACATTAACATACACAGATATGCACAAAAAAATGGGAATTTTTGAATTGTATTTAGCCTATGGATAAATTAGGAGATAACTGATATTTTCCAATATAGAATAATCTATTCTATGGTACATTATTATATTTATTTGCTACTTATTTATTATATTTAAGGATGGCTTTGTAATTTTGTTCTCAGATTATGTTTAGTATTAATCTTAGTAAACTAATATTATATTGATTTTGTTCACATAATGATTATACTGAAATTCCTCGTTGTTTGTAGTTGTAATATAGAAATGTTAATAACTCTTAACACTGATATGAATTTAGAAAATGTTCTAAGGTTTTCCATTAATTCAAAACATTTACCAATAGTTTATTTTGGATTTTAAAAATGTAGACACTCATATTTGCTAGTAATGACAGTGATTTTAAAAATGTTTTTTTCTATTCTAGACCCTATAATTTTAGTTTTAGTTTTCTCCTATTATTATAATTGCTAAGAACTGCAGTGTAACATTGAATAGTTGGTAATAATGGCTACTTTTGGCATTTTATGATTCTCACAAAAGCAATTTAAATGCTCATTTTGAGATTTTATCTGCCTGTCTATTGTTAGATCAATTTGTCTAATGTAAATACATTTTATCATGTTTATTAACACAATACCAATACACTATGCACTTTAACAAATACACTTATGTTACTTCTGAATCTGTTTTGCTGAGAGTTTGTGACTTTCTTTTAACCTGAAGGAGTGCTGATTTTATTAAAAGTTTTTTGTTCATTTGCATTTATTAACATAGATAAATGTTCTCCTTTAATCTGTTATTGGGTAAATTATATCTATTGCTTTTCTAATGGAAACCAAATTTGTTATTCTAGACTAAATCTTCCTTTTTTTAATAGCTACATTTGATTTGTTAATATTTTGTTTGGCATTTTCAAATCTTTATCTATGAATTAATATTGGCCCCAAATTTTCTATTCTTATCAAGTCTTTGTCAAGTTTTGGTAACAGTATAATGAGCTCATAAAATGACTGTTTAATACTTGCTGTTTTTTATACTTCATAATTGTTTGTTGTAAACTAAAATTATTTCTTTAGTGATCATTATGGATTTTTTTGTGGATGAAGCTCTGTTGACCTGAACTTTTCTTGGAGCATAGATTTTTAACTGCTTGGCTAACGTTTTATGTAGTTACAGTAGTAGTTGATTATCTATTTCTTCTGGAATTAATGGTATTCTTCTAGTAATTTGTCCATTATATCTAAATGTTTATATTTATTAATACAAATTTATTCACATATTCTTATGTCCTCATAAGATTTTCGTAATGCCTGCAATGCTTAAATTTATATTACTTTTTTCAGATATTGTTAGTTTTTTTTTTCTTTTTGCTTTCTTAATCTATTTCTACAAAAATTTGTCACTTTTTTGTTTGTTTGTTTGAGATAGAATTTCACTCTGTTGCCCAGGCTGGAGTGCAGTGGTGTGATCTCGGCTCACTGCAACCTTCACCTGCCGGGTTCAGGCGATTCTCCTGCCTCAGCCTCCCGAGGAGCTTGGACTACAGATATGCACCACCATGCCCGGCTAATTTTTGTATTTTTAGTGGAACAGGGTTTCACTATGTTGGCCAGAATGGTCTAGACCTTCTGACCTCTGGTGATCCGCCCACCTTGGCCTCCCAAAGTGCTGGAATTACAGGCATGAGCCATTGTGCCAGGACAAAAATTTGTCACTTTTATGAGTTATTTCAAAAGCCAGTTTTTGACTCTGTTCATCTATTTTATTTTTCTCTAATTTTTTTCTAACTTTTTAAAAATTTTGTTTGCAGTAACTTTTTTATTTTTTACTTTTAAAATTTCAACATTTATTTTTGTTTCAGGGGATATGTGTGCAGGTTTGTTATGAGGGTATATTGCATGATGCTGAGGCCTGGGGTGTGATTGAACCTGTTACTCCAGTTCTCAGCATAGTGCCCAGTAGGTAGTTTTTCAACACTTGCCCACTTCACTCCCCCTGCCCTGTAGTCCCCAGTGTCTACTATTCCCATCTTTTTGTCCAGGTATGCCCAGTGTTAACCCACAAATGGGTTAACTCCCACTTATAAGTAAGAATATGTAATATTTCATTTTCCGTTTCTGGGTTAATTTGCTTAGGATAATGACATCTAAGTGTATCCATGTTGCAGCAAAGGACATTATTTCATTCATTTTTATGGCCGCATAGTATTCCATGGTATACTTAAAAATAAATTTATACCTCCTAATTTCAGTCATTTTTCTATTGTAGAATAAGCATTTTGGAAACTAAATTCCCGTCTGAATATTACTTTAACTACATTGCACTGCTGTGTGATCCAGTGTTTCACATTGTATTTGCTTTTCTTTCAGTATGTTTTGAAATGTCTAGCCCACTTAAAAAGCACTGAAATTATTTTAAAATAAGAAAATTCAGAAACTCCTTCCCAATGAAATCTCACTAATCTTTATAAAAGTATATTAGCTGCCAGGCGTGGTGGCTCATCCCAGCACTTTGGAATGCCGAGGCAGGCGGATCACGAGGTGAGGAGATCGAGACCATGCTGGCTAACATGGTGAAACCCCGTCTCTACTAAAAATGTAAAAAAATTAGCCAGGCATGGTGGCAGGCACCTGTAGTCCCAGCTACTTGGGAGGCTGAGGCAGGAGAATGGCATGAACCCGGGAGGCAGGGCTTGCAGTGAGCCAAGATGCGCCACTGCACTCCAGCCTGGGCGACAGAGTAAGACTCCGTCTCAAATAAAAAAAAAAAGTATATTAGCATGATAGGCAGCATGCATTTCATTACATACTTTGTTAGTGTTTTCATTAATGTTGTTACATTACATTTCTGTTTCGTTCTGGTAATTACACCTCTGTGGAATATTTGGTGATTTTTTAGATATCAGTTATTTTATTTTATTTTGTTTTACTTTTAATTTTAGGTATACATTTGCAGGTTGATTCTATAGATTGCAAGTTGTGGGGGTTTGGTGTACATGTTGTTTCATCACCTAGATAATAAGCATAGTATTCAATAGGTATTTTTTTGATCCTCAACCTCCTCCTACCCTTCATCCTCATGTAGGTCTTAGTGTCTGTTGTTCCCTTCTTTGTCTATGTGTACTCAACGTTTAGTTCTCACTTATAATAAGAACATGTGATGTTTAGTTTCCTGTTCCTGCTTTAGTTTACTTGGGACAATGGTCTCCAGCTCCATCCATGTTGCTGCAAAAAACATGATTTCATTCTTTTTTATGGCTACATAGTATTCCATGGTGTATATTTACCACATTTTACTTATCCAGTCTACCATTGATTGGCACCTAAGTTGATTCCATGTCTTTGTTATGGTGAATAGTGCTGCAGTGAACATACACATTCATGTGTCTTTATGGTAGAATGACTTATATTCCTTTGGGTGTATACCCAATAATGCATTACTGGGTTGAATGGCAGTTCAGTTTTAGGTTCTTTGGGTAATCTCCAAAATTCCACAATGGCTGAACTAATTTACATCCCCATTAGCAGTGATTAGTGATCACTAATGATGAGTGATGTTGAACATTTTTTTCATTTGCTTGTTGCCTATTTGAAAAGTGTTCATATCCTTTGCCCACGTTCTAATGGGTTTGTTTACTTTTTGCTTGTT
The DNA here is from genome assembly GCF_000001405.40 of Homo sapiens. Taxonomy (NCBI): domain Eukaryota; kingdom Metazoa; phylum Chordata; class Mammalia; order Primates; family Hominidae; genus Homo; species Homo sapiens. Next base: position 172,237,453 of record NC_000004.12, read on the forward strand.
AAAGTGTGTAAGTTCCTTATAGATTCTGGATATTAGATCTTTGTCAGATGCATAGTTTACAAATATTTTCTCCCATCGCATGTGTTGTCCATTTACTGTGTTAATAGTTTTCTTTGCTGTGCAGAAGCTCTTTTGCTTGATTCAGTCGCATTTGTCAATTTTTGGTTTTGTTGCAGTTTTTTTTGATGTCTTCATCATGAAATATTTGCCAGAGCTTAAGTCTAAAATGGTATTTCCTAGGTTTTCTTCAAGGATTTTATAATTTTAGGTTTTACATTTGAGTCTTTAATCCATCTTGAGCTGATTTTTTTATATTATGTAAGGAAGTGGTCTAGTTTCAATCTTCTGTATATGACTAGCCAGTTACCATAGCACCATTTATTAAATAGGGAGTCCTTTCCCCATGCTTGTTTTTGTCAGCTTTGTCAAAGATCAGGTGGTTTCAGGTGTATGGCTTTAAATCTGGGGTCTCTAGTCTGTTCCATTGGTCTATGTGTCTATTTTGTACTACTACCATGCTGTTTTTATTACTGTAGGCTTGTAACATTGTTTGAAGTCAGATACTGTGATGCCTTCAGCTTTGTTCTTTTTGCTTAGATTGCTTTGGCTATTCAGGCTCTTTTTTGGTTTCATGTGAATTTTAAAATAGCTTTTTTTAGTTGTGTGTTTAGTTTAGTTAGTGAAGAACGTCATTGGTAGTTCAATAGAAATAGCATTGAATCTGTAAACTGATTTGGGCAGTATGGCATTTTAACAATATTCTTTCTGCCTATTCATGAGCATGGAGTGTTTTCCCATTTGTTTATTTCATCTCTGATTTCTTTGAGCAATGTTTTGTAATCCTCATTTTAGAGATCTTTCACCTCTCTGGTTAGCTTTATTCCTAGGTATTTTATCTTTTCTGTGGCTATTGTGGATAGGACTGCATTCTTAATTTGCCTCTCAGCTTGGATGTTGCTGGTGTATAGAAATGCTACTAATGTTTCTACATTGATTTTGTATCCTGAAACATTGCTGAAGTTGTTTATACAATCTAGGAGCCATTGGCAGAGAATATGGGGTTTTCTAGTTATGAAATTATATTGACTGCAAAGAGGAATAGTTTGACTTCCTCTCTTTCTATTTAGATGCTTTTTATTTCTTTCTCTTGCCCAATTGCTCTGACTAGGACTTTCAGTACTATATTGAATAGGGAGTGATGAGAGAGGGTATACTTATCTTGTGCCAGTTTTCAAGGGTGATGCTTCCAGCTTTTGTCTGTTCTGTATGATATTGGTTATGGGCTTGTCACAGATGGCTCTTGTTATTTTGAGGTATGTCCTTTAGATGCCTAGTTTGTTGAGGGTTTTTAATATAAAGGGATGCTGAATTTTATTGAAAGCATTTTCTGAATCTATTCATATGGTTATATAGTTTTTATTTATAGTTCTCTTTATGTGATGAATCACATTTATTGATTTGCATATGTTGAACCAACCTTGTAGCCCAAGGATAAAGCTTACTTGATCATGATGGATTAGCATTTTGATGTGCTGCTGGGTTCAATTTGCTAGTATTTTATTAAGGATTTTTGCATCTATGTTCATCAAAGATATTAGCCTATAATTTTCTTTTTTGTTGTGTCTCTCTGTCGGTTTGGTATCAGGATGATGCTGGTCTTATAGAATGAGTTAGGGAGGAATCTCTCCTACTCAACTTTTTGGAATAGTTTTAGTAAGAATGGTACCAATTCTTTGTATGTCTGGTCGAATTTGGCTGTGAATCCATCTGGACATGGACTTTTCCTGGTTGGTAGCCTTTTTTCTTATTCCATTTCAGAATCAATTATTGGTCTATTCATGATTTGAATTTATTCCTGGTTCAGTTTTAATAGGTTGTATGTTCCAGAAATTTATCCGTTTCTTCTAGGTTTTCTAACTTGTGTGCATAGAGGTCTTTGTAGTAGTCTCTGAAGATTTTTTGTATTTCTGTGAGATTGTTTGTAATGTCAGCTTTGTCATTTCTGAATGTTTATTTGGATATTCTCTTTTTTTCTTTATTGATCTTGCTAGTGGTCTATCTTATTTATTCTTTCAAATAACCAACTTCTGCTTTCATTGATGTTTTGTATTTTTTTTATGTCTCAATTTCATTCGGTTCTGCTCCGATTTTGGTTATTTCTTGTCTTTTGCTAGCTTTGGGGTTGGTTTGCTTTTGTTTTTCTATTTCCTCAAGGTGTGATGTTAGATTGTTAATTTGAGATCTTTCTAACTTTTTTATGTGGGTGTTTAGTGTTATAAACTTTCCTCTTAATGCTGCGTTGTGTGGTTAATTTTAGGATATGTGCCATGTGCTGATAAGAATGTGTATTTTTCTGATTTTGAGAGGTGAGTTCTATAAATATCTGTTAAGTCCATTTGATCAAGTGTTGAGTTCAGAATGCTGAAAACAGGCGACCAATCTCTTCTGTCTTATAAGGTTTCTGCTGAAAGGTCTGCTTTTAGCCTGCTAGAGCTCCACTTGTAGGTGACCTGCTCCTTCTCTTTAGCTGCATTTAATATTTTTGCTTTCATGTTGACCTTGGAGAATCTAATGAGTATGTGTCTTGGGGTTCTCTGCATTTCCTGAATTTGAATGTTGGACTCTTGTGTGAGGTTGGGGAAATTTTCCTGGATGACATCCTCAAATATGTTTTTCAAGTTGCATGCTTTCTCTCCCTTTTTTTCTGGGACACCAGTGAGTTACAGATTTCATCTCTTGACATAATTCCATGTTTTTTGAAGTTTTTGTTTGTTTGTTTGTTTGTTTTTGAGATGGGATCTCACTCTGTCGCCCAAGCTGGAGTGCAGTGGCACGATCTCGGCTCACTGCAAGCTCCGCCTCCTGGGTTCATGCCATTCTCCTGCCTCAGCCTCCTAAGTAGCAGGGACTACAGGCACTCACCATCATGCCCGGCTAATTTTTTTTTTTTTGTATTTTTTAGTAGAGATGGGGTTTCACCATGTTAGCCAGGGTGGTCTCCATCTCCTGACCTCGTGATCCACCCACCTCAACATCCCAAAGTGCTGGGATTACAGGCGTGAGCCACTGCGCCCAGGCTTTGTTTGTTATTTTTTATTCATTTTTTAATTTACTTTTGTCTGACTAAATTAGTTCAGAGGACCAGTCTTACAGCTCTGAGAGTCTTTCCACAGTTTGGTCTATTCTGCTATTTGCAATTGTATTATAAAATTCTTGTAGTGTGTCTTTCAGCTCTATCAGATCAGTTTGATTCTTTCCTTAAATGGCAGTTTTGTCTTTCAGTTCTTGATCCATTTTATTGTCATCCTTAGATTCCTTGGATTGAGTTTTGAGTTCCTCCTTAATTTCCATAACCTTCATTCCTATCCATATTCTGAATTCTATGTCTGTCATTTCAGCTGGTTAAGAATCCTTGCTGGGAAACTTACTGTGGTCATTTGGAGGAAAAAAGAAAAAGACACACTGGCTTTTTGAGTTGCCAGAGTTCTTGTGCTGGTTCTTTTTCACCTGTGTGGGCTGATGTTCCTTTAACTGTGGTGTAATTTGATTATAATCAGTTTACTTTATTTCAGAACATTTTCAGAGGGTCAAGGTTTTGTTCTGGGTCTTTATTCGTAGCTGAATTCTTGTCCTTGGTTTTACAGGGTGTAAGTTAGCAAAATATTTTTGCTATTGAAGTTTGGTCTGTGATCCAGTAGATGGTGCTTAAGTGTAATGGCCAGTAGGCTGGTAGGTAGGCTCTTGCTCAGCCCTGAGGCTCTTCTATGATTTCTCACATTTGTAGCCATCTTAGTTCCCTTCATTTACTTTAAATAATTGTTTTTAATAAATAGGTGGTATACGCAGTGGAAGGCATGTTGTTAAATACTAGAGGTGAGTAATAAGAAAAATATATTATTTCCACCTTTGAGGAAATGGAGATTTCTTGAATTAAGAAAAAAAATGTAAAAGGAGCAATTGAAAGACCTTAGGACCTCATGAATAGCATCAGGATTCTCTTTTGGCACATCTGTGCCCTTAGAGTTAAACCTAACTGTAAAGATTATTCACATTTGTTAATGTTCAAAGAAATCCAGAGTTTTTATTATTTCATAATCTTACACTTCATTATTTTGGTGTTAGCATTGGCCAAACCAATGTATTGGTAGAAGAAGGGTATGAAACCCAACATTGCAGGACCAGGAAGGCTTCCAAAGAGAGGTAAACCAAATGTTAAGGCATTAAGGCATATGCTAACATCAGTTAAGAGTTATGCTTTTATCCAATTAACTCTGATTTCTCCTTCTTATGAGTAGCCACTAACGTAGTCATATTTAAACATTATTGTTTTTCTTATATTTTCTATGTGTAATACCATTATAGTTCATTTAACTAGTTTTATATTTTGTGAGAATTTATTGACACTGTATTTTATCTTTTAACAGTTTGGCTGCACCTCTCAGCTGTACATTATCACAAAATAGATTAGCATTTTTAAAATCTTCATTCAGATTATTAATAAAAGTTGAATGAAAAGAATTTCAATACAAATTCCTTTAATACAGTATAAAAGAGAATGTACATTTTGATATTGATTCATTATTCAATATACATTGAGTATAATTATAGTAGCTGAAGAGCTATCTAGTCGACATTTCTCCACGTATAATTTTTTTTTAAGTAATACATTTCTGAAATAAAAGTAAACTCTGCCTATGACATTTTATGGAACTATAGATCTAACAAATTGGGCTGGGAGTTGAAGGGGAAAATGCAATTGCTTGGATAACTGTTTTCTAAATATATGATCTTTCCTATTTATCATAACTTCCTTTTATAAGTGGTAAAAACATACATGTTAAGTAATCCATTCAGAGATGTGTGTGTGTGTTTGTATGTGTGTGTGTGAGATGTGTATGTGTTTTGTGAAATCATTATATCACTGATATGTTTTCTAGAAAGCATTTGTTTTTAGTTTTGAACTTTAAAATTTTTTCTTTTTATTTTAACTCAAAATATTGTCACTGCATTTGCCACTTGTTTTTGGATTAAAATATGAGTGAACTCAACGTTTTTAAAAAGCTGGTTTCAACTGTTCTATATGATCTATTTTGTTGAAACAGATTATACTCTCATCTAATCAATGTATGTATTCCACTATAAGCCTCAGGAATTCTATGAAATTATGTCTTTTTGCTACTTCAATTTGTCTTAAATAGTCATAATGGTAGGTTTGAATATCCAAGGTTTTATTGAGTCTTCTGTCATTTTATTCATTTACTAATTCAAGAAATACTTTTAAATGCCAAATACTATAGCTCTGGAAGGAAATTTTAGAAAAAAAATAACTATAGTGGTTCTTGAAAAGCATAAGGCATTGTAGGAGGTGCCCTCGCTGTTTATTGGCACTGCGGCCATTCTGATGCAAACCACCAATGTCTCCTGCCTAAACTATTTCAATAAGTCTCTTAACTGATCTTGCTCCAGAGCTCTTCAAATAAAAGCCAGAAGGATCATCTGAACATATATAATCAGATCATTTCACTCCTCTGCTCAAATGCCTTCAAAGGCTGTTAATCATATTCAAAAATAAATCCAACTTTATTCCACTACCCATAAGGCCCAACATGATCTACACCTGACCCATGTCTCTGACCTCAACTCTTACTGATTGGTGTTCAGTTTCTCCACTGGCCACAATAGCCTCCTTGTTCTTCCACAAATATACTAAACATGTTCCAGCAATTTTTCACTTGCTGCTCTTGCTACTTTGAGCACTTCTCATACATATCTTCACAAACCTACTCTCCCCTTCCTTAAGGTCACCAGATCATATGTCCCCAGTTTAGAAAGGCCTGCCAATCACCATATTATCATATGTGGATGTAATTACTTTTATTCACTCTCTGTCCTTTTACTCTGCTTAAGTTTTCTTTCTAGCAATATCTTCCTATCTATATTTACACACATGTATTTACGTTCAATGAGTTAAAATATATGATTTCATGAAATATAACCAATTGTCCAAGGGCTCTAAGTCACAAGATGGTCTTGAATCATTTGAACTGGGCTTTTGGAATAACGGCACTCCTACATTAGGAAAGTATCCTGAGAACCTGCCACAACATGCTTGCTGGTTTCCTCTTTTGGAGATTGCTTCTCATTTCTTCTTTAATCTCATGATTAAAGTCACTAAGCGGTTTTACTAATTACTGCAAATTGCCGTAGATGAACATTTAAAGGATATGCATTGAAACCCCATTCGAGAAGTGGGAATTTACCATGCTTTAAATGATTAACGGTAGGCTTTCCTAAGTTCCTTTAAACAACATCTCACTTTAGTGCTGATCAGGGACCTGTTTTGCTCCTAAATGTCTTTATTCTCCCTAATTGAACAAGATTGTGAACTAAACAGAATGAGAAGCAGAAATGTGCACCATTTGGGTGAGACTGACTATATTGCCTTCAGAAAGTAAAAATAGCAACCATTGCTATGGCTACAATGGGTTTCTGGTCATCTTTTATTGAAGCCTCATGTCTCTTAAAAATATTATCTGGCACCCTTTTTATTACTATCCACAATGTCACATTATTTATTGTTAATAGTTCACTATAATTTAAACATCTAGCATGTGCTCTCAATAGATATCATAATGAGATTTGTTGGGAAGTGGTCAGCTTTGGGAGGTATTACCAAAACAATATTCATTATTATTCATAAGGTTAAAATTAACTTTTAATGAAATATTTCCTTTGTCACTCATTGCATAATAATGAAAATGTAAAATGGAAATGAAAAGAGATTGTGAGCATTCTGTTGAGATGTATCATTTAGCTGTCTAAAATTAGAACACAACTTAGGCTGAGACTAAATTGAATGACAATTATCTAGAGGAAAAATCCCTTCAATCTTAAAATAAAAACAGCAGTGTAGAAATATCTCAGGAGATTTATTAAACTGCAATCAGTTTATATTAAAAGATATAAATAATGCCAGCTTTTAAACAGAATTCAATTTAACTATTTGTTGCAAAACTCATAATATCTCTCTTTAGAAATATCAACTTCCTATGGGCAAGTATGCATAAGATTATTTTTCCCAGTAGTTAAAATGTGGTTGAATAATAGCAACTATCACAGATTTATTTGTTAATTAAACTTCCTGGGCTTTAGTGTTTGTCTTGCATATAGAATATGAAGGATATTTATATCATCACATAACCCTGATTGCTGTGCCTATATGACTATAACTTGAAGCAACTAGCATATGTTTTCTCATGCCATCAAATCTATTCAATGGATACACAATCTCAAAAATTTTTCACAAGGGGGTCTATATAAACATATTTCAAGTAGAGCTATTTCGCTTTGCTTCTGGATTTATATTACAAGAGAAACATTTTGGGAGCTTCTCCCCCAAATCTTTTTTCCTCTTAGTATTGTATTTATGCTTTTGCAAAAATCCCTTTCATGTGTTAGTAGTTGTGATTACTATCAAATTGTTTCTAGCTGTAAATGCCCCACATTTGTGAGGAGTCATATGTGTAGATTATAAGCCTTGATCATGAAGAAACAAGAAAATTTTCTGCTGAAGGAACACGGTATCTGGCAAGAATCAAGACGAAAAAGATCAGAAGCATCTAGTAGAGCAAGGGATTGGAATACAAATTATTGAGTACACTAAGATTAAATTGATTTTATGTCTACCATTCATTTTCCTCAGGTCTTTTGCCCAATTTTATTTTTCCTAGTTTAACTCGTTCCTGCATAGCTGCTAAATGAGGCCAAAATGTAAATTTGTATTTTCTACCAATTTGCCACACAGAAAACTCTAATACCTACCGTACCTAATGTTTTTACCTCAGCTCAAATGCTAATCTTTCTGCTAATAGTAGCTCTGCTCTTGAAATTCCATGAAGTTAGATTTGCCACTGTTGCCATAGACTTGATGGGAGGAGTTAAAGTCATCCTTACATTTAGAGTTACAGTTTACATACTAATGTAGCATGTATATCAACACGTTCTCAGAAGAAGAGTAAGAACTAAAATTAGAGAACAAATTTTTGATGACAGGGACTATGATGTCACCATTATGACATTAACAAAGTTTTGCAACATGTTAATGCTGTATTTACAGAGAGTCTCCCATGATTTGAGGGACTGTGATTCATTCAAGCCCAGATTATCATTAAAGCAAAGCATTGCAGTTTAGACATAACTTTATAGAGATCCAAGTGAGTACTTGAACATCCTCCAAAATTCATATCCAAGATCTGGCACAAATTTGTCAGTGATGAGTTATGGGCCTTCTTGGCTCCATTACCTAATGAGTGCTGTAGAGGAAATGTGTGTGTTTACCCACTAGAGAAGGAAAAGTGCCAGCTCTGGAGCCTGATGGCAACACTTTCCAGAGACTGACTTCAGAACCACAATGCCAGTTTGACTTGATGCTCTTTGCCTGAGTAGCAGTGGGTTTTGAGCAGCTTTCATGCCAGACAAAAAACAACTGTTCCTTCTGAGACTCTGCAATCACAAAAATATAACATAGAGCATCCTCTGGAAAGCTAGAAACTCAGAACTGAGATCATACTAATTTAAAGGAAAATTTATCTGCCAAAAAGTATGAATAATAGACTTGCATTGTTTATGAAACATAGATACTATAATAAGATGAGAAAATAAGATTTAATGGATAAAGAATTTAATACAATGGTGTACTGATGTGAAATGACCAGGAGAGCACAATAGAATTAGCGTTACTAGGCGTTTCGTTCGATAATGATTTACATTTCCAGGATGACCAACTGAGCCTTAGGGATCCAATTTTATTATTGGACTAGAATGACTAGATTAATTTAATAGACATTTACCTAGATAGCAATCTAATAGTATTTGGTCATAGATAATCATTGGGATACCAATATTATGAGTAGGATCCATTTATGCATAGAATTTTTTTGTTTAAAGAAATAGTAATCATTAAAGAATAACTTTTGAAATTGTGGCAAAAGTTTACAAACAAAGACATTATTGGATTGATATTTAATTTTAGTGATTGTTTTATAATAGAAATAAATGTATGCAGCTTAATAAAATACTTTATAAACCTTCTGACAAATACATCACAAATATTTTTATAATCTAACCAGAGGCATTCAATGCATTATCCAAACTTGGGATATCAGCGTCACACTTACAACAAAAATTTAGTATGGATTACAGCAAATCTTTTACTTTCTTTACATACTGCTTTCATGTTTCTCACAAAAACTCTATGAGGCGTAAATGGTCAAATATTAATCCTATTTTAACATGAGAACAAATTCAGAAAAGTCGTGTTTTAAGTTACATATATATGAAGCCAGGCGATTTATATATATATATATGTATATATATATAAATATAAAATTTATCATTTACATACACACACAGTCAAATTAATGCCAGTACTGTAACTTTAATGAGTTCTGGGGTAACCCTGTTTTTATATACTGCTTTCTTCTTATCTTCTTATTGACTTTTCCCACTTTCAGTATTTTCACTAATTCAGGTTAACATTTATAACACATGTGATCCGAATTTCCCTGTGCCTCACCCATCTATGGATGTAATGAGACCATATCAACAGTGATGATTCAATTAATGTGACTTCTGCTCTCCACCACATACAGGCCCTCTAGTCTCTTCTCTATAAAGTCTTACCATACTTCTGAGCCCCTTGGAAGTCACATACAAGTTCTCTAAATACTAATGTCAGTATTATTTTACTCTGGCTGCTGCACTGACAATTGATGTTTGACAGCCACCCAAATTCAGCATCTCTCTACCACAAGCTCTGGGACCCTAGGGGCTCCTGAAGCCACATATCATCATGTCCCTAAAGCATTATCCCCTATTTTTCACAGCCTTCTGAAATACTTGATGGTTTCTTAGAGACGTGGGAGAATGCCTCTCTCCTCTACCTTGTGTTGTACTTCATCATTAAGGCACTAATACAACTGATACAAAGCTTGCAGTTCTTTCTCACACAGAGAGCCTCATACAAAACAGCTCCTTCCAACAGTCATTCTCTTAAAAGAACTCAACTGTAAGATTCTTAAATCAGACTGGAAACCAATGTCCAATAGACACAAATGGGCTTCTACATCTTGCTTTCTCTAATCCACTAGTTGCCTGGGAACAATACAAAGCTGTGAAACTCTCAGGAATATAAATTTAAACCAGCAGATGCCTTTAGGCTGGTTCATTAGATGAGTTAAGTCTCACCAGTAGGGATAAACAGACTCAAGCTAGGACCCTCCACCCCACCCCAGTAGATACAGATGATTCTTCTTTTTCTCCCTTTTTCAACATACACTTAGGTTAAAATAAGTAGTCATGCATAAATTCCTCTTTAGTAATTTAAATTGTATTTAGTTTTATTTTTAATCAAAATCATGATATTGTAAAAGTATTATTAAAGTAATAAATGCTTATTGAAATTTTTTTCAAGTTCATACATGACTGTGTGAAAAATACCACTTTTAACTACTGAAAAAGAAATGCTATTTCTTTTTATGAAAGAAATTTGTAGTCTTTTTTTACAAAGAACAAAATATATTTGACAAAGAAAAATGTAGTACTTTTAAAATGAAATAGACAGTCCTCATAAGGTTTTCAAACTGTTTAAAGATGCCTTCAAATTTTTTAAACAGTAACAATGTGTTACTTGCTGAATATTGAAAGGAATGAATACACAGTCAGATTACCTCAGTTAGCTAATGAAAATTTATTTTAACATGATCATGAAAGTACCGAAAAGCAGAAAATACTTTCATTAGCAACTTTTCAATACTTTAGGAATTGAAAGTTGCATTAGTAACCTCATAGCAGCTTTGTAGATGCACAGCAAGGGACCACCCCTTAGCAGAGCTCTGTCTAGTATGAAGCTAGCTTTTTTCTGTCTTAGAATGTTTCTACTGCTTCTGTTCTCCCTTTTCCTAATGACTAACACTCATTGTGTCCCTAGGCAAAAAAGACCCTAGATGTGAGCATATGACTGTCTAGAACAGTCACCAGTAGGTTTCATTTATCACAGGGAGGTAAAGTCCTCATGCCAGGCTCCCTGGAAAGCAGCAGAACAGATTGCTATTAGTCAATCCCATTTGGTTCTAATAGTAAGCCACTGATATGGTTTGGCTGTGTCCCCACCCAAAGCTCATCTTGAATTGTAGTTCCCATAATTCCCAAGGGTCCTGAGAGGGATCCGGTGGGAGGTAATTGAATCATGGGGGTGGTTCCCCCATGCTATTCTTGTGATAATGAGTAAGTTTTCACGAGATCTGATGGTTTTATAAGGTGCTTCCCCCTTCACTTGGTTCTCATTCTTCTCTTTCCTGCCACTATGTGAAGAAGGATGTGTTTGCTTGCCTTCCAAAATGATTATAAGTTTTCTGAGGCCTCCCTACCCCTGTGGAACTGTGAGTCAATTAAACCTATTTCCTTTGTAAATTACCCAGTCTCAGGTATTTCTTCATAGCAACATGAGAACAAACTAATACAGTAAATTGGGTACTGCAGAGAGTGGGGAGCTGCTGTAAAGATACCTGAAAATGTGAAAGTGACTTTGGAACTGGGTAATAGGCAGAGGTTGGAACAGTTTGGAGGGCTCAGAAGAGGACAGGAGAATGTGGGAAAGTTTGGAACTTCCTAGAAGCTTGTTGAATGGCTTTGACCAAAATGTTATAGTGATATGAACAATGAAGTCCAGGCTGAGATGGTCTCATATGGAGATGAGGAACTTGTCAGGAACTGGAGTAAGGTCACTCTTGCTATGCAAAGATACTGGCAGCATTTGGCCCTTGCCCTAGAGATCTATGAAACTTTGAACTTGAGAGAGATGATTTAGGGTATCTGGCAGAAGAAATTTATAAGTGGCCAAGCATTCAAGAGGAAGCAGAGCATTCAAGTTTGAAAATTTGCAGCCTGATGATGTGATAGAAAAGAAAAACCCATTTTCTGGAGAGATATTCAAGCCTGCTGCAGAAAATTGCATAAGTAACAAGGAGCTGAATGTTAATCACCAAGACAATGGGGAAAATATCTCTAGGGCATGTCAGAGACCTTCACGGCAACCCCTCCCATCACAAACCTGGAGGCCTAGGAGGAAAAAGTGCTTCCCTGGACCAGGCTCAGGGCCCCCCTGCTCTGTGCAGTCTCAGGATATGGTGCCCTATGTCCCAGCTGTCTTAGCTCCAGCCATAGCTAAAAGGGGCCAAGATACAATGGGGGCCATTGCTTCAGAGGGTGCAAGCCCCAAGCCTTGCCAGCTTCCAGGTCGTGTAGGTCCTGTGGATTCTCAGAAGACAAGAATTGAGGTTTGGAAACCTTCACCTAGATTTCATAGGATGTATGGAAACACCTGGACATCCAGGCAGAAGTTTGCAGCATGGGTGGACCCCTCAGGGAGATCCTATGCTAGGGCTGTGCAGAAGGGAAATGTAGGGTTGGAGCCCCCACACAGAGTCCCCACTAGGGCACTGCCTAGTGGAGCTGTGAGAAGAGGGCCACCATCCTCCAGACCCTAGAATGGCAGATCCACTGACAGCTTTGCACCATGCACCTGGAAAACCCACAGGTACTCAACACCAACCTGTGAAAGCACTGAGGAGGGGAGCTGTACCCTGCAAAGCCGTAGGGTACAGCCCAAGGCTGTGGGAGCTGCTAAAGGCTGTGGGAGCCCACTCCTGCATCAGTATGACCTTACATCAGTGTGACTCCATGTGAGTCATGGAGGCCTGTGGCCCCTCTGTTTTGGCCAATTTCTCCCATTTGGAGTGGGGGTATTTCCCCAATGGCTGTATCCCCATTGTATCTAGGAAGTAATTAACTTGCTTTTCATTTTGTAGGCTCATAGGCAGAAGGGACTTGCCTTGACTCAGATGAAACCTTGGACTTGGACTTTTGGGATAATGCTAGAATGAGTTGACTTTGGGGGACTGTTGAAAAGGCACGATTGTGTTTTAAAATGTGAGGACATGAGATTTGGTTGGGGCCAGGAGCATAATGATATGGTTTTGCTGTGCTCCCACCCAAATCTCATCTTGAATTTTAATTCCTATAATCCCCACATGTTGTGGGAGGGACCCCATAAGATCTGATGGTTTGTAAGAGGCTTCCCCCTTCACTCAGTTGTCATTCTTCTCTCTCCTTGCCACCACGTGCAGAAGGACATGTTTGCTTCCCCTTCCACCATGATTGTAAGTTTCCTGAAGTCTCCCCAGCACTGCAGAATTATGAGTCAATTAAACTTCCTTCCTTTATAAATTACCCAGTCTCAGGTATTTCCTCATAGTAGCATGAGAACAGACTGATACAGCCATGGTTAAAAAACTTTGGCCAGAGGAAAATGGGACCTTGATAAAAAACAGAGCAAGTTTTATTTTATGAATCACTGTTGGTCATTATTCAGAAGGGATCAATAAACATATCAGACACCTGGAGCACACTGCACAACTTAGTCAATTTTTATTGCCTTCTGATTATTCTGAATACCTAGTACCTCTTTTTAAATACAGACACATTGGGCCCAGGATGATGTGACTAAAGCTTGTATTAGTCAGGGTTGTCCAAAAAAAATAAAATCAACAGGATGTGTATATATGTATATGGAGAGATTTATTGTAAGAAATTGGCTTACATGATTGTGAGGGTTTGGTTAAGTCCAAAATCTGATGGTGGAGGTTGGCAGGCAGGAGACCCAGGGAAGAGTTACAGCTTGAGTTTACAGGTAGTTTGGTGGCAGAATTCCTTTTTGCATAGGGAGGTTAGTCTTTGTCTTATTAAAGCCTTCGACTGCTTAAATAAAGCCCACCCACATTAAAGCAGGTGGGGAGTAATTTGCTTTACCCAAAGTCCACCAATTTAAATGTCAATCTCATCGAAAGGAACTCTTTCACAAAAACATCCATAATAATGTTTGAGCATACATTTTAGCACTCGGGTTCAGCCAAGTTGACCCATAAAATTAACCATCACAAGTCTTGACCAAACCTGAACAGATTCAGAAGTTAATTCTCTGTGGGCCAGGGAAAGCCTGCATATCAGGCTGGCACATCCTGAATAAGTCAGCTAACTCTTCCCTACATCTGGTCCTGAGAGATCACTAGCCTTTAAAATGATCAATTCTAGGGACAGAGGGGCTTCCTACTGATATCCAATAAGTGACAAATGACTTAATGACTTCTCACCAATTCAGGTATTGCTACCAAGAAAGAACAGGTGAACCTGGATTCCAAGAGAAAGCAAAACTAAGAGCAAAAAGCAACAGAATATTCACCTCCTGTAGCCAACAGCCAGAGAGAGGAATACTAGACGGGCACTCAGAAGAGTTTAAACCTGGTGAAACAGAACTTCAGGAGCATCGTGAAGACACCCCTAACAGAGACCCTAACCACAACAGCCAAAAAGCATCCTAAAAGTATCAATGAAACTATAAAAAAAGACTCTCTGGAACTAAAAACGTGGCTTTCGATTTATAGAATTTATAGCAAGTATAGAAGCAGATGATCACTCTGGAAAAACAAATTAGTGTACAGGAAGATTAAGGGTAGAAATATGTCAAATCAATGCAGAAATTTAGAGACAGAAATTGTAGACAGGAAGGTTAAAACTGAATAGATGCATGAATCTAAAATAAAATGAAAAAGAGACAATAATTAAGCAAATATAAAAAGAAAGTATAATGGATATCAAGAAAGATTTCAGTCCAAAGGTTGAAAGCATGACAGGAAATACTGATTTTTAAAAAGACACAGCTTAGCAGATGCTAGTTAAATTTTTGAGTTTAGGATAAAGTCATCTTTTTCAAGGCTCTTGGCAGAAATAAATTATGTGTAAAGGAAAGATAATCTGGCATTAAAATCTTCATCTACAACTCTGGGAATTAGGAGAGAATGCATATACCGTTCAACATATCCAAGGTTGAGAGACAGAATATATTACCCACTTACCTCTTCTGAATAAAATATTCTGCAAAGAATTCTAACCAATGAAAAAATAAGTGAGAATAAAAATCTGCAGGATAGGGAAATTTTTTTGAATTGTGGGCTGTATATAGCTAAAGATAAAGAAATTTAGATAAAGAGAGGATGGGAAAAGCTTTATATTTTCTATAGATATGCAGTTTTTAAGTAAAAATGATATATTAAAGGAAAAGATGATAATATTAAGAGTTTAAAATAGCATGTCATCTTATCATGGATGGAGAGCTTTTCAGAGTAAGAATGTTCTAATGGTCTTTTGTGAAACAAGGCTGAAGTATGGGAAAGAGGAAGATTTCTCAATGTAACATCTTCTTAGAAGCAGTGAAGCAGTGCCACAGTGGGAGGAAGTCCTTGGTACCTTACGTTCATGTAAAAGTAGAGAAATGGGCATATGGTTATGAGTGCCAGAAATAGGATAGCAATGAAAGATTAAGGAAAAAAAAACACTAAATAATATAAGGAGGGGCATCATGTGCTAATAAAGGAAAACACAACATTTCCTATGATTTTGAAACCACATCAAGTTGGTAAAATCCAACAATTTTTGATCTACAAAAGCTGCACTTTTCTGAAATTCAAGCTAATATTTATGCTTTGTATGATCATAAAAGTCTAAAAAGCGGGATGATAAAAAGACAGTTTGGTAATAAAATAATAAGCATTATTTTATTTTTTATTACATGTAATCAGAATAAAGATGTTGTATTTTAAATTTTAAATTAAAAATGGCAGTAAACAATGTAAACCCGTCGGATATGTCATAGAATTTGGAAAAATGAAGAAATCAATGTGGGGTAGTGTGTTCAGAGAAAGCATTCCAGTGAGGAATTAAATTAAGCCTAAAAAGATGACTGGAAGAAGAGACATTCCTGGATTGGGGGTGAGAAAGATCTAAGCAAAAAGAAGGAGAAACCTGTTTTAAATGTTGAGATGGATTGTCGTAAGAATGTCATGACTGATGTAAAGCCAGGGGAATCTCATAGACTAGTAAGATATTTGACTCCCATATTAAAGTCTGCTTTAGATTGAGATAGTCCATTTCACAATGACAATCATTTAGACAATCTAAAAAGGAGAAATGACAATAGTGTGTAAGCCCTGCTATTCTTTTACACATAGCTAATACTGAATAGCAACCAGTATAATGGGTGGCATTTCTGAAGTGAGACATCTCATGTCATTCTGCAAGCTTGTATGTGACCAGAAGGTCACATTGTGATGGTAATAGACGTTCACATCAGTTCCTTTTCTCTGGGACTCCAAGAGTATAATATAATCAGCACATCAAATATATTTCAAATATGTCATTTTCATGAAGCATAGTTATCAATGAAATACATGTCACTAAAGAAGATTATTTTCTGGCTTTCTTTAAATTGTTTGTTCATTTGTTTTAGAAGCTAGCAGAGATAATTCCTATAGGCATTGAAATGAAGATGTGTATTATTGGTGAAGAGCCCTTTAATTATTTGAATGAGTTTCTGTTTAATGAACTCAGGAGTAAAACACTAATGGGCACTAAAATATGGTTACACCTGCAGATCACCTAACTGAAAATTTTAAATGGTCTGTCACCCAAAGAAGGTCAGCAAGTGCAATTACAAAATACAGGTTAATCGAAGAATCTTACTACTACTGATAGTGTAGAGTTTTTGATAAGAAATCAACATTCTGCTAAAAACGGCTACTGTTAATTTACATAGGATCATAGCTGCATTCACACAGAAAGGAATTCTACCTCATAATGAGGAACCTTTCATTTGTGCTGAAAAATTTCAAGAATGAGAAGTGCCAAAATTAGAACAACTCACACTAAAGGAAAATGAATATGTATCCCTCAATATAAGTGAAACAAAAAAGTAGTGTATATGATAAATTAGATATTAATAAAGAGGGAGGCCATCTTTTAACTCAGTTCTGCCTTTGAAATTCTAATGATACAAGTCGTTTTGCTTTGTTTTCTGCACTTGCTTTTTGTCTTGCTACAGAAAACCATTTTCCTCTCAGCTTTTAGAAGTTTAAACACACACACACTCCACTCCCACATATCACACACCCATGCCCACAGACTCATACACAGGACCTGGAAATCTTTGCTTTTCATTATCCACTTAACATTGTCCCCTCTTTCATAAAGTGTAACATTATGTTTTATGTATAGAACAGGAGAATAATAAGTCAGAAGAGGAGTAATGATCGTGTAAAGAGCTTACAGCCAATTTGTTCTACAAGCTTGCTTTTAAACAGACATACATTTTAGAGTGTACTGGTTTTTAGTTCCACAAGAGAAGACATAAATATTATCAACTCCATGTAAGTCTGGCACCTGTTAAATTATTCAAATGGCTTAGTAATTATTAATTAAGATATTGTCTAATCTTCAACTTCCATTTTAAACTTTCCCCCTGTTTCAGATGGGATAATAGGGTATTTGTATATTCATTTATGTGTTTGTTTTCTTGATCAGCTTTGGAAGTTATTCGGTCATTTACAAAATTTATTAAATTAAATTATAACTAAAATGGATGGCAGAAATTCAAACACAATAGAAATGAATTTGTTCATATAAGACATCCCCAAACAGCTGTGCTGTAGGGGTTTATGTCCTTAAGGGATAATTTTTTATTTTAAACAATTGTTTAATGTCACAAGGGACTATAATATTCATTTTTCCCAGACAGTTGGTATTTGAATTGCAAAAATTCTGCAAATACACAATTATGCTATCTCTGACAAAAATGCTTAGAATACTGCTTAATTTAGTCCTCACTTAATTGATAGCCCTCCAGTGCTTCAAATCATTAGTTACCGCAATGTGGTTTGTAGGTTTCATTGACATTTATTTTTTAAATCACTGTGCTGAGAAGTAGACAGAAAAATCATTGGTAGAGCCTGTTCAATTAGTTGAAGAAGCTAAATGTAATAATGGTTTCCCAAAATATCAAGTATAGAAGGTAAATATTTTTCAAGTATGCTGTTTTTGACTATGGGAAATCAGTGCCCCTGACTTGCAAATATACCACAAGTTGGGCCTTTACTCCAATTAATAACTAGTAACCTCTAAATGCTTTTAATAAGTATTATCTCTTTTCTTTCTCTTCTTCTTTACTTTTCTCTTTTGGTGCATATTATGATCTTATTTCTACTCTCAATAAATGTGTGCATATGTATATTCATATACATAGATATATACATGCATATAGTGACTACGTTGAAAATATATACACCAAACCTTAGCAGTGAGTCAATCTGAATAATCATGGGACTACGGATTGTTTTTACTTAATTCTGTGAGCTTTGATATTTTTTCAGATGTTCTCTAATAACTATATTTTATTTTCATACTAGAAATCATAAATATACTATATATGTATTTTAAATTAAAAAGAGAATGTAGCTATTAGGAAATCAGAGTAGGCAATTAAAAAGAAGGAAGAGGGGAGAATGAACAATATCCATTTTTAAACTAATATTTCAGCATCTGCTATTTTCAGGCATTGTGTTAGTCCAGATAATTGTAGTGCATATCTTCCAGTTCTATGCATATCGCATATTTGTGAAATATTTTTACAACATGGAAATCATAAGGTATATGTTGATTTAAAAAGTGCTTTTATTTTATAATATGTTATGCGCATTTAAATATATGTTTCACATCTTTCTAAATCCTCAATCTTCATGAAAATCACCATCATCTTCCTGACTTTTCAAGCCAAAGGTTTGCCCTTAATTTCATTTTTTCTTCTTCTGTTTCGCCTGTAAATCCAATCCAGCTGCAACAACCATTGTCTCTACCTGCAACTACATAGTAAATGTATACATTTTTCATCTCCATTGATAACACTCCAGACTCCGTCATTGTTCACTTGAAATTCTAGAATAGCCTCCTGTCTCATTTTAAACCTGCCTCTGTAGTCCATTATTTTCACCATGACCAGAAAGATATATTCAAACCATAGCTCAAACTATGTTAGTTCCCCCAGTTAAATCATTTCAACTGAACATGTAATTGGCGCAAATGTGTATAAAATCCAAACTTCTTAACCTGGCTTTAAACCTTACAAAATCTGACCTTGCAATTTCTCTGATCTCCTGTTTTACAATTCTCCCTTTCCCACTCAGAATGCTAAATTCTAGCTGCATAGACCTGTGTCAATTCCTCAAACTCTGTTCTTTCCCAATTTTTGTCTTTCCACTGACTCTTTTCTCTACCCAGAATATTTTCCCCAGTCTTCCTATCTGTCCTATCTTGTTATCCAGCTTCTAGCCAAACTGTCACTATCATGTTATTTCTCTTCAGAGCACTTGTTGCCACCTGACACTTTTCTAATAGATGTTAATTAATAGATTGATTAGATAGAGTATTGCTTTCTTCACACTAGAACATACTCTCTGTGAAGGCAGTGACCCATTTGCTTCATTCACCTCTATATTCCCAGAGGAAAAAAACTTATGTTCTCATGGTAAGGTTCAGAAAACCTTCCAAAGCACACTCTGTTCTGCTATGTTGCAGAATTAGAGTTCTGTTCCCCTTAGCCCTGCCAGCTCATGTACAATTGGTAAGTAGGGAAATGACGTCAGCATAATGCAAAAGTCATGTCTGTCTGTTCACATTTTTTTCCTAGAAAATTAATATTTTAAGTGAATAGGGCAAGTTTTTCAAAATTAAAGATAAAGTCTGGACATATATGAAGTTCTTACTTAAATATAATCCTAAAGCAATATCTTTATTTTGAAAAATGGCTTGTGTAGTGGCATCAAAGATTGCTACACTTTGCACTCATTGGCTATCTGAAAGAATATAGATGACACAGCTGTAAATATAGTGCTATCTCCCTCCAAACTTAAAAATGATTGATTGAAAAATCTACGGTCCTACTCAATTTTTACCTTTCATGAAATTGGTCTTTATTTTAGTGAATATCTCCAAGCCTGTACATTTTGAAGAAGGAAGCATGAGCTGCAAGACTTTAGTCGGCCAGGAATTGATTGTTGCTGCTTGCAAATGGTTGCAGCAATTTAACTGTGGCAGGAATTTTATTAAGAATATTATTCTTTGATTTGTGCTCTAGCTACAAAATTCCATAGGTTTTGAGTGGTCTTTCACAGTCCTACTTTTTCCTATTTATTGAGTAGGTTTGTAGAAAGCAGAGGTGTTTAGTAATGGCATTTCAGCAGAAATACTTGAACTTAATAGTGCTCATTTGTGCAAGATTGACTATGTTTGAAGTTCAGTACAGGGATATGAAAAAGTAAAATAATAAAAAAGGAAATTAGGTCTTTCATCTGTCTCATTCAGCCTAAAATATATAACCTAGCTGGAAGCTTTCCCTTTTAGAATATTGCTACATATTAATTTACACAAAAGGTATGCAGAGAAGCCTATCTGATCATTTAGTAATATATGTACTGTTGATTTCCTAATAAGATCATGCCTAACGTAAGGTATCTTCATATAGTTTATGCTGTATCCATTCATATATTCATTTACTCAACAAATATTTACTGATCACCACCACTACCCTAACCCCAGATCCAGGCCGTGTGTAACATTCTCAGTATTTAGTCAAGAATGAGAGAGTTTCTACCTTTAAGGAGCTTTAAAGTTGATATTCTATAATCATTTTAGCTCTGAATCAATGCACTTTCCTTGCCTCGGGAATATACTGGACAAAAAGCATTTCTTAAATGTCTTATTGACTTAATATATAGCTACTTAGTACATCTTCATTGGGAAGACTTATTTTACACTAAGCCTACAATTATTTGTGATGCCAAATGCAAAATGTGTCTTCCCTTTATATTGTTGCTTTGGGGAGTACTGCCTTCACTCCTATGATTTTTCATTAGTATGTTATTTTTATAGGTTATTTGTTGTCTTTGCATTCTGAAGTTGCACACAAACACGTTTAGGTCTAGATATGGTTTTATCTGATCTTCTTCAGATTAGCTTGTGTTCATATGTGAGACAATGTTTTTCATTAGTTGATGTGAGAATTATGTTTTTCATTAATTCTGGGAAGCCCTCCTACATCATCACTTCAATTACTATTGTCCTCCATTCTTTTCCTTCTGAAATTCCAGTTTATATATATCAGGTCTCATATAGAGAATTATAAGTTATTTGAAATCTGCTTTTAAATTTTCTTCTATTTTATTTCAGTAGTTTTCAGGGAACAGGTGGTTTTTGTTTACACAGATAAGTTCTTTAGTAGTGATTTCTGAGATTTTGGTGCACGCATCACCTGACCAGTGATTGAACCCAATGTGTAGCCTTTTATCTCTCACCTCCATCCCATCATTCCTGTTGTGTCCCCAATGTCCATTATATCATTCTTATGCCTCTGAGTCCTAATAACTTAGCTCTCACTTATAAGTGAGAACATACAACATTTGATTTTCCATTTCTGAGTTACTTCACTTAGAATAATGGTCTCCAGCTCCATCCAGGATACTGTGAATGCCATTATTTCATTCCTTTTTATGACTGAATAGTATTCCATCATATATATATGCCACATATTCTTTATCTACTTGTTGGTTGATGGGCATTTAAACTGGTTCCATATTTTTGCAGTTGTGAAGTGAGCTACTATAAAGATGATTGTTTATGTGGCATATGTAAGTCTTTTACATATAACAACTTCTTTTCTTCTGGGTGGGTACCCAGGAGTCAATGACTGGATCAAATGGTAGTTCTACTTTTAGTATTTTAAGGAATCTCCGTACTGTTTTCCATAGTGCTTGTACTAGTTTATATTCCCACCAACAGTGTAAAAGTGTTCTCTTTTCACCACATCCATGCCAATATCTATTATTTTAAATTTTTTAAATTATGGCCATTCTTGCAGGAGTAAAGTGTTATGTCATTGTAGTTTTAATTTGCATTACCCTAATAGTTAATGATGTTGAGCTTTTTTTATGTTTGTCGGCCATTCGTATATCTTCTTTAGATAATTTTCTATTCATGTCTTTTACCCACTTTTTGATGGGATTATTTGTTTTTTTTTTTTCTTGCTGATTTGTTGGAGTGTTTTGTAGATTCTGGATATTAGTCCTTTGTCGGATGCACAGTTCGTGAATATTTTCTCCCACTCTGTGGGTTATCTGTTTACTCTGCTGATTATTTCTTTTGCTATACAGAAGCTTTTGAGTTTAATTAAGTTCCATCTATTTATTTTTGTTTTTGTTGTTTGCTGTTGGATTCTTGGTCATGAACTCTTTGCCTAACCCAATGTCTAGAAGAGTTTTTCCAATGTTATCATTTAGAATGTTTATGGTTTCAGGCCTTAGATTTAAGTCTTTGATCCATCTTGAGTAGATTTTTGTATAAGGTGAGAGAGGAGGATTGAGTTTCATTCTTCTACATGTGCTTTGCCAATTATCACAGCACCATTTGTTGACTATGGTATCCTTTCCCTAATTTATGTTTTTGTTTGCTGTGTCAAAAATCAGTTGGCTGTAAGTGTTTGGGTTTATTTCTGGGTTCTTTATTATGTTCCATTAGTCCACTTGCCTATTTTTATACCAGTACCATGCTATTTTGGTAACTATAACCAAAGTGATGTGAAGCCTCCAGATGTGTTCTTTTTGCTTAGTCTTACTTTGGCTATGTGGGCTTTTGCCGTTTTTTGGTTCCATATGAATTTTAGGATTGTTTTTTCTAGTTCTGTGAAGAATGATGATGGTACTTTGACGAGAATTGCATTGAATCTGTAGATTGCTTTTGGCAGTATGGTCATTTTCACAATATTGATTCTATCCATCCATGAGCATGGAATGTGTTACCATTTGTTTGTGTCATCTGTGATTTCTTTCAGCAGTGTTTTGTAGTTTTCTGTGTAGAGATCTTTCACTTCCTTGGTTAGGTATATTCCTAAGTATTTTAATTATGTATTTATTTTTGCAGTTATTATAAAAGGGATTGAGTTCTTGATTTGATTCTCAGCTTGGTAGCTGTTGGTGTATAGCAGTGCTACTGATTTGTGTACATTGATTTTGTATCCTGAAATTTTACTGAATTTATTTGTCAGTTCTAGGAGCTTTTTGAATGACTCTTTATGGACTTCTAGGTATACAATCATATCTTTGGCAAACAGCTACAGTTTGACTTCCATTTTATTGATGTGGATGGCTTTGTTTCTTTCTCTTGTCTGATTGCTGTGGCTAGGACTTTCAGTACTATGTTGAATAGAAGTGGTGAAAGTGGGAATCCTTGTCTTGTTCCAGTTCTCAGGGAGAATGCTTTCAACTTTTCCCCATTCAGTATAATGTTGGCCATGGGTTTGTCTTAGATGGCTTTTATTACCTTGAGGTATGTCCTTTCTATGCTAATTTTGCCAAAGGTTTTAATCATAAAGGAAAACTGGAGATTTCAAATGTTTTCTCTGTGTTTATTAAGATAATTATACAATTTCTGTTTTTAATTCTGTTTATGTGATGTATCACAATTATTGACTTGTGAATATTAAGCCATCCCTGCATCCCTGGTGTGAAATCCACTTGATCGTGGTGTATTATCTTTTTGATATGCTATTGGATTTGGTTAGCTAATAGCTGGTTGAGGATTTTTGCATCTGTGTTCATCAAGGATATTAGTCTGTAGTTTTCTTTTTTTGGTATGTTCTTTCCTGATTGTGGTATTATATTAGATTGACTTGCTTCATATAATGAATTAGACTGGATTCCCTTTCTCTGTCTTTTAGAATAGCTTCAGTAAGATTGGTACCAGTTCTTCTTTGAATATCTGATAGAATTCATTTGTGAATCAATCTGGTCCTGGTTTTTTTTGTTGTTGACAATTTTTAAATTACAGTTCCAACCTCACTACTTGTTATAGGTCTGTTCATAGTTTCTATTTCTTCCTGATTTAATCTAGGAGGGTTGTATATTTCCAGGAATTTATCCATCTCCTCTAGATTTTCTAGTTTGTGCATGTAAAGGCGTTCACAGTAGCCTTGAATGATCTTTTGTATTTCTGTGGTATTGGTTGTAATAGCTCCCATTTTGTTTCTCATTGAGACTATTTGGATCTTCTCCCTTTTTTTCTTGGTTAATCTCACTAATGTTCGATCACTTTTGATTATTTTTTCAAATAAACAGTTTTATGTTTCATTTGTCTTGTATTTTTTTGTTTCAATTTCATTTAGTTCTGCTCTGATCTTTATTATTTCTTTTCTGCTGGGTTTGTTTTTGGTTTATTCTTGTTTCTCTAATTCCATGGGATATGACCTTAGATTGTCTAATTATGCTCTTTCAGACTTTTTGATGTAGGCAATTAATGCTATGAACTTTCCTCTGAGCACTCCTTTTGCTGTATTTCAAAGGTTTTGATAATTTGTGTCACTGTTATCATTCAGTTCAAATAATTTTTAAATTTCCATCTTGATTTCAGTGTTGACCCAAAGATCATTCGAGAGCAGATTATTTATGTATAATCTGCTGTTATGTTACCATAACCTGCTGTTATGTATTTCTTGTTTTGGGGTTCCTTTTGGAGCTGATTTCCAATTTTGTTCTACTGTAGTCTGAGAGAGTACTTGATATAATTGTTTTTATCAAAAACAATTTTGTTTTTAATGGCTTGTTTGTGGCTTATCATATGGTCAATCTTGGAGAATGTTCCATGTGCTTAAAAAGAAAATGTATATCTTGCAGTTGTTGGATAGAATGTTCTGTAAATATCTGTTAAGTCCATTTGTTCTAGGGTATAGTTTAAATCCAGTGTGTCTTCATTGACTTTCTGTTTTGATTACCTGTCTGTGCTATCAGTGAAGTCCCCCACTATAATTGGGTTGCCATCTATCTCATTTCTTAGGTCTAGCAGTAATTGTTTTATAAATTTGGGAGCTCCAGTGTTAGGTGCATATATATTTAGGATTGTGATATTTTCCATTTGAATTACTTTTTTTTATCATTATATAATTTCCTTCTTTGTCTTTTCTGTCATTGCTTTAAAGTCTGTCTGTCTCATATAAGAATAGCTACTCCTACTCACTTTTGGTTTCTATTTGTGTGGAATATCTTTTTCCACCCCTTTACCTTAAATTTATGTGAGTCCTGATGTGTTAGGTAAGTTTCTTGAAGACAGCAGATAATTGTTTGGTGGATTTTTAGCCATTCTGCCATTCTGTATCTTTTAAATGGAGCATTTAGGCCATTTACCTTCAGTGTTAGTATTGAGATGTGAAGTACTGTTCTATTATCATGCCAAATGCTGCCTAAATATCTTGGTTTTTGTGTGTATTGTTTTATAGACCCTGTGAGATTTATGTTTTAAGGAGGTTCTATTTTGATCTATTTTGATGTTTTGTTTCAGGATTTAGAGCTCCTTTTAGCATTTCTTGTAGTGCTGGCTTAGTAGTGGCAAATTTTCTCAGCATTTGTTTGTCTGAAAAAAGTTTTATCTCTCCTTCATTTATTAAGTTTAGTTTGCTAGATACAAAATTCTTGGCTGACAATTTTTTTTGTTTCAGGAGGCTAAAGATAGGACCCCAATCCCTTCTGGCTCGTAAGATTTCTGCTGAGAAATCTGCTGTTAATCTAAAGGTTTTCTTGTATAAGTTACCTGAATCTTTTGTCTCACAGCTCCTAAGATTGTTTCCTTCATCTTGATTTTAGATAACCTGATGACCATATGTCTAGATGATGATCTATTAGCAATGAATTTCCCAGCCGTTCTTTGAGCTTCTTTTATTTGGATGTCTAAATCTCTAGCAAGGCCAGGGAAGTTTTCCTCAATTATTCCCTCAAATAAGTTTTACAAACTTTTAGATTTCTCTTCTTCCTCAGAGCACCATTTATTCTTAGTTTTAGTGATTTAACATAATCCCAGTTTTCTTGGATGGTTTGTTTACTTTTTAAAATTTATTTTCTTTGTCTTTGTCTTATTGGGTTGATTTGAAAGCCTTGTTTCTGAACTCTGAAGTTGTTTTTCCTACTTGTTCTGGTCTATTTTTTAAACTTTCCAGTGCAGTTTGCATTTTTCTAAGTGTGTCTTTCATTTCCAGAGGTTGTGAGTGATTTTTCTTTATATCTATCGCTTTTGAGAACTTTCATCCATATCCTGTATTTTTTTAAATTTAAGTTGGCTTTCACCTTTTTATGATATCTCCTTGAGTAGCTACTTTTTAAATTGATTTACTTAAATTTAAATTTTGATGAGAATTTCTAATTCTAGAAGTTCTATTTTTCCCCAATATTTCTGATTTATATCTATATATAGTCTTTCTTTCTCACATTTAAATTTCTTAGTCAAAATAATGCTAATAATTTTTTATTTTCTTATTTTAAAGTTTCTGTTGAATAATTATGTTAATTGAATTTCCTTTGAGTTTAATCCTGGTGGGGTGGGGTGAGGAAATGTATGTACATAAGTATGTGTACATGCAGGTACCCTGACTCTTCTCATGGTGGAATGGTTCTTCATGTATTTTGTAGTTTTGGGTTGTGAGTTGTTGATTGGTTGGGCTTTGTCTATGGGAATCTTATGAAATGTATATTAAAATATATATGTCTCCAGATGTATCTTAGCTTTGTTTCTATAGAGATCTCCAGGAGTATTACTAATATCACTACATTTTTTATGTTATTTTTTGGCAGCTGGGGGGGTGTGGATTTCTCAGTCTATGCAGGAAATATAAACAGGAATCCAACTAAGACAGAGATAAAGAAGGCCTGGGAATGTGAATATCAAGGAAGACAACTTTTGTCCCAACAATATCCAAGAATAAGACCAACAAATACGTAGGAAGATATTTTATTCACCTTCTCCTTTTCTCAGAAATGTTCACTCTATATGGGTCTTAACTTCATGCAGTAATCTCATTTCTACTTCCATTTTCTTGAGCCTGATGTCTCATATGCTGTTTAAAACTTATCTACACATTACCCAACCACCCTAACAATAACTACAGAAGCTTCTCAGTTTCCTCATATTTGTCCCTTAGGGTTTTGGCAACATTAAAACTAACATTTTGGTAACATTTTAAATAAGGTTGGCATAATATATTCCAAATATATATATATATATATTTATACTTATATTTATATATTTATATATTATATTTATATTTAAATAAGGTTGGCATAATATATGCCAAATATATATATATATATATATATATATATATATATATATTTGGCATATATATACACATATAATATATTTGGCATATATTATATGTGTATATACGTATAAGTGTGTATGTATGTATGTGTATATATATATATAATTGGAACAGTTTTCATATTATCTAGTCTGATATATGGCTTCACATCATTTATACAGAATGATGTTTATCTATCCCAGTAATTATAATAATAGAAATAATTTACCTGTATTCATGAGCTTTATCCTAACTATCTACTGGATATACTAGCTATCTCACTTTTCTTTTTCTTCTTTTTTTTTTCTTGAAAAGCTGCATAGTTTTCTTGGCTTTGTCAAATTTATACAGTGCAACCACAAAAGAGATGGAGGCTACAACTCTGATTATCACCTAAAATTTAGTTGCAGTGTCCAAACAGAAGAATAATGCCAAAAAGCTGGTATTGTTGTTAGTGATAATTCTTACTTATTGTTTCTTGAGAATAAGAAAATGCTACTTTTAGGGGTTTTCAAAAAATAAATAAATAAAAACAATTTCTTAAGCACCTTGCTGGTCCTGAAAGGTGCTTCAATTTGCTACAATTTTAATAGTTGAGAAGGGGATGGTAATCTAAGCTGGATTTCAAGGCGCAACCGTGAGTCTGGAATTGGTTATCAACAGAGATGAGGGCAAACCAGAGACGTATTACAAAGTAAGGTTACAAAATAGTCATGGAATTTGACAAGCAATTAACCCTCCATGTTATGTTGCTTATTGAGTCAATAACTATTCCAAAAGAGAAGGGAGCCTTGTAATAACAACTCCAAGTTAGCTTCCAGCTTTCAAATTTGCCTGAGAGCCTAAGGTAAAAAATGAAAGACTAGACAAAGCATTTCATTGGGTTGTCAGTCTACGACATCAATCAAAATATTAAAGATTCATCATGTACAAAATATTGAGTACAGTTTGCAGGTAGGTTAGGAATTCATCTTCAGGTTCTCTTGGTTCACTCAATTGATCTAAGACCTAAGAAAGAAAGCTCTTATTGTCACCAATCAGAAATCTTTATGATATATTATCTAAGATTCATAATCTGTAGAAGCTCTTCCAAAGAAAGAGATCTCCTTTTTCCCAAACCGTGAACAAAGATACAAATACTTAGTGTTCTTATGCATAATAGCATACAAAAGCAGATATTTTAGAATAAAATGGGAAATTTTCCTTCTTTTGTTTATAAAGAACAACTATTATATAGATTAATCAAACATAGTATATTAATCTCTTGTTCTCCGATAAGAGGATATTAGAGTATATTGGAGACTGTTGTGATTTACAGCTCAAAACTGGAAAAAAAAAGTTTGATATATAAAGAAACCTAAAGCTTATATATTCTTGCATATTATTCTCCACATTAAAATTTATTTTCTGCTGTTTCTCATTCATGGCTACACTTTATGATCATTTTCAAGAACTTAACAAATAGTGAAAAACTGCGTACTGCTCCACTTCAGAATGTTAAGTCAGAACTTCTGAGAGTGGAGCCCAAGAATTGGAATGATTATAAAAGTTCCATCAGATAATTTTACTATGTAACTAGATTAAGAACTAGGGAGAACTTACTGTGGTTGTGAGCTGGACACCACAGCCCTGAAGCCTGAGCAGGAGCAGTGAAAGGAGGGGGTTTACCATATCATCGCAAGCTGAGAGGAAGGCTGTTGGGGGATACATGCAGCTGGAGGAAGAATGCTTAGGGCATACGTGTAGCTTGTTTGTTCTTTACAAAGCATTTGGGAGATTTGCCCTGAGGTAATTAATGCTTCAAGTTACAGTTACATTGGTTTTGAATTCCCTCAGGTTTACCTCTTAGAAGCAGCTGAAGGTGCAGTTTATACAGTAAGTTGATTCTACTTATATTTCAGCAACTTAAAAATTGGTTACAAAGTAGACAATATTTATAACTAGGTTAAATAATTCTTATTATGTTTTAACTTATGTAAAATAACTATAAAACATTGTAGCTATAAAACATTTATTAAAATACACGAAAGTACATTAAGTACTAGTTTACCTACAATCAAGTATTGCCTGCTTTCTAATACCAGTAAAAACATTATCACCCTAAACAATAAAAATGATTTTTTTCATCCCTTTCCCTACAGATATTTTTAAAGGTTAATTAGCTATTTCCATTTTTATGGCATTTTGAGACTTTTAAATGCTTTCCATTTCTGAGGTTATTCCATTAATCTAAACCCAAATAGTGAACACTGTGATCTTGGTCTCTCTTTCTGTGTCTCTTTCTGTCTCTATGTCTCTCTTCTCATCAACTGAGTCAGCAATCCCCAAATTATAAACTATGTTGTCTGAGATATTTGTTAACATGCACATCCCTGAAGCTTGGTTCCAGGAATTTTGATTGAGTATATAGAAGATGGGGTCCGGGGAATTTTTATTTTAACAGTACTCCAGTTAATTTCAATTCAGTTGTCCCTTGGATGACAGTGAAAAATAGAAAACAGTGATAGAAAACAATGATATTCATTGCTTCAGGTAATAAGCCTTTTTATGTTCTGTATTGTGTAATATGGCTAAAAATACAAACATGGATGAGAAATTGACCCTGCCTTCAAATAGACTTGTTTGTTTAATATGATTGATGGTTACAAATGCTATAACAGAGCTACATATACATTTCTAAGGGAATGTAATGAGAGCAGGAAAGGATTCTTCTAGGAAGTACCATTTGTGTACAGTCATGAAAAGTGAAGTAGATTTAAGGAGAATCTTCTAGGTAAATAAAACAGTAAAAGCACAGGCTCAGGCACAAGACTGTCCAGAGTTTGTAGAGGAAATAGTGCATAGGTTTTATTGAACAACAAGTGTTACCAGTGTAAGGGCCCAATTTTCAGTAATTTTTATTGGTTCTTTTAGGACTCTGGAATAACTTAAAAGTTTACATCTAATTTTTTCTCAGAGAATCATGGAAGCGTCTATTGATGTAATTGGTGTCTCTAGCACCAAGGGAGCTAGAATCTATTTCTTTCCTACCTGCCAAAGAGACACTGTGAATAAGGTTAACAAATGAAAAAAAATTTCTAATACTACCTCAGCCTGGTTCCTCTCATGTGTTCCTTGAAAGACTCTACATCTTGAGACATTTAAATCAACCAACCTAGCTCTCCTATTTCTCCCCTTTGTTCAAAAAGAAATTAAGACAGTGGGGCATATTTTTTTCTCCTATGTGTAGCCTTGTTCTTGGAAGTATATGAATTCCAAGCAAAACTACATCTAAACATTAGTGGATGAACAAAATGAGCTACTGAAAGGCATTTGGAAAAAATGGCACTCTAACACAAAGTAATAAAGAATACAGTAGAGCAAGATGTTACTTTTCTGTTTCTGTAATTATGCTGACACCAACATATGCAGTTGTTGAGACTTTAAGGGTCATATTACCTTCTGGTAATTTATTAATGACCTTTTCTTAGGGATTAGAAAAACTAGCAGAATCCAAATATCTGGATATGCAATTCTAAAGATTTATGCCCCAATGAATTCCATGTGAGAAAACAATTTGAATTAAAAGAGTTTACTCTTAAATCTTCAAATTATACTACACAATAAGTCTGCTATGTTATTGCCAAATATATCAAATCCTACATTCTGTTTAATCTTTTGGAACCTATCACAAGTTGGTTTATCTGGGAAGCTGACTGAGAGAAAGATTGGCATGCAGGAGGTTTATTATGGAATGCTCTTGGGATCACCACATGTGAATAAGAAGGAAAAGAAACAGGATTGGGAAGAGCAGAAAGTTGGGCTGCTGTGTAATCTCAGCAAAAGGTTCACACAGGCCAACTGTAGCTGAGATAATCCTTCAGTGTCGTCACTTGCTAAAGCAAGGGAATTGGGCTTTTATGCCACAGGTGGACCAGTAGTTGGATGCAGGTGGCCTCCGCCTAGACTCTTGACCTGGGCAAAGCACTTCTCTTCAGCAAAGGCAATTCCCAACTAGGGCTGAGAGCTGAGTGCTCTCTGTAGCTAATACCTTTCGCAGTTGGGGAAACAAATCTGAACTCTTGTGTCCCACCAAAACTCACATGTGGAAGCCCTAACACCCAGTGTGAAGTCTCTGGAGGAGAGGCCCTTGGGAAGTAATTAGGTTTAGATGAAATCGTAAGGGTGGGGCCTCATAATGGAATTAGAACCTTTAGAAGAAAAGGAAGAAACAGGAGCTCATGCTCTCCCTCTTCCATGTGAGAACACAGCAAAAAGGCGACTTCTACAACCCAGGAAAATGGCACTCACCAAGAAACCAAATTGGCTAGCAGTTCAATCTTAATCTTCACAGTCTTTAGAACTGTGAGAAATAAATTCCTGTTTGTAAAGCCAACCAGTCTATGGTATTTTGTTATAGCAGCCCAAGTTGACTAAGAGGAAGCCCTTTAGTCAGAAAGGGAGATGAGCGTGGCCCATCACATCTCTGTGGTAGCCACATATTTTCTCCTCCAAGCAACAACTGGTGGGTGCTCCGCCATGGCCAGACTTGTTACTAAATCTGGAGCCTGACCAGTAAAAATAAATTGCCTGCTCACCTACACCAAGCCACTGCTTTGGATTATACATTACAACAGAGCAAGTCTAGGCAGAGAGACGTCTTGAGATTCATGTCCACTCCACTATCCTTCCTTGAATCCTGTGGAATATGGAGAGAATAAAAAAAATTCTCCTACACAATAAGGCACGGAGGTTAGGTAAAAATCAAGATATGGCATCCTTAAAGGATAAGGAATAAGGAGTGAGGGGACCCACAGCACAGAATGAGCTTGCCAGAAAAAGCACTGCACTTCTGCACTTTGCTGATGCTGAAAGAATAGATGGCAAGTTATTCCAGCAGTGACCACGGCAAATAGGGTCCCAGACCCTACCCCTTCCCTCCAATGTCAGGAAGATATGGAAGCAGTTGAGAGCCTAGATCATACTGGGAAAGAGACACAGGAGAGAAGCCTTGAAATTAACAGAGTTTATCCAGAAGATACAGCTTTAAACTGGAAGTTACCTTGATTTAGAAAGACTCTTTTCCATTATAGAGGAAGTCAATCTTTGGAATACATAAGTTTGTTTAAACAGGAATAACAAATGTTACATTTTTACAAATCTGAGTCCTGTTTTTATGCATTCTCTCTCTCTCTCTCTCTTTAATTTTTTTATTTTTTTTTATTTTTTGAGACAGAGTTTCACTTTGTCGCCCAGGCTGGAGTGAGGTGGCACAATTTCGGCTCACTGCAACCTCTGCCTCCTGGGTTCAAGAGATTCTCCTGCCTCAGCCTCCTGAGTAGCTGAGATTATGGGTGCCTGCCACCATGGCCAGCTAATTTTTTGTATTATTTTTAGTAGAGACGGTTTCGCCATGTTGGCCAGAGCTCAAGTAATCCGCCCACCTCGGCCTCCCAAAGTGCTGGGATTACAGGTATGAGCCACCATGCCTAGCCTACATATTTCTCTTGTATCAGATTTTAAATACTTATAAAAGTGAATAAAAAGAATAAATTGCCAGATTATCTCACCATTATTTTTCTATCCATATTAGCTTCTGCTGATTTCCACTC
This sequence comes from Homo sapiens, assembly GCF_000001405.40. Taxonomy (NCBI): domain Eukaryota; kingdom Metazoa; phylum Chordata; class Mammalia; order Primates; family Hominidae; genus Homo; species Homo sapiens. The sequence continues at coordinate 172,270,153 of NC_000004.12, forward strand.
CTTTTACTTCTCTGTCCACTGTGTGTGTGTGTGTGTATGTGTGTGTGTGTATATGTGTGTGTGTTACAGGTTCTAATGCATCCATATTCTTTAAGCACTCCCATTTTATTTCTACCAATTGTATGTTTTTTTCATTCAGTAATATATTCAAAATGTGTAAGTCCAATTCTTTTCTTAGAAAATTTAATTGACCATTCTGGAAACTAAGATTCAAGAAGTGATACAGTCCTCTTTTAGCCTAGTCTTATATTCATAAAGCAGATTGGTTTTTCAACATAGGCTAGTGTGTATGTATTCTGGGGACCTAAGCCAGGTACACCTCATCTATCTTGGCTTGTTCAATACACATGATGGCTACAGACTGTACCATACAGTGCATGCAGGCATGCACACAGCCCTCATTTATCACCTACGGCTTCTCTGCCCTGACAGAACCTGGGACAAGCACTTTCGTAGACTCAGAGCTGTGGGAATAGGAGAAGGTTCAATTACTCATATGGTGCTTGGAATCCTGCCAAAGACAGTTAAACTAGCTATGCCACTATGAGGCTTATACTTTCTTGATAGGTAGGTAGATGATAGATAGATAGATAGATAGATGATAGATAGTAGATAGATAATCTCTAGATATAGAGCTGTCTATAGATATATAAAGGTATTGTTATTTTAAAAGTAAAAACTCAAAACATTAGAATTAAAACAGGATAATCAGATTATTTCCTCCAAGAAAATCAAACAAAACAAAACATGTAACTAGTATATTCAAAGAATTGTTTGCCATTTATTCAGATTTTATTGAAATAAAATATATTCTTTTAAAATATTTCTCTACACTACTAATATAGATGTCCCATAGATAAAGACCCAGACAGTCTGAAGTAGTTTTTAAAGGATTTCTCATGTTTCAGGGAAGATTTGACTAGGAGACAAATGAAGTGCTTTTCAATTCTAACTCTATAATCCCATGAAATGCAGACATCAAATATAAGAAATTGTCATAATGGAATTTCAGTTGTTAAAATATCTTTACATGTTATAAAAATGCTATTTTGACATATATACGTTGCCTCACCAGAAATTATTCTGATGCTTAAGGGATTAGAAATATAAAATGTCATTGTGATTAAATGTATTAACTGCTATAGAAGAATATATGTAAATTCAAGAAATGTCCATTCTTTATGTATGTATATATGTTTACATATAGACACACACATAGAGATGCATTTCATACATACACACATACATATGGATATGTACACACATATATACAAACATGCATACATATACATACATATATATATAGTTTGATCTTTGCCTACGTGCATACTTATATATACAAACATACATGTGATGTGCATATGTGTGTATAAACTTCTGAGTACATATATATGCACAGATATGTGCACACCTATGCATATATGTGCATTTATAGGTTTATATATACACACCTATATATAGGTCTATATGTGTATATTTATTCATTTATGTAATGCATATATTGAAGTATGTATGCATTAAATATACATTATGCATACACATGAAATACAAATGTGTAATTATATAAATATGCATATATACATATATGCACATGCATAAACATATATAGCCATACACACATACAGAGATAACAAACAGATATGCATGATGAAAGAAACTAAGCATCCTCTAAAGGGAAAATGTAATAAAGAAAGTGCATTAATTATTTATGATCCGTTTCATAATTTAATACTTGTAAATTTTGTGTTTGCTTTTTTGAAATATTATATTAGAGAAGATAGGGCCATCATAAATATATATATATATATTTTTTTTTATGAGATGGAGTCTCACTCTATTGCCCATGCTGGAGTGCAGTGGCATGACCTTGGCTCACTGCAACCTCCGCCTCCCAGGTTCAAGTGATTCTCCTGCTTCAGCCTCCCGAGTAGTTGGGACTACAGGTATGCGCCACCACGCCCAGATAATTTTTTTGTATTTTTGGTAGAGATGAGGTTTTGCCATGTTGGCCATGCTGCTTTCAAACTCCTGACCTCAGGTGGTCTGCTCACCTCAGCCTCCCAAATTGCTGGGATTACAGGTGTGAGCCACTGCACCCGGCCCCATGGCCATCATAGTTTAATGAGGATAATATATATTAGTACAGTCATGCTTTGCTTAACTGTGGAGCTATGTTCTGAAAAATGTGTCATTAGGCTATTTTGTTGTTGTGAGAACATCATAGAGCATATTCACAAGTCTAGATGGTATAGCGCACTACACACCTAGGCCATACAATATACCTATTGCTCCTAGGTTACAAACCTATACAGAAAGTTACTGTACTGAATACTGTAGGCAACTATAACATGATGATGTTTGTGGATATAAACATGTCTAAACACAGAAAAGCTACAGTAAAAGACGACACTATAATCTGATGGGACCACTGTTGTCTGTGCAGTAGGTAGTCCAAAATGGTTTGTGGTGTATGACTGCATTTCTTTCAGTATGCTTCCTTTCTTGATACTGTCTCATTTGTAAATAAATGTGTAGAAAATTATACCTATAAACTTTATGTTCTAGAAGAAAATTTCTTCCAAAAGATATATTTCGAATGGAAAAATGTGCTTCACAAATTAGAGAAAAACCAATATATGTAAGAAATATCATAAGAGCATGTGAAAATAATACTATTTTTATGTTCCTCCTGAGGTAAATTTGCATATATTCTTCTATAATGTAAGAAAGAAGGGAGGAGGTGAGAGAAAAGGAAGGAAAAGAGAAGGGAAGAAGAGAGATTTGTCAATACAAATAAGTTGGAGAAGAAGTATTTGCTGCATATTCTTATTAAGAACTAAAACACTTTTTAGGAACACAGAATATCTAAGGACTTTTTTGCTTTTATTCTTTATTTAAAAAATGAATAACATAGATCCCTCTAAGAAACTGTTTAAACTAATGTTCCTTATCCTCAAACACATATAATTATCTAAGGCAATAGCCTATGGATAGGAAAGGAAAATACATATTATAAATCCCATTTGCACCTTAGAATAAACAGGCAAAGTCCATGCATTTCAACAAATATTTTTAAAAAATATAATATATGTTTGAAGCTGTACTAAGTAGCTATGCAAACCACAGATACAATAGTGTGTGCATCGTGCATTTTCAGTGGGGGCCATACCACCCCCAAGTAGGCAAAAATCGGTTGGCAAAGTGAGTCAAAGCTCTGACTCATTTTTTTGTGTAAATATGTATGCAATGCCATGACTAGATATACAGAACTTCTGTAGCACTAAGATTTCATTGGTGGAGGGGCAGTCGGAAAAAGAAAATTTTAAAGTCTCTTCTAGGGCATGACAATAGAAATAATAATTAATGCTGAGAAACACTGGTGCACATAATACAATGGAAACAGAAAAGAGAAGCAGGGTAGGAAAGTCAGACAGACTTCCTCAAGGAGCTGAATGAGAGTTCTTTCAACAGATAGGTAGAGTTAGCTAGGAGGAGTTGCAGCAGGGAGGATAAAGTAAATCAATTATAAGGAAAGAACAGCAATGCAGTCATTGGAGATATGAAACGAGAGTGACCTGTGCAGAGAGCTGTAAGGCAAACTAGTGGGACCGAAGGGTGGATTAGCAGGACAACAAGATATTGAAGATGTGTATGGTTTAAGCAGCTTGAGCTTCTCCCGTGGGCAAAGAAAAGAAGGCATTGGTGACCTTTCAGCTGATGGCACCCAATTTGCATTTTAAGCAGACTTGCTACAGAAGCAAGAGAAGCAGTCAGGAGACTGTACACATGGTGATGACATGCAGGTCTACTTCTTTTATCCATAATTCCAAAATCAAAAATGGTCTGAAAACCAAAAAATTTTTGTAACTGACCTGAACGTATATGAACCTATTTATACTTTTGGTTTTTCTCATTATGTAGAAAATCGTTTCATTATAAACATATTAATGTATCCTATTATGGATTTGATTATGCCCTGGAACAATCTGACAGTGTTACTTAATTCACAGTATCATGCACTAAAATTTCTAAAATGTAAAAAAAGAGACAAAGAGACAAAACTTAACTGTGAAACTTTAAGTGCTTGCAATATTGGATAAGACCTTGTAAACCTAGAACAACCTGTCTTGAGAGTTTATGCCTAGACTATTTAAATGATTTACACATTTTATATTTCATACTTTACAACAAGTTTCTAAGGTAGTTATAGTTACCTCTATCTGGTATCTTTAAAAAAATTAAAACTTGAAGAATTTAAGTAAATTGCCCACAGCAAACATATAGAATCAGACAATCCGTAGAGCATCGGTTTGACTTCAAAGTTCATGTTCATTATCTGAGTATACGTTAGGACAAAGATAATTAATGGGTGGTTGTTCATATCTTTCTCTCTACTCATCCCAGAGCATCAGAGTGTTTGATCTATCTCCTCCAAGCCCTCATGGAGAATAAAATGATTGAAAGAGGCTCAAATATAAATATGTGGCCGAGATGGCCTTGCTTGGAAGATTAAAGGAAAGAATACAGGAGTAGCTACAGATTCATGGACTTTTGTTTACTGTCAATTGCAACAGATTGTTTCTTAAGAATTTTCAGAATTCATAGCCATTATTCTTTACTCAAGAATAAAAGTGAATTACTTTTTCTAGGCAGAAACCTTCTTAATGCCTTACATTTTCATGTCAGATCAAAGGTTTCAAAATGAGGCCTAACAGTCTTTTCAATCCTGGTGTCATTTTTCAGTAAAAGAAGCTAGAAGTAACAATGTTGAATCTTTTACATTTGTGTAAAAACCGTAGTAAAATTGAGATTACCTGGGTGTCCTGTGGTATTTTTCCACAAGCTAATTAAAGTATTGATTGAATTATTTCTTCCTGGAAGGTGTGCGAAAGGTCTGGTCATGACATTTTCCCAGAACAGATCTATTAAACTGAGGAATATAGTTAGACTGGCAGGCTATATTTTCTGCATTCCTTTTTTCTCTGCCTTTTGAGAGTTACAAATAAGTGCTGACCTATAAACCTAAGGACAAAAGAAATGTTGATGTTTTGACAATTAGAAACATCAAATGATGTTTGACAAGTATATCAAATGAAATCAGGTAACAGATTAATAAATCATTTCTTCGTTATTTACTGAAATCTTAGATCTGTGGTATCATGTAGGTAAATAATTTATTCTTACCATGTAGAATCACATTGCAGAGTATTTGTTAAGAATATGTCTTTGTAGCTGGACTACCCAGCTTGAATTCTGGTTCATTCACTTATTAACTGGGTGAACTTGAGAAAGTCACTTAACACCTGTACTTCAGTTTCTAAGAATGAAAAATAGAAATAATGATAGTACCTACCTTAGGGGTTTTTATGGAATCCAATCAATTAATACATGTAAAGCATTAAAGCTGCCATCTAATAAGTGCTCAAAGTTAGCTTTTAACAATTATGATTACTTATTAAAAGGCTTTCTATATTAGTAGACAACAGAGAAGAATAAAAAGAAGAGACTATAGTTAAGATCATTAGCTGGGTGCAGTGGCTCACGCCTGTAATCCCAGCACTTTGGGAGGCTGAGGCATGAGATCACTTGAGGTCAAAAGTTGGACACCAGCCTGGCCAACATGGTGAAACCCCGTCTCTATTATAAATACAAAAATTAGCCAGGTGTGGTGGTGCATACCTGTAATTCCAGCTACTCGTGTGGCTGAGGCAGGAGAATCTCTTGAACCCAGGAGGCAGAGGTTGCAGTGAGCCAAGTTTGTGCCGCTGCACTCCAGCCAGGACAACACAGTGAGACTCTGTCCCCCACCAAAAAATAGATCATAGTTCTGCTTCACATGGTTTCCACTTTGGTAGAGATGTTAATTGCTTAATGCAATAGTTATAATATTTTTAAACTTCTTTATCTTCTTTCACATCACACTATGGAGCCTAAAAAAGTAAGACAATAATTTCCAAGATTGTCTTGCAGCTAGGCATGGCCATGGGAAGTTATGGCCATTGAACTGAAAAGTCAAGGCTGGTGGGTCTTCACAGAAAAGATTTTTATCTCCGAAGAAGAAACATGTACTTGTTTTATATCTTCCTTACATGAATGTGGACATGTTTCCTGGAGCCACGGCAGTCATTCTGTTACCATGAGGTGACCAGCATAAAGACAAGAAGATAATAGATCAATAAGACACTGAATAATCCCAGCATGACTGAGGTCTTGGTAGCATTGTAAGGACCTGAATCAATGCCAAGGATTATCTAACTATTGCTTTTTTAGTATTTGAAGAAAGTGAACTATTTTAAAATTCATTCTACTGCCCAGCACTTAACATTCATCAATGATATGATGCCATGTTTCTAACCCTGTAATCTTAAAAATTGCTCAACCTGCATGAACTGAAGTTTTCTTGTAGTGGAGGGGTGTAATGCCACCAGCACCACAATTTGGTGATAAAGAGGAAACGAAAAGTTACCACTGTAATTGTTGCTGCAATGATCACTTTAACTTTTTTTTTTCAATCACACAACCAACTAGGTTGTGTTTGTATTTGCCTGTGTTACACTATATGCTGATTTTAAAACAAAATTAATTGTGGGGTTTTTTTTAGAGACACTATAAAGTCCTTTTATTCAGGTAGTAAGATATTATCATGCAGTATATTTCAAGTGGTCCCAATCACCTAGATGATTAATTTAGATAGTAAAATGTATTTAAAATATAGATTATTTTTAAAAACATGCCATTTTATTAATTTAATGGACTATTTTATTAATTTAATGGACTATTTATAGCCTCATCTTAATTGAGTTCAGCTGGGTTTGATAGTTTTGACCATTATATCTTGAAACGCTCCTTTTCCTTATATTGACATACTTGGATTTTTTCTTTCTTCTGTTCACTCTGAATCTCTGTTTTTGACACCTCTTTGTCTATCTCTTAAATGTTGATACTACTTAGTCATCTTTCCTTTAAACTTTATTTTCTTTACCTGATGGCTGTTGCTCACCATTCTTCCTCAGGGCATTTACACAAACTAAAAAGAGCAATATTTATACTCAGTGAGGAGTGGAAGAAGAACGTGGATTCATAGTTCCTAAGGCTTGAAAATAAAAAATGCAAAAAAAAAAATACTTCGCAACAGTGGGAGTTTCTATGACATCCTGCCTGCAGGATCCCATTTAATGGGTTGACGCTGTTGTTACCTGTGCCCGGAGCTGTCTTAACACTGGGTCTGTTGTTATGGAAGCAGGTTCAATCTTAGCAACAGTTGGCAGCCCCCAAAAGTGTTTTACTTAATTTTTTCCTGAATATTAGAGAAAAAATAATAACCAATAAATGAAAAACAAACCGTGGAATAATCTAGAGTCAATAGGTAAGCACCCTTTGTTTCACGTAATTCAACCTTGGAGGGGAAATGGAAAGTCAAAAATTGATAACTATTTTTGTTCCATAATAACATTACGAACAATTAATTCAGCCAAGTCTCTTTGCATAATTTTCCACACTGACATATGTTAATGTTTGCTCTGTATGGCTGCACCTGCCTAGAGCAAAGTCAGTGTGATATTTGGTTTGTTTCTTTGGTAATTTCTTACTTTCTGAAAGTGAAAAAATGGAATTCTACCCTTGAATGTAGTGGTTTTGTTAAACCCTACTTATACATGCTGCTTTTATCAGCCTTCATTAATTTTTAACATATTTCATTCTAGAAATGCAAATCCAGAATATGTTAAGCTTTTCTAATTGTAAATGGGATATATGTACATAATTAAAACACAAAGAAGAGTAGTAGATTTATAACACATTAAAACATATAACTCAATATGACTTTCTCCCTTTCTCAGTTTGCCAGAGGTAACACTCTTACCTCTTTACTGCTGCTGCAATTTCTCTCTATATTTTAAAAATAATTAGTGAGTACTTCTATCTCATTCATTGATTTATATTATCATCTATTAACTTCCTATTATTGCAGATGAGAATTTTATCTCTTATGTCCTTTCTTCCCATTTCTCCACATTTCTACTTTATTTTTAATCACACTTTCCCATTATTGTACTTATTTAAGTTTTTTAAGTTGAGCCAAAATGTTTAATAAGATATTTCTTTGTTTATGAACCTTTGTGTTGGACCTGGGCTTAAAAAGCACGCCTTTTGTTTTTCATTTGTGTAGTTTTCTTTGCATCTCTGGCTAAGTCTTCACATATTCATTCCAATAACTATAAATTGCCCATAAAAACAGCTTTAAAATATCTATCCTGTCTGATAATCTATTTGTTCCTGCCATTTTCCTTACTGGGACCTCCCATTCCAATTTGATCTGATTATCCTGTAAACCTACTGTTTCATCCTGGGTCCCCTCCTGGTCATCATCCTGGGCTTCCCTTTCCCTGTATCATCTGTAGATCAGTTGTTTCTGGATCCTGTGTTATCCTTTTGGATTTACTCCTAAATTTCTGTTAGAGAAATTTTCCAGTAACTTCCTGAGAAGGAGCATAGAAAAAATACATTTTAAAGTTTTGCCTGAAAAAATGTATATTTCAATATTCATATTGATCGATAACTATTCTAGATATAGAATTCCATGTTTCAAAAAAATTAAGAACTCCAAATAGCCAGAACAATTTTGAAACTGAAAAAGAATTGAAGGTTTTATCTTTCCTAATTTCAAAACTTATGACAAATCTGCTGTAATCAAACAGCGTGGTATTGGCATAAAAACAGACACAGGCCAATGGACTGCAATAGAGTCCAGAAATACACTATCACATATATGGCCAAATGATTTTCAACAAGGGTGCCAAGAGTATTCAGTGGGGAAAAGGACAGTCTTTTTAACAAATGGTTTTGGGAAAATTGGATATCCACTGCAAAAGAATGAAGTTGGACCCATACTTTGCACCATATATAAAAATTAACTCAAAATATATCAAAGACTTAAATGTAAGACCTAAAGCTATAAAACTCTTAGAAAACAACATAGGAGAAAAGTTTCATGACACTGGATTTTGCAGCAATTTCTTGAATATGACACCAAAAGCACAGGCAACAAAAGAAAAAAATAGGTAAATTGGACTACATCAAAATTATAAACTTCTGTGGATCAAAGGACACCATCAAAGTGAAAAGGTAACCATTGAAATGGGAGAAAATATTTCTCAATCAAATATCTGATAAGGCATTATTACCTAGAACATATAAAGATTTGCTACAACTCAACAACAACAAAATAACCTAGTTAAAAATGAATAAATGACTTCAATAGACATTTTTTCCAAAGCAGATATACAAAATATCAATAAGCATACAAAAATATGTTCTACATCACTAATCATCAGGGAAATACAAACCAAAACTACAATAAAATATCATCTCACACCCCTTAGGATGTTTACTATTAAAAAGTAAAACAGAAAGTAACAGGTGTTGGTGAAGATGAAGATATATTGGATTTTTGTGCACTGCCCTGTTGCTGGGAATGTAAAATGGTGCAATCACTAGGCAAAACAGTATGGCAGTACCTAAAATAAATTAAAAATAGAATGCAATTGCTATATAACCTAACAATTCCACTTCTGAATATAAACAAGAGAATTGAAAGCAGGGTCTTGAAAAGATATTTGTATACCCATGTTCATGGTAGCATTATTCACAATAGCCAAGAGTTGTGGAAGCAATAAAAATATCCATGAAAGGATAAATGTATTAAAAAATTGTAGACTATCCACACAATAGAATACTATTCAGCCTTATGAGGAACCCACGTCCTGTCACATGCTACATTATGGATATAATTTGAGTATATTTTGCTAAGTGAAACAAGCCGATCACAAAGACAAATAACGTATGAACCTGCTCCACCTATATTACATATCTGGAGTAGTTAAATTCACAAAAACAGAAAGCAGAATAGTAATTGTCAGGTACTAGGGGAGAAAGAAATGCAGAGTTGTTATTTAACAGGTACAGAGTTTTTGTTTTGCAAGAAGAAAAAGCTTTTGAGCTCTGTTGTGCAACAACCCAAACATATTTATCACTAATTAGCTATATCCTTAAAAATGCTTAAGATGGTAAATTTTACAGTATATGTATTTTACCACAAGTAATTTTTTTAATGAAAACAAAATTCTGAAGACAATACTTAGGGAGTTGAGACAGAAACCAATGGAAGAACTTTCCCCAGCCCCAGGAGGGAACATTCACAAGGTGGGCCTTATGTTGTTTCCAAATCACTGTAGACATAGGACTCTTTAGGATCTCCTTTTCTTTTATTTTTCAAATGTACATGTACATTGAATCTTGCCTTTTTTATTATACAGTTGGTATAGAGAAATTTTTTTAAAATTTTATTATTTCTTTAATCCTTGAGCAGTCACATCTAGACCTTTGAACCATCCAGAGTTCAAGACTGTAAATAATTATTTAATTATATATATACTTTTAAAAGTTACCATTCAACACAGTTTCCTAGATTTTAAATGTAAGTTTTTGCATCATTAGATCAAAATACTTTATAATCAATATCTGTCGATTAAAGTAACAATTAATATAAGGACTTTATTGCAAGAGTTCTACATGGATACAAGTACACATATACACCAACCATAAACTGAAAACAAAACTATGTAATAATATTCAAATAAATTCCATGTAAATTATATTTCTGTATTAGTTTTCTATTGCTACTGTAACAACTTATCACAAACTTAGTGCCTTAAAGCAATGCAAATTCTGGCCCGCACGGTGGCTCACGCCTGTAATCCCAGCACTTTGGGAGGCCAAGGTGGGTGGATCACGAGGTCAGGAGATCAAGACCATCCTGGCTAACGTGGTGAAACCCCATCTCTACTAAAAAATACAAAAAAAAAAAAAATTAGCCGGGCGTGGTGGCGAGTGCCTGTAGTCCCTGCTACTTAGGAGGCTGAGGCAGGAGAATGGCATGAACCTGGGAGGCGGAGCTTGCAATGAACCGAGATCGCACCACTGCACACTCCAGTCTGGACCACAGAGTGAGACTCCGTCTCAAAAAAAACAAAAAAGCAATGCAAATTCATTACCTTACAGTTCCGGAAGTGAGAAGTCCAAAATGGATCAGCAGCGCTGCATTTCATCTGAAGGCTCTAGAGGAAAATGTATGTTGCTTTTCCTAGCTCCTAGAGACTGCCTCCATTCTTTGCCTTATGGCTCTACATTACTCCCACCTCTGCTTTAGTTGTCACATCCTCTGAGTTTCTTGACTTCCTATTTCTCTTATAAAAGACCCTGTTGACCAGGCGTGATGTTCACGCCTGTAATCCGAGCACTTTGGGAGGCCAAGGCAGTCGGATCACTTGAGGTCAGGAGTTCAAGACCAGCCTGGCAAACATGGTGAAACCCTGTCTCTACTAAAAAAAAATACAAAAAAAAGAAAAAAAATTAGCCAGGCATTGTGGTGCACGCCTGTAATCCCAGCTACTTGGGAGACTGAGGCAGGAGAATCGTTTGAACCCAGGAGGAGGAGGTTGCAGTGAGCCAAGATCGCTCCACTGCACTCCAGCCTGGGCGTCAGAGTGAGACCTTGTCAAAACAAACAAACAAACAAACAAACCTGTGATTGTCTTGCTCTCACCTGAATAATTCAGAATAATCTCATCTCAAAATTCTTAATTTAATCACATCTGCGAATTTCTTTTTGCCATGTAAGGTAACATATTCACAGATTCCTGGCATTGGGGCATGGACATCTTTGGGGGCCATTATTAGATTGTTTCTAAACAACTAAATCTTGTGTTGCTTTTTTTTTTAATGTAGCATTATTGTGGCCTTAATTGACTGATAGAATACCTTTTTAACTTTAATTAAAATTGTCATAAAATTGAATTTTAAAATGACACAAAAAGTACTGGCTACAAAGAAAAATATTGATAAACTGAATTACAATATAATTAAAGCTTCTGTTCATCAAAATGTATTGAGTGAAAATACATCATACTAACTAAATACAACTGACACGGGGACTTATTCACAGTATATTTTAGGAACTCCTACAAATCAGTATGAAAACAATAGATAATCCCAGAGAAAATAGTCTAGAGATTTAAGCAAGACTTTCCCTAAGGAGATATTCAGATATCCACGTACGTATGAACATTGCTATGCTTCATCAGCCATCAGGGCAAAGCAAAGTAAAACCCCAACAAGATACAACCATCCACCCACCCAAAGGACTAAAATAGACTGAAAATTTACATGCTACCCAGATTATCATAGCGTACTAGTGGCAAGAAATTGCTACAAGCACTTTGGAAAACAGTTTAGCAATATGTTATAAATTGGGGGAAAGACTGTCTACTTGAGAAACAGAGCAGAGGCCGGTATAGGTAAACATCCTGAGGTAAGGAGAGACTAGTATGAGAAGAATTTGAGTACAGACACCATGCTAAGCAAAACCTTTTAGGATGTGGTAAATAAAATGCAGTTTTCATTGTAAGTGCAATGGAAAGACACATTGTTATGTGTGGAGAATGAGTTGAAATGGGGCAAAAAAAAAAAAAAGCAAAATGACTAGTTAGTAGGATTATGTTAGAAATCAGTAACTAAAAGGATTAGGGTGATGGCGATGGAACTGCAAAGAAGCAAGTGGATTCAAAATGTATTTTGGAGGCGTAATCAAATGAATAAAAGGTTATGTGGAAGCCAGGGTTTGTAAGACAAAGAAACAAAAACAAACAGGAGAAAGGAAGATGTTTCCTAATTTCTCTGGCTGAGCGATTTGGTGCATGATACGGTTTATTCATTTCTTAAGACAAGGAAGAAATTAAGTGAACTTCTAGGAGGTTTTGCCTTTCTACTTTGACAGATTGAATTTTGTTTCTCTTTGCTCTACATTTCTTACCCTGCCATGCATCATTGGGATCTGGTTTAATGAGGGGCATGTTAAGGAGAAAATAGCATGGACCATAAGTAGATAATCCAACATCTCTGCGATCAACACTTCTAAGAGTTCAGAATACAGATAGGAATTTCATTTCTTCACACTTCTCTGTAAACACATGAGTGAGACAAAGAATTTGTCTCCATTACTAATCACCTCACGAGGAAGTGTGTTATAGAAGAATAGTAAAGATGTTAAAAGAAATCAAACTGTATAATACGGGTAATAAAGATTTTGCTTTGGATTTTTATTTAATTTGTGCTTTAACTGAATTGTTCAGGAAAAAATTAGATGTACTAATAATAGGTTTAATGTAAAATGTACTAATTTCTTAGAAAATAAGTAATATGTCATATGAGAAAATAGCAGTTAATTATTACAGTGACTTTTATTTTACTTTGTTGAGACAATAATTGTCTTCATAGTCTATCTGGGAAATGTACACTGTTAATTATTATCTCATTTTCCTAAACAGAAGGATGCTAAATTAGTGATTTTAACAGAAGTAGAAACTAGCACAAAGCAATGTATTATTTAATATTTCTTGAATTTTATTTGCTATGCTCAAAAGTATTTGGTCAGGATAATTTGGCAGATCAATTTAATGCTAATAATAATTAATATTAAAAAGAGGACAGACTGAATATAATGCCATATTTCTAATGGAAATGTATTAAAAATTCAGGCAAAATATTGAATGTAAATAATTTGGATTACAACTTCCAAGTTAATTATCACAAAAGAAATGTTAGCTTTTCACCTATTACACATTTTATTACAATATTTTAGACCATTCATCACCTTCAAGAGAATGTCTGCACTTCATTTTTATAATTTATAGTGACTAAAATGTGAGAAAATACTGATTTTCAGATCAGTGAATAATTTAAATAAATTAACGTATAAACTAAAATCTAATTTTAGTTCTTACCAGCCCCTTTTTCTTGACTCTTTCATGGTCTAAATCAATCTTTGGAAAATATGAGTGAAGGTGGAATTTGAAATGCTAAATTTGCTATAAAAATGTCATTCACCTATCCTCCAGGATTCTTCATTAAAAAGAAGCAGTCTAGGCACTTTGCTTTATTTCTAACTATTATTGAGGTAAAAATAGAAAAAAAATAGGCTAAGAATTCATATCAGTGCAATTAATCTTTTACAACTACCTTACCCTATTTTTGCAATAGTTAAGGCAGAAACTAGAGATTTTAATGATTTCTTACTTTTTTTCACATACATTTAAGGAGTACAAGCTCAATTTTGTCACATGGGCATATTGCATAGTGGTGAAGTCTTAGTTTTAGTGTATCCATCACCTGAATTATTTACCATCCACCCCCCACACACACCATGTGCACCCCACCACACCATGTGCACCCCCCTGCACCTACCTTCTGAGTCTCCAATGCTTATTACTTCACATTCTATGGCCAAATCCCATTTACCCACTGTTGTTTTTGTTGCTTGTGCTCTTATGGTCTTAGTCATGAATCTTTGCCTGGACTATTGAGTCTTCATTAAATTTCTCTAGGGTTTCTTCTAGTATTTTTGTATTTTTAGGTCTTACACTTAAGTCTTTCATCCATTTTGTGTTGATTTTTGTGTATGGTGAGAGATTTGGGTCTGTTTTCAGTCTTTTGCATGTGGCTATCTAATTTTCACAGTACCACTTATTGAAAAGGATTTCCTTTCCCCAGTGTATGTCCTTGCTGACTCTGCCAAAGATCAGCTGGCTGTGGATATGTGGCTTTACTTCTGGGTTCTCTATTCTGTTCCATTGGTCTATATATCTGTTTTTATGCCAGTACCACACAATATGATGCCTCTAGCTTTGTGCTTTTGGCTTAGGATTACTTTGGTTATTTGGTCTCTTTCTGGTTCCATATGAATTTTAGGATTGCTTATTCTAATTCTTTGAAAAATGATATTGGTATTTTAATAGGGATTGCAGTAGATCTGAAATTGCTTTGCATAGTATGGTCATTGTAATAATATTAATTCTTCTGATCTATGAGCATGTGATATTTTTCTAATTGTGTCATCTGCATTTCTTTCATGAGTGTTTTGTAGTTCTCTTTAGATCTTTCACTTCCTTGATTAGAGAACTATTACCTTGCATTTGTTGAAGGGATTTCTCACTGCAAAATTCTGTTCTACACACTAGTAAATTCTCACAAGTCTGTGAGGAAATTTATAGAAGCTTTTCATACTCTGAATTTATGGCTGATAAAATTTAAAAATATATACATAATTTGACTATTAGATCAGATTCTGATATGCAGGAGATGTATATCCTGGCCTAAAATAAATTACATTGATACCTAATCCCCATCCTGCCAGGTAGGAAAGTCAGTTATAGTTAATGCTTTCTCCTTTCAAAGCATAACCAGGAATCTAGCAAAAGTCTAATGTCTCATGAAAAGTAATAAATTCTAGAAAGCCCCTTTGTTCTATTATCCATACTCCTGGTAATTGTGCCCTGGGTTCCAACTGACAGAGTCTTTTAAGTCTGTCAAGCGCATTGGCTTAGAAGACTTCCTGCTTTGCTAAATGACAGGACTATTGGTAAGATGAGGAGCCCCTACCCACCTCAGGGAGTCTCCCTGAATCACCCAGCCTCCGCAGTTTCTACACCTTTGCCATTTCCCTGACACATAATGGACAAGCCAAGCTCTTTCCTGTCTCTGTACAAATCTATTCCTTTTCCTTCCATCTGTGATTGTAGACACTCTCTCCTCTCTCCCTTATTCCCAAATGGAGTTTACTTTCTTGCCTGTCCTAAAACTTTAGCAACAGGTACAAAGACATCCGGCAGACATTGCCTTTAACATTTGTCAAAGTCCCTGAGGCAAGACATTAAAAGAGACTGAGTACTTGGATGAAAAATACAAAAGACTGATACAAAATTAACATCTCAGAAATTATTTTGCTGAGAATAAAAACTACAGGAACTACATGTGATGCCATGAGTCGAAAGCATTGGAACCTTGGCTTCCTAAATCCAAATTCAATACTTTTTTACTATATCATTTTGTGGATTTTGTATCCTCAATTAGTGCCTGTTCTGAGATTATTGTACGTAGTATTATTCTAACTAGTTTTCATTTTCTTGCTAGTTTGTCTGATAAAATATCTGATATCTGGCTGTTCACCCCAGATTATCAAGATTGTCTACATAATAGTTCCTCATGTCTTCTATTAATTTTTTTTAAATAAGCATCAGCCGGGTGCTACACAGGTAGTGTGATGAACGAGGTCTTTATCCATGTGTGATGATGTTGTGGGAGGAAACAGTGGCTGCTTGAAGAAAATAATCTAAACTGAGAACTGAAGAAATTTTAGGAGTCATGCAGATAAATAGGATGAGGAGGGAGGATGGAGAGATAGTGTTTGGCAGAAGAAGGCATAAATTCAACGTCCAAGACAGTGCATGGGCCTTCCCAAGAATTAAAAGAAGTTCAATACAGCAAATCTTCAAAAGCCTTATAGATCAAGTTAAGGAATTCAGGTTATGGGCTAATGATTTTGGAGAAATGTCACTAAAGGACTCAGGAATTATATAAAGAGTTTGATGAAACCAGAGCAGTATTTGATAAAGATAACGGAATGGAGCATACAGGACGGAGGAAGGCAGCGATGGTGGTTGGGGGAGGACGGTGCACAATATTAGGTTCTGGAAGGCCACTGAAGAGACTCTGACAGTGGTTCAACTATGAAAATATTCATAACTGGGACTAGGAAAATGGCGAGCCAAAGAGCCAAAGAAGGAAAATTTTAAAAATAAATTCCAGTGGTATGTTCAGTAAGGTTTTTTATGAAAATACATTACAGTGACTCATGCAGTATGCCCTTCTCGCTTAAATTCCTATGGTACAGAAGCAGACAACTCTAGATGCTCAATCTTTCACCCCTGCCCTCCCATGTAGCCATAGTGACCATGTGCCAGGGCTCTGCTCATGAGTTAAAACACCAGAATCATCGTTGAGGGTATCTCTTCCCAAATCAAAAAGGCAAAGCCTTGCAGGGTGGAAATCCTTTTGCCATTTACTATCATCCATCCTAACCCAGACCATTCTTAAAAGATGATGATGCTTGGAAAACAATTTTTCTTTCAGTTATTTAAATTAAGAGCTTACATTCTCCAAGTGCAGAATGGAAGAGGAATGTATCCATGTGTCTCTTTAGATAATAAGCTGACAATCCAACACTCTGCCTCAGCCCTCCCTGCTCCCTAGCCCATGCAACTAGGGCTACCAACCACAGCTAATAGGCCTCATGCTGTGTGCATGCCCACAGTGCATGGACTTCAAAACTTCTCATTTGATCCTTAATTAAAACCACTTTGCTGAGCAAAAAGCTGACTGATTGCCTTAGGAGATCTACAAAATAGACACTGTTTTATTTATCAGTACCTGAATTTATACATTACACACATTATAATTTACAACAAATTATGTCATTTCTATGAGGATGTCTTATTACCTAGAAATAACTACTACATTAATAGAGGAAAAAATGTACTTGCCAAGTCTTTCAGACCAGGGAGGGCTGAGGCAGAGTGCTGGATTCTGTCAGCTTATTATCCAAAAAGACAGGTAGATAAATTCCCCTTTCATTCTGCACTTGAACACCTAGTTATTATCCTCCTTGTGCTTACATTGTTAAGCCTTTCTCCTGGAAGTGGCAGATAGTAACTGCTTTGAAATAATGCTTAAAGGATCTCTATGTGTCTGGATGGAGTTAAGGCACACTCTACATGTGGAACTTCCTTAGAGTGGGAATGAGCGCTGAGCTTGAAACATTTCTGGAAACTTCAGGAACCTTGGGGAATGAAAAACTATAAATAAATGAAATGAGAGCATTCCTGAAACCTGTAAGCAGGGTAGAACTCCCTGGTATAACCTTGAAAGTGAATATGGATTTTGCTTTCAGGCCATAGAAATGAGCTCACAACTGAATTAGAAAAACCAAGCAGATCCTGAATTATTCTGCTGTTTCCCAGTGTACCTGTAATAATGTGGCTTGATAGAATTGATTTTTTTTTTTTTTGAGATGGGTTTTCACTCTCTCTCCCAGGCTGGAGTGCAGTGGCTTGATCTCAGCTCACTGCAAGCTCTGTCTCCTGGGTTCAAGCCATTCTTCCGCCTCAGCCTCCTGAGTAGCTGGGACTACAGGCGCCAACCACCACGCCCAGCTAATTTTTTTGTATTTTTAGTAGAGACGGGGTTTCACTGTGTTAGCCAGGACGGTCTCGATCTCCTGACCTCGTGATCCGCCTGCCTCGGCCTCCCAAAGTGCTGGGATTACAGGCATGAGCCACAGCGCCTGGCCGAATTGATTTTTTTTGTAAGAAATAAATGACTTCCTGGCTAAAAGTGAATAAAGAATTAGTAAACTAATTGGTGTGTTTTCTAAAATAGAAGTGGTAAATTACCTAGATAAAAGATAAGAGATCCAATTTTAAAAATATGGAATAATTATTTAATTAGAACCTTCTTACTATGTAAACACCTTACCTTAATTCGTTTCCCTAGTTATAAAGCAGTTTCCATATGAACTGGAAGCATATATGTTTTCATGTGTGTTTTCTAAAGACTGCTACAGCTCCTGGCACATAATAAGTATGTAATAAATATTTGTTGAATAAATGAATTTTCACTTGATTTATTAATACTTTTGGTCAGCAAATTTTCTGAGATGATGTTTTTTTAACTGTAAATTGTAACTCGACTATTGGCTGAATTGGACATAGAGTTTGCCTAAAAATTTATGGTCATTCAAACATGAATTGACCATGTTATAAAAATACAGGGATTACATTAGCAATAACTAAAATGCCAATTTCAAATACTATTTGAATTTCCTTTTCTTTCCTCTATTCTGTTCACCACCTGAGAGGAATATAGCTTTGCATGTGACATTTAAAAATATAGGATAGCAGTGGCTACAGCTATCCTATAGTGACTTCATTATTGTCTTTCATAAATATTTGAATCGTCTTATTTGTGGAAAAATATTGCTTTGTGTAACATGCTCTGAAAAAAAAAATCCTTCTGTATGTGTTTCATTTCATTGTTTTTGATGTGTTTTCTTCCAACCACTAGTTAAAATTCAAAAATCAAAATTAATTGTAAAGAAGTAAAGTTTGTTACTGGAGAAAAATTAAGACATTTTCCCACTATGTTTTGTTGCGTTCTTTTGAATGCTCATTCTCTCATTATGCAGTTGTATTATGATCAACTCCTCATCATTGTTTAATTGTGTCCTAACTACAGTCCAAGTGACCTTCTATAATGAGCTTCTCTTTCAGGGATCAGCTCCTCCTCACATTTGAAAATATCGTAGTGTTTTGACTATTATTTTCCTACTTCATGTTATCTGGTAATTATGGCAATTTACCTTTCTACCTGGCATTATAAAATGGTATTTTTCTCATATTACATTTATTTTCTTAATGACAACAATTATTTTGGAAAGAACATATGTGAGAATTACAGAACTGAGATCTTTTCAAAACCTACTCTTTTGACATTCTCAAAACTAATTGTCATTTAAAATGACCTGAGAAGCTAGAGCTCCTATGAGCTGGCACAATCCTGGCAAGGGTCACTCTCAAAATATCCACTGCAACAAAGCCCATCTATTTGATGCTGGCATGAGTTATTAACCAAAATAAAACTGAGACCATGAACTCAGGTTCCCTCAAGCTCTGCACAGCTAAAAGCTCAGTAAGTGAGTAGTATATGGTTCAGCAACCCTCCTAGAAGAGAATGACTCCTTTCACAGGTGCTTGTTGTACTTTTGGAAAGAGACTTAAGCTATTCTCTAGACTTCTTGGTTATTACTCATGTAGTTAGCAGAGCACCATCTGATTATTTATTACTTTAGGAGCTTGCTTTCCTTATCTAAATCATACTGTAAAACATTGAGTTATTTTCCTAGGATTCAGTTATTTCATCAAAATTTTCTTTTTCCTATTTGGCCCTTTAGAGTGAATTATCCTTAATTATTTTATCTGCTTTATTTGGGAAAGAAAACCATTGCAACTGTAGGTATAGGGACTTTCTCTTTCATCTCTGCTGTGGGATTAGTCTGCTTTAACTGAAGAGAGTAATTTTAATGAGTTCCTCTGAGACAAATTTTAATTGAAACACCATGAATTGTAACTTTTATGAGGAAACTTTCAGTTTGTATTTGGTTCCTACTAGTAGTATTTTCTTTAGCTCAGTATGAGACCGAACCATATTTGCTCTATCTGCATAGATTTCAATAACAACAACAAAAAAAGAGTATCAACATTTTTGTGGCTAGTTCTGTAAAGAACCCTTTGTACTTAAATCTAGTTTATGTCTGTTTTCTTAGCTTTACTTATATTTTTTATCTTAAGTAGCAAGCAGCAAGTATGAATTGAATCTCACCTAGCCCTTAGGTTTGCCCTTAATGATCTTATAGCTTAGCTCCTCAGTGAACCTCCATTTCTTCTAATACATTGGCTCTCCAAGTTATATAGTCTTTCCTTTGAAAATATTGATAATTGCAATGAAGTAATTACTATTTTAAAGTACTAGAGCTTCAGATAATATTTTTAAAGTTTAGCTTTTAAATGTGTATAAAATGTCTAATAGAGTGTAGCATTTGGTGGGATATAATATACAATATCATGTAACATGATATAAAATATTTATCATATCATATAATAATTTATATATGTATTCACTAATTTGGAAAGTGGATGCTACATAAAAAAAGCTTATGTTATTTTTGACAAATACTATTAATTAATTTTTAACACAAAGACCTTAAACCCAAATTAAGAAAACCCACATAAAAAATAAAGACCTAAAACACACATAAAAAACAAGCAAGAATAAGAAGAAAGAGAAGGAGAAAAAGAGAAAGAGAAGAATGAAAAGGAGAGCCACACTGCTTATGTATACATGATAAATCTGAAATTGCAACATCATCCATTTCCAATACCCCCACAAAAAAAGGAATAATAGAAGCTTATTATTCAAAACATTATTCAAAGCATTCAAAAAACAAACCTGTGACAGCGTGAAAACCATTCCAGGATTTTCAGTTGCTTCTAATATAATACATAAAGCTGACAGCCATTAATATCACATGTCCTTTGTTTTGAGAGACTATTATTACTTTCAGATTTTTATATAGTTTTATTGTAAAAGTCTAACAATAATCCCAAAACATAAATTTTCCCCTTAAAGATTAAGAAACTGACATTTTGGGGATTAAAATAAGTGGCAAGATAATATACATTACAAATAAAAGAATGGGAGACAAAAACCAAGTCTTTTGATACTTTATAAATTACACATGGATTCCTGCTCCATTTCACATCAATATTTTGTTTATAATACTTAAAGATTTTTAAAGGCTAATTCTTCACATTATAATTGTTAGTATGATACTAAAAAATCATATCTGAATGCACCAGATTATTATATACTAGTTAGCTCAGTTTCTCTCAATATGTAGATTTAGTTTTTCAAATTCTTAAATTCAATAGGAATTTTATGCCTAGAAATATGTTATCTATAAGATTGATGTAGTGTTTTTCCATGGAGTCTAAAGGCAAAGGCAATTGATGAGGGCTAAATAATTGGGTATGCATAAGTTTTCAGGCCATATCACGCTTATCCCGCCACCCCCCTCCCCCTGCCCCAGTATTAATTTTATGTACATTTCTCTTCTGGCAGCCACATTCCAAAGCTGTAATATACAAGAGGCTAAAAAAAATTCTGCCAAAATTATATTTTAATAAAAGCAATGGCTATTTTAGGAGAGGAAGTTGAAGTAAAACAATTCAAGTCATGTATTTAAAAGATAATTATATTAAAAATAACCATAGTTAGGGATGATTTCTAAACCTGTCATTGCATATAAAGACAACTATTTTAGAACAAAATTTTAGAACAGTAGTTCACCAAATTATCTGTTCAAGTTCAACACTCACTCATACATTCATTGTATAAATTAAAACCCTGTTTAATATAATGGTGATCAGTTCTCTAACTTTCATAAACATGTATTGTGTATCAAGTGTAGAGTTTCTAATGGGCACAGTGTTCATCACAATCATTACACCTCTCAGGTACTTTCATGTAAACTATATTTTTAAAAATATGATTTTGAAGAGATCTGACAATGTTATTTTTCAGAGAAAGAACAACCAATATAATGATAAATTATAGCATAAAAAAAAAACTTCCTGACATCTGCAAACAAGTCTGTTCTTTAAGCAGAAAAAAAGAAAATTATTGAAGGCAAATTTAGTGGCAGTTCACTGACACTTTTAAAAAAGAATGACTTCCAAGGTTTCCAAGAGAATAGGATAATATTGCATGAATATGGTTTATTAATATTCATACTGATACAATCCATAATTTCTGTAAAATTGATCTTCAGTTGTAGTTATAGAAAGATTCAGACAAGGAGAATTCCATGAGTGGAGCATGAAACTGGGACTAAGCCTGATCAGATTACATACCAGGAAGTGTACTGACATCATGGTTGTTTATTTCCTTTCTAAGTCATACAGCTGATAACCTATAGTTATTAGATACCGAAAGGAATGAAGAAAATTTTATAAAACATAGCTGAAAGTAGAAAATGTTGGTATAAAGACAGAAAAGCTATTTGATTAATGTAAAATATAGATATTTCTAATACTGGTGAATTTGGATTTATTAATAGTTATCCTTTAAGAAATTACTCTAATTGAAGGCCTTTCTACATCCCAGGAGGATCTCTTCATTCAAAAATTTTACCAGAATAATAGTTTGCATATTTCAGTTGTCTGTACTCTCTGTATGCCACATTTGTTGGAACAATTGAAAGTTTGTGAGACATAGATCACTAGTAATTTTTCATTCCATTTCTATCGAAATGAGGGAGAAAGAATGTTTATACTTCAGTGGGCAGGTTGAAAGTCTTTTCTGGTTCCATAGAAATGTAAATCCAATTATATTTAAAAGGAAAATTACATATCACTTATACTTCTTATTATAAAACTTTCATGAGTTGTCTTCTTTTATTTATTTGATATTCTAAGTCATCCTACTCTTCACTCCACCCCATCTCCAACCACATTGGCCTTGATGAAGAATATGTTTATGTTTTTATCCTTGGATGACAATAGCAAGTGACTTATTTTCTATCCTCTCATTTTTCCTCATGCCCCCACCCTTTTTTTGTGGTACTTAGTGAATAAGAATTCACCTTTCTTTTAGCATCATGTGCAATTACATAATAAATGGCATATGTTCTTATAAGGCATTTGTGGTCACTCATGATGAAATTAAGATGGCAATTGTTATAGAAACTTTTAAATATGATTATATATGCATTAATGACTCAATACAATGAAAAACCTCAAGTTTGAGAGAAGGATATTATTATTATTAAGTTTATGTATATTTCTTTTCAAGCAAACACCAATAATTATGTCATTAAAGATCTAACTAGAACTAATGAGAATGAGCTAGTTAAATCACAGGAAACACCAGCACTGACCTCTGTTCTGCGTAGTCACTGTGGCTGAGCTGGTCATATTGCCTATGTGGGGAAGAGGTCCAGATGGCTACTTATTCTCATTCTCACTTGCACAGGATATAAAATATTAGCAATACATCTGTATAAATTAAAAATATATTATAAATATATTACTATACAAAACATTTTGCATAAATTAAACTGAAATAGATTAAACACAAGAATGCACATAGTAATCACAGCATAATACATTTCCTTAAACTTTTTTTTTAAATTGAAAATATTTTTTATTTATTTATTTATTTGTTTTTATTATACTTTAAGTTTTAGGGTGCATGTGCAAACTTACCTTCAACATTTGTGATATCTAAAAGCCATGACCATTTCAGGGTCTCTGTTAATACTTACCTACGGTCATTTTTTTTTCTTGAACTCATTTAGGATCACAGCCTCTATATTTTCCTTATTATATAGTAAAATGCAATTTCATTCGTCTTCTTACAATGCTACAAATAAGAGATTATAAAATTATTTATTTTATTAGTCTTTTACTTCTTTATTGAAAGAAATCAATCAAAAGGCGTATATCTCCAAATTTTGTCTTCTCTCTTGTAGTTTTCTAATCTTTTTTATTTTGATGCATTTAATCTATTTTGCCCCTTTACCAATGGCTTCTTTATTTTCTTTATAGTTTTTCTTACTTTCTTTGATAGTTTTTAGCATCAACTTCTCATGCTTCAAATGACATTTAAAATACTTCACTCATTATTGTATTGCCCATTTTCTTAGATGTAGTTAAAAATGTTCAGTCCATGACATTCTGACAGTTTGCGATTTTTACTCAAAGGAAGATGCTAGCAGACCAAGTGAGACACATTTGGCAGTTGTGTTCCATTTAGTTTGAGTTAATAAAACAAGGGTGGGGGCAGGGGTATCACTTTGTGAGGAATGCAATGCATGGGAACTAAATCAAGCACTTCTTGGGAATAAATGAGGATAGGAGGGGGAGAGAGAAAACAGAAATTCTGTAGTACATAAATTACAGATATTTTAACAGACAAAAAAAAAACACTTTATCATTAGTCCTTAGTGACTGTAAAAACTTTGTAATTTTATCTGTGTAAGCAGAACCCATATTTGCTAATGGTGAATGAAACTAAATAAGATTCAACATGATTAAAATGTTAACGTGTAATATTTAACAGGATTTCTCCTGCATTGTCTCAGACAAGAAATATTTTTCATGATAATTTGGTAACTACAAAATTAGGAAATAAAAGCTTTTCAGAAGCCCACATAGAAAGCTGAAAAAAGATAGAATACTAAAATTTCTATACAACATGTATATTTTAAACACAGCTAATTATTGATTTCATTCATAGCAAATTCTTAACATCCATGTGTACATATAGATTTATGTTATCTTTTTAAAATATATAGATTCAGCATGAATATAAAAATTTTAACTCTTATTCTAAATAAATATTACATAGTGCTTTCGTTTAATGTAAAAATGTGAGCTATCTCCAGGTACTAGGCATATTAGCAAACTATATCTAAAAATGAAGAGCTGGGCGTGGTGGCTCACGTCTGTAATGCCAGCACTTTGGGAGGCCGAGGTGGGTGGATCACCTGAGGTCAGGAGTTCAAGACCAGCCTGGCCAATATGGCAAAACTCTTTCTACTAAAAATACAAAAAAATTAGCCAGGCATGGTAGCTGATGCCTGTAATCACAGCTACTGGGGAGGCTGAGGCAGGAGAATCACTTGAACCCAGGAGGTGGAGGTTGCAGTGAGCCAAGATCGCACCACTGCACTCGAGCCTGGGCAACAGAGTGAGACTCCATTTAAGAAAAAAAAAAAGTGCCACAATCAGAAAATTGAGACTGAGTATTATTAACAATGACTAGTTATTATCCCCGCATGGTTGCACTGTTTTTTCTTCTTTTCTTTTTTTAGGTTTTTTTTTTTTTTTTTTTTTTTTTGGTAACTAGCTAGTTCTGGTTTACTCTATAACCAAATATGTGTAGTTTTAATTTTCTTCAGCTATGTTCTTATTCATTAATACTGCCTTGGATTTGTAGGTACTGTGCATTTTTCAAATACATTTTTAATTCAGATCCTCAATCTCACTATATACAACACTCCCCCTCTACCCCTCCCACACACACACAGGTCTACCCACCACCATTAACACTACCACTAACGGCAACAATAACAAAAATAAACAGAAATATATAGATCATCATTAGTAACAACCTTGCCAAATTAACTAGTAAGTTAATTTTTATACTTTAAAATTTTGTAGGAAGTTTTGTATACACTCGTTATCAAAAATAAAGTTTTATTTTTTCTTTACTATATACATATATATAGCTTTTATTTTTTCTTGCCTTATATCACTTGATAGTATCAATAGATAGTATCGATAGGGTCCAGTTGAATAGAAGTATTGATGCTTGACATTATTATGTTTCTAACCTCAGGGGGAAAGTGTTCACTAACTCATCAATGATATATGACATTTGCTGTATTTTCATTGTGGATACCCTTTGTCAGATTCATGAAAATTCCCTTCTATTCCTAGCTTTCTGAAAATTTTCATTAAGAATGTGTATCGGCTTTTACTCCAATGAATATTTTGCCTATATTGAGATAACATTAAGACCTATTCTGTTACTGTGGTGAACTATGTATTTATTATATTGAATGTTAAGCCAACATTGTATTTTTGGAATAAATCTCTATTGGTCATGATATATTATATTTTAAAATATTGGTAGATTCAATTTGCTGATTTTTTTATTATACTTTAAGTTTTAGGGTACATGTGCACAACGTGCAGGTCAGTTACATATATATACATGTGGGAGTTGGTGTGCTGCACCCGTTAACTCATCATTTAACATTAGGTATATCTCCTAATGATATCCCTCCCCACTTCCCCCACCCCACAACAGGCCCCAGTGTGTGATGTTCCCCTTCCTGTGTCCATGTGTTCTCATTGTTCAGTTCCCACCTATGAGTGAGAACATGTGGTGTTTGGTTTTTTGTCCTTGCGATAGTTTGCTGAGAATGATGGCTTCCAGCTTCATCCATGTCCCTACAAAGGACATGAACTCATCATTTTTTATGGCTGCATAGTATTCCATGGTGTATATGTGCCACATTTTCTTAATCCAGTCTATCATTGTTGGACATTTGTCTTGGTTCCAAGTCTTTGCTATTGTGAATAGTGCCGCAATAAACAAACGAGTGCATGTGTCTTTACAGCAGCATGATTTATAATCCTTTGGGTATATACCCAGTAATGGGATTGCTGGGTCAAATGGTATTTCTAGTTCTAGATCCCTGAGGAATCACCACACTGACTTCCACAGTGGTTGATCTAGTTTACAGTCCCACCAACAGCGTAAAAGTGTTCCTGTTTCTCCACATCCTCTCCAGCACCTGTTGTTTCCTGACTTTTTAATGATCGCCATTCTGACTGGTGTGAGATGGTATCTCGTGGTTTTGATTTGCATTTCTCTGATGGCCAGTGATGATGAGCATTTTTTCATGTCTCTGTTGGCTGCATAAATGTCTTCTTTTGAGAAGAGTCTGTTCATATCCTTCACCCATTGTTGATGGGGTTGTTTTTTTCTTGTAAATTTGTTTGAGTTCTTTGTAGATTCTGGATATTAGCCGTTTGTCAGATGAGTAGATTGCAAAAATTTTCTCCCATTCTGTAGGTTGCCTGTTCACTCTGATGGTAGATTCTTTTGCTGTGCAGAAGCTCTTTAGTTTAATTAGATCCCATTTGTCATTTCTGGCTTTTGTTGCCATTGCTTTTGGTGTTTTAGACATGAAGTCCTTGCCCATGCCTATGTCCTGAATGGTATTGCCTAGGTTTTCTTCTAGGGTTTTTATGGTTTTAGGTCTAACATATAAGTCTTTAATCCATCTTGAATTAATTTTTATATAAGGTGTAAGGAAGGGATCCAGTTTCAGCTTTCTACCTATGGCTAACCAGTTTTCCCAGCACCATTAAATAGGGAATCCTTTCCCCATTTCTTGTTTTTATCAGGTTTGTCAAAAATCAGATAATTGTAGATATGTGGCATTATTTCTGAGGGCTCTGTTCTGTTCCATTGATCTATATCTCTGTTTTGGTACCAGTACCATGATGTTTTGGTTACTGTTGCCTTGTAGTATAGTTTGAAGTCAGGTGGCATGATGCCTCCAGCTTTGTTCTTTTGGCTTAGGATTGACTTGGCAATGTGGGCTCTTTTTTGGTTCCATATGAATTTTAAAGTAGTTTTTTCCAATTCTGTGAAGAAAGTCATTGGTAGCTTGATGGGGATGACATTGAATCTGTAAATTACCTTGGGCAGTATGGCCATTTTTATGATATTGGTTCTTCCTACCCATGAGCATGGAATGTTCTTCCATTTGTTTATATCCTCTTTTATTTCATTGAGCAGTGGGTTTGTAGTTCTCCTTGAAGAGGTCCTTCACATCCCTTGTAAGTTGGATTCCTAGGTATTTTATTCCCTTTGAAGCAATTGTGAATGGGAGTTCACTCATGATTTGGCTCTCTGTTTGTCTGTTATTGGTGTATAAGAATGCTTGTGATTTTTGCACATTGATTTTGTATCCTGAGACTTTGCTGATGTTGCTCATCAGCTTAAGGAGCTTTTGGGCTGAGATGATGGGGTTTTCTAGATATACAATCATGTCATCTACAAACAGGGACAATTCGACTTCCTCTTTTCCTAATTGAATACCCTTCATTTCCTTCTCCTGCCTGATTGCCCTGGCCAGAACTTCCAACACTATGGTGAATAGGAGTGGTGAGAGAGGGCATCCCTGTCTTGTGCCGGTATTCAAAAGGAATGCTTCCAGTTTTTGCCCATTCAGTATGATATTGGCTCTGGGTTTGTCACAAATAGCTCTTATTATTTTGAGATACGTACCATCAATACCTAATTTCAATACCTAATTTATTGAGAGTTTTTAGCATGAAGGGCTGTTGAATTTTGTCAAAGACCTTTTCTGCATCTATTGAGATAATCATATGGTTTTTGTCATTGGTTCTGTTTATATGCTGGATTGCATTTATTGATTTGCATATGTTGAACCAGGCTTGCATCCCAGGGATGAAGCCCACTTGATCATGGTGGATAAGCTTTTTGATGTGCTGCTGAATTCGGTTTGCCACTATTTTATTGAGGATTTTTGCATCGATGTTCATGAGGGATATTGGTCTAAAATTCTCTTTTTTTGTTGTGTCTCTGCCAGGCTTTGGTATCAGGATGATGCTGGCCTCATGAAATGAGTTAGGGAGGATTCCCTCTTTTTCTATTGATTGAAATAGTTTCAGAAGGAATGGTACCAGCTCCTCCTTGTATCTCTGGTAGAATTTGGCTGTGAATCCATCTGGTCCTGGACTTTTTTTGGTTGGTAAGCTATTAATTATTGCCTCAATTTCAAAGCCTGTTATTGGTCTATTCAGAGATTCAACTTCTTCCTGGTTTAGTCTTGGGAGAGTGTATGTGTCGAGGAATTTATCCATTTCTTCTAGACTTTCTAGTTTATTTGTGTAGAGGTGTTTATAGTATTCTCTGATGGTAGTTTGTATTTCTGTGGAATTGGTGGTGATATCCCCTTTATCATTTTTTATTGCATCTATTTGATTCTTCTCTCTTTTCTTCTTTATTAGTCTTGCTAGTGGTCTATCAATGTTGTTGATCTTTTCAAAAAACCAGCTCCTGGATTCATTGACTTTTTGAAGGGTTTTTTGTGTCTCTATTTCCTTCAGTTCTGCTCTGATCTTAGTTATTTCTTGCCTTCTACTAGCTTTTGAATGTGTTTGCTCTTGCTTCTCTAGTTCTTTTAATTGTGATGTTAGGGTGTCAATTTTGGATCTTTCCTGCTTTCTCTTGTGGGCATTTAGTGCTATAAATTTCCCTCTACACACTGCTTTGAATGTGTCCCAGAGATTCTGGTATGTTTTGTCTTTATTCTCATTGGTTTCAAAGAACATCTTTATTTCTGCCTTCATTTCGTTATGTACCCAGTGGTCATTCAGGAGCAGGTGGTTCAGTTTCCATGTAGTTGAGCAGTTTTGAGTGCGTTTCTTAATCCTGAGTTCTAGTTTGATTGCACTGTGGTCTGACAGACAGTTTGTTATAATTTCTGTTCTTTTACGTTTGCTGAGGAGTGCTTTACTTCCAACTATGTGGTCAATTTTGGAATAGGTATGGTGTGGTGCTGAGAAGAATGTATATTCTGTTGATTTGGGGTGGAGAGTTCTGTAGATGTCTATTAGGTCCGCTTGGTGCAGAGCTGAATTGAATTCCTGGATATCCTTGTGAACTTTCTGTCTTGTTGATCTGTCTAATGTTGACAGTGGGGTGTTAAAGTCTCCCATTATTATTGTGTGGGAGTCTAAGTCTCTTTGTAGGTCTCTAAGGACTTGCTTTATGAATCTGGGTGCTCCTGTATTGGGTGCATATATATATTTAGGATAGTTAGCTCTTCTTGTTGAATTGATCCGTTTACCATTATGTAATGGCCTTCTTTGTCTCTTTTGATCTTTGTTGGTTTAAAGTCTTTTTTATCAGAGACTAGGATTGCAAACCCTGCCTTTTTTTGTTTTCCATTTGCTTGGTAGATCTTCCTTCATCCCTTTATTTTGAGCCCATGTGTGTCTCTGCATGTGAGATGGGTTTCCTGAATACAGCACACTGATGAGTCTTGACTCTTTATCAAATTTACCAGTCTGTGTCTTTTAATTGGAGGATTTAGCCCATTTACATTTAAGGTTAATATTGTTATGTGTGAATTTGATCCTGTCATTATGATGTTAGCTGGTTATTTTGCTCGTTAGTTGATGCAGTTTCTTCCTACCATTGATGGTCTTTACAATTTGGCATGTTTTTGCAGTGGCTGGTACCGGTTGTTCCTTTCCATGTTTAGTGCTTCCTTCAGGAGCTCTTTTCGGGCAGGCCTGGTGGTGTCAAAATCTGTCAGCATTTGCTTGTCTATAAAGGATTTTATTTCTCCTTCACTTATGAAGCTTAGTTTGGCAGGATTTGAAATTCTGGGTTGAAAATTCTTTCTTTAAGAATGTTGAATATTGGCCCCCACTCTCTTCTGGCTTGTAGAGTTTCTGCCGAGATATCAGCTGTTAGTCTGATGGGCTTCCCTTGTGGTAACCCGACCTTTCTCTGTGGCTGCCCTTAACATTTTTTCCTTCATTTCAACTTTGGTGAATCTGACAATTATGTGTCTTGGAGTTGCTCTTCTCGAGGAGTATCTTTGTGGCATTCTCTGTATTTCCTGAATTTGAATGTTGGCCTGCCTTGCTAGATTGGGGAAGTTCTCCTGGATAATTTCCTGCAGAGTGTTTTCCACTTGGTTCCATTCTCCCCGTCATTTTCAGGTTCACCAATCAGACGTAGATTTGGTCTTTTCACATAGTCCCATATTTCTTGGAGGCTTTGTTCGTTTCTTTTTATTCTTTTTTCTCTAAACTTCTCTTCTCTCTTCATTTCATTCATTTGATCTTCCATCACTGATACCCTTTCTTCCAGTTGATCGAATTGGCTACTGAGGCTTGTGCATTCGTCACGTAGTTCTTGTGGCATGGTTTTCAGCTCCATCAGGTCCTTTAAGGACTTCTCTGCATTGGTTATTCTAGTTAGCTATTTGTCTAATCTTTTTTCAAGGCTTTTAAACTTCTTTGCCATGGGTTCGAACTTCCACCTTTAGCTTGGAGTAGTTTGATCGTCTGAAGCCTTCTTCTCTCAACTCGTCAAAGTCATTTGCCGTCCAGCTTTGTTCCATTGCTCGTGAGGAGCTATGTTCCTTTGGAGGAGGAGAGGCACTCTGATTTTTAGAATTTTCAGTTTTTCTGCTCTGTTTTTTCCCCATCTTTGTGGTTTTATCTACCTTTGGTCTTTGATGATGGTGACGTACAGATGGGGTTTTGGTGTGGATGTCCTTTCTGTTTGTTAGTTTTCCTTCTAACAGTCAGGACCCTCAGCTGCAGGTCTGTTGGAGTTTGCTGGAGGTCCACTCCAGACCCTGTTTTCCTGGGTATCAGCTGCGGAGGCTGCAGAACAGCAGATATTGGTGAACAGCAAATGTTGCTGCCTGATTGTGCCTCTTGAAGTTTTGTCTCAGAGGAGTATCCGGCCATGTGAGGTGTCAGTCTGCCCCTACTGGGGGGTGCCTCCCAGTTAGGCTATTCAGGGTTCAGGGACCCACTTGAGGAGGCAGTCTGTCCGTTCTCAGATCTCCAGCTGCGTTGCTGGGAGAACCACTACTCTCTTCAAAGCTGTCAGACAGGGACATTTAAGTCTGCAGAGGTTTGTGCTGCCTTTTGTTTGGCTATGCCCTGCTCCCAGAGGTGGAGTCTACTGAGGCAGGCAGGCCTCCTTGAGCTGCGGTGGGCTCCACCCAGTTCAAGATTCCCAGCCGCTTTGTTTACCTACTCAAGGCTCAGCAATGGCGGGCACCCCTTCCCCAGCCTCGCTGCTGCCTTGCAGTTTGATCTCAGACTGCTGTGCTAGCAATGAGTGAGGCTCTGTGGGCGTAGGACCCTCCGAGCCAGGCATGGGATGTAATCTCCTGGTGTGCTGTTTGCTAAGACTGTCGGAAAAGTGCAGTATTAGGGTGGGAGTGACCCAATTTTCCAGGTGCTGTCTGTCACCCCTTTCCTTGGCTAGGAAAGGGAATTCCCTGACCCCTTGAATTTCCTGGGTGAGGCAATGCCTCACCCTGCTTTGGCTTAGGCCCAGTGCACTGCACCCACTGTTCTTCCCCCACTGTCCGACAATCCCCAGTGAGATGCACCCAGTACCTCAGTTGGAAATGCAGAAATCATTCGTCTTCTGCTTCGCTCATGCTGGGAGCTGTAGACTGGAGCTGTTCCTATTAGGCCATCTTGGCTCCACCTGTCCTTGCTAATATTTTTTAAGGATTTCTCCACCTATCCTCATGAGAGGCATAAATCTGTGGCATTCCTTTCTCACAATGCTCTTACCTGGCTTTGATATCAGATCCATGCTGGCAAGAAAATAAAAATAAGTTCCTCTGTTTTCTAAAAAATTTGTATAAGAATATTACTATTTCTTACTTTATTGTCAGAAAAATTCACCAGAGTGTTCACCTGTGCCTGGAGTTTTCAACTTTTAAAAATAGATATAGGACTATTTTGATATTGAATTTCTTCTTGTTAATCTTGGTAACTTTTTTTTTTAAGAAGGAATCTATTCATTTAAGTTTGGCTGTTTGTTTTCTATATGTCTCATTTGTTATATAATCCTTGATTCATCCTTTTTCTGCTTTGTTGTTACACAGACAGGATTTTTATTACTTCATTTCTCTTTATTGTTAGGTTTTATATTAGACATTCTTGTGCTACATTTAAATTTTTATTTATTTATTTTTATTTTTTTGAAATGGAGTCTCACTCTGTCACCCAGGCTGGAGTGCAGTGGTGCGATTTTGGCTCACTACAACCTCTGCCGCCCAGGTTCAAGCGATTCTCCTGCCTCAGCCTCCCGAGTAACTGGAATTACAGGCATCTGCCACTGTGCCCAGCTAATTTTTGTAGTTTTAGTAGAGATGGGGTTTCACCATCTTGGCCAGGCTGGTCTTGAACTCCTGACCTTGTGATCCACCTGTCTCAGCCTCCCAAAGTGCTGGGATTACAGACGTGAGCCACAGCGCCTGGCATTACCCTAGAGATGTCAGTATGGATTATTAACTTACTACACTTCACTCTGATTAAGATGTACTACTTCCAGAATAAGGCATCCCCAACAATTTACTACCTTTCTGGTTATGTCTGTTACTACTCCACCTTATGAAAACCACACTCTTGCCATACCAAACCTTAGTTGCGATTCCTAATCTCCCTGTATGCACTCATCTCTCAGTATCATGTCTGTGACACTTGTTTTCTGCCTGCCTACCTGTTGCCTTTAAAAAAATAAATTGTATTGTGTATATTTAAGGCTCACAATATAATGTTATGGGATACACATAGATTGTAAAATTATTACTATAGTGAAGCAGATTAACATATGTATTATCTCAGTTACTTTTGTTTGTGTGACAACAGCAGATAAAATCTACTTATTTAACAAAACTCCCTAATACAATACCATTTTATTACCTTAATCCTTATGTACATTAGAGCTCTAAGCTTGTTTATCTTACATATATGCTGTTTTATATCTTTTGACTTACATCTCCCCATTTCCAAACTGCCCTCACTCCCCTGCCCCTGCCCAAGAATGAAACAGTAGTTACTGTCTGTTTATGTGTCCCATCTCATTGTGATAAATCCTTTGTCTGCCTCATAATACAAAGTGCATTAATTCATTTCTCCATTCATTTCAGAGGGGAACAAATCACTTTGCTAATGATTTCTCACCCAAAGACATAAAGACACATTCCCAGCTCTCAATGCTCCTAGATTATTAAAATATGTTTTAAATCACAATATTCTGGGTTTTTTTTCTCTCAAACTTGATATCAGAGTTAATAACTGTGGTGTTCATATTTCATCCCCAGACCTTGTCACAGAGTAGGTGCTTAATATGTGCTTTTGAATAAGTACATGAATAACTTTCTTCATTTCCCCTGAGTAATAAGCCCAAATTCTTAGCACCTCATTTTCATATGGCACTCATAAAATATGTGTGGCGTACCTGTTATGTGGCAGTCACTCTTGTTGCTGCTGGAGACATTACGATGAAGATCAAAAAGTTCCTGCTTCTGCGGAGCATACATCCCAATGGGAACATTAGTCGGTTAATAGGTGAAAACATAAGTGTAGAATAGTAAGTAGTATATGGGAAAAAAAAAAGCAAATTTGGGAAATAGGTCCTGATGTCCTGGGTATGCTGGTTTAATTGTGTTAATTATGAAAACTCTCTCCAAAAAATCATATTTGAGCAGAGGTCTGGCTATAAAAATTCTTGAGTGTTTCAGCTGCTTATTGCTCAAAATTCCTCAGAAGAAGTGTAAAAACACTGATTTATGTTTCTCTTGTATTCTAGTTACTTGTAAGAAATACTTAAAATACTTTAAAGTGTCACTAGCAGGGTTTTTTTTCCCCCGGACATAAACCTACTTTATCTCTCAGTATTCCATCTTAAGAGATCTCTATTTAGATAGACTTATTATGTTCCAAACAGGATTTTCAAAAGTCTTGTCTGTACAAATTCATTCACCCCCATTTCTTCTTATGTAAAGTCTCCCTAGCCCCGTACTTAACACAAAAACTATTTTAATTCTCTACTCTTCTTCCAATGTGAGCTGAAATCTCACTTTTTCTAGTTGCAGTTTCCAGGTTATACAAAGTTCATTAGTTTTCCACAATTTTGAAACTCTTCTAGGTCTTATTGTTTAGTTCATTCAATTCCACAAATATGTTACCATATCACAATTGCTGGTTTATAAGTTTTCCCTATATCTTTTCAATTATAGAATATTTCTAGCTGTTTGGATAGGGGTTATACTATCCATATTTTCAGTTTCCCTACCCAGTGGTGCATATAGTAGACAATCAATAAACATATCAAAAATTGGTAGGTGTGCCAATGTACAAGACTGCCATACTAAATAAAATGTCATTTAGCCAGGGGGAAAAATGCCAGGTAGACAATGAGAAAATTAACATAAATTACATGTTAAGTATCTACTATCTGCCTTAAGTATACATAGTATCAAAGACATATTTGTAAGACAGCAATTTTTCTGCTTAATACTTATATATTTAAATATAATATTTAATTTGTATATTTTGATTATTTAAAACATCTCACATACCTTTCATACTAATTTGAACATAGCAGATGGTACACTAATTCTCATATTTAAAGAAAGATGCTGTATTGATTTTACATTTGATAATAGTAAATTATATTATAAATTTTAGTGTTGAAATAGATGTAGCAATAGAGAAATAATCACTGTTAAATCCTCTGAGTATTATCATAAATATTCAAACATACAATTTTTTTTTTGTTTAGAGTCTTCTGCTTTATTTTGTTTTGTTGTTTGCAAAAGCAATGTAAGACTGTATGAGACAATATAAACCTTGAGGCTCTACCTATTAGAACTTAAGATGAGTTGATAGAATTTGCAGTAAAAACTGCTGGCTTTGTGTATAAAAACATACCATTTTAAATCCTATTCTCACAACTGCAAAGAAGGAATGTCTAGTATGCCATAATTGGTGACTCACCAGTTTTGTTTTATACCTTTAGAGAATCATTCATTCATTTAAAAAGCTTTATCTCATGAGATTCATCACTCTGAACACCAAATTGATGTACAAATAAAATAAATTTCCCTTTAATTGACAGATGGTCTAATGAATGTGTAGCTTCAAATTTTTATTTTGTAGTCTTAGAAGTGACAGAATCTAAAGGCTCAGCACTAAAAATATGCGTACAAACATTTTTTAAAAGAAGCTTTGGGTGGATGTATACATTTTACTTAGGGCATATGAATTTGAAAATAAAAATATGTTGGCCGGGCGTGGTGGCTCATGCCTGTAATCTCAGCACTTTGAGAGGCCAAGCTGGGAAAGTAACCTGAGGCCAGAAGTTCGAGACCAACCTGGCTAACATGGTGAAACCCTGTCTCTACTAAAAATACAAAAATTAGCTGGGCATGGTGGCAGGTGCCTGTAATCCCAGCTACTCGGGAGGCTGAGGCAGGAGAATTGCTTGAACTTGGGAGGTGCAGCTTGCAGTGAGCCGAGATCGCGCCACTGCACTCCAGTCTGGGTGACAGAGCAAGATTCCATCTCCAATAAATGAATAAATAAATAAATAAATGAAAACAAAAATATGTTGAAGAAAGGAAAGGCTACTTTACAGTACAATTTTCTTTTTTAATTATTTCCATTGTTTGGGAAAACAGGTGGTGTTTGTTTACATGGATAAATTTTTTAGTGGTGACTTCTGAGATTTGGGTGTACCCATCACCTAAGCAGTGCACACTGAACCCAATGTGTAGTCTTTCACCCTTTACCCTGGTAGCTTTACCCCTGAGTGCCCAGAGTCCATAATATTATTATTATGCCTTTGTGTCCTCATATCATAGCTCCCACTTACAAGTGAGAACATACGATGTTTGATTTTCCATTCCTGAGTTATTTCACTTAAAATGATGGTCTACAGCTCCATACAGGTTGCTACAAATGCCATTATTTCATTCCTTTTTTTGGCTGAGTAGTATTCCATGGTATGTATATGCTACATTTTCTTTACACACTCATTGGTTAATGAGCATTTAGGCTGGTTCCATATTTTTGCAATTGCGAATTGTGCTGTTATAAACATGCATATGTAAGTGTCTTTTTCTTATGATGACTTCTTTCCTTCTGAGTGGATACCCAGTAGAGGGCTTGTGAATCAAATGGTAGTTCTACTTTTAGTTCTTTAAAAAATTTCCATACTGTTTTCCATAGTGGTTGTACTAGTTTACATTCCCACCAGCAGTGTAAAAGTGTTCCTCTTTAATCACATGCACACCAACATCCACTATTTTTTGATTTTTAAATTGTGGCCATTCTCACAGGAGTAAGATGGTATCATATTATGGTTTTAATTTGGATTTCCTTCATAATTAGTGATGTTGAGCACTTTTTCATATGTTTGATTCTGTATGTTAGTCCTTTGTCAGACACATAGTTTGTGAAGATGTTTTCCCACTCTGTTGGTTTTCTGTTTACTCTGCTGATTATATCTTTCACTGCACAGAAACTTTTGAGTTTAATTAAGTCCCATCTATTTATCTTTGTTTTTCTTGCATTTGCTTTGGGGTTCTTGGTCATGAAGTCTTTGCCTAAGCCAATGTCTAGAAGGGGTTTTCTGATTTTATCTTCTAGAATTTTTATGATTTTAGGTCTAAGATTTAAGTTTTTGATCCATCTTGAGTTGATTTTTGTATAAATTGAGAGATGAGGATCCAGTTTTGTTCTTCTATATGTGGCTTGCCAATTATTCCAGCAAGATTTGTTGAATAGGATGTCCTTTCTCCACTTTGTGTTTTTGTTCGCTTTGTCAAAAATCAGTTGGCTGTAAGTATTTGCCTTTATTTCTGGGCTCTCAATTCTGTTCCAGTGGTGTACATGCCTGTTTTTATACCAGTACCATGCTGTTTTGATAACTATAGCCTTGTAGTATAATTTGAAGTCAGGTAATGTGATGCCTCCAGATTTGTTCCTTTTTCTTTGTCTTGCTTTGGTTATGTGGGATCTTTTTTAGTTCCATATGAATTTTAGGATTGCTTTTTCTAGTTCTGTGAAGAATTATAGTATTTTGATTGGAATTGCATTAAATGTATAGATTGCTTTTGGTAGTATGGTCATTTTCACAATATTGATTCTACCCATCCATGAGCATGGGATGTGTTTTAACTTTTTTTTTTTTTTTTTTTTTTTTTTTTTTACGGCTCTTGTAACAGTGGTTAAGTTGTTGATTTGATTCTCAGCTTAGTCACCATTGGTACATAGCAGTGTTACTGATTTGTATTCATCGATTTTGTATACCGAAACTTTACTGAATTCATTTACCAGTAAATGAATTTTTACTGTTTACTGGTAAATGAATTCAGTAAAGTAGTAAACTAAGAGTTTTTTGGATGAGTCTTTAGGGTTTTCATGGTACATGATTATATCATTGGTGAACCATGACAGTTTCACTTCCTTTTTACCAACTTGGATGCCCCTTATTTCTTTCTGTTGTCTGATTGTCCTGGCTAGGACTTCCAGGACTATGTTGAAAAGAAGTGGTGAAAGTGGGCATCCTTGTTTTTTTCCAGTTCTCAGGCAAATGCTGTGAACTCCCTCCTGTCCCATTCAATATAATGTTGCTTGTGGGTTTGTCATAAATGGCTTTTATTACCTTGAGGTATGTCCCTTCTATGCCAATTTTACTGAGGGTTTTCATCATAAAGGGATGCTGGATTTTGTCAGATGCTTTTTCTGCATCTATTGAGATAATCATATGATTTTTGTTTTTAGTTCTGTGTATGTGGTGTATCACATTTATTGACTTGCACCTGGCATAAAATTTTCTTTTTAAATAGGATGTATGGAATGACATAGATCTAGTTAAAACCAGAGACTATATAAGTCCAAGAGACCTTACAGCAAATTTTGTCATTAATGGAAGAAAGATTTATGTCGTTTAAACATTTCCGCACGTTATATGGCTAATTTCTAACTATGGAAGTGCTAGTGAACATTAGTCTCTCTTTTATTTACTTACATGTAACTTAGGTAGCAGAATGTTTATTTCAAGGCGTAACTGTGTTGGGTTAAAAATTTATATGAAGTAATTTAACACAATACTTTGTATATCATGGATGCTCAATAACTAGCTGTTATATACATGAAATTTCTCACTGATTTGTTTTCCATTTACGTTGAAAAGTAATAAATGACATTTTCTCCTAAGAAATCAAACAGGGAAGCAAAGAAGATGAAATTTGTTTTTTTTTGTTTTTATTTTTGGTTTTTTGGGGCCAAATGTCATTTAAAGATTTTTGTTTCTTTTCCTTTGATTGGAGAGGTTTCCAGTCTGCTTTTTGAGAATATAATTTCTTATCAATCCCCAGCCGTATGATCTTGGCTGTCAGGGCTATTGAATTTAAGGGCAGTAGTAGTAAGAAACTAAGAAAAGAAAGATACTTTTTTTTTGAGGAATCACTGATATGGAAACCAAATTTTCTAACAAAATCTTGAATTCTAGTAATACAAAATGAATAACATGTTTGTAAATCAAGGTTACTAAAGTGAAAAATATAAAAATCTCTAAAGATTTTTAAAAAGTGTTTTTAAAATCATATTAATGAATAAAGACCTTGTTTTAAAGGGTACTAGAAATATTATTTCTTAAATGATGAGTTATAGATGCATATTATTAGACACTCAAGCACATACACACACAAATACATATTAATTACTCAGCTTAATTCTGTAATACTTAACAGCAATTGTATTAAAGTCAATACCAGAGTAAATGCCTGTTAATAATTATTTATTGTTAACTATATAATTAGATAAGAAATCATGAGTTATGAAGAAAGAGGAGGCAAAAATATTATTATTTGAAGTAAACATTGTGTATCTGTAAAACACTAGTTTTTAAAAATTATTTAAAAATAGTTCAGTTTGGTAGCTGAATAAGAAGTATAAAAATAAATAACTTTAGTGTGTGCTATTTAGAAAAATGTAATGAAGGAAAGGATACTACAAACAATACAATGAAGGTAAAACACATCTACAAAAATTTACCAAAAATTGCATAGGACTAAAAGAATGAAAATTGTATAAAACGCCACTGAGGTCCAAAAGCAGAACACTTGAAAAATAGCTGATATATATAAAAATATCAATTATATAAGGATGAACCTGAAAATCTAATGTAATCTAAAAAACAAAATCCAGAAAGGCCAGTTTATTAAACCGTTCATACAGAAAAATAAACATGTTATCAGTTGGAAAAAGAATACAGTAAGAAATGGCTTTGCATATATTAAAAGGGGTTACTAATGATGTTTCCAATGCAAGCATTGGCATAGCAGTGAATGCCATGATAATGTTTAAATATGCATGAGCAAGTGTACAAAATTTTGTACATAGCATTTTAAAGCAGGGAAGAAAAAAGCAAATTACTCGATAATTTTTTTTTTTTTTAATATGACAGGGTCTTGTTCTGTCACCCATGCTGGAATGCAGTGGCCCAATCTTGGCTTATTGCAACCTCTGCCTTCTGGGTTCAAGCGATTTTCATTCCTCAGCCTCCCCAGTAGCTGAGATTGCAGGTGTGTGCCACCACGCCTGCCTAATTTTTGTATTTTTAGTAGAGACGGCATTTCGCCAGGTTGGCCAGGCTGGTCTCAAACTCCTGGCCTCAGGTGATCAGCCTGCCTTGACCTCCCAAAGTGCTGGGATTATAGACCTGAGCCACTATGACCAGCCTCAATAAATAGTATTTCTATAACTGCCTGAACATTTGCTTTGAAAAAAATAAAAATTATATTTATCGCACTTCTCACACCAAAACATATTCCAGATGTTTCAAAAATTTTGATAGATAAAATAAAAACAGAATGGTAGTAAAACTCTGAGTTTTTAAATAGATACTAAAAGTGATACTAGACTAGGGAAGGCCTTCTTTGTAAATATATAAAATATAAAACGAGAAATTATAAAAGAAAAAAGTAAAATCATCTGGATGGAAAAATTAATCTGATTTAATAAAATAAAATATTTGCAACATATGTAATTAACAAAAATATAATAAATATAGTATGTAAAAAACAAAAACTGTTTTTAAAAATGCTTGAACAATCATTTCACAATGAAGGAAATACAAATGATAAAGATATAAGAAATTATTAATTCATAGTAATCAAGAAATGTCAAATTAAAATATGAGGAATATATATTTTACTGATGAAGCTGAAAATTTACAGTGTGTCTCAGGATGTGTCAAAACTGTTATATGTACTTTAAAGATATCTCAGTAATTCCATTTCTGGGGATTTATGCTTCCCCTTCAAAAATGCATAACTGTGAAAAGCAAAGATGTTCATTGTAATGGAAAAATTAGAAATAATAGTATATTTTCAGTGGAATGGTGTAAATTGGAATACAATCAAATAACATCAACTATTGGAAGTAAATAAAAAGTATACAATTATTCTGGAAAAATCAAGTTACAAATCAGTGTGTGTATTAAAATCTGCATACAAGTATTAATAAACGTACACTAAAAATCTTGGCAGTGGTTCTCTCTGCAATGTGAGATTACACTTTCTACTTCTGTGTGGTTTGCTTTTTATATTGAGTATATTTCATTTACTTAAAGGCAATTAAAATAATATAATAAAATCTTAGTACTAGCTCCTTCTGCAGAGCACAGCAATAGGCGATAATACACATTCCAGTCTTCCTATCTGTTCTAGAAGATAAAATGGCTTTTATAGAGATGATAATCTCATTTTGTTTTCTCCTGCTAGGGAAAGGTGAACATGGGAAACCTTACCCCCTTACTGAAGAGGACCATGATGACTCAGCTTACAGGGAAAATGGTTTTAATATTTTCGTCAGCAACAATATTGCTCTAGAGAGGTCTCTGCCAGATATTCGTCATGCTAAGTGAGTATCAGCATATCAGTGATCAGGGTGGGTTTTTTTGGTTTTTTTTGTCCTTTGATTTTTTTTTAAATGTGTATCACTGCGAGATATGTAACCAAATATTTTATCCTAATAATTTTGATAAAAACTCATATTGCATCATCTTAAATATACTTGACCTAAATTGGAGTAACCATTAAAATTTTAAAACAATACTGAATTTCTAAAAATCCAATACACATTTTTGTTGACTGTGTTAACTCATTAACATAAAATATTTTAAGGCAATATCCATACTTTTAACTTTTGATCATGTAAATTACAAAGCAAATGTTTTTTGCTGGTTATTAGAGCTACCAGAACTGTCTACATGTGCATGTCTTCTATGAACTTCATTCTCACCCCAGACAGATTTAGTGCCATGGTTGTTGCATTTTCATAAAGAATACCCTAAATGAATGCATCCATAATCCAAAAGTGATAAGTAGTGATTGCTGGTTCAATTTCTTGTCACTTTATGAACTGCTTGTGGCTTGTCTGTTGACAGTGAGTTGAGTTTCTATTGAACTGTAACTGCATATTATAGTTGAAATGATACTACTATATATACTTACCCCAAATCCATCTTTTCTCTATCCACCCCCATCTACATCTAACATCACTTATTGTACTTTTCATTTTAATGTGTTATTGTTTTCCTAATAGCATAAACACCACCAAAGGATACTAACTGAGAACATGGAATGTGATAAGAATTTGTAATGTAGTGTTGGCACATGTATCTGATAAATCTATCTAACTGTACTAATATAGCTATCCTTTCACCCACAACAACCCAAAAACTTCCCTATGGAAACCCTGGTGTGAGAGAGAGAAAATCAAGGAAAAAAAATCAGGGCAACTAATTAAAATAAGAATCAGAAATCTAAATTAAACCAGTAATTTAAAGCGAATAAAACTCCTTAACTTTGTGCAAAGATAATTGACCCTTTAGAAAAAAATATCAGTACATTATGGTTTGAAGGACTATTTTCTAGTTGCCATTTTGTATCTTTAGAAATTTATTTAAAATTATGAAATAATTACTGTTTTTCTCCTCATGTTTTATATGAAGTTGCATTTCCCAATATAGCTAAACAGAGGACTAATGTGAAGAACAATCTTTTTTTCCTAAATTGAGTGCTTTATATATTGACCCAGGCCTTTTAACCAGCCAAATTATCCCCACGTTACCTGAAATTATCTACAGTAATTCTCACTGACCAAGAACATTTCTAGTTACGAGAAATTTTAATACCTAATTGCACATCATCAAAGATGCATTAAGTTGCATTGTTGGCATAATAAATATGCTAAGAGAGTAATTTTTATCTATCCAGTTCCCCCCCCCACCCCCACACTTCTTTTTTTTTTAGGTGGAGTCTCCCACTGTCGCCCAGGCTGGAGTGCAGTGGCTTGATCTCGGCTCACTGCAAGCTCCGCCTCCTGGGTTCACGCCATTCTCCTGCCTCAGCCTCCCGAGTAGCTGGGACTACAGGCGCCTGCCACCATGCCGGCTAATTTTTTGTATTTTTAATAGAGACGGGATTTCACCTGTTAGCCAGGATAGTCTCGATCTCCTGACCTCGTGATCCGCCCACCTCAGCCTCCCAAAGTGCTGGGATTACAGGCTGAGCCACCGTGCCCGGTCCCCACCCCAACACTTCTAATCTCAATCTCTTAATGTGTATTCAAGTGGAAATAATGACAAGTTTAGAAACAGTGCAGAAAATCACTGAAGTCAAAAGAAGACAGTTATTCCCATTCTTCTCAAAAACTATTTTTAGTGTGAACACCATCTTTTAAGAAAAGATCTTATGTAATAATGGGAAAAAAATGGAAAGATGTAAAAAAAATTCTGAAATTTTTATTAGGGTTACTCAATTTACAATATGAAGAAAGCATTATTATAAATGTTACGGAAGAAAAATATGGCCAAAATATAATCTGGGATAATATTCCAACTTAGTTACTAAGGCTGGATATTTAATAGGACAAGTGGTCATGTAGTAAGAAAAAAAGAAAAAATACGAAAACAAACAACAACAGCAACAAAAACCTTGAGAGGGTTTGAGATGGATAAAAAGAAAGTGTTAAGTATACTACCAGGAATAAGGTTCACCTTGGTGAGGTCAGTATTTGACTCTTAGCAATGCTGGAAGAGAAGCCTGATGTCACCTCTGATTTTGCCATGCTCCACCTGCAGGAAACGGAGAGCCAAATAATGTCTTACAGGCTCCCACTGTTTAAAGTACTATGCTTTTGACTTCATCTGTGCTTCACCAAAGGCAGGGCAGGTACATTTAACCACAAGAGTATGCAGCTCTGTGTAAGTGATCTTTGAAATTATAAGATCAACTTGTGACATATTTCAGTATTATCTATTTAACTAGGCTGAAAGTGATGGACCATAGCTTTTTTATATTGACACAATCTATAGAATAGAATGCAAACTTTGTGTGACTTTTAAAATAAAACATCACTTCTAAGAAACTTTTCCTTTTCAGTAAGCCAATTGAAACTAGTCTCAGAGTGCTAGGAGGGAAGAGTTTATTTTTCTTTATTCTAGGATTTTGCAATGGAAGATATGGGGACTCCTATCTTGAGATTTAACTGAACTTGATCTTATTCTAAAGCATACTAGCCGGACTTATGCCATGTGATAAACTATTGGTCACTCCCTGTATATTTAAGTGCTCTGTACTCTTTCATATTCTCACATTTAGTTAAAAAAAATCATGGTTTTATATGTTTTGATATGTAGTGCACATTCTAGTACACAATGAAGAATATTTAAGACAATGTATTTCAGAAATCCTAATGCGTAGGCTTTTTTTTTTTTTTTTTTTTTTTTTGAGGCAGAGTCTCCCTCTGTAGCCCAGGCTGGATGGCAATGATGCGATCTTGGCTCACTGCAACCTCCGCCTCCTGGGTTCAAGCGATTCTCCTGCCTCAGCCTCCCGAGTAGCTGAGATTACAGGCACCTGCCACCAAGCCT
Source organism: Homo sapiens (assembly GCF_000001405.40). Taxonomy (NCBI): domain Eukaryota; kingdom Metazoa; phylum Chordata; class Mammalia; order Primates; family Hominidae; genus Homo; species Homo sapiens. The sequence continues at coordinate 172,314,769 of NC_000004.12, forward strand.
GGCTAAATTTTTTGTATTTTTAGTAGAGACAGGGTTTCACCACGTTGGCCAGGCTGGTCTCAAACTCCTGAACTCAGGTGATCCGCCTGCCTCGGCCTCCCAAAGTGCTGGGATTATAGGCGTGAGCCACTGTGCCAGGCCTGCATAGGGATTTTTTAAAGAAATTTTCTGATTCATTTCTTCACTAGTATAAAAATAAACTGCTTTTTTTGGCTTTATTATTTCAGAATCAGCATAGATTTCCTTAAGTAGGAGCCATAGACGAAGGACAGTATATTGGCATGTGTGCAATAATTTGATCAGTCTTACTTTTATCCAAAAAATAAATTTCAAGCTTTTCACTTTTGTTTTTAATTTTTAAAATAGTTTTTCCAAATGCTCTTAACATCTCTCTATCTTACAAATTGTTTCAGCTTCTTACACTATCTGTGCTTTGGTATGTCAAATTTTTAATCTTTTTTTATATTCTCCTAGCCCTACACTTTGGGTTGATTTTATTTATTTATTTTTTTGAGATGGAGTTTCACTCTTGTTGCCCACGCTGGAATGCAATGGTGCAATCTCAGCTCACTGCAACCTCTGCCTCCCGGGTTCAAGCAATTCTCCTGCCTCAGCCTCCCAAGTAGCTGGGATTACAGGCATGCGCCACCACACCTGGCTAATTTTGTATTTTTAGTAGAGACAGAGTTTCTCCATGTTGGCCAGGCTAGTCCTGACCTCAGTCTGCCTGCCTTGGCCTCCCAAAGTGCTAGGGTTATAGGCATGAGCCACTGTGCCTGGCCCTGGTTGATTTTTATATATTTTTTGAGCATATACTTGATGTATTTTAAATACTCACTCCCTTCTTCTGTTAGTGCCAAGTCATGTCTGTATCCATAGTGCCTGTGATCAGCCTGAATCTCTCCTTAGAACATCTTATCTTTATATTTTATTTAATGCAATGTTGAAAAGAATTTTACAATGAGCACTTCTGTATGACAAATGTCCAGTCAATGGATATCTCGGTGGCCTGGTTTTATTTTGCCACACTTTAAGGTTTTCTCCACTTGTGTATTGATTTTGCCATGTCTTTGTATTTAGTCATCTACCTGAGATGTCACATATATTCTTAGCATGCTATGGAACACCTTATTTAACTTATAGTTCAGGATGGGAGACATAAGACATCTATTTGAAATATACATATAAAATAGGGAAATAGAAAACTATGTAAAAATGGCCTATATAGAAAAGAAGCTCTGATAAATTTGTGCATGAATATGTTGTTGCTAAGATAAAATTGAAGAATTTTTAAGCAAGTATTATTCCCTGCATATGGAAGAATTAATCAAAAGTTATCACAAATACCCCGTAAACATGATATAATTAGTGTAATTAATGTGGGTAAGAAAAATTCATATCTATGAAAAAAGGAATAATTGAGATAAAGAGCTAGAAGAACCATTCTAATAGGAGAGTTGAGGTAGGCTTCACAGCAGTTTTGGGTAAATGCATCTTTGATATGAGTTTCATTTTTTTGGCCGTTATAAAAGTATATGTGTTTATACAGATAAATATTTATGCACCTACATGTTACCTGAGATAGACTTCTAAGGTGGCTGAGTAGCTGGGATATTTTAAAATTAATATAGTCTCACTTTGTATTGTGACTTTTTATCATTTCTTTTTTATATCACTAATATTACCCAGGTAGAAATAGTTTTAGCTTCATGACTTTGACAATAAATGGAGTATGAGGTATCACAGAGTGTTCTCTCAACACTCAATATTCCATTGCTTGTCAAAGCCATGAAGCTAAAACTATTTCTGTCTAAGAGAATCTTTACAACCTTTTGGATTATATGATTGTTTTCAGTAGGGTTGCAGTTATACCAGACTAATGTAGTCCTGTTTCCTGTAGTTTCAGAACCATTTGAGAGATAGCCCCAGAAACGATTTGCTATGAAAACATTCGCTTTATTATTGTTGCAATTCTATTGGTGAGCATGGTTTAGATGCAGGCCAAGTATTATACTCAAGACTGAAGTCCAGAATGAGGCACATTCAGTCTTCAAGTCACAGACATTGCTGGATAGCATAATCAAAATTGTCAAACTTAAGTCATGGATGGCAGAATAAGATGACTGATCTCCGCAGGCAAGCAGGTTCCAAAGCAGAAAAAAATGAAGAAGGAGCTGGCCAACTACAGTAAGCTTTGTAACCCAAACCCACGAATCTCTTTCTCCGGGAAAGAAACTCTGAAAAGGTGGAGAAAGGCCAGGTGCGTTTGTCTAATGACTGTCCTGCCACATGGGAACATCTGTAGAGAAAAGAAGTCTCCTCCTGTGATAAGTAGTACATACTTACAAGTACTTACATGAAGTACTTACAAAGTCAGCACTATATGCTATTTCTTGATATATACAGACTTTTGAGCAAACTCTTGATTTTTCAGTGCCTTATATTCTAAATACTCCTGCCTTCCTGGAAGTATATTGAATAATGATTCTAAATATATTGACTTGCATGACTTGCATTGTGATGCTGAACAAGTCCAATTGCGTTTTGAATGTTTATGTGCCCATTTCCGTAAGCGGGGATGCAAGTTTCTTCAGCTTCCTCACCATGTATGAAGATTATTAAAATTGGGGCAAGGTTTACCAAATCAGCGATCGCGTGATCTATTCAGTTATTTCTTTGTCTTCTGATAATGATCTTGTTGATTCCCTTTTTTATTTTCCAGTTATATCATGGAGATGTAAAATATAAGGAGACCTAGTGTATTCTAATTTCACAATTTTAATTGTAAATACATAATTAGATTTTTATTAGAAAGAATAGTTATGTATTCAATTTCTTTCAGATAAGATTTTGTAAATATACTATAAATAGTTTTTATTTTATTTTTATGCATAGTAGAAAAATGTGATCCGTTTTGACTCTTGTCTTTGTAATCCTAGAACTCATTGGCAAACATATTTGAGTTTAACCGTCCAAAAATTTGCAAGGATAATTTTTTATATTTCTCAATTTCAAAAGCCACATAAAAAGTGAATAGCACTAGTTGATTGCCTTTTCCATTTTTATTATGATATCCTTGTGAACTTGATTAAGTACCTTCATTCAACAAGTTTACAAGTGAATTCAGAAGCAAAATAAACTAAAATGACTGTTCATGCACTCCAATTAGGTGTGAATGTTGCCACAGAGACAGAGATGGGAAATGTATCCTTTAAATCAAACACTATTCTAGCCTAGGGCACATCTAAATATTACTTAAAAAATAAAGCAATTAAATGATAAGCAGGAGATTGAAAGAAGGAATAGCTAGAATCAGGTAGAAGCCATCTCTCAAAACTGTTATTTAAGTGAGTACCCTTCAATATTTTTTGAAAACCAATTGTATGCACAGTAATACAGACATTAGTACATAAGTTCTCAGGGTCATTACAGAAAGTCATAATGAAATAACAACAACAAAAAATTTAGATATACCTCTCATTCTTGACTAAAGCCTGAAAAAGACAGAAGGTGTTTATCACTGTAACTAAGAGGTATGTCCCTAGTGAAACAAAAATCTTCCTTGGAGAGATAACAGTTTAAGACTTGTCAGACATTAACCTTTTGGAGTGACTGACAGACCATGAGGCTGGGTCTTTGAAAGGCTGAATGAGGCTGGGTGCCATGGCTCATGCCTGTAATCCCAGGACTTTGGGAGGCTGAGGCAGGTGGATCATGAGGTCAGGGGTTCGAGACCAGCCTGGCCAACATGGTGAAACCCCGTCTCTACTAAAAATAGAAAAAATTAGCTGGGCGTGGTGGTGGGCGCCTGTAATCCCAGCTACTCTGGAGGCTGAGGCAGGAGAATCACTTGAACTCAGGAGGCAGAGGTTGCAGTGAGCCAAGATCGCACCATTGCACTCTGGCCTGGGCAATAAGAGCGAAACTCCATCCCCCCCACCCCCCAAAAAAACCAACAACAACAAAAAACAACAAAAAAAGAAAGGCTGAATGAGGACAAGGATAAGGGAACTGGAGTCTAAAAGGATAACAATGGGAAAACAGTGCACATGAAAAAAAAATCTAAAAATAAACTATGGCTGCTTCAAAATCATGTGTGTTGAATATCAAAGAACAGCCTCTGTAATCTTATGATAAGGATCAAATAAATAAAACTGAAAGCGTAGGTTTGAGCAATAGATTCATAATTTTGACCTTTAAAGAAAAAAATCTGAAAATTTGATGTAATCATATACGTTGCTCTGTAAGGTTTATCTAGCAACTGTATTTCTAAATTTTCCCCTTCCTCGTTTTACTCCTACCCACAGAAGTTTACTGAAATGACAGACAGTGATTTAAGATTTTAGGTTGTATATAATAAAGAATGAGTCTGTAAGAAAATTCTGCCATTTTAAAGAGAATGCTGGAGCTTCCTTTCCAAATCAGCAAGCCATGTAATCTTAAACTATTGTTAAAGTAATCACTAGCACTTAGATTGTGATGCCAAACAGTGGCATTAATAAATGTGATTGCGGCCAAAGGATAATCTGTAAATCTAATGCTCATTCAAATTAAAAAATTAAAGTAGATATATCACGTATTCTCTTGAACTTAATAATTAAACAGAATTGGTTGAACCATCAATGTGCATGTTACCACACTACAGAAGAAGTCATTTAAAATTTTAATAAATTTATCTCATTTATAAAGATTCTTGATTTGAATATTTTAAATGTGCACCTAAAAACTATTAATTTTATTCTCAAGTATTCACAGATAATTGTACTTGATTTTACAGAAGAAAAACTGTCTCTATAAATTTTATTTTAAATCATTATCTTAAAACATACTTTATCAAGATTAGAAATCCTGGTAAGTATTTTTCAATAACAAATGTGCTCTTACCTGAAGCACATTTTTAGTTGTCTGACAATTATTTATTAAGCATGTGAGTGACAGGCACTTAGATGAGTTTATAAATAAGTCATCCAAAGGTTGGATGTCAGCATAAGGTACTCCCCTGACTTGATCCCTGGTGAAGTTGGTGAAAATTATTTCTTTAAAAATATCTAAGTCTCTGGAAATGGTCCTAAAGGCAAATAGAAAGGGAAGAAACATCTATTCAAGGCAATTTATGAAAATTTGGTAAGAAAGGAATTTGTGGTATCTGAAAGAAGATCACTCTATCCTTCTCTCCCAACTCAGCAAGTCAGACACTACTTCAGACAGATGCAACCAAGAACACAGGGCTTTCTATTGGCCTCACTCCGAATCCAAGAGCCGTTTACCTAGGAGGAGCAGGACTTCAATATCTCTCATCCTGCTCCTTGTTTCCTGTTACTAAGAGAAAGTCTTGGGTAATCATAGTACAGAGGTGGCATCTCTTCTTCCTCTTAGCCACCACACATGAAACAGAGGCTCTACGTGGGGTATAGCATGCTGAGAATACTTCAGGCCCTTATTGTACTTTGCCCAGTTTGTGATGTGGTGATTTCACGTGAGTGATGCAAGCAGAGAGGTTCTCAGGCTACTGGTCCCCTCTTCCTGAGTGCTTAGCTTCTAGAGCAGGGTGTCTTTCCAGGAATGTTGGCCTTGTCCCCACCCTTATCTCCAGAGCTTTGCTTCAGAGATTTTGCCTGAGAGAGAAGCAAGGCACAAAACATATAGCACCAAATATCTTCCCAAAGAAACTGACTTCTTTGCAACGTTGCATAGAGAAGTTCAAACCTAAGGTCACGCTGAAAAAGAGATTGTGGTGAAAAGTAATTGTACGGTGGTGGTTTGTATATTTAGGAAGATACAGCCTAGACTGTAGGCCAGCCATTTTGCAGGAGAGAAAAAAAGAATGAGAAACTTGGGAGGATCCCTCCTGGTGTCAGAACAAATATCACAGAGAGACTTCAAAAACTAACCCTTCAAATGAGCCACAATTTGAACAGGTTAGTGTGTAGAACAGTTTATATCCCAGGGCACTGTTAAAAACAAGAAAGCAATCAACCAGCAATTAGTGGTGTTTAACAGCAGGATATGGTCAGGAAAGAGAGGAAGAAACCCCTACGAATACCACTGTCATCTCAGGCTGAATGTGGGCAACCCAAAGCCACAGCCCCCTGAGGAGCAACGCTGGAGACTTAACCATGTAATGAAAAGAAATGGACTTCAAACAAAATACGGTGGTTTTCTTTTATCTGTGATTTCACTTTTGGAGGCTTTATTTACCTGTGGTCAATCATAGTCAAAAAATAAGTGAGGACAGTACAATAAAATATTTGGAGAGAGAGTGAGACCATATTAACATAATTTTTGATACAGTATATTGTTATAATTGTTTGATTTTATTATTGTTGTTAATCTCTTACTCTGCCAGATTTATAAATTAAACTTTATCATAGGTGTGTATGTGCTGGAAAATAATAATAAATATAGAGTTAGGTACTATCTGCAGTTTTAGGCATCTACTAGGGGTCGTGGAACATATCCCCCATGGATGTGGGGGTTGGGGGTTGGGGACTACTCTAATCAGGCCAGTTACTAAAAAAATAAACAAGCAAATAACAATAACAAGTCCAAGTGGGAGGCAGAATAATCAGTACTTAGAGTTGCTAAAATATATCATCTGAAACATCCTGTTTCCAACAAAAACTTATAAGCCATGCAAAGAAACAGTAAAGTGTGACCCCTCAGAATAATAAAAAGGCAGGTAATACAAACTGTCTGTGAGAGAAATCAGAGATTAAATATAACAGAAAAAGACTTCAAACTAGCCATCATCAATACATCTACTGAACTAAAGGAAACATAATGAAAGAAACAAAGAAAGGTATTAAGATAATGTTTCATTAAATAGAGGACATCAATAAAGAGAGAAATTAGAAAACAACAAAAAAGACCATATAAAACTTCTAGAGTTGAAAGCTGCAATAGCTAAAATAAAAAGTTCTTTTGAGTGGCTTAAGAGAAGACTGCAACTGATAGAAGGAAGAAATATCAATGTTACAAAAGGTAGTAAGGCAGACAAAAGCAGGGCAGGAGAGGGTCCCCCACCACCAGAAATGTCAGGCAACCATCATGTGATGGTCAGGCAGTTATTAAATCTCTCTAAGACAATAATTGGTCACAGCTGGCACTAGGGAAAGGCAGTCTTCTAAGAGAGAGAAACATCTGAAACTGGTGATCAGCAGCTTCCTGATAAGATCTCAGAAGCCGGGCAAGTGAGCCCAAGCATGCACACAAAGAGGCAAAATGGTGGAGTTTAACTGGTATATGACCCTCTAGGAACATTCCGATTGGTAAGAGAAGAACGCCTCAAGTGAGCATTCATACAACTCCAGTAAACACACTGCACGCAGACAGCCCACCCAAGGGAAGAATCAGGGGAGAAGTAATGCAAGACCCTAGAAACATGCCAACATATGAAACCCCAAGTCAAAATGTCGAACCATGCACTTGATCACTCAAGTCATGCACTTGGCCGTCTTCTATGCGTAGTTCACTTCTATTCATGCCTGCTCTAAAACTTTTTAATGAACTTTCGCTTCTGCTCTAAAACTTGCCTTGGTCTTTCACTCTACACTCTACCTTATGCCCCCTCAGTCGAATTCTTTCTTCTGAGGAGGTAAGAATTAAGGTTGCTACAGACCCATACAAATTCACCACCTATAACACCAACATTGAAGACAAATAGAGATTATGGAATATGAATGTATGAATTTATACTCACATTACTATAAGGAACTACCTGAGACTGGGTAACTTATAAAGAAAAAAGTTTTAATTGCCTCATGGTTCTGCAGGCTGTACAGGAAGCATGGCTGGGGAAGCCTCAGGAAACTCATAATCATGGCAGAAGGGGAAGCAGGCAATTTCTTCATGGTAGAGCAGGAGAGAGAGCGTGAAGGTGGAGGGGCTACACACATTTAAACAACCAAATCTCGTGAGAATTCTATGGGATAGCACTAGGAGGATGGTGCTAAACCATTAAAAACCACCCCCATAATCCAGTCACCTCCCACCAGGCCCCACCTTCAACATTAGAGATTATAATTCTACATGAGATTTGGGTGGGAACACAGTGCCAAATCATATCAATGGAGAATAAGAAAAAAAAAGAATGAAGAAAAATAAACACAGACTCAGATAAATGCAGGACAACATCAAGCAAACCAACACGTATATAAGGGGCATTTCTGAAGGACAGGAGAAGAGTTAATAGTAGAAAAAATATTCTAAGAAATAATGGCAGAAATCTTTTCAAATTTATTTAAAAAGCAACAGCCTACATATCCACTATATTTCTGCCATGCTTCATGAGCACATGGCTGCAGGAACACAACAAATTATTTCATCCTTTAGTAAAGACATAAAATATCATAATACATAACATTTTAATTAGATTACTAAATGTCAGTTTACAAATTAGGTTTCTATAGAATAAGTGAGCAAATAAAGGGATAACTGCATGGATAAATAAGTAGTAATGACCCCCTCATTCAAACATGCTTGCATATACTTGGCAGTCCAGACTAATTTTTCAGACCTGTCAAAAGCAAAATAAATTACTAGATATCACTGCCTTATCAAAGGTAACTGACATGGGCAAGATTAGAATAGAAAAACAGTGTGACTAAAACCAGCCACTGAAAATTGAATACGCTGACATTAACACAATTACTATGTAAATTGGTGCTTGGAAATGACTTATACATATATGCTTTATAACATGTTTGTCACTACCCAGGTGCCAAGTTGACATTTTATTCTTCTATTGAGAATGGGAAGAGACAACCTTAAATGAACCAAAATAGTTTTGCAAGAAATCATGCAGTGACAAAAGGTTGAAAGAAAATAATTTGCTATCTTTCTAAACATGTCAGATCCTTTATATCGATTTTTTAAATAATTGGTTTGCTAACTATAATATTATTAGCTATTCTGATAATTATTTTTAGGAGATCTGGATTTCACAGAATTTAACTACCTGAACTGTCATCTATCAGTAAAGCCATGTTACAAGGCTTTTAGTAGACTAGTAGGCAGTAAATTAACCAATTAATAAATTAGTATGGAGTCTAAGTTGCTGGCACTGTTATTTATAAAGGTGTCTAAAACACCATTTTTGCTCTAGCCATGAGGTCAGAAACAAGTTCTAGTATTTTGAATTGGTGTCCTTTCCACACAGACCCTAATAAAACTGACTGTAAATGAGTTGACACTCCATCACTATTTCAGGGAATTCCTTTGATTATTTCAAAATGGCACAAAATCATAACCATTTAGACTATGAGCCATAAAGGAATCTCAGAATATAACTTGCTGCCTGTTTATTATGATTATTACTATATGTTAACTCATTTACCATTATATGAGAAATGTTCCAAATGTCATATTTTACATGATGTGTGTGTGTATGTATTCATTTTAATCTGAAATATGTTAACATAATTAAGGAATCCTTAAAAATACACTGTCACTTCATTCTTCAGATTATATTATCAGGTAAAGTACGTTGAATAATATGATAGAGTCAGACGCCAATGTTACTTGAACAAACTTATTAATGAATGTTAAGAATATATTTGAAGCCAATCATGTAAAGTATTTATTTTCTGATATTACTTTAAAAGGAAAAAAGAAATAAATTCACTTAATTTTGAGGGCTCTAAGAGTCATGACTTTAAATACTAAGCTTAAATTTTCCTTTTTGAAAGGGCAGTTTTCTATAAACACATATTTTGGAAAATTTAATAGTTCTCTTAGTAATTGACTGAAATAGACCAAAAAATTAAGTCGGAATATAGGAGATTTAAACAAAATCACCAATAAACAGGCTTAATTTATATTTATTTATATTTATTGGCTACTATATTTAATAATGGCATAATAAATATTTTTTCAATTGTACATAGAATATTTACCAAAATAGAACATATGCCAGTACATAAACAACTCTCAATAAATTTCAGTGGATTGAAGTAATAGAGTATTTTCTTTGACCAAACTTCTATTAAATTATTAATCAAAAATAATATACTTATAAATATGCAAATATTTAGAAATTAAATAGCATTTATAAAGGACTCATGAATCAAATATAAAACTATATAGCTTAGAAAATATTTCAAATAGAATGATAATGAATATACATCCCAAAGTTTGTTAATATGCTTTACATATAAAGTGCTCCTTATAGGTAAATGTGTAGATTTAAATGTTTAAATTTGTAAAGAAAATTTCATTTAGTAAAGTAAGTACAAAGAAGGAAATAAATCAATGACTTTGTCAAAAAGAAGAAAAAATAATAATTCAAACTGTAATACTTTGAACAGATTAATTAAATTTCTAAATTCCAAAAAGTATTTCTAAGAAAAAAAAAGAGAACAACACATTATTATCAATTATGAAACATAGACATCATTAAACTTTCAACAAGCATTTAAATTATAATGAAGGAATATTATAACCATCATGCCAATATATTTGACACTTAGATAAAATATAAAATTTTATTTAAATACCAACTGTTGCTGTCACAAAATGAAGCAGAAAATTCAAATATCTGTGGAACTATAAAACATTAAATTTGTAATTAAAAGACTACCAGGCAGGTTCTGATTTCTGGGTAAGATGAAAGAAACACATGCTTCTCTCATTCTCATTGAACTCAAATGTAAAATCTAGGCAGAGTTGTGGCCCCGCTGATTGAAAACACTGGAAAAAATAAATAGCAATAGGTGGAGAAGGAAAAGACATGAGAATTCAAAGTAGCAGTGAAATGAGGCTGTGAGCCTGAGTTCCTTAAAATAATGTTTGACAGTTAAAGCAAAACAACATTTCCTGTAATTTTCAATGTACCTAAATATATGAGACAACTATCAATCACTTAGGGGAGTATAAAATAATCTATATGGTAATATAATTTCAATGATCAAAGTGAAATGGTAAAATACTCATTTTAAATACACTGGAAAAATGAAGTATATATTCTTTATTTCCTAGAACAATCACTAAAATGTTATGCAAAGATTAAAATCACAATGGATTCATAGAAATGGAATACTAAAAAATATATATAAATACCCAAAGAAAGCAGAAAAGGGGAACTATTTGGGGGAATAAAAAAAGAAAACTAAAAGAAAACACTCCACTCTACAATAGCAGAGTTTATATTCTTCTCATGTGCACTATGAAATATTTATCGAAACAGACCATATCATAAGTTATGAAACAAATGTTAATGAGTTGAAATCTTACAAAGTATATCACTGATCATAGAATTAAACTAAAAATCATTAACAGAGGGATAACAGAACAATCTCCAAAAACTTAGAAACCAACACATAGTTTAATAATTCATGCACTGAAAAGGAGGTTTCAAAGGAAATTAGAAAATATTTTTAAATGAACAAAAATAAAGTTATACATACCAAGTTATCTACGTATATATAGCAATTTTAAGTTTTATAATTCTATGTTTATAAAAAGAGAAAAAACCCTCAAATCCATAATTTAAGGTTTCAGTTTAAGAAAGCAGAAAGAGAAGAGCAAAATAAATTCAAATAATATCTTACTGGATTTGTGAAATTATCTGTATTTACTTACAGTTCTATCAACTTTCGCTTCATATTTTTGGAAGCTTTGTTATCGGGTGCATAAACATTTTGGATTGTTATGTCCTCTTGAGGAACTGGCCTCTTTAACATGAGATAAACTTTTATATCCTAGTAATATTCTTTGCTTTGAAATTCATTTTATTACCTACTAATAAAGTCAATTTGGCTTTTCAAAGTAGTGATAGCATGACATATCTTCTGTACATTTACTTTTGAACTTATTTGTGTCTTTATATTAAAAATAAGTTTATTGGAGGAAGGAGGTGGCGATCTGGCAATCTCTGCCTTTATGAGTTTGTTTAGACTACTTATAGTCAATGTGATTATTGATATGTTGTCTTAAATTTATCATATTAATATAGCTTCTCTATTTGTATTATTTAGTCTACTTTTTTCCTCTGGCTTTGCCTTCGTTTGGATTAATTTTATATTTCTAATCATTCTATTTCACTTTTTTGAGGAGTAAAGTTGATATAATTCTTTTTGTGTTATTTTAAGTTGCTTTAGGGTAGATAAAATATGAAATTATATTGATCTATCTTTAAACAATGTTACCTGACTTTATTTATAGTATAAGTATTTACAACAGTATACATCCTTGTCTCCAGTTCTGGCCTTTATGCTATTATTGTGAAATATTTTGCTTCTATTTATATTATAAGCCTAAAAATATAATACTATCATTTTTGCTATAAGCTAATCGATTAGATTAATATTTTTAAGTGAATAGATACTAATAAAAGTTACTTTAATAACTAACAACATAATTATCTTTTCTGTTGCTTTTTTATTTTTATATGACCTAAAAGTCATTCAGGAGCAGGTTAATGGCCATGTAATTGCATGGTTTTGAGAAATATTTTTTAGTTTTGATTTTTATATCTATTGTGCTGTGGTCCAAGAGTGTGTTTCATATGATTTCAGTTCTTTTATATTTGCTAAGGACTGTTTTATGTCTGATTATGTGGTCAATTTTAGAGTGTGTGCCATGTGCAGCTTAGAAAAATGTATATTTTGTTGTTTGGGGTGGAGAGTTCTGTAGAGGTCTATCAAATCCATTTAATCCAGTGTTGAGTTCAGGTCCTGAATATCATTGTTAACTTTCTGCCTCAGCGATCTAATATTGTCAGTGTGGTGTTGAAGTCTCCCAGTGTTATTGTGTGAGAGTCTAAACCTCTTGGTAGGTCTCTAACGACTTGCTTTATGAGTCTGGGTGCTCCTGTGTTGAGTGTATATATATTTGGGATACTTGGTTGTTGTTGAATTGAACCCTTCACCATTATGTAATGACCTTCTGTGTCTTTTTTTGATATTTGTTGGTTTAAAGTCTGTTTTGTCTAAAATTCGCATTGCCACCCATGTTTTTTTTCCCCATTTTATTTTCTTAGGAGATTTTCCTCCATTTCTTTATTTTGAGCCTATGGATATCATTGCATGTCAGATGGGTCTTTTGAAGACAGCATATCATCTGGCTTGCTTTTTTTATACAGCTTGCCATTCTCTGCTTTTTAAATGGGGGCCCATTTACATTCAAGGTTAATATTGATATGTGTCGATATGATTCTCATTTTTTGTTAGCAATTTATTATGCCAGCTTGTTTGTGTGATTGCTTTATAGTGTCACTGGTCTGTGTAATGATGTGTGTGTTTTTTTATTGGCTGCTAACAATCTTCCCTTTTCATATTTAGTGCTCTTTTCAGGATTTTTTATAAGGCAGGTCTGGTGGTAATGAACTCCCTCAGCATTTGCTTAGCTGAAAAATGATCTCATTTCTCTTTCACTGAGGAAGCTTAATTTGGCTGGATATGAAATTCTTGGTTGAAGATTTTTTTTTCTTTAAGAATGTTGAATATATGCTCCCAATCTCTTCTTTCTTGTAGAGTTTCTGCTGAGAGGTCTGCTGTTAACCTGATGGGGTTCCCTTTGTAAGTGACCTGCCCTTTTGCCCTAGCTGCCTTCAACATTTTTTCTTTCATTTTGCCCTTGGAAAATGTGATGATTATGTGTATTGAGGATTTTCTTCTTGTGTAGAATCTTGTAGGGCTTCTCTGTATTTCCTGAATTTGATTGTTGGCTCCTCTAGTAAGATTCTGGAAGTTTTCATGAACAACATCCTGAAATATGTTTTCCAAGTTATTTGCTTTCTCCCCTTCCCTTTCAAGGAGGCCAGTGATTCCTATTTTAGGCCTTTTTACATAATCTCACATTTCTTGGAGGTTTTGTTTATTCCTTTTTATTTTTCTTCTTTATCATTGTCTGACTGTATTATTTCAGGGATCCAGTCTTCAAGTTCTGAGATTCATTCCTCAGCCTGGTTTATTCTGCTGTTAATACTGGCTATTGCATTGAGAAATTCTCGTAGTGTGTTTTTTCATACTGGGTGTTCTATCTTTCAGCTCCTGTGTCATTTCGTTGTGATTCTTATTTTCCTTGGATTAAGTTTGCCATTCTCCAGAATCTTGATGATCTTTGTTCCTACTCATATTCTGAATTCTGTTTCTGTCATTTCAGCCAACTCATCCTGGTTAAGAACCCTTGGAAAACTAGTGGAGTTGTTTGGAGAACATAAAACACTCTGGCCATTTGAGCTGCCAGGGTTTTGGGTTGGTTCTTTCTCATCTCTGGGTGGGTGTTCCTTTAACTGCTGGGCTGCCTCCGAAGTGGTCAAGCAGGGGCAGGGTGGTTGTACTGGAATCTCAGGTCAGGCAGCCCTGCCCAGTGAGGACCAGGACCTACATGGAGAACAGTCTGTCCATTTTTTCTTGAGGTGGGTGCTCTGTGTTGGTGGTCCATACCAGCCTCTGGACCCTGTCGATTCTACAGAGCCTGGAGACAGCAAAGGTGAGGGCTGCAAGACAGCAAAGATGGCAACCTGTTCCTCTTACTGGGAGCTCTGTCCCAGAGAGTTGCAGAGCTGCTATTGGCTAATAGCCCCAGCAGGGGGTGGCTGGAGACCTAGGCCAGGAGGACCCACCTAGTGAGAAGATACAGGATCAGGGAACCATGTTACAAACTGTCTGGACATTTTTCCATAGGGCTGCTGCCATATGCTGGGTGTCCACTCTAGTCCCTAGTCACCTTAGATTTTCCAGCACCTAAAGATATCAACAGTGAAGGCTGCAAAAGAGCAAAGATGGCTGCCTACCCCTTCTTCTGGGTGTTCATCCCAGAAAAGTATGAACCTGTTGCTTGCCTGAACCACTGGCAGGGAGATTGTAGACCTCAGTACAGAGATCCCACCCAGTGAGGAGGAACAAGATGTGTGACCTGTGTGAAAAAGCAGTCTGGCCACTTCTCTGTAGAGCTGCTGCACTGTGCCAGGAAACTGCTCCAGTCCCTAGTCACCTCAGACCCCCTAGAGCCCGAAGGCAACAATGGCTAAGGCTGTGAAGCAGCAAAGATGGCAACCCATCTGTCCCCCTGGGAACTCCATCTCAGAGAAGCTGGGAACCACTGAAAGGTGGGAAACACTGGCAAGGGTGGCTAGTGACCCCAGCCAGGAGGTCCCACTTACTGAAGAGAAAGCGAGGTCAGGGATCCCAGTCTGGCCACTTTTCCACAGGGCAGCTACACTGAGGGCAACAACAGCTAAGGCTGTGAACCAGCAAAGATGGCAGCCTACCCCTCCCTCTTGGGAGCTGCATCTCAGGGACGTATAACACTGCTACTGGTGGCTGGCTGGAGTTCCAAGCCAGTGAGTCTTATCCTTCAAGGTGCAGTGGAAACAGGATCTGCAGACCATTACTGCTCAACCCCGAGGATTCATCCCCTTTTCTAGGGGTGTGTATGGGAGTGTAAACTCCTGTTTTGCTGGAGTTGCAACCGCTTTTGCTGAGAAGCCCAGAGCTGGGAGCTTCCAGGGCTCCACCTGTGCCTGAGCGGCCACTAAGCCAAGACTCCATGTAGCTCTGGGTGTCAGACTGCAGGTCCTGGTGGAGGGGATTCATGAGGGGATCTCCTGACCCATGGTTTGCAAAGATCCACTGGGGAGGTGTGGGTCCCCGGAGCTGCTAACTCACTTATCACTTCCCTGAGCTAGGGAGGCTCCCCTGGCTCCATGTTGCTCCTGAGTGGGCATTCATCTTGCCTTGTTTGTCTTTGCTTTCCGTGGGTTGAATTCTCTTCTTGATGAATCCCAATGTGTGTACCTGGCTATTTCAGCTGAAGGTGCTGTATTTACTTGTGCCCTCTTTTTCTCTCCATGAGAGTAGCCCACACTAGCAGCTTCTAGTCAGCCATCTTGGCCAGCTCCCAACATCGTTGTTTTATCGCTCATTTTAACAACTTAATTTTGATAGGAAGTAGTATAGTTTATTTGTTTTTTTGTGTTAAGCTTCACTGAGCTTTTGAAGCTCAGCGTTTACCAATTTCATTAAATTTGGAAATTTTCCATTTCTTCAAATGTGTCTTGTCTCTCTTCCCTTCTCTTTGGGGCACTTTAAGTACATATATATTAGGCCTCTTGAAGTTGACCCCTTGCTGCTGACTTACTGTTAGTTTTATGTTCAGACTGTTTCTTTTTTGTTTCATTTTGGGTAGTTCTATTTCCAGATGTTCAAGTTTACTGACCTTTTATTCTGCAGTATCTGATCAGCCTTAAATTCTAACCAACTTATTTTCATCTCTAAAAGTTGCATTTGGATATTTTAAATATCTTTTATATATCTTAAATTCAATTTTTCATTATCTTCTTGAACATAAAGAAAACAGCACTAATAACTTTAATATCTTTGCCTATTAATTATATTATCTATCATTTCACTTAATTTTTTCTCATTGTTAGTTCATTTTTTGTTCTTTTAATGGTTGATTTTTAAAACTTTATTTTATTTTACTCTCATCAGAACACTTAATATGTGTGTAGATATTACACACATATTACAAAATGTTCAACATCTTGTAAAAAAAAAAAAAAGTAGTTTTTGTTTTGTTTTGTTTTTGAGATGGAGTTTCACTCTGTCACCCAGGCTGGAGTGCAGTGGTGCGATCTGGGCTCACTGCAACCTCCACCTCCCAGGTTCAAGCAATTCTTCTGCCTCAAGAGATCTACTCTTAGAAGTAAATTTTTAAGTATACAATACATTATTGTTGATTATGGGTACAATATCATACAACAGATCTCTAGAACGTATTGATTTTAACTGGCTGAAACTTTAGGCTGGTTGATTAGTAGCTTCCCAGCTCCTGTCCCTCTATCCACTGGCAACCATTCTACTCTTTTGTTCTATGGATTTGATTATTTTAGGTACCTCATTTAAGATAAATCATGCAGTATTTATTTTTCTGAGACTGGCTTATTTAACTTGGCATAATATTCTCAAGTTTCATCCATGTTGCTGCATGTTGCAGAATTTTCATCTTTTTAAGGCTTAGTAGCATTTTATTTATGTATATACCACATTTTCTTTATCCATTCATCCCTCAACAAACATTTGGGTTTCTTCCATACTTTAGCTGTTGTGAATAGTGCTGTAATAAATATAAGAATGCTAATGTCTCTCCAAGATTAGTTACTTTTGATAAATCCCCAAAAAAGAGATTGCAGGATCATATTTTAGTACTATTATTAATTTTTTAAGAAATCTCTATACTGTTTTTCATAGTGGCTGCACCATTTTTTATTCCCCAGACTAAACAGAGTGTAAGGGTTCTAATTTCTACACTCTTGCTGACACCTCTCTTTTGTTTTTTTGATAATGACCTTTCTGACAGGTGTTAGGTGAAATCTCAGTGTGGTTTTCATTTGGATTTTACTAATTAGAGGTGTTGAGCAATTTTTAATATGCCAGTTGGCCATTTGTGTGTCTTCCTTGGATGAATGTTTAAGTAATTATCTCATATTTTAAAATCTGTATATTTTATTTTTTTAATATTTACTATTTTTAATTTGTAAAAATTTATAGGATATAGGAGAAATCTTGCTACATATATATAAGGCATAATTATCTAGTCAGAGTGTTTACAGTGTCCGTCACTTGAGTGCAATACATTTTTAAGCATAGGCACCCTACTCTGCTATCAAACATTGAATTTATTTCTTCTATCTTACTTTATGTTTTTATCTTTTAACCCAGTTCTTTTCATCATCCCTCCTAACCCTGGCTCCCAACTGAACCTTCCTAGTCCTTGTTATCTACTTTACACTCTCTATTTCCATCCGATCAAGTTTTTTTTTTTACCTCCCACATATAAGCGAGAACATGTGAAATTTGTCTACCTTATTTTAATTAAGATAATGACCTTCAGTTTTATCTGTGTTGGTGCAAATGACATGATTTTATTTTTTTCTGGCTGAAAAATATTTCATTGTGTATATATACTATATTTTCATTGTCCAGTCATCTGTTCATGAACACTTTGCTTGATTCAATATATTTGCTATTGTAAATAGTGCTACAATAAACATGTGAGTCCAAGTATCTTTTTCATATGTTGATTTCTTTTCCGTTGGGAAGATACCCAGTTGTGGTATTGTTAGATCAAATGGTAATTCTATTTTTAATTTTTTGAGAAATCGTCATACTGTTTTCCATGCTGACTATACTAGTTTACACTCCCACCAACAGTGTACAAAAGTTGGCTTTTCTCTACATGCTTGCCAAAATCTGTTATTTATTGTCTTTTTAATAATCACCATTCTAACTGGGGTAAGTTGTTACCTCATTGTGGTTTTGAGTTGCATATCTCTGATAATTAATGATGATCAGCCTCTTTTTATATACCACTTGGTCATTTGTAAGTCTTCATCTTAGAAATGTACACTGATGG
Source organism: Homo sapiens (assembly GCF_000001405.40). Classification (NCBI taxonomy): domain Eukaryota; kingdom Metazoa; phylum Chordata; class Mammalia; order Primates; family Hominidae; genus Homo; species Homo sapiens. Next base: position 172,333,126 of record NC_000004.12, read on the forward strand.
CCGGGTGCAGTGGCTCACACCTGTAATCCCAGCACTTTGGGAGGCCAAGATGGGTGTATCACCTGAGGTTGGGAGTTCGAGACCAGCCTGACCAACATGGAGAAACCTCCTCTCTACTGAAAATACAAAATTAGCCAGGCATGGTGGTGCATGCCTGTAATCCCAGCTACTCGGGAGGCTGAGGCAGAGGAATCGCTTGAACCTGGGAGATGGAGGTTGCAGTGAGCCGAGATCGTGCAATTGCATTCCAGCCTAGGCGACAAAAGTGAAAGTCCATCTCAAAAGAAAAAAATAAAAACAAAACAAAACAAAAAACGAAATGTACATTGATGTCCTTTGCCCACATTTTAATATAATTATTTGTTTTTCTTTTTGTTGAGTTGAGTTCCTTTTATATTCTTGATATTAGTCTCCTGTTGGATGAACAGTCTGCAAATAATTTCTCCCATTAAACAGTTCTTTTAATTTAACAGCCTCTTTTTCTGTTAATTGTTTTCATTTAACAGCCTCTTTTTCTGTTAATTGTTTTCATTTACTTTGCTGTGTAGAATATTTGTGGTTTAATATAGTCCCTCTTGTCTATTCTTGGTTTTGTCACCTGCGCTTTTGAGGTCTTAGTCATAAATTGTTTGCCTAGACCAACATCCAAGGGAGTTTTCCCAATGTTTTCTTCTAATATTTTTTATAGTTTGGGAGCTTATGTTTAAGTCTTTAATATATCTTGAGTTTATTTTTGTATGTGGTGAGAGATAGGGGTCTAGTTTTATTCTTCTGCATGTGGCTACCCAATTTTCCCAGCACCATTTATTGAATAGGGTGTCCTTTTCCCAATGTAAGTTCTTGTCAACTTTGTTGAAGGTCAGTTGGTTGTAAATATGTGACCTTATTTCTGGATTCTCTCTTTTGTTCCATTGGTCTGTGTATCTATTTTTATACCAATACCAGTGCTATTTGGTATGGGTTACGATACCTTGGTTACTACACTTTACTCTACTCTACTCTACTCTACTCTACTTTGGTTACTATAGCCTTGTAATATATTTTGAACTCAGGTCATGTGATGGCTTCAGCTTTGTTCTTTTTGCTTAGGACTGCTTTGGCTATTTGGGCTCTCTTTTGGTTCTATTGAATTTTAGGACTGCTTTTTCTAATTCTGTGAAAAATGGTGTCGGCATTTTGATAGGGATTGTGTTGAATTTGTAAATTGCTTTGGACAATATGGTCATTTTAATGACATCAATTCTTCTGACCCATAAGTATAGTATATTTTTCCATTTGTTTTATCTTCAGTTTATTTCATCAGTGTTTTGTAATTTTGCTTGTAGAGATTTTTCACATCTTTGGTAAAATTTATTCTTAGCATCTTTTTTACAGCTATTGTAAATAGGATTGCCTTCTCGATTTCTTCTTTGGTGTACAGAAGTGCTACTGATTTTTTTACATTAATTTTTTATCCTGAAACTTTACTGAAGTCGCTTATTAGTTCTAGGAGCTGTTTGGCAAAGTCTATAGGGTTTTCTAGACATGTAATCATGTCATCAGAGAAGAAAAAAAATTTGATTTTATCTTTTCATATTTGGTTGCATTTATTTCCTTCTCTTGCCTGATTGCTCAGGATAGGACTTCCAGTACATGTTGAAAAGGAATGGTGAGAATGGCCATCCTTGTCTTTTTCCTGTTCTTAAGAGGAATGCTTCTAGCTTTTGCCCATTCAGTAGGATGTTTGGCTGTGGGTTTGTGGCTCTTATTATTTTGAGGTAAGTTTTTTCAATGCCTAGTTTGTTGAAGGTTTTTATTGTAAAGAGATGTTGAATTTTATCAAAACCTTTTTCTTTGTCTATTGATATAATCATATGACTTTTTTTTTTTTTTTGAGACAGAGTCTCGCTCTGTCGCCCAGGCTGGAGTGCAGTGGCACGATCTCTGCCCACTGCAAGCTCCGCCTCCCAGGTTCACACCATACAGGCACCCGCCACCACGCCCAGCTAATTTTTTGTATTTTTAGTAGAGACGGGTTTCACCGTGTTAGCCAGGAGGGTCTCCATCTCCTGACCTTGTGATCTACCCACCAATCATATGACTTTTGTGTTTAATTCTGTTTACGTGTTGAATCAGGTTTATTGATTTGCATATGTTGTACTCACATTGCATCCCAGGAATAAGGCCTAACTGATCGTGGTGAATTAACTTTTTGATGTACTGCTGAATTTAGTTTGCCAGCATTTTGTTGAGAATCTTTGCATCTATGTTCACCAGGAATATTAGCCTGTAGTTGTCTTTATTCATTGTGTCTTTGCCAGATTTAGGTATCAAGGTGATGCTAGCTCGCTTTGTAGAATGAGTTAGGGAGAGGTCCCTCTTCCTCAATTTTTTGGAATAGTTTTAGTAGAATTGGTACCAGCTCTTCTTTGCACATCTGGTAGAATTTGGCTGTGAATTCTTCTGGTCCAGGGCTTTTTTGGTTGACAGGTTTTTTATTGCTGAATTCAAATTTGGAACTTGATATTGGTCCTTTCAGGATTTCAATTTCTTCCTGATTCAATCTGGGGAGCTTGTATGTTTCCATGGATTTATCCATTTCCTCTAGGTTTTCCAGTTTGTGTGTATAGATGTGGTCGTATTAGTCTCTGAGGATCTTTTGTATTTCTGTTAGATCAGTTGTAGGGTCATCTTTGTTGTATCTAATTGTGCTTATTTGAACCTCTGTTTTTTCTTTATTAATAAAGCTAATGGTCTATTGATCTTGTTTATCCTTTCAAATAATCAACTTTTGGTTTTGCGATCCTTTGTATAAATTTCTGAGTCTCAATTTTATTCACTTCCACTCTGATTTTAGTTATTTATTTTCTTCCACTTGCTTCACGGTTATTTTGTTTTTGTTTTGTTTTCTAGTTCCTCTATGTGTGATGTTACACTGTTAATTTGAGACCATTCTAACTTCTTGACATAAGCCTTTAGTGCTATGAACTTTCGTCTTAACACTGATTTTGCTGCATTTCAGGATATTGGTTTATTATGTCTCTATTTTTTATTTCAAAGAATTTTGTTTATTTATATCTTAATTTATTTGTTTACCCAAAAGGAGCAAGTTGTTTAATTTCTATGTAGTTAGGTGTTTTTGAGAACTCTTCTTGGTATAGTTTTGTTTTGTTTTTTTTTTTTTTTGACTGAGTCTCACTCTGTTGCCCAGGCTGGAGTGCAGTGACTCCATCTCGGCTCACTGCAACCTTTACCTGCCAGGTTCAAGGCTATTCTCCTGCCTCAGCCTCCTGACTAGCTGGGATTACAGGCACATGCCACCATGCCCAGCTAATTTTTTTTTTTTTTTTTAAGTAGAGACCGGGTTTCACCATGTTGGTCAGGCTGGTCTCAAACTCCTGACCTCAGGATCCGCCCACCTCGGCCTCCCAAAGTGCTGGGATTACAGACATGAGCCACCATGCCAGCCTAGATTTCTATTTTTATTCCTGTGGTCCAAAGGTATGGTTGGTATGGCTTTGATTTTTTTGAATTTACTGAGAATTGCTTCATGGCAATGCATGTGGCCAGTCTTGGAATATGTTCTGCATGCAGACGAGAAAAATGTGTATTCTGTGGTTGATTGGTGGAGTACTCTGGGGATGTATATCAAGTACAGTTTATCAAGTGTTAATTTAAGTTCAGAATTTCTTTGTTAGTTTTCTGCCTTATAGATGTCTTTAATGCTGTCAGTGAGGTGTTGCAGCACCCCTCCACCCCGTCCATTATTGTATGACTGTGTCTTTTTGTAGGAGTAGATATGTGTTTTATAAATGTTTGTGCTCCAACATTGGTACGCGTATATTTAGAATAGTTAAGTATTATTGTTGAATTGAAGTCTTTATCATTATGCAATGCCCTATCATCATTATATAATGTCCTTCTTTTTCCCTTTTTTGCTGTCATTGGTTTAAAGTCTGTTTTATCTGATACAGGAATAGTGACCCCTGCTCTTTTTTGTTTTCCATTTGTGTAATAGATCTTTCTCCAACCTTTCACTTTAAGCTTATGGGTATCCTTACATTTAAGATGGTTCTCTTGAAGACAGCTGCTGGACGGGTCATTTTTTTTTTTAATCCAGCTTGGCACCCTGTACCTTTTAAGTAGGACCATGTACCTTCAAGGTTACACCATGTACATTCAAGGTTAATGATGATATGTGAGGTTTTAATTCTATTGTGAAGTTAACTGGTTGCTTTGTAGTTTCTACTGTGTAGTTGCTTCATAGAATCTATGGGCTACGTACTTAAGTGTGTGTTTGTGGTAGCAGGTGTAATTATTTTGTTTCTATGTTAAGAACTCCTATATGGATCTTTTATAAGGTTGGTCTATTGGCAATAAGTTCCCTTTGTGATTATATGTCTGGAAAATGTTTCTCTTTTGCTTAAAAAGCTTAGTTTAGTGGTACATTAATTTTTTTTTTAAGAGTGCTGGCTATAGGCCTCAATCTCTTCTGACTTACAAGGTTTCTACTGGGAAGTTGCTGTTAACCTGACTTTTCTTGTTGTTGCTGTTGAGGATCTGACCTTTTACTCTACCCGTCTTTAAGGTTTTTTGTTTTTTTTTTTCTAGTGTTGACCTTGATCAGTCTGGTGATTATATGCCTGGTGATGTTTATTTTGTATAGTATCATACAAGTGATCTCTGGATTCTTGCATCTGGATACCTATTTCTCTAGCAAAATTAGAGAATTATTTTTGCATTATTATCTCAAATATACTTTCCAAGTTGTTTACTTTTTCTTCTTCTCTCTCAGGAATGCCAGTGATTCATAGGTTTGATTGCTTTACATAATCCCATGTTTCTCGAAGACTTAATTCATTTTCTAATTTAAAAAAAAAAGATTTTTGCTTGACTAGGTTAGTTTGAAAACCTGATCTTTGAGCTCTAAAATTCTTTTACTGTTTGGCGTAGGCTACTGATGAAAGTCTTCAACTGTATTTTGAAATACACTAAGTGAATTTTTTAATTCTAGAAGCTCTGGTTATTTTTTTAAGATGTTAATCTCTTCCTTCATTTATTGGCTTTCTTTGGAAGTTTATTTGTGTTGATTTTCAACCTTGTCTTGAATATCATTCATCTTCCTTGCAATCCAATTCTTTATCTGCCATTTTGGGGTTTCTATTTTGGTTAGGGAATATTGCTAGAGAGTGAGCGTGATCCTTTCATGCTGTCACAATGTTCAGATTTTTTTTTTTCTGGTGCCCAAAATTCTAATGCTGGCTCCTTTTCATCTGGAGATCCTGGCACTTCTAATTTGTGTAATTATTTTTGTGTGAATCGGATTTTTTTTCTCTCTTTCCCTATAATGTTGATTTCTGTTCTTTCCCTCTACCCCCTTCCTGGGGGGTATGACTGTAGAGAATGTTGGATAGGGTCTTTTGGCTTTGTTTCTTCACCCAACTTCTGTTGGGTGGTTTTATATTGGGCCATGCAGTTCAAGCTCCGGGCCAGTAGATATCACTTCTGGGTAAAAGCCAGCTGTGGCCAATGTGGCTGGGTACATATATTTGAACCTTGTTTACTGCGAGATATTGCCTGAGACAATGGACTGATTCTTGGAATACATAATGGCCTGAGCTCCTTGCTCAGCTGTAGGGGTGAGCCAAGATGGACAGGGGCAAGCCAGGCAGGTCTGCCTAAAGGTTACCTGAAGGGAGAATTGAGGGCGCAGCCACCAAGCACCAAGAAATGTGCCTACGACTGGCGCTGGGAAACCTCTTGAGTGGTAACTTCTCTGCCCAGGGAGGGAGGGCAGCCTAAACTCCTAATCCAGGAGAGTGGATGTTTTATAAGCTTGGAGATCTGTCCAGGCATGGAGGGGAGAGGGCCTCACTTCACATGGTCTCTCCACAGAAATGGTGGACACTCAGGCTGTTGATATGGGTGAGTGAGTGCTCTGAATGCCTGGAGATCTGCCTGGGCATAAAACAGAGAGTGCTTTGCTGCACTGTGGTCTCTGCGTAAGAACGATGGGACAGATCAGACTGTTAATCCAGGTGAGCATGTTCTCTGAATGTCTGGAGATATGCCTGGGCATGGAGTAGAGAGGACCCCTCTGTACCTTCATCTCAGGGGAGCAGGCTGGGGCACCCAGCAAACACACACACACACCACACACACACACACACACACACACACACACACACACACACACACACACACACACACAGAGTTTCCAGGTCACCAAGTTGGTTTCTTCTCACCCAGGAGAAATCATGGCTACAGTAGTTCTTCTCTTGCCCTAGACCTGTGGCAAGGGGAGGGTACAATTCCAGTGCCTACTCCTGGGGCACTTTCTACATTTCCTGCTCAATTCTGGCTCTGGAGGCTCCTACCAAACTCCAGAGCAAGCACTCCAATCGCTGGCCTGAGACTAAAATACCTGTGTAGTCACACTGTTGGGTTGCCGAAGAGTGACTGACTCTGTATGCTCCTGGATTAAAAATGGCATCCTGCTTTCAACTCCAGTCGGGGAAAATGCTGCAACTTTTCCCAATGTCTTTCCCTCTGAGTTTCTCCAAGCCTCTCCCCAAGTTAGCTCCAAAGCTGGGAGAAACAAAGGGCTCTCCCTTGGCCTGGACAAATCCCCAGTGGAAAGGTGAGTCACAAAGGAAAACTCTCTGCCCCTCTCATGTATTGAGACTTGACTCACTTTTGACAGCCAGATGCTGACACGGGGGCTGTTTGCACATGGTCTTCTTTTTGGGATCTGGGGTGTCCTTCACAATTCCAGTAGATTCCCATTTTTCTTCTTGAATTAAAGTTCACAGCATTGATCTTTATGCACTGTTTTGCTGTTTCTCTGTGGCTGAGGCCATCTTGAAACAACAACAAAACTTTCTTTTTTATATTGAATTGTTCTAGCTAGGATTGATAATCCTATGTTGAATAGGAGTCTCAAAATTAAGTATCTTTGTCTTGTTCCTGATCTTAGAGGAAAAGCTTTCAATTTTTCATAATTGCATATAATATTAGCTGTGGGCTTTTTATATATGGCATGTATTAAGTTGAATTAATTTTCTTTTATTTCTAGTTTGTGAGAGTCTTTAACTTAAAAATGTGTCTATTTCGTCAAATACTTTCTCTGCATCTATTGAGATGATCATGTGGTTTTATGATTTTATTTTGTTAATATAGTGCATCACATTCATTAATTTTCATATATTGAACCACCCTTGCATCCCAGGGATAAGTCCAGCTTGATTATGGTGTATGATCATTTTAATGTTCTGTTGAAGTTAGTTTGCTGGTATTTTACTCAGGATTCTTGCATCTATGTTCATCAGAGATATTGGCCTATAGTTTTTCTTTCTTGTGGTGTCTTTGCCCATCTTTGACATCAGGGTAGCGCTGGCCTCATAAAATGAGTTTTGAAGTGTATGGTTGTCAATTTTTATTTGGTATCAGACATTGTGATTTTACCTTCAAAGGTGAAAAATATTTTGTATTACTATAAATATTATTGAGCTTTGTTACATAATGAATTTAAGTTATGTGAAAACAGTTTGATACTATAAGATCTTGCTTTTAAGCTAAGTTGGATCAGAGCTATATTTAGGCTAGGGATAATTTGCCACCCTGCTGAGATAAAACCCGTCTAACTCTTTCCATACTCCACCTAATTCTCCATAAGCATTAGTTTTTACCCTATATGAATGATAGGTATTGTTTCCTCTAATCCATTCTTGGGTTTTATTCTCCAGATAAGGGTTGTTCCTTTGTATGCTTGCACTGATCAGCGCTTAGCTGAAGATGTGAGGAGGACTCTGCAGATCCCCTGAGTTCTGTGTACAGCTCATTCCTTTAGAGTGCTCTATCTTGCAAACTCTAGCCACCTTGGTCGCCTGGACTCTTGGCTCCATTTTCTTATCTTAGGGAGATCATTTGGATCTGCCTGTGTTTCTCTTAAATTCACCATGCCCTGGAATCTCAGGCTAGAGTGTAAGCAGGGGAAATTGTATCCTGTTTCTGAAAGCCACTATTGTTTGTTGCTTGATATTCAATGCCTTGAAAATAATTGTTTCATATTCAAAAATGTAGTTGTCCTGTAATCCCAGCACTTTGGGAGGCCGAGGCGGGCGGATCACGAGGTCAGGAGATCGAGACCATCCCGGCTAAAACGGTGAAACCCCGTCTCTACTAAAAATACAAAAAATTAGCCGGGCGTAGTGGCGGGCGCCTGTAGTCCCAGCTACTTGGGAGGCTGAGGCAGGAGAATGGCGTGAACCCGGGAGGCGGAGCTTGCAGTGAGCCGAGATCCCGCCACTGCACTCCAGCCTGGGCGACAGAGCGAGACTCCGTCTCAAAAAAAAAAAAAAAAAAAAAAAAAAATGTAGTTGTTTAGTTGGTAATATGGTTTGGCTCTATGTCCCCACCCAAATCTCATCTTGTAGCTCCCATAATTCCCACGTGTTGTGGGGAGGGACCTGGTTGGAGATGATGGAATCATGGGGGTGGGTCTTTCTTGTGCTGTTCTGGTGATAGTGAATGGGTATCACGAGATCTAATGGTGTGAAAAACAGGAGTTTCTCTGCACAGGCTCTCCTTTTGCCTGCTGCCATCCATGTAAGATATTGACTTGCTCCTCCTTCCCTCCCTCCATGATTGTGAAGCTTCCCCAACCATACGGAACAGTAAGTCCAATTAAACCTCTTTCTTTTATAAATTGCCTAGTCTCGGGTATGTCTTTATCAGCACCATGAAAACAGACTAATACAGTTGAATCAAGTAGAAAGGTAAATATGGTCCTTATTAGTACATTTGACTAAAAGGAAATCTCAAATATAATTTTACCTAGACATAATATTTGATAGAAATAGCAAAAATCTGTATTATTATTTAAATATGCAAAACCAATATAGGAATATTGTGCATAGTGGACACTATTTCTACTTATTTTAGCCACCTGATAATATAATATTAGTGGCTGTTAGAGCCTCTATTCACATGACAGTTCATCATAAATTTTTTGTGATGGGTATTTTGTCACACATTTTATTGAACGGTTTATCTACAAAAATATTTATGGAGGATAGAGCATACATCTCACAAAAACGTTTGAGCTAATCAAGTAATTGCCTACCCCTCCTTAAAATATTATAGTATTTATATAATTTAATTAATTTAATTAGTATAAAGATGCCTTAAAGGGCCAATGATAGAATGACATTTCCAAAAGATTATGTAATCAAAAGTGAAGAATGCTGGATTCTTATTCGTTGCTCGTGTTACCTCCTGTGTAGGCTATAATTACTGAATTTTCAGAAAAGCTATAAACTTCTTAGTTCAGGAACAGTGCCTCATCATTGTATCACTTTTTTACCCAGTACAATGCCTTTCCAATTAGATTGTAAAATAATTTATGTTTAACTCTCTAAAACTCTGTCTCAATTCTCAATTAAATGGGGGGCTTAACTGGATGATTTCTTAAATGTGGTTGCAGCTCTAATATCCTCTGTTGTCATGCTTCTATGGATGTGGGACTGTAAATATTCTGTTTTTCATCTGTGAAGAAATTGAATCTCTTTCATTTTTCCATTAAATTTTGTCCAACAAGTAAAATGTTCTTTTCTTGTTTTGTTCTAAAGAAGGCAGAAGACTAAAATGATTGATTTCGCTAGTGTCATTTGCCAAATGTTTCTGACTCTATTCCTTCTGTACAATATGAGACTGCACATTCTAGGCCCCTGGGCTGCATGACTAGTTCTGACCAATGAGCTGTAAGCAGACAGCAATGTGCCATTTTAGGGATACATCATCTAATTACTAGCTTGATACCCATCAGTGTTCTCATTTATATCTACCACAATGATTGACAGTGATCAAGATGTTGGCTATTTCTGCTAAGCACAGTGAGCAGAGACCCTCCTTCCAACTAGTGTTGAACAGGTAAAGGAAGCAAAAAAGGGAATAGTTATTATTTTAAGTCATTGAAATTTGGGGGTGGTCATTACCACCATATAACCTCCTGACTATTGTTATAAGTAAAACAAAAAACAAACAAACAAAACAAAACAAAAAATAAAGCCATACTTTGAATAAGCTAACAGAATGATCTAAAGATTGAAATATTCAAACATTTTACTCAAAAGCTGCAATCCCAGAGTTAGAACTTTTTAAATGTGAGTTGTAACACCCTTTCCAAAACAAAATACACAACAATAGGCAGCGAGAAGTAATGTTTAAGTGATGGTGAAGAATACATGAAAGTTTTAAGATCTCCAAATGAAAATTAACCTAAATGCCTGTAATATAAACATTGACATTGTTGCATATGTACTAAAGTATCTCTTTTAGACAAAAATAAGTCACTGATAAGTCTGGTACTTATTTCAAGTATTTGTAATTAAAATTTATTTTGTGGCCTTTTTTATTGTTGAAAAAACCACTTATTTTAATAAAATCAATGAAATAAAAAAGATAAATTAGTGTAACCATGAAAAGAATAAATGTTAAGTATGTGTTAAACAATACTGTTGAACTGTATTTTAAAAATCTCTCAGTTTAGCAAATGCCAATATAAAAAATCAGAAAACGTTTATGTATTCTGTTTTGGAAAAACAGAAGAATATGAGAAAATTTGCCATTGAAGTTTCATTACTGTGAAAGACTTAGCAGAATGTTTACAAAATAATTTGGATTTTTTTTTTGGATTTTTAAATGCCTTCACGACTTGTCATTTCTCTCAAGTAAATTTTTAAATAATTTAAACTATTTCTTTTGTCTTCTTGGTGCTTTTAAAATTTGAAGAATTAGTTTTTATCCATTTATATAAACTGTTACTCAACAAAGAGATGTCCTTACCTCTGAGCCATTCCTAAACTGCAAGGTAATTTTATGCAAATGCTTATCTGAAAATAATACAGCAATAAGAAATGCAGTAATTACACCCATATTCCTAGAAACCTATTTCAACACGTTTTAGTTTGTCCCTATTTTCTTATTCTATTTGTGAATTTGCTGTGCATTTGTAACCATAAAAAGCATACAAATTGTGTTTGACTTTATTTTACTTATTAAAGTCAGTTCCATATTGGTACATCATCTTCATATTTGTAAACTTTTATTCTCAACCTGACTTGACATTAAACCTAAAATATGCAGGTGCAGAGCCTAAATAAAGCCCTGGATGTGCTTCACTATTTCTAGTAATACTATAGGGCAGTCATCTGGATCACAACTTCTTGAATCCAATGCCTGAGCTTGGCAGTGATTCAATTTTTCTTTGGAGCAGCTCAAGTGCTAGAATGACCGAATAAAATTCAATCAGATTAAGTGCTTTTACAAAGGAGCTGGCTTTCCTTAGAGTGAAAATCAGATCTGCACCCTCATTATTTTTTGCTAGAATTATTACAAGGGCTAATCTTTCTGCTTCTACTCTTTGCCATCTGCAACACATTGTCTGCCCTGCTGCCAGAGGAATATGTAAACACGATCCGGTCTTGTGATTAACAATATTTGAAGTACTTCATGTTGACTGCAGGCTAACATCCAAATTCCTTAGAATCATTTTCAAGATTCTTCATGATCTGTTCTCAATGTACAGACTCATTGATAAAGACGTCCTTAATTCTATCAGACAAAGTTAGTCACACTTCCTTCAGGCTCTCAATGTCTGTGTGCCATCTATTATGTCACTTGTCTTGTTTGAGTCTAATCATTTTATATATCTGCTCACTGGTCTGTGAACCCTTAAGGGAAGAGACTGAAATGTATTCATCTTTGTATCCTAAATGTCTCTCACTGTCTCTTCTGCAGTTCCTGTCTTTCCTAGTTCCACGTCTTCTTCCACAGAGGATTTGACAATGAAATAATACAGTGTAAACAACAATGACCGTAATAATGACAGTATTTATTAAACCCCTGCTATTATTAGATATGATGCTATATGAAGTACGTTACATAGATGTCCCAATTAATTCTCCTTAGCACATTATGAAGAGGTATTGTTTTTTTTTTTTTTTGCTCCCACATTATCCTCTGTGAGAAAATTAATCTTATAGAGGGTAAATAACTTGCCCATTGTCACACAGGCAGTAAATGGCAAAGCTATCATTTGAACCTAGTCTGATCTATAAAGTGTGGTGTGACTTTCCAATATTTGATACATAATCATCAGGCATGAAATAGTAAGGAGTTTATAATGTAGTCTAATTGAAAAATAAGTTACAGATATCAATGTAAAAAGGCAATGTTACTACTAATAATCAACTAATTAGGATGAGACCATTTTTATGTATCCACTGTAATGTCTTGATAGTTGTGTTTCATAGGCCTAGAGATGTCTCTGAGTAGAGCACCAGTAATAATTCAAAAGCTGAAAGAAGTAATGAAATGCATGTGTGATAATCGTTTTTTAAAAACTTATTTAAAAGTATTTCCAAGTATAACAAACTGCAGCCTTCCTAACTGAACATAAATAAGAGTGTTGCCTATTTGACCAGCACATTGATCAAAGTGAATCTTGACCAGGGTATTGATTTAAGAGACTGTTCCAAAGAGACTATACCAAATGAGGTATAACTTATTTGCCTATGTCTAAGTTTAGGTTCCTCTAGAAGCAAACCCTGAAACAAAAATTTGACTATAATAGTGTTTAGGAGGTAATCACAGAATGTAGAGTGGTGCGGTTCAGGGAATGTGAGAAAGGAAGACAGAAAAGGGAAAGTAGCCAGTAAAAGATGCATTGTCAAACTGCTGATCACTGTGGGCAACCGAGGTGTAATCCTGCTAGGAAACTATGGGAGACAATATGGAACATACCTCAGGGTTATCCCACCATACGACTATTTATTCTCTAACTTCCATTATTTGTTGGTTGATACTTGTTCTAGGGGAATTAATTTTTCCCAGAACTTCTGATCTGCCCTTTGTGCAGAGATGAGAGAAAGTACTCACTTTGCTATCTGCAGAGATGTATAATAGGACCCTCTTGGCTTATACTGGAATGGTGAGTGCTAAGGAGACATTGATGTGCCAGCATCATCTGCTAGAGCTTATCTCTCATGAGCCTGTTCCTCCAGCAAAATAGATTTTTACCTTGAGCTACACACCCACATATATATAGATAGACATATAAATTGACAGATAGATGTGTATATGATATATGAAAGCTACGTTCCAACTGGATGTCGTTTTGACGTCTCAACAGTACATGGTCAAAATTGAATTCATTATCGTTGCTCTCATTATTTGAAACCTTCAATATGTCCCTCACACAGGCTCCTATGTCATTCTGTATTTCATCTGATCAGTTGCCCATGTCCAAAACGTAAGAGTCCTCTTTAGTCACTTCTCCTAGTTACCAAGTCGTGTGAATTCTCTTTCTACATAGATCTTGAACCTGTCCTCTGCAGGCCACCTTCAATTCTCACTTGAATTTCTACAACATTTTCCAAATTGGCTTATGGGCCTCTCTCAAATAATCTTATAGCACTCTATTAATCTTCTACACTATCCATTTCATTTTAAAATTGTAACTATTTGTCTTTCTGTATCTCTCATTATAATATAAATGTCTTGAAGTTCAGAACTAGATTTTGTTCATTGTTTTATCTCAACTTTGGAGCCTGGCCTATATCAAACCTTCAGTAAATTACTGTGACATGAGTGAATGAATGAATGAATAGAATGGATCCTTTTATATTTCATGTGTACTAGTAATTTGATAGTAATTTGAGCTCAGGCACATAGAAATTATTGAAAACATTTCAAAAGAGAAAGCCTTTGTCACACATGATTGGTCTTGCATTCTTTTTTGTCTACCCTTTCTCTGATTGGATTGTATATGACTCTGAAAAGTCATGAGCCTATTGATTTTTTTCTTTTCTTTTGTTTTCTTTCTTTTTTTTTTTTTTTTTTTGAGACAGTCTCACTCTGTCACCCAGGCTGGACTGTGCAGTGGTGCAATCTCATCTCACTGCAATCTCTGCCTCCTGGGTTCAAGCGATTCTTTTGCCTCAGCCAGCTGAGTAGCTAGGATGACAGGCGTGTGCCACCATACCTGGCTAATATTTGTATTTTTGGTAGAGATGGGGTTTTGCTATGTTGCCCAGGCTGATCTTGAACTCCAGGACTCAAGTGATCCTCCCACCTTGGCCTCCCAAAGTGCCGGGATTGCAGCCATGAGCCACTGTGCCTGGCCCCTATTGATGGGTTATAGGATATTACTCTGAATGCAATTCCTCTTTAATTAATAGACAAGTAATATGTACAATAGCTTGTCCTAATGTTTAAAAAACAATTGGCTTCATTGGGGATATCACCTTCATTCTAAGAACACTGTGAAGTGTAATGGTTCTCACAAGTAGGTGCAACATTCTGAATATTGATGTATCAAAGCACAATTAGTTGGGCTCTTTGACTTTGTTCAGAAGAATCAATGGCTCTGCATAATTATGACCAGGTATGCTGAATTTCATTAACACTATTTTCCAGATCTGTGAATTATAAGCAAAACATCTATCTTACTACACTCCCATGGAAATTACTGACAAATCTTTGTCATATTATATATATTTTTTGACATTTATCCTAAAATGAATTTCATGTTTTTACACATTTTTGTGCCCATATCATTATAATTTTGATGGGTTTTCAGACACTTTTCATTGTCTGAATATGTCAAAATTTACTTGTTTAATGAATATTGTTAAAAATAATAAATTATTAGGTTAAATAATGAATAAAGGAATACAATTTTAAAAATACTTCTTTTTCATCTTCTCAGATGGTTCCAACAATGAAAAAAATGAACTTGAGATTTCTTTTTAGAGTTTTCACTGGGACTATGATAACATCTTGATTTGGATCTTAATTTAATCTTATTATGTGGTTGTGCTCAGTTAACAGTTATTTTAAATTGAATTTTAATTTATTCTGTTTAGAAGCTACAGTTGTTTTTCCCTTCAGGCTTTAAATACTGTCCAGCCATTGAAACACTCCATGACTAAAACTGACTAATTAAACATAAATATTACAGAAGTTAAATTTTTAGATATCTTCAGGAAGTCCATCTAAACCTTAATTATGTGCTCCATGGAAACAGTTTTAATGCATATTACTCATCCTTATTTCTATTATATAACAACAGGAAAAATGTACATCAACAAGAGCACAACATTTCAAAAACTGACAAATTTGAAACCCTGATACCAGAGGATAAAACAGTTGTTTCATTAAGAGTGAGTGTGAAAGGAGATCATTAATGCATTCCGTGAAGGAGCAGGATAACAATCATGCTGTACAAACTCTGGTTGGAAAGTATTAGACTAAGTCGTGTTTCCACAGTTGTCTGATAACATAATGAATAAACAACAGAATAAGATATACAAGAGTTTTGTATTTGACACACCATTTTCTTTTCCCTCATCTCCAGCTGTAAGCATAAGATGTATCTGGAAAGGCTGCCAAACACCAGCATCATTATCCCATTTCATAATGAAGGTTGGACTTCACTCCTGCGGACCATACACAGTATAATTAACCGAACCCCAGGGAGTCTGATAGCAGAAATCATTCTAGTAGATGACTTCAGTGAGAGAGGTAAGATACAGTTGATAACATTTTATCTGATTCTGCTACCATTCACATAATCATTAAGGACTTTTTAAAAAAGACAATGGGAGCTTCTTTCTGATTCCATCTGAAAGGTGATTATGAAGTTTTATCTATGTTGTGATTTCGTAAAATATTCACCAAATGCAAAAGAAACTTAATGAGAAGCTATAGGTTTCATTTGGGAATCTGTAAGAAATTTGCATTACAATCTCTGTTGCAAATTAGGTGTTGGCAAAATGCCTCAAATTCTACTTTCAGCTTCAGGACCAACACTGTAAAATATATTATTGTAAGTACATATGAATGGTAAAATATTTGAGTTAGAACTATAAAATTTGTTCCTATTTCTGAAAAGTATCTACTCTATTATTTACCAGTATGACACATACTCCAGGCTGTGCTTGTGTTACTTCATAAATATTAGAAACTATAAGGGACACAGGTACATATTTTTACTTGGTAATTCTAGCTATTTTATCTATCTGAACAATAACAGAAACAATCTAGTGTAATAGTATCTTACAAAATTTAGCATAAGTTTTAATACTTTTATAATTTTATATTTACCTTATAAAAATTTTATAATTTTGTAATTTACTTTCTATTGTATGAATATACTATAAAGTGCATTTTATAATTTACCTTATATTTTATTGCACGAAGGAGCTACACTTAACTGTATATCTGTTAGAAAGAATGACAGTAAAATATTTTGATTGAATATTATTCTTATGTCTCAAAAGAGAATACAACTTGAGATCACATGGGTTAATGAAGTTTTGGAAGTTTTAATTGAAGTTAATTTGAAGTTTTGGAAATGTTATTTGTCACAGAAACATCTTTTTTTCATAGTATTCAAAAATTCTGCAAAAGATAGACTGCTTGGTGTGCTAATTGTGAAGTTTCTTTGACAGAGGTAGTCAGTTAAAATACTGGTCTTTATACACTTCTTTTAAATACTGATTCAGAGGTTGCCTAGTATCTATATATACTGGGACTTACATGACAGAAAGGAGGTTGTTTGACACTACACTATTAATATGGCGGAGATTGCAGTGAGCTGAGATCGCACCACTGAACTCCAGCCTGGGTGACAGAGCGAGACTTCGTCTCAAATTAAAAAAAAATATATATATATATATTTTTTTTAAACTATCAACCTGGTCATTTTAGGTTTGATTTTAAAGAGGTTTTTGTCTCGTGTTGCATAGGTAGGCATGCATTTAATACTACCTAATAAGAGCCACTGTCTAAAACTGAAATTTGCAGATTTTTGAAAAACAATGTAAATGGCATATTCACTTTTTTATTCTAATTGAGGTTACTATTTCAAAGCAGTCATCATTATTACCTCAGGCTAAAGATAGGTACTTAATGTGTTAATAAAACGTTGACTTCAAAAAGTGAAAAAGGTGATAAAGATCTGAGGCTGCAGATTGCCAAGTGAATAGTCTTTGTGATTGACTGGTACTAGGAGAAATAGGCCAGTGTAACTTTTGATTATCTTGGTAAACTATTTATTATAGTAGAATTTTGAACTGGTGGGTAATAGAGTGAGAAACACTTGGTAGCAGAAAATTATGGTTTGTAGAACATTTCTTGTTAAATATTTCTCAGAGGTATTTTTCAGTTGAAAGCCTTTGAAAAGGTTGAAAATACTGGCACCTACATTTTCTTGGTTCCAAATCACTGTCACCTTTGGTACAGTAGCAACTTTGGTGGACTATGTTTCTGTATGTCATGTTAGATGGGAAGAAAGTAGACTGTCAATGTAATTAGTGTTAGTGAAAGGGGATAACAGAAAATGGATAATTTAGGAACAGTAATGGTGATTTTTGAATTTCCTAATGGACATTTCTAAGGATAATCATTACTTTAACGCTTAGGTAAAACTTTCATTGAGATATTCTATTCTTATGAGCAATCAAATTGAAAGTATAATTTTATAATCAAATGCAAAAGTAAATTTTGAAAGAAATAGGTGATAAAATGCTTCTATAATCTTTTATAATACATCATAATTTTTAAATTATATAAACTAGGAAAGACTCTTTTTCCAAATTTTTGCTTTGGATTATGAAAATCTCATCTGAGAGTATTGGTTGATGTACATTAGCACTTGAGTGGACTTAGGAGCATCACTCCTCCTTTCTGAATTATGAGAACTATAAATAATTAATGTAATGAACACAGGTCAGAATCCCAACATCAACTATTAAGTGTACGACATTTGGTAAATTAACTTTCTCTGAGTGTCTCTGTTTATCAAAATGAGAATGATAGTGACTCTTCATGGAGAGGTTATGATGGAGGGCCGCCATGGATGTTTCAGTGAATTGTGTGCTCATGGGAGAGCGATTGCTCTCAGCTATTGATTTCTACTCACCAAATACTCTACTACTACTATAGTATAAATGTCTATACTTTCTGGAGAAGAGATTCTCTTAATTTAATCAAATGTGATCCACAATAATCTGTCTATCTATCTATCTATCTATCTATCTATCTATCTATCTATCTATCTACCTCTTTACTGATTTATTTATCTCCAGAATCAACAGAAGAATTCATTTAGTGGCCATTTAAGGAGTTATCATGGTAATTTATATTTGGAGAAATTAGGACTGCCTTAACATTTAAAACATCTCCAATATGGCCAATAAGCTACTATAAGCATTGAAGTAAAATAAAATTCTGAGAATTTAATCAATAAGGAGATTATGTTATCTATCTAAATTATATGCATGGCCTTAGAAGAGTGTTTAGCAGAATCCTTTTCAAGATTGTTTTTACTATTAGAAGAAAAGGAAGATACCCCTAGACATCACTTGTTTACAGGGCCTCTAAGAGAGAAAAACTTTTTCTACTCCTTTTTATTCTGATGCATCTGTAGCTGTGCTGTTAAAAGCTATAATTAACTTATACTTTTCTTAGAAAATTCCCCAAAGCTACAACCCTATAGTGTGTAGAGTTCTTTTCACCAACTCTTTAAAAATCAGATTAAGTAGGATAGATAAATTTGAAAATACAGGAAGATATAGGAATTCTGTTGGATTCCTTTAGGAAGTTTTTTTGTTTGTTTTACACTTTAAATTTACTTTTAGAAATACATCCCAATTTCATTTCTGTTCAGTATTTGCACTATTTACCACCTTTGCACTATTAACTTTTTCAGATACTCTACAAGATCCTTTGGCCAAAAGCACTAAACTTTAACAAGACTTAATCAAATATTACTCCCTTATATTTTACATCCTCCAGGTCAATAGAACAGCTATACATGAACAAAAATACAAGAAAGCCAATATTTTAGACATGTCATTAGCATGAGCCACTTGCTGATTACTTAGAATGCATATTTACAACAAATATAAGTATATAGTAATTGTTAAATTCTGTAATAGTGGGTTTCATATCAATAAAGTAAAATACTAAAATATTAGATAATCACAGAATAATGCTAACTATTACCAAGTGATTTAGAAAAATCTGCTTAAATAAGATTGACCTAGTTCTCAAAATGCTTTAAAAAAAGTGCATATTCCATCTTGCAGTTCTCAGTTTAGACATTTTCCTAAAGCAAGCTTGGTAACAGAATGTCATTTTAGCCTCAGAACATAAGTCCACCATCTATAAAACATGAAGGTAAAGGCCTGCAGGTAAGTTTTCAACAACCACCACTGTGTTTTGCTATCTGAAGCTTACCAAAGTTAGTGAATGTGGCTATTTTCTTTTTTTCCAGTAAGCTCTGAGAAATACATTTAACAACTTAACTTGAGGCCTATAACAAGGCTTCATGGTGACTTTAAAGCAGGACTAATCCTGGGCTTATCTCCAAATTCCAGGCAACCTTAACGGCATCCACATGGAAAATGTTGAAATGTGTGAAATGGGCTGGGGCTTAACCTCAGAGATAGGGTATATTTGAACTTGACAGTTCCCTGAACTTTGCATGCTTAGATGAATGCAAGTCTAAATTGAGGATAGTCGCAGGAGAGTTGCTGACACACTTTCCTTAATGCAAGTATGGAGGCACTGCTGTATACCCGAGTATGCACACACAAACAGAGGCACACAGGCGCACACTCACTCATTTCTGCTCCTGCTTGTTTCAAAGTTCCTGGACAGAAAAGGGAAGTAGTTGAATATTTGAGTTTCAGAAAGATCTGTTATTCTCCATGTACTATTTAGAAGGAAAAACAGACTTGAAACTATCCTCCCAATGCCAACAACTTTCAAGAAATCCAGCTTACTTTTGCTTAGACAGCCCGCACTCCTACTATCCAAATTGTGGTGCATGGACCAGCAGCAGCAGCTTGAAGCTTGCTAGAAATGCAGACTCTCAGTCCTCACCAGATGAATCAGAATCTGCATTTCAACAGGATCTATGTGTACTTTCTATAGGAATTAAAGTTTCAAAATCACTGTCATGCATTTTAAAATTGGGGTTGAATGGCCAGGCACAGTGGCTCACACCTGTAATCCCAGCACTTTGGGAGGCTGAGACAGGATAATTGCTTGAACCTGGAAGATGGAGGTTGCAGTGAGCCAAGATCGTGCCACTGCACTCTAGCCTGGGTGTCAGAGCAAAACTCTGTCCCAAAAGTTGAAGCTTCAGTGAATAATATGGGTGCAATAAGTAACTTCAAAAATCTCCTGTTTCTTACATGTTATTACAAAATAAATTTTGCTGTTTGTTTATACTATTTAGTGTGCAATTAATATTGGATTTATAAGTTTGTAAAGGACATCGACAATATTTTATGTAACGTTAATTGTTATATTTCCTTGGTAGATATCGCCATTTTCCAAAAATTGTAGACATTTGCCTTGCTTTCTTGTGAACTCATTTTATAGCATTTGATGTTTAATTCCAATTTACTGTCATACCTCATCCCCTTGCCAATTTTCCCTTTTTGTTAAACAAATAATGTCTTTCAAAACTTTATAAATCTATTTTGCTTTGGAATCAGCCAATAGATTTTATGCCAAGTTCACAAGGAAAAAATATTATATATATATATGTGTATATACAATATGTATGTATACATACATATGTATGTGGAAATAGCAAAGCAATTCCTATAATGATCCACATTACCATTAAAAAATCCTAGACCCTTCACAGGGCTGAAAGTGTTTTTAAATCTTTAAAATAGCAGAGATATTTTTAATGATTTCACAAATGATGATGTCAAGTCTTGAATTCAATTTCTATTTTACACAAATAGTCTCCAAGTATACATTAAGGAAAGTTTCCATAAGCAGACAAATCAATCAGCACAAGTTTTACAACTATTCGAAGTTGGAAGATATCAGTGTGAAAAAGGTTGTAAAACCGAAGAAGAATGGTAGTGCCTTTTTATTTTATATTATACAATACTAACACTAAAGTGCATTTAAAGATTCTGAGACGACAGTCGACAAAAATGTTTTAGTGCTGGTATTCCATCAGGTACTTCACTAGATTATAAGACAAGCAATTTTTATGTCTCAGATTTATTGAGAGCTAGTCACTCTAAATAAATCTTGGAGTTATTTAGATTTAATATTCGTATTTAAAATGGTGAGGATAATTGCGTTTAAAAAAATCAAACTACAATATCAAACCAAATACTGTTTAGTAGCAGGAACTAAGCAAATGTTAAAAATATAACAGTATATTTAGAAATTCAAGATTATATGCCAAAGAATGGAAAGGAGCTATTCTGCTTTCTGATATTTGTATATCGTGTTGCATAAAAGTTAAATGTGCAGATTGTCCTAATGGCTCTGTTAACAAATTGCTTTAACATTTGTGAATGTAAGGGAATCTGGGACATTGAGCGACATTGCTCTCTGTGGTCAGATGTATGAACATACCACAGTAATGTGCAATCAATGTCAGGAAAATTATCCTACAACATAAAGGGGTAAAAGTTTGGGAAGTTACAAAATAAAAACTCAACTCATAAAAAGTCTTTGTGCATTCGTAAAAGATGGATATTACCCACCAGTAGCAGAATATGCTTGGAGTAGAATCTGTCTCAGAAGAAAAGCACTTTTGAGATTTCTCTCCCTCTTACTTGTAAATTAAAAATTCAGTCTCACTGGATGTTAATGTCTTCAGAAACAACAGAATTTATCTGACAAAAATAATGATAGTTATATATCCTTATTGAGTCTCACCTTTGCCTTCATGTTTATGGTAGCTTTGTATTGTCTCCTTTTTCTCCTGAAGTGCGAATGTGAATAATCTCTCAAGTGTTCAGGAATGCTACACACATTCACAAGCCTCATGCTTACTACTACAATACTTTATTTATTCTAGTAGAAATCTGTTTTAAGCAGGTGCTCATTTTGTAAATTAAGAAAAAGGATTTTGAGATACTATAGAAATATATATTTTTTCTTAATAAATTGCATTATGGATTAGCTTTTATAATGAGGGCATTGGTAGTCAGAACATTGCAAAAAGTTATTATGGAGATAATATCTTCTGTCTTCTAAAGAAAGTAATAATATATCTCAGTTAAAATTATTTTCAGTTTAATTATTTTAGGATTCACATTTAATTTACAAAGATATATTTGCTGAACCATGCAAATAGACATTTTTTATGTAGCTAGCTTTAACAAAAAAGAACTGTTAGAAGTGTTCTAATGTACGTTGTTTGAGAGAATGGCATTACGATGAAATACATGCAGGCTAATTTGAACATGCATATAAGAATTTTGGAAAATATGTGATAAAATGAAGTGATGGAATGGAAAGGCACAACCTAAGTTTCAATGTCTACCCTATATTAGGTTGTATCTTAGTTATCACATGTAGTATTACAGCAAATTCCACAGTAGAAAAAAATCTTATGCTTGCTTTCTTTTCTTTTATTGTAAAAGGTATGATGAGTACTAAATGAATGAAATAAGCAAAACATACTATTACTCGATTGTCTTTAAAATGTCTATATTGAAAAGTTTTCTGACTTAGTTAATTTGGGGCTTCTAAATGTTTACATTTGTCCTATGAGTAGCTTTTACATTTTTTAAGCATTTCATTTTGAAGAGATGATTAATCTCATTTAGTTGTCATTTTTCTAACTCACATTTCACTTTTTTGCAGTTTTGCTCTCTTCTCAAACATTAGTTTGTAGTATATGAAATTCCATTTTTTGTAGGACATTAATGGTTGACTTTGACAGTTTTCATATATTTCAATGTTTACGACCAAGCATCTTAAAATCTACCTACCTCTGGATGGAAAGTCTATCCTGGGCTCATGTTTTAAACTAATACTTTTAAAGGTAGAGAAAAGCATCAGGTGTTGGATAAGCTGCTCTGACTTTCCAACTGCTTTTTGTGTAGGAAAATTCCACATGGCTGAATTAATATGGGTTTGGCATAGAAGGAGACACTGCTTTTAGAAGCAAAACTGTTACAGCTCACCAACGTCACAAAGGCATGACTTCCTCAAGAAAAATAAATTGTGCAATTCATTTCATGGCAGATTAAATCCCATTTATTTTTCTTTCAGACAGCTGTTTTGAATAGAATGTCACCAGTGTGAAACCATTTTATGCATGTTGGGCTTCAGATCTTGGGCAGGCATAACTTTCTTTGATGAAATAAAAGGTTATGTTTTATGACTATTCCTCTTGTCAGCAAACCTCAGCATGTGAGCTTTAATAATGCAATGTTCAGTATTTCAAGCAGCTCTTTTTGATGTCTAAATATCCATCTGCTCTTAATTTAAAAAAAATCATTGCATCTACACAATGGAAAAAAGAAAACTTCACAAACATTTTCTCTTTTATCCTGAATTATAACACTTACTCAATAAAATAAAAATATCAATCTCTCAGCATTCAAGATTTTTCTTAAGCTGACAAGTTTTGAACATCAAATTCATCCATGTTTATGAAATGTGTTTTAACAAAATTCTCCCCTAATAAGAATTAAATGTTTTATGTCAACTGAGGAATAAATTCATATTAGAATAATAGGATCTTTGAGATGAGGGATTTGTAGGTGACATGGTACATTTGTAATATTTATAAATGAGTAAACAGCAACTGATAAAGATGAAGTCCTAAGTCACACAGTGGGTCAATTTTATATGCTTTGATAAATGCTAGTTTAATTTAAAATGTACAGTTTTCACAGTTAGGTATCCAAGGTTCCTTTCTTTGTAGTTTTCTCAGATGTTTTATTCTGAGAAACTGAAACAATTCTGATAACTATCATTAATTTAATAAAATGTACCACAATTATATAGACATTCTAGATAATTGAATCTAATTTATTACCCATTTTTCCTTAGGATCACAACAATAACAGAAACCATCATTTCACTATGTGTATACCCAAGTATTGAAATAGAGGATTCATGAGAATCATAATGACTTTAGCACACCAATTCCAGTCTCCATAATGGCCTTCCAGGACTGCAGGGGGCCAATCAGCGCCTTCCTCCTGGAGAAAACAGTGATTCTAAAGTTTGGAAAGGCTCTCAAAAGTAGTAAAATAGGTCATAAAACAGAGTTAAATATGTTTTATATAGCTTCACAGACTGATGTGCCGTAGAATTTATTGAGGTACTTAAATGGATTTTGGGCTGGCCCCTTGTGGGACATCTGATTCTGTCTTTATCCTGGAAAAAGTGTTAGGCAGCCTAGCAAGGCTGCTTTCCTTTACCCAAACCAAGGCACATTTGAGATTTCACAGGGCCATGCTGGTGCGAATGTCTCCAGAAGATAAGGGTCATTCTAGAAGAGAGAGAGGCTGGATTAAGGGTAGAGGAGGCATGGGAAGTTACTGGGCAAATGTCCAGCATTGGATTAGAGACTAATTAAATACACATCCTTTATTTTCTCATCTTTTTTCTGCCTGGCCTCTCAAAACGTAGATTGGGAAGACTATATGGAGAATATATGTATATATATATAGATATATACACACACACACACACACACACACACACACACACGGAATTCATATATATATGATGCTTTGTAAACTTGTGGCCATCTCACAACACAAAAAAACCTGACTGCAATATTGTAGTTCTGTAAAGAACTGCTTAATGCTAGCAACTGAGAGGCTAGTGGAGCAATGACGAAAGAAAATTTAATTTTATATCCTGAATAAACTCTAGCTCTATCACTTGACAGCTTCGACTTTTACATATAATACTTCTGCAAAATTATTAAGTCCATATCCAACTTAGTGGAGACACATTTTGAGTTTGAAATAAAATTTAAGCAATTCTTTTTTTGATTGGGTCCATGTTTTCGTCTGGTTTTGCCAAGTTGAAACTCTGCTTCTTAGAAAATAAATGAAAGTCTCTATGAAAAAAAGATTTTCCTTTTATTTGTCCATTTATCTGTCTATTTATTTATTTTACAATACTGAGTATTATAAAACCATAGACTCATGAGATAAGTAGAAATATAGTGAGTGGTTAAGAGCCTCAGCATTGGAGACAGAGAGTCTTGAATTCAAGTTCCAGCTCTGCCACTTACAGCCCTTGAGGCCTTGCAAAGAACTGGATATGAAGCTGGATTACAGAAACCAGGTATGATTTCACTATTAAGAAAAATATTTCAAGAAAAGGTATCACCAAACTAGAAAGGGTAGGAAAAATAAGTCCCCCAATATAGAGAAAAGACAGCAGGTTACTCATTACTGCTTTGCGTAAGTTCATGCTTGAAGGGCTAAACCAAGTTGGTCCAACCCATGGCCTGCAGGCCGCGTGCGGCCCAGGCTGGCTTTGAATATGACCCAACACAAATTCGTAGAGTTTCTTAAAACATTATGAGATTTTTTTTTGCAATTTTTGTTTTGTTTTGTTTTTAACTCATCAGCTATTATTAGTGTTAGTGTATTTTATGTGTGGCCCAAGACAATTTTTCTTCCAGTGTGGCCCAGGGAAGCCAAAAGATTGGATGCTCCTTGTCTGAACCATTGCAACATACTCAAAGAAAATGCAAAATTTACCTTTTAACCATGAATAATAATAGTCATGTAATTGTGATGAGGGAAATAACTGCCCAAGACTGCGGTCAGAAGAATAATTTCTATACATAGAAAAAGGCAAATTTTAGGTTCCAAACTTCAGTGTGCTTGTTTTTGACCTTTGGAAAAAATTCTAAAATAATGATGGCTATTAAAAAGTCAAAAAAAAAAAAAAAAAAAAAAAAACAGAGGCTGGTGAGGTTCAGAGAAAAGAGAGCACTTATACACTATTGGTAGGGGTGTAAATTAGTTCAACTATTGTGGAAAGCAGTGTGGCAATTTCCCAAAGACTTAAACACAGAACTACTATTTGACTCAGCAATTCCATTACTGGGTATGTACCCAAAGGAATATAAATCATTCTACCATGAAGACACATGCACACAAATGTTCACTGCAGCACTATTCACATTAGCAAAAACATGGAATCAACGTAAATGTCCATCAATGGCAGACTGGATAAAGAAAATGGGGTACATATACACTATGGAATACAATGCATCCATAAAAAAGAATGAGATCATATTCTTTGCTGGAACATAGATGGAGCTGGAGGCCATTATCCTTGGCAGACTAACATAGGAATAGAAACCAAATATCACACCTTCACACTTATAAGTGGGAACTTAATGATGAGAATACATCGGGGCCTACTTGAGGGTGAAGGGTGGGAGGAGGGACAGGATAAGAAAAAATAAATATTGGGTACTAGGCTTAGTACCTGGGTGATGAAATAATCTGTACAACAAATCCCTATGACATGAGTTTACTTATATAACAAACCTGCACATGTACCCCTGAAACGAAAATAAGAGTTAAAATGACATCAGTGTTTTTTTAAAGAATCAGAGAAGTAAGTACTATGAATCAGACTTGGTTTGTTAAGTTTTAGCCAAACATTACCCCTACTGGAGGTATGAATTTCAAGCTTAGATTCCCTTAAAACTGGGACTTTCCCCACCACCAGGGGTGATCTTAATTTAGCATCCCATCAAACTGCCCCATGGATCCCACATATAAGGCACATAGCTTTCTCCTGTAAAAAACATCTGGGGTTACCCCATATTGAATACAGGCACCAATCAGCCTATCCATCTACCCACTGACTAAAGCACTTCATTCTACTTCTCTGTGAAAGGTGAGACATGCATGATGAGTAGTGGCACCTCTACTCTAACAGAACCCAGGCTGAGTCCAAAAGATGCCCTGACATATGACTCTCAGCCCCATGGTAAGCTGACAGGAGTCCCTGAACATATTGTTTTTGCTAAATGTACAGTGTTGTGTTTTGCCTTGCTCCAGATCCCTTACACATCATTATAAAATCCAGAAGAGGGCCTAATGGCATGACTGCCCTGCTGACTTACTTAAGACCATAGGTGACATGGTTATCTAATAAAACCACATGGATTTCTTATTGCAAAAATGATCTATGACTCAAAAGAAGTCACATTGAGCAGCAAAGATTCAGGGATATATAATTCCAAGATCCACATCTACATTTAAATATCTGCAGCTCCTAAGTAGCAGGCAATAAGTTCCAATGGAGATACTGAAAGCTGTACGATCATAAATGATGTATACATTCTTATGTGTATACTTTCTTCTTATGAGAATGCTTTATCATCACAGCTGACCTGCAGTACCATTAAATAAGATTCACTTAATAATTATTACCTTGATTTTAGTCATATGTACCTAGGAAAGTATATTTTCATCTACAGTGGCATGACACATTTCAGAAGTGTCCCATAATTCTGTATTTACATAAAAAATGTTAAAAGAGATGCTGTAAACTCTTCTAATTTCTAGGGTACAGATAACTTATTCCTCCTAAATGAACGGTTTTATTGCTGAGTTGTATGAAGGCAATTTAGTAGTGACCACAGAACTGATGATTGACTTCTAAACTTGAATCAACACACATAGGGAAATCATGGGGTACCGTCTATGTAGGATGAGAAAAGAGGGAAATAATGGGAGAGGAAGACTACTTCTGTGCAGTCGATGTTGCACTTGACTGAATAACCTACACCACAACTGTTTGTGATTGTACTGCTCTTGTTAGAAAATGTAAGGTATTATTAGTATGTAGAAGTTGAAAGAGAATAGAAATGGCTACTTTCAATTATGTTTTCATTATATCAGACTTTCACCCAGAAGATAGGAAGTCTAATGTGTGAAATATTGCAAGTCCAGGTTTGAAGGCCAGAAGCAATTGCTTTCAAGTCCTGCACAGAAGTTTGCATTCAGCTTCTTCAGCTTGCTCCCTAATTTGCTTCCTCTATCTCTCCCTGTAATTGAAAAGTGTAAAGGAAACAACATACCTCCTTAGTTTAATATGTTAACACCTGATGATTAAGAATTGTGTGAAAAAGGGTACAGCAAATGAATGAATGATGATAAACGTTTCAACTTTTAGAAAAGTTCGCCACTCAATATATCTAAAATTGGTTTTTGCCAATTTCAGAATTCAGAAAGGTAATCTATTTTGTTAGTTTTAGTGAAAACTCAATTTATCCTATACAATAGTAAGTATTGTATGGTAAACTCAAGTCCTTACCAGTGTAGATCAAGAATGTGTCTTATTATTATTGAGTACTATGAAGGTCCTTTTTCCTGAGAGAAATTACAAGTCATCATTAGTGGCAGGTATAGAAAATATTATTTTCAAATTCTTTAATCCACTTTTCATTTTAGGATCAGGGAAGTCCTACAAGGGAGCTGAAGGCCAATGTACATAGCAAAACAAAAACAAAACAAAACAACAACAACAAATGCCACAGTATTTCACATTAATGCTGGGCCTCTTACTTTCCAAGGTTTGAAAAAGCTTATGGATTCTGGGTCTGTACTTAGCCTAAAAATCGAACCCAGGATAATAAGCTTTTTCCAAGGCAGTGCATGATGAATAATATCAGTGTATTCTATTCATTTTCAATGTCTGCAAACGGGGTTAACCCCCTTTTTTTCATTAGTGAGTCAAAAGGGGCATAAAATGGGGGCACATTGGTTGAAGAAGAGGCCCTGGATGATGGTTCCAATCAAATAACCAATGACACAATTTACAGGACTCCCTTTTCTCATTGTCAGTGAGTGGTGGTGGTTAAATATGTTATTGGGCATCACCCTAGCTTTATATCTTGGCTTTCCCTTTACTAGCTGTGTGCTCATGAACAAGTTATATATCTTACTTGTCATGTACTCATGGGAAATTGAGTTTCTACATGTAAAGCTATTTGATCTTGGCTTGGTACAAAGTAAGCACTCAATAAATTTTGACCATTATTATTCCGGCTATAAAATTATAGAATTGAACTAGATGAGAGTTAGTAATATCTCCAACAACTTTGAGTATAAAATTTAGGCTTATAATTAATAGATTATAAAACAACTTAAAAATAATCATTTCTTTCCTTCAACCCTACTGCTTACGAATATGTGCAACACATTGGTAAGAACCTCCTTTTATACCTTTACAAAGAGCAGAGGCACTATCTTCAGAGGCCTATCTCTGGTGTCCCTGTGAATTTATAAAGTTAATTCTGAAGTTGTACAACTAGCATTTCAAAGAATGACTCAATTACAGAACCCAATGAACTCTTTATATGAGGATTTAATAATTAATTTGATAATTTAAGTAATTTATAAGTGTATTTGTTCACATTAATTAATATTATTAAACAAACTTAATTTATTTAATGTAATAATTTAATATTGGACCCTCTCTGCTTCATTTGGCATTGCTTGCATTCTTCTTATCTGGGGCATGCTTTTCTCATCGTTTCCTCTATGGGCTTTTCCTTGGGCTTCTCTTCTGCTATATTTTTCTTAAATATTGATGATCCTCAGGGTTCCACTCATTACTCACAACTCATAATTGTGCACACTATACCTGGGTGATCAGTTTTTTCATTCTGTACAACTAAACTCTTCTCATGCTTCTGACCTGAACATTCAACAAACTACTGGACATCTGGAGCTAGAAGGCACACTGATACTTCAAACTCAATGTGTCCACATGTTCTAATTTTAAATTTGAAAAGTTCACTTCCTCGCTTGATGACATCATCATCCATTGAAACTAGACACCTATGAATTGCTCTTATGATTCCTCTTTCTTCCTCACATCCCACATCCAGTCAATGAACAAATCTTGCCAAATTTACCTCCAAAGTACTTTGTAGTCATTTTTCCTTCTCATTCCATTCAACTGAGGCTTTAATTCACTTGCTTAAATTCCTGAAAGGTCCTTGTGGCTTGTTGTTCTGTTCCACTTTTGTCTAATCAAATCCATTACCAAAATAATATTTATAACAATCAAAACTGGCAGTCTTCCCTCTCTATAACTTTTTCTTATGCACAACATGTCAAAGTCCACCCTCCCTGAAGAGGCCCTTGATGAGTTCTCTAGTTCATCTTTCTCTATAGTCCATATGGCAGGTTTTGTCATGATAAAACCAAGATGCCAAATTTTGCTTCACATGGCATATATTTATCACCCCTGTGTTTTATTAAATAATGTTTTCACTATCTGAAATGTGTCTCTATAACGGTTCCCTTCTTTCTGTGTTTTTTCTTCTAACCAATCACTCAGGCTCAAAGAGAATAACATCTTCAGCCCATGTTCCCTGAAACCCTCCCACCTGCCACGTCAGGCTACGCCATTTACTGTGTGGCCTTGAACAAATTACTTAAAAAATATAAAAAAACACTCCATGACTCAGTTTCTCTCATAGTAAAAGTAGAATAATAATAATAATCTCACAGAGTGGTTGTGGGTATTAAAGAGAATGCATACAAAATGCTTACACAGTCACTTGGATACAGAAGCCCATAACAATTGTTGGTTTCTACCTTTGGAATCATTCTTCATTACTACTATAGTACCCTCAATCAATACCATTGCAATTTTCACATGATTTGACTGTGAGTTTATATCTATCTTTACTACCAATTAACTCTTTGAAGAAGGGAAGTACCTGGGTCATAGTCAGAAAATTATTATAGGTTGAACCAATGTACATATTCACCCATTTGCTCATCCCTGGAAATAGAAATTTATTTATTTATTTATTGAGAATAGAAACCTTTTACTTCTTCAAAACTAAATGTCTAAAAGTAATTTTCAGTCATTAGGAGAATTTATTTCTTCGGTTCCTTTAATTAATTAAAGTTGTTGAGAGATTCTACAAATAGAACATTTTACCACTGCACACTAATGATGTATGTCAGAAATAGTGAAGCTCAGAGAAACAAACTATACTTCTTTGCAATAATTATTTCCAAATGTTACAATCCCATCATCTGTTATGTTATTCCCACTTGAGAGAGTTTGTAAGTAATTTAAGGTGTGGTATTAATTATTTTAAACATGTTATTTGATTTTTCTGAGAAAAAAATTTCAATAAAGCAGACCTTGATAGATTTAGTAAAATTAGGACTGGGCATGGTAGCTCATGCCTGTATTTTCAGCCCTCTGTGGGGAGCCAAAGGCAGGAGGATTTTTTGAGGCCAGAAGTTGGAGTCTAGCTTGGGTAAAATAGCAAGAGTCTGTCTCAACAAAAAATTAAAAAGTTAGTCCATTCTGGTGGCACACTTGTAGTCCTAGTTACTCTGGAGGCTGTGGGAGGATGGCTTGAGCTTAGAATTTTGAGGTTACAGTGAGCTGTGATTGCATCACTGCACTTCAGCCAGGGCCACAGAGTAAGACCCTGTCTCTAAAACAAACAAATTAAACAAAAAAAAATTAGCATCAGAACCTATCTAGCACCCATGTCAGGGGAGTCTTATATTAAATGCAATAAGTATTCTATTTATTTAAATTGAAAAACCCTTTGATCACTGGGAATTTTGAATTCTAAGAGCATGAACCTACTAACATTTGAAAAAAGATAACATTTCTTCCCTTAACACTGAGTGTCAGTAGCAGAATGGCATGGGTTGGGAAGATAAATATTTATTGAACTATTTGATCCATTGTCATTTACAGAAGATTCAGAACTTTAAACAAAGAGTGTGTAGAGGAATCTGTCTCCTGCCTATCTGTCCCTAGTCAAAGTGGACCTAAAAAGATACAGTAAGAATGCTCAACTAATGGACAGAGTAAGACAGATTTGCTAGGTAGATAAATTGATGGATAGATAGATGCATAGCAGAAAAAGAATCATAGAGAATTTTTTTCTCCCCAAGCAATTTTTATTCAAGTTAAAACTGCAAATGTATGTCCTGTGTCCCCATGTAGACTATAAGTTCCATAAAGGCAAACATAGGTGCTTGTTTTTGTCACTGCTATTTCCCCAAAGACTAGAATATACAATAGTAGGATGTGTAACAGTTAAAGAGGAAAAACATGAAAAATGACTCAACAGTAAAAGACAGGTTTATTTTGGAGAATAAATCTGAGAGGGGCTTCTGGCCAATTTCAGTCAGGAGCACACTCTCTTAAAGACTAAGAGTATTTAAGGGTTTAGGGAGAGAGCATATCACAGTCTTGCAATGTTTCTGAGTGGAGGAGTTTATTGTGGGGTTAGAATGTCTGTGGTCAGAGGGGAGGTAATCTTGGGGCTGACCTCTCCCTGGTCAGAGGGGAGGTTATCTTGGGGCTGGCATGTCTCTGGTTGGGGAAGGGTTTATCTTAGAATTGGAGTGTTTCTGGTCGGAGATGTCATTTGTGGTTCATGGTCATGCTGACATTAGCCATTAGGCTGATGCCCTTTTGATTGGATTAGGCAGTTTTTTGATCAAGGGGAACTTTAAAATGGTGGTTCTTGTCCAAGATGGCGATGCTCCTGCTCTGTCAGGATGCTTAATTAATAATTAATATTTGCTAAAGAAATTAATAAATCATAGATGAAAATAAACTTTCTCTCCATTTCTGAAATCAGAGGCCATACTCCCTTAGCACTCATGACTACAAGGGACCTCAGCTTCAAGCCTTGCCTTGCTTATCTCCAGAGCCCTTCTTATAAATTCGTGAGTTTATCTCCAAACCTAATGTGGGAAATCTAAAAAAAAAAAAAAAATCAAAATGTATGTAGTGCGAGCCTCTAAGTTTTAACTTTTAAGTAAGGACAAAAGGTCCTAGAGTTCTGTTAATTTGGTAACCTTGACAAAAATCAAAGACATTTTAAGAGCTTAAAAAGCTAGGCTGACCCACCTTTAGACATCCGGTATAATCAACTTCCATTAAGATCTTTGTTATGTGCAGACCCTGTCAAAAAAAAAATGAGATAAGCCTTATATAACTGTAAAAAAGCAGCAATTCATCTGCATTCATTTTAACTTGAAACCTGATGGTAGAAGATATGAATTAGATAATTTGACAGCATGTGTTTTGGTGGTTCTTATAGCTTGTGAGAGACTTTGTAATGTTCTTTTTCCTCACTTTTTCTTACCAAAGGTCATATTCCTACATTCTGTATTACTAAAGATAATATCAAAAACTACATAGTTTTTGCAGTTTATCAAAAAATAGTTTTCTGATACATTTTTTACATAGATCTGGTTTACAGATTAAAAACAGTTCATTAGTTAAATCTGAATTTCAGAAAAAATGTTTAACTAGTTTCCCATCTTTGTATTTTCTATATCTGGCAAATGTGTATAGATCTGTATAAATACAAACTACAAAAGCAGTTCTGGCTATCTCAATGTATGTTTAGGAATGTAAATAAATAATTTCATTTGTAATCACCACATTGTCATATTTTTATTTGTCATTTTATATAAGATATATAATAATTTTATTCCTTCTCTTGGAATTAAAATGGTAGTGCCATGTCACCTTCATATGTTGCCTGACTGATTGCCAAACATAGATGAATTGAGGAGACTTATGAAAGGTCTCCTCAAATACATACTCAGTACATGAACGCTGACATCCTTGTAGTAAGATCAACGTGGGAAAAAATAACCAGCCTGTTTTTGAGTTAACAAATAGAAACAAATACCAGAGAGATCAAAGCACTACAGGTCTGTGTGAATAATCATCCTCCTCCCCTCCCCTAACCTTGATTTTTTCTCTTACAATTAAATTTATCTAAAGAAAAGACATGTCTGTCTGGTTACACTCAGATATCACTGAGTAGAGTCAGTGGAAAGAGACTGACTATTTCCTTGTCCAAAAAGAGAATGAATATAATAATGCTACCAGCATTCAGAAGTTGCTGGGAGGATGAAGAATATCACCTTTTTAGTCTGTAAACAGTTAAGCACAAAATTACTGCTAATTAATTAGGTAACATCAATTGTGTATTTTTCTTGTGGTTTCCACCAAGGAATTAGAATTAGCTTCTGAGATTTAAGTTGTAAAATTAATACCCCGTGAATCCTAGCAGGAAGGTGCAAAGCACTTTGAAAGAGTGGTGGTGGTCCCCAAACCTGTGAGATGGCATACCTGAGTGTAAGCAGATAGGCATGTCTTTTCTTTAGATAAATTTAAGTGTAAACAGACAATAAAAGTAGTGGGGAGGGAGAGTATTCACATAGGCATCACGCGTTTTGATCTCGTTGGCATTTGTTTCTGTGTTAACTCACAGATATGCTGGTTACTTTCTTCCCATGTTGGTCTTCCTACAAGGATGAAAAAGGTTGCTTATGAGGGTGGAAGCAGTTTCATTTCCATGTGTTTGCCTTCATTCATGATTAACTTGAGTCTTTTGCTGAGATCTGCTGACACATTGGGTTTCAGAAGTTGCATGGCTCAGGCATACTTTTGATACATTTACCAAGATAATGAATGCCTTCATAAGGCCCCTAGAAAGACCTTTTTTTTTGAGGTGGTACTGATAACTCCACGTAGCCAAGAACGTAATCTTGTTCTTATTTGAATTTCTGCATACAGTCTGTATTGGAAAAATTGTTTTAAACCATGTAAAAAAAAGTGTTGCTTCTATCTGGCATTGAATATAGCTTAATTAATCTCATTCACTTCTAGTTTTTGGAATATCTCAGTTCTGTCATCTATCAGAAATTAGGGTAGGAATTGTGCTAATTTTTTAATGGACATATTAATAATGCAGATAAGTTTATCATTTTGTACATCTACAAATAAAATAAAGTCCTCATGAATTAAGTTATACTATATAAAACTTACTGCACATGTTTTCTTCCAAAGAAACTTAATCTTTTGGGAGAAAAATATGTATATGTCTCATTAACATCGCTTATAAGGTTAATGTAAATTTGCTATACTCCAGACTTTTAAGCCTTAATTGGCAATACCCATAATGCTCCACAAAATGATAAATATTAGTTTTTTAATTTTTATTCAGTATTAACTGAAGACACAAAATGATACTCAAAATGTGTCACAGAAATTCTTTTGTCTTTTTATTATGAAACTTTAAAAAATACCAGGGAAATAGTATCTATAAATACTTATTACAAAAGTAGAATATTGGCCAGGCGCAGTGGCTCAGGTCTGTAATCTCAGAACTTTGGGAGGCCAAGGCAGGTGACTGATGAGATCAGGAGTTCAAAACTAGTCTAGACAACATAGTAAAACTCCGTCTCTACTAAAAATACAAAAAAATTAGCGAGGTGTGGTGGTGTGTGCCTGTAATCCCAGCTACTCGGGAGGCTGAGGCAAGAAAATTGCATGAACTTGGGAGGCAGAGGTTGCAGTGAGCTGAGATCACGCCATTGCACTCCAGCCTGGGCGACAGTGCGAGACTCCATCTCAAAACAAATAACAACAACAAAAAAAAACAAAATAATAGTAGAATGTTATCCAGAACCTTGCAACCTTGCAGTGGTTTTGCAGTACACCAATAAGTTTTCAATACCTCACATCACCTTTAAGCTCTGCTGCCCTCTCATATAAACAGGTCTAGAGATAGTTCCAACATAACAGATCACAAAGCTCATCTAAAACAGCAAGGATGTTGTCAAGTGCTGTTGTGTCCGGAATTTTTGGGTTCTTGGTCTCGCTGACTTCAAGAATGAAGCCGCGGACCCTTGCAGTGAGTGTTACAGTTCTTAAAGATGTTGTAGCCGGAGTTTGTTCCTTCAGATGTTCAGATGTGTCTGGAGTTTCTTCCCTCTGGTGGGTTCTTGGTCTCGCTGACTTCAAGAATGAAGCCGCGGACCCTTGCGGTGAGTGTTACAGTTCTTAAAGATGGTGTATCCAGACTTTGTTCCTTCAGATGTTCAGATGTGTCTGGAGTTTCTTCCTTCTGGTGGGTTCGTGGTCTCGCTGGCTTCAGGAGTGAAGCTGCAGACCTTTGCAGTGAGTATTACAGCTCATAAAGGCGGCACAGACCCAAAGAATGAGCAGCAGCAAAATTTATTGTGAAGAGCAAAAGAACAAAGCTTCCACAGTGTGGAAGGGGACCTGAGCAGGTTGCCACTGCAGGCTCAGGCAGCCTGCTCTTATTCCCTTATGTGCCCCCCCCCACATCCTGCTGATTGGTCCATTCTACAGAGAGCTGATTGGTCCATTTTACAGAGAGCTGATTGGTCTGTTTTGACAGAGTGCTGATTGGTGCATTTACAATCCTTGAGCTAGACACAGAGTGCTGACTGGTGCATTTACAATCCTCTAGCTAGGCATAAAAGTTCTCCAAGTCCCCACCAGATTAGCTAGACACAGAGTGCTCATTGGTGCGTTTACAAACCTTTAGCTAGACACAGAGTGCTGATTGGTGCATTCACAATCCTTTAGCTAGACATAAAAGTTCTCAAAGTCTCCACCCAACTCAGGAGCCCAGCTGGCTTCACCTAGTGGATCCCGTGCCAGGGCTGCGGGTGGAGCTGCCCATCAGTCCCACACTGCACTCCTCAGCCCTTGGGCGGTCGATGGGAGTGGGCGCCGCGGAGCAGGGGGTGGCACCCGTCGGGGAGGTTCAGGCTGCATGGGAGCACCCTGGGGGGCGGGGCTTGGGCATGGCGGGCTGCAGGTCCCGAGCCCTGCCCCATGGGAAGGCGGCTGAGGCCCGGTGAGAATTTGAGCGTGGCATGGGCAGGCCGGCAGTGCTGGGTTACCTGGTGCACCCTCTGCAGATGCTGGCCCAGGTGCTAAGCCCCTCACTGCCCGGGGCCGGTGGTACAGGCTGGCCACTCTGAGTGCAGATCCCACCGAGCCTGCGCCCACCTGGAACTCGCACTTGTGCACGAGCACCTCATGCAGCCCCGGTTCCCACCCACGCCTCTCCCTCCACACCTCCCCACAAGCAGAGGGAGCTGGCTCCGGCCTCGGCCAACCCAGAGAGGGGCTCCCACAGTGCAGCAGCAGGCTGACGGGCTCCTCAAGTGTGGCCAGAGTGGATGCCGAGGCCAAGGAGGCGCCGAGAGCGAGCAAGTGCTGCTAGCATGTTGTCACCTCTCAATCCTGCCTCTAAACAGGACACCCCAACTGCTGTTGGGAATTTGGCCGATGACCACTCTAGCTACTTCCTTCTGGATAGGGGTGAAGAAGGGGCCCTGCAGTTGTAGTGTCCTCCAGAGGAGAGCTCTCTAGGCCAGTGGAAGGGCCAGTGGGTCAATCCTGAGGTCCTCAATAGAAGTTGTTAGTTGGGCTCATTTGGGGTTCCATTTGTAAGACCTTCTGTATGTAGCTTGATGGCCTCGATTCTAGCGGAAACAAATTTGACAAGAAGGTTAAAAATAGAGGGTCCAAAGGCGAGTAACAGCAAGATGGCTGCCACGGGACCTAGAAAGGGGAGAAGCCATGTTGCCCAACTCCAGAGGTTGGTATAAGAGTTTGAAAGGAGGTCAGGAGATTGAGACCATTCTGGCTAACGTGGTGAAACCCCATCTCTACTAAAAATACCAAAAAATTAGCCAGGCTAATTTTGGTGGTGGGCGCCTGTAGTCCCAGCTACTCGGGTGGCTGAGGCAGGAGAATGGTGTGAACCCAGGAGTCAGAGCTTGCAGTGAGTCGAGATCACGCCACTGCACTCCAGCGTGGGCGACAGAGTGAGACTCCATCTCAAAAAAAAAAAAAAAAAAAAAGAGTTTGAAAGGCATTGTCTGACTTCGGAAGCCTTTTCCTATAAATGCTGGGTGGCATCTCATACTATCCGTGACTGGTTAGTGTAAAAACAACACTCTTCCCCTAAGAAGGTACAAAGTCCTCCTTTCTCAGCAGGGGGGAGGTCTAGACCTCAGCGGTTATGGAGAGTCACTGCTGCTAAGGTGTCTATTTGGGATTGTAGAGTAAGGATAGATTTCGTTATTTCTTGCAAACTGTCTGAGAAATCCTTTGAGAGTGTGTGGTAGTAGGATAATGCATGTTACACCGTTAACTTTTAGCAAACTTTACTTTAGTTGAAAACCTTGTAAGTTTGGGATTTTAATTTTTCTTTGCTATTAATAAAACCTCATTCAGTCCATATTAACTTAGAATTGGTATAAATGTCTCCTTCCTGATTCTGTAAGTACTTTAAGATTTGGCTCAGTGCAAACAGCTCACACGTTTGAGCAGACCAATTATTGGACAGTTTTCCTAAATCTGCTTCTATAAGAGTTTCCTTATCACTTACTGAATACCCATTGTGTCTTTTTTCCTAATCGCCCAAAAGGAACCATCTATTGTCCTGTCCTGAAAGGAGTTCCTCCTATGTCTGGTCGGAACTTCCTATGGTAATTAATTAAGATTTAGATCCCCTGTTAGGAAACTTCCTGGGTTAAGGACTTTTGATAGGAAGGCTATGGGTTGTCATTGGCCTCAGTGCTTTCGGGCTATGCCCTTGTTTACACTGACAACAAGGTGGTATTGTAGTGTTACAGGGTCATGGAGAAGACCGTCAATTATCAATTATAGGTTTTAAATTTACCCTGGCTTTTAAAGGAATAGGGTACACTGTTTTTTCTTTACTATTTCTCTCTCTCTTTCTTTCTCTTTGACTTCTTTGTCTCTCTTTCCTTCTTTCTCTCTGACTCCCTCTTTGTCTCTTCCTCTCTTTCCTTCTTTGACTTTCTGTCGCTCTGTCTCTTCCTCTGTCTCCTTCTCTTTGTCTCTGCTTCTTCCTCTCTCTGTCTCTTCCTCTCTCTCTCTCTCTTTGACTTTCTGTCTCTTTCTCTCTTTCCTTCTTTGACTTTGTCTCTCTCTTTCTTTCTACTGGTCTTTCCCTGCCTCTGCCAGCTGCTTATGCTGCTGTTCTCCCCTCTCCTTCCTCTTTTTGATGGCTTCAGCAGTGGAAGACTGCCACCACCTTGGGTTTTTGCACTGTGCAATAACTCCATAATTTCCTTGTGGTATTTAATGGGGGTTCCCAGCAGTTAGGAACCCCCTTTCTTTCCATATTGCAGCATGGGCATGTAGGATTAGATAAGCATACTTGCTATCTGTATACACATTTATTCTTTTTCCCTTTCCCAGTTCTAAGGCTCAGGTAAGTGCCACTAGTTCTGCTAACTGGGCGCTGGTCCCTGGGGAAAAGGGCTTATTTTCAAGTATGGTTACATCACTAACTATGGCATAACCTACCCTTCGTATCCTATTCTCCACAAATGAGCTTCCATCGGTATATAGGTTAAGGTCAGGATTAGCTAAGGGGACTTTGAAGAGATCATCTCAGGGGGCATAAGTCTGGACTATAATTTGTTGGCAGTCAGGCTTGATTGGCTCCCCATCGTCTGGGAGAAAAGTGGCAGGGTTGAGGGCCACGCATATACATATTTGAAGCACCGGTCCCTCAAGGAGTAGCACCTGGTATCTAAGTAGGCAGTTGTCTGATAGCCATAAACTTCCTTTGGCACCTAGTATGCCATTGACATTATGAGTAGTCCAGACAGTGAGATCCTTTCCTTGTATTATTTTGATAGCCTCTGACACTAAGATGGCCACCGCCACAACTACCCGTAAAACAGTGAGGCCAGCCTTTTGCTACTACATCAATTTCCTTACTTAGGTATGCCACTGGTTGTGGGGTTGTCACACGAGTCTGAGTATGGACTCCAAGAGCTATCCCTGCTGTCTCTGTGATGTAGAAAGAAAAGTTTTGTCCTGTCAGAAGGCTTAAAGCAAAGCTGAAGTTTGAACTAGGGCCTGCTTTAAGGTTTTGAAGGCTGTTTCTGCCTCTGGTTCCCATTCTACTAGATGAGTATTTGCTCTCTGGGTCTCCTTGATTAGAGTATAGAGGGGCCTGGCTATCTCGCTGTATCCGGGGATCCATAGTCGGCAAAAGCTGTTGATTCCAAGGAACACCTGCAACTGTTTTAATGTCTTAGGGCAAGGATAAGCCAGTATAGGCTGTATTCATTCCTTGCTGAGGGCCCTGGTCCCTCTGGCTAAGATTAGGCCTAGATATTTCACCTGCTGCAGGCAAAGCTGGGCTTTCGACCTACACACCTTGTACCCTTGATCGGCTAGAAAGTTCAAGAGTTCTAGAGTACCCTGCTGGCATGAGGCTTCCGAACTGGTAGCCAAGAGCAAATCATCCACATACTGAAGGACCAGAGTGCCTGGACTTGAGAAGTGGCCTAGATCTTGGGCCAGTGCCTGACCAAACAGGTGAGGGCTATCCCTAAACCCTTGGGGCAAGACTGTGCACATAAGTTGGGACGTGTGGTCTGTGGGATCCTCAAAGGCAAAGAGAAACTGGGAGTCAGAGTGCAGGGGAATACAGAAGAAGGCATCCTTGAGGTCCAGAACAGTGAATCATTCTGCTTCCTCTGGTATTTGAGAGAGCAGGGAATAGGGGTTGGGTACAACTGGATATAGAGGAGTTACTGCCTCATTGGTGAGTCTAAGATCTTGCACTAGTCTCCACTGACCGTCGGTTTTTGTACTTCTAGAATTGGGGTGTTGCAGGGACTGCTGCATTTCCTTACTAAGCCTTGAGCTTTTAAATGTTTAACAATATCCTGTAAACCTTTATGAGCTTCAGGCCTTAAGGGATATTGCCTTTGATAAGGAAAAGAGGTGGGGTCTTTTAGCCTGATTTGGACTGGGTGGGCATTTTTTGCCCTTCCAATGCACAGACTTCAGGGTTGATTCCCTCTTCAAGTAGGGGACAACAAATGGGTAACTTGTCCCCTATATTCATGTAGATAATAGCTCCACCTAATATATCTCTACCTAATAAGGGTGTGGGACTTTCAGGCATAACAAGAAAGGCATGTGAAAAGAGCAAAGTCTCCCAATTACAACTGAGGAGGTGGGAGAAATACCTGGTTACAGGCTGTCCCAGGATTCCTTGGATGGTAATGGACCTTGAGGACAGTCGACCAGGACAGGAGATTAACACTGAGAAGGCCGCGCCAGTGTCCAGGAGGAAGTCAATTTCCTGACCCTAAGTGGTTAAACATAGCCAGGGCTCAGTGAGGGTGATGACATGAGCTGGCGCTTGCCCTGGGCACCCTCATTCCTGTTGTTGGATCGTCTGGCTGGGGGCTTCTGATCCAGAGAATCTTCGTTCTCTGGAGCAGTGCACCTTCCAGTGATTGCCTCGGCATAGTGGACATGGACGATGGGGCAGCTTGTTTCTCATTGGACAATCTTTTTTAAAGTGTCCTTGTAAACCACACTGATAACAAGCCCTACTGGGTGATTAGCCTGCTCCATTTTCTGTCCTCTCTGAACCACCAAGGTTTCTTTGTCTGAGGGCCATGACTAAGGCTGCGGCCTTTCTCTGATCTCGCTTTTCCTTTTGGGCCTGTTCCTCTTGGTTCCTATTTTAGAACACCGAGGTTGACAGGTTTAATAATGCCTCCAAATTTTGTTCAGGGCCCAGGGCTTGCTTTTGGAGCTTTCTCCTGATATCTGCAGCTGATTGGGTAATAAACTTATCTTTTAGAATCAATTGACCCTTGAGTGAGTTGGGTGACAGGGGAGTATATTTTCTTAAGGCCTCCCATAGCTGCTCGAGGAAAGCAGAAGGACTTTCTTCCTTTCCCTGAGTTATGGTAGACATCATTGAGTAATTCATGGGCTTTTTCCTAATTCTCCTTAGTCCTTCTAGAACACAGGTCAACAGATGTTTATGACTCCGGTCCCTGTGATCTGAGTCGAGGTCTTAGTGGGGATCCATACTGGGGATGGCTTGTTGACCAGTAGAGAATTTATTCTTTTCTTCAGCTGTCATTCTATCATTTACTTTACTAAGATACCAGGTATCTCCAAACTCTCAAGCTGCAGCTAAAGCTGCATTCTTTTCATTAGAGGCCAGGGTTTGATCTAACAGTAGCATGACATCTCTCCAAGCGAGGTTGAAGGTTTGCCCTAGACCATGTAGGATATCTATGTACCTATCAGGATCATCTGAAAACTTCCCCAGGTCTGCCTTGATCTGCTTTAAATCAGAGAGGGAGAAGGGGACATGTACCTGGGTTGGGCCAAATTCCCCTCCCCCTATAGCTTGAAGAGGACATAACCGATAGCCTGGGGGGTTAGTGGTCCTTTGGAGATTTCTTTGCTTATTTCCTTCTGGGCAGGGGAGATTAGAGGAGGATTATCATTAATAGGAAGGGGAGCTATAGGGATGCTAGGATATGGGGATAAGCTGAGAGGTCCTCCTGTGGGATGTAAATTGCAAGCTTTGCATAGTTGTGTATTCTCCCTCAATGAAAAGAAAGCTTGGACATAAGGCATTTCACTCTATTTGCCTTCCCTCTTACAGAAAAGGTCAAGCTGCAGGATAGTGTTGTAACTTGTACTTCCCTTAGGTGGCCATTTTTCCCCATCAGAGAGAGAATATTGGGGCCAAGCCATAGTGCAGAAAAAAATGAGCCGCCTCTTTCTCAGGGTTTGTGGGTCAAATTGGTCCCAATAGCTTTGGATGCAT
Source organism: Homo sapiens (assembly GCF_000001405.40). NCBI lineage: Eukaryota > Metazoa > Chordata > Mammalia > Primates > Hominidae > Homo > Homo sapiens. The sequence goes on from NC_000004.12 coordinate 172,375,427, forward strand.
TTCAAGGGTGAGCCTCTTGATGCCTGAGTGTTTCCCATCTGAAAGACAAAAATGCCCCCAGTTTTGGTTTGTTTGTTTCTACCCTTGCCCAAGAACCCACAACAGTCCCTGGACCCTGCTGATAGAATAGTTGCACTCACCAACACAGCAGCAGAAACAACCCCTACCCAAGAACCTGCAATGGTCCCTGGACCCTGCTGATCGGAATAGTTGCACTCACTGACGCAGCAGCAGAAACACTAGTTTTCACCTTAGACCACAAAGAGAACCAAGGAAGGTCAGATTTAGTGGCCCTTACTGATGCATTCTTGAAAACCTGCACTCTTGCCTGTCCTCCTAGACCACAAAGAGGACCAAGAAAAATCGGGTTTAGTGGCCCTTACCAACGCATTCTCAAAAACCTGTTAGAGTCCTAGGCATTCACCTGTTAGTATTGGGACTTTACCCGTGTCCTATAAAGATGTTATGCCCCAAAAATGAAGTGGAGGGCCATACCCTGAGGGAGGGAAGGGATCTCCAGAGTTGGAAGAGTGATGCCCTTTGTCCTCACTTACATGAATAGGAAGGATACAATTTCTGAGGCTACCCATATCCTACCTTCAGGAATAGCTTTTGTTAGGCCTGCTTGTCTGAGGAGGGATCCTAAAATTCCAGGTAGTCTCCCCTACAACAGGGCTTTGGGCAAAAATTGTGTCCTTCTGATTAGTGAGCCCAGGTGCCTAAAGAAGATAACAGAATCCTGGAGTTTATACTAGAAATCATTCTTACAGGAGAAAATAGAAAATCACCAGAGACAGGGAGTGATTTTTAGAAGAGGGACTAGCCTCAGAGAAGAGAGGTGAGAGGAAGTTTTGTCTGGCAGGCATTAGGACCCAGGAGTCAAGGGTCAGGGTAGATAGAATAGATGGGCTAGTCTTGCTTGGGTGACATGCCTTTGAGAGTTCTGCTCATGGCCGCATGGTCAACCAACTTGTTGTCGGCACCCCGGAGCTGAATGGCTTTCCTCTCTGTCGACCCTCGACTCAGCCCAGGAAAACAGGAAAAGTGGAAGCTGGTTCCAGGCAAACCAACGCTCCCAACTCCGAAGAGTCAGGGGTTGTTAGACAGCCCTTTCTCAGAAAGCCTGACACCTGTGTCTTCAGTCTGGCAGCCACGCTAGTCGCTTTTAACTGTGCCTGGTATTTAGCCCCTGAATTCTAAGAAAAAATAGGACAGAATAGCAAGCAAAAGGGGTCCGATGGTACTCACCGCTTGGCGATAGGTGATGGTCTCACCGCTTGGTGACAGGCAGTTGTCTCACCGCTTGGCGATAGGCAATAGTCTCTTCGTGGTTGCCAAAATGTATCTGGAATTGGTGTGTTCTTGGTCTCACTGACTTCAAGAATGAAGCCGCAGACCCTCGTGATAAGTATTACAGTTCTTAAAGATGGTGTGTCTGGAGTTTGTTCCTTCAGATGTTCAGATGTGTTGTTTCTTCCTTCTGTTGGGTTCATGGTCTCGCTGGCTTCAGGAGTGAAGCTGGAGACCTTCGTGGTGAGTGTTACAGCTCATAAAGGCAGCGCAGACCAAAAGGGTGAGCAGCAGCAAGATTTATTGTGAAGAGCGAAAGAACAAAGCTTCCACAGTGTGGAAGGGGACCCAAGTGGGTTGCCACTGCTGGCTCGGGCAGCCTGCGTTTATTCCCTTATCTGGCCCCAAACACATCCTGTTGATTGGTCCATTTTACGGAGAGCTGATTGGTCCATTTTACAGAGAGCTAGTTGGTCTGTTTTATAGAGAGCTGATTGGTATGTTTTGACAGAGTGCTGATTGGTGCGTTTACAATCCCTGAGCTAGACACAGAGTGCTGATTGATGCATTTACAATCCTCTAGCTAGACATAAAAGTTCTCCAGGTCCCCACCAGATTAGCTAGATACAGAGTGCTGATTGGTGTGTTTACAAACCTTTAGCTAGACACAGAGTGCTGATTGGTGCGTTCACAATCCTTTAGCTAGACATAAAAGTTCTCCAAGTCCCCACCTGACTCAGGAGCCCAGCTGGCTTCGCCTAGCAGATCCCGTGCTGGGGCCATGGGCGGAGCTGCCCACCAGTCCCACTCAGTGCGCCCGCAGTCCTCAGCCCTTGGGCAGTCGATGGGACTGGGTGCCGTGGAGCAGGGGCCGGTGCCCATCAGGGAGGCTCGGGCCACACGGGAGCCCACCGGTTGTGGGGGAGCTCGGTCATGGTGGGCTGCAGGTCCCAAGCCCTGCCCCACAGGGAGGCAGCTGAGGCCTGGCAAGAATTCTAGTGCGGCACGGGTAGGCTGGCAGTGCTGGGGTACCTGGTGCACCCTCCGCAGACGCTGGCCCAGGTGCTAAGCCCCTCACTGCCCAGGGCTGGCTGCACAGGCTGGCCGCTCTGAGTGCGGGGCCTGCTGAGCCCACACCCACCCAGAATTCACGCTGGCCCGCGAGCGCTGCACGCAGCACCAGATCCCCCCCCCCATGCCTCTTCCTCCACACCTCCCCACAAGCAGAGGGAGCTGGCTCTGGCCTCGGCCAGCCCAGAGAGGGGCTTCCACAGTGCAGCGGCAGGCTGAAGGGCTCCTCAAGCATGGCCAGAGTGGATGCTGAGGCCGCTAAGCAGGCACCAAGAGCGAGTGAGGGCTGCCAGCACGTTGTCACCTCTCACTGTGACTATCATACTTTTCCAGTCACCTTTAACCAAAAGAGCCGCCCGAGTTATCTGCTATATGATATTCTGATACAGAGTTCTAATATTGAAGTTATAGTTCTTAAATAAGTCCTTGTTGCGTGTGAAAGCAACACTTGGCAGTTCCAGAGCCTGAGTAGAATCCTCAGGAATAGACCCTGATGCTTGAAAGCAGGGAAGCCGATTCAAGGAAAAAGGACCTTGCTTCAGCCTCTATTTCCATGTTCAGGAAATGAAATATAATAACATTACCAGCATCAGAAAGGTTGCTGGGAAGGTGAAAAGATATTACTTGTTTAATCTGGAAACAGTTAAGCACAAAATTAATGTTAATTAATTCGATAACACTAATTGTGTATTTATCTTAAAAATACAGGAAACTAAACACGTGATTATTGAAATACCAGTGATTTGATGGAATTCGAATTAACCATACTTTGAGATAAATTAGAAAGATGTTTGGTTTTGTTGTTTTTTAAAAAAAATTGATATATATTCAGATGAATAAAGATTATTATAATTTATAGTTACTACTCTAGAAGTTTTTTTATCCTAGAACTTTAATGCTGAGTAATATCATAAATTATTAATAATATACAATGTGAAGAAATATAGTGTATATACCTTGATTTATAACATGTATCCATTATAAGCCAAAATTTTTGAGAAATATATTTTTGAGAGACTGTACATTAAAAACTGGATGAGATTGATTATATTTTATTTTTATGAAAATGATTATAGAAGTTAATTTTATTAAGTGTTTTATGTTCAAGATTTTATGTAAATCCTTTCAATATTCAACACCAGAAGGAATAAGTCTAAGATATATATTATTCTGGTAGAATTTAGTCTTTTAGTTTATTTTCATTTTCATTTATTTTTATAACAAAAAACATTTTACTAAAACATAAGACTTACAGAAGTTTCCAGACAAGCCATACAAAATGGTCACAAGCTTTTTCTGAAGGGGAGAATCTATACTTGACAGCAAAGTCACAGTGTTATTATTGAGAGCTGTGATGTTTGTTTAATGTTCCCATTCTGGTTCAAACAATCAAGCTTGTCCATCTACAGCATCTAAATAAAGTTAGACTTGGCTAGGGAACATATTCTAAAGAACAGGTTAGGCCGGGCGCGGTGGCTCACGCCTGTAATCCCAGCACTTTGGGAGGCCGAGGCGGGTGGATCATGAGGTCAGGAGATCGAGACCATCCTGGCTAACAAGGTGAAACCCCGTCTCTACTAACAATACAAAAAATTAGCCGGGCACGGTGGCGGGCGCCTGTAGTCCCAGCTACTTGGGAGGCTGAGGCAGGAGAATGGCGTGAACCCGGGAAGCGGAGCTTGCAGTGAGCCGAGATTGCGCCACTGCAGTCCGCAGTCCGGCCTGGGCGACAGAGCGAGACTCCGTCTCAAAAAAAAAAAAAAAAAAAAAGAACGGGTTAGCTGCTTTTAATCAATGCAATTAGATCACCAAAAAAAGGTGGGAAAGGAGCTCATAAATTAAAATAAAACTACCTCCCCCCTGAAAAAAATAAAATAAAATAAAATAAAATAAAATAAATAAAAACACCCACGCCCCTGGAGCTAACCTGACAACTACCTTCATTCACAGTGCTTTACACTTAAACCAGGCTTGGGGAAATGAATAAAAGCAGAGAGGGGCCACTGCTTTTAAACGTTTCCCAACAGTCCAGACGATACTTCTAGCCTCTGCTCATACTTTTTGACAGTGAATCAGAACAAAACATAGATTTGCTAATGTGCATTTAATCACCAAAGGACTGAAGAAGTCTGGGCTTTTATTCTGTAGTGTTTCTAAGACCTTGTCCATTAAATGTAAACCAAAAGAAAGAAGTCTTGGCAGAACAGGAGAAGTGATGCATACTTGATGATCGGATCAATTTAAATATTATTCATGGCATATAGCCTAGTCCCTGCTCTAGCTGTTTATATGGCTTGGGCTTCGTTGGTGTTTCCACTGCTCCTCTGCATCATTTGCTAATGGATCATCTGGATTTGGAGCACTTAACAAGGCCTGGATCCGTAGCAGAACTGTGCGGATCTGCAGGGCTGGGGACCACTTACCTTTCAAAATATCTTAACGTATTCTCCCCAACTTGTCTACATTAGGATGACAAATTTTGGTCATAAAACGCACTTTAGGGGCTGCCATTGGGTATTCTTCTGGAAGAAATAGTCCAAGTTTAAAAGTCCCTCCCTCACAGTGGGAATCCCAGGGACTGGCAATGACCACATGAAAATAATGGATGTTGCTCTCATATGGTTCTGCTTTGAGGCCAGGAACTGGTTCTGCCAGCAAAAGCTGGGTTTCCTTGACGATCCTGCTGGGCAGCCCAGCCATCTTGTCAGGTCCTGAGTTGGGTCTCTGGTCTCTAACTTCTAGTTTATATATCCTTGTTTTCAATGTACAAAGATGTACACTTTAGTAGGGAAAGAAAGAACGATTGTCACTGTTTAATATGCATCAATTAACATAAGTAATCTATTTTAATGGTATTTCAGAACCACAAAGAAGAACTCTTTCCTTAAAGCTTTAAAAATGTAATTGAAATCTGAAAACATATTCCATATAATTTACCACGAAAGAGAAGAGACACTCTACTACAGTCATATTCAATTGTTTTGTTTTGTTTATTACAATAGACATTTAGAACATCTTATCCTTAAAGTAATTTCAGTTGTTTTGCTGATTTTCAGCTTGTCAGATTGTTTATTCCTTTTCCTTTTTGCAATAGAATGATAATGAGAATAAATTTTGTACTGTGTGAAAATAAATTTATTTTTATAACAGTTAAATTAAAGAGATAATCTGATAAATCTGAATGTTATTTTAACAGTTTGTGCTCCTGTCATACTTTGAACTGTAAATTTTATTCAGCTGCCCTCTATCAGGCAAGCTTTATGAATTCCTGCAATTTGCTGAAGGCATTGTAACAAAACAATAGAGTGAGGTGGAATAAACCTTTAAAAATTCCTGTGAAGATTATACTTACTTTTTATTATTTGTTATTTTCTGTCAGAATTTTGGACAAAGAAGTTAAGACCTATGCTTTGGATGAAACAAATGATTATTTCCTTTAAAGCTATTTCCTTTTTACTTTTTGTAATGAAAGGCTTATTGGTATATAATTCACCTAGCATGAAATTGACCATATTAAAGTGTACAATTCAGTGGTTTTTAGAATATTGATGGAATTGTGCAACCATCATCACTATCCAATCTTATAATAGTTTCATCACCCCCAAAAGGAACCCCACACCCAAGAGCAGTCACTCCCATTCCTCCCTACTCCCAGTTTTCTGGTAACCAGTAATCTACCTTCTTTCTCTTCAGATTTGCCTGTTCTGGAGATTTTATATAAATAGAATAATTAAATATGTAGTCATCTGTGGCTTGCTTTTTTCCTTTATTATATTATTCTGAGGCTTGTTCATTTTGTAGCATGTATCAATATTTAATTCCTTTTTATGAGCTATAACAATAATGAAATATTATATGGATATATCACATCTGTGTTTATTGATTCATCAGTTGATGGACATTTAGATTGTTTCCACTTTTTGACTATTATCAATAATGCAAATATGAACATTGATGTGTCAGTGATTATAAAGACAGATATGTTTATTCCACTTGAGTGTATACTTAGGAGTCAAATTGCTGCAGTGTATGGTATGAAGAAAATCATTTTATTTATGATAGCACAAAAAACAATGTGTAATATTTTGAGGACCTGCCAAACAACTTTGCAAAATGGCTGCTTCATTTTAAAACCAGAAATTTATGAGAATTTTCATTTTTTTCCATGTCTTCATCTACACTGGATATTTTGTTTGTTTGAGATGGAGTTTCGCTCTTGTTGCCCAGGCTGGAGTGCAATGGCACGATCTTGGCTCACTGCAACTTCCACCTCCTGGGTTCAAGCAATTCTCCTGCCTCAGGCTCCCAAGTAGCTGGGACTACAGGCCAATCACCATGCCTGGCTAATTTTTGGAGTTTTAGTAGAGACAGGGGTTTCACCATTTTGGCAAGGCTGGTCTGGAGCTCCTAACTTCAGGTGATCCACCTGCCTTGGCCTCCCAAAGTGCTGGGATTACAAGAGTGAGCCACCACGCCCAGCCAATATTGTCTTTTTTTTTTTTTAAGTTTGGTTATTCTATTAGGTGTGAGGTAGTATTTCATTGAGGTTTTGATTTATATTTACCTAATGAATAATGATGTTGAGCATCGTTTTATGTACTTGTCAGTCTTTTGTCTTTCTTGGGAGAAATATGTACTCCAGCCTTTTGCCTATTTTTTAATTTCTTCTTTCATTGTTGAGTTGTAATAAATCTTAATATATTCTGAGTGCAAGTAATGTATCAAATATATAATTTGTAAGCATATTCTTCTATTGTGTGCATTGTTTCTTCATTTCTTTATGTGTCCTTTGATACACTAATTTTAAAATTTTGATAAAGTTCAATTTCCTAGATGTTTTTGTCTCATACTTTTGGTGTTATGTCTAAAAAACCATTGCTTAACAAAACGTCATGCAAAGTTTCCCGTATGTTCTCTCTTCTAAAAGTTTTGTAATTTTGGCTTTTACACTTAGATTTAAATCCAATTTAGGTTCATTTTTGCCTATTGTGTGAAATAGGGGGTCCAAATAAATTCTTTGCCTGAAGAACTTTGAAAAGACTATTCTTTTCAACCCATAATTGGGTTGAAAAGGCAATTGTGAAGACTATTTTCACACAATTTTTAAAGGACTGTTTTTTCCCCATTAAATATTTTTGGAATTCAAATCTAAAATCAAACGATCATAAATGTAAGCTATATTTCTGGATGCTCAATTCTATTTATTTGTCTGTTCTTATGTAGTACACACTGTATTATTATAGTTCTGTAATAAATCTCATTATCAGGAAGTATTAATCTTCCAACTTTGATATTCTTTTTAAGTGTTACTTTGACTATTCTGGAGCCATTACATTCTCATGTATATTTTAGGATCAGCTTGTCAATTTTTTTAGAAAAAGGTAATTGATTTTTTTGGTAGACATTGCATTGAATCCGTGTACCAAATTGGAGAGTATTGCCATCTTAACAATATTGTCTTCCAGTTCTTTTCATTTTTTTTAGATTTTCTGTAACTTTTTTCAACAAAATTTGTAGTCTTCAATGTACAATTATTGAACTTTTGTTACACTTATTTATAAGTGATTGTTTTTTGTGCTATTATAAATAAAATTGTTTTCTTCATTTCATTTTTAGACTTTTCATTACTAATGTATAGACATCCAATTGATTTTGGATATTGACTTTGAATTCTGCAATCTTGCTGGAATTATTAGTTCTAATTTTTGTGTGAAATTCTCAGGATTCTCTATATACAAGAGCATGCCATCTGTGAGTCGTCACGATTTTGCCTCTTTCCAATCTGAATACTTACTTCCTTTGCTTGCATAATTGTCCTGGTTAGAATCTACAGGACAATGTTGAATAAAAAGGTGAGAGCAGACATCCTTATCCTGTTTCTGATCTAAGATTGAAAGCATGTAGTCTTTCCTGCTTAAGTGTGATATTAGCTGTGGATAATCAAGTTTAGGAAGTTCCCTTCTATTTGGTAGATGCTTTTCATCGGGTTCAGGAGTTCCCTTCTATTCTTATTTTTCTTGAAAGCTCTTATCATGTAAGGATGATGGATTTGTCAAATACTTTTCTACTTCTATGAAAATGCTTATGTGATTTTTGTCCTTTATTAATATGATGTGTTATCCTGATTGATTTTTGGATGTTATATCAACCTTGCATTCCTAGTGTAGTAACCACTAGTTAATGGAGTATAATTCATTTAATATGGGTCTGCATTTGGTTTGTTAGTATTTTGTTGAGGATTTTTATTTGTGTATTTATTAGAGATGTTAATGTATAGTTTTCTTTTCTTGTGATAGTTGTCTGGTTTTGGTATCAAGGTAATACACAGAATAAGTTGAAAGTGTTCCTTCCTCTTCTACTTTTTGCAAGAATTTGTTAAAAACTGGTATTAATTAAATGTTTGATAGAGTTCATCAGTGAAGCAGGTGAAGTGAAGTAGGGCCCAAACTTTTCTTTGTGGGTAGTTTTCCTAATTACTGTTTCAATCTCTTTACTTGTTATAGATCTTTCCAGATTTTTTATTTATCCTTGAGTCAGCTTTGGTAGTTTGTGTTGTATCTAAAAATTTGTCCTTTTAATCTAGGTTATCTAATTTGTGGGACCACAGTAGTTCATAGTATTCCCTCTTAATTTTTTTTTAAATTTCTCTAAGGCCAATAACAATGTTGCTTTCTTCATTCCTGATTTGTAATTTACATTTTCTCTCACTTCATCTTGTTTTGTCTAGCTAAAAGTCTGGCAATTTTGTTAAAGTTTTGGTTTTGTTAGTTTTCTTTATTGTTTTTTTTTCTACTGTCTATTCATTAATTTCTACCCTTAATACTATTATTACCTTCTTTCTCATTGCTTTGTGTTGTTTGCATTTTTACTTTTCCTAATTTCTTTAGATGGAAGGTTAGGTTATTGATTTGAAATTCTTCTTGCTTTATACTGGCGTTTACAGACATAAATTTCCCTTTAAAGAATGCTTTAGCTGCATCCCAAAAGGTTTGTTTGTTCGTTTTATTAGAGACAGGGCCTTATTATGTTTCCCAGCCTAACCCTGAACTCCTGGGCTCAATTGTTCCTTCTGTTTCAGCCTCTGAGTAACTGAAATTATAGACATGGGCCACTGTGACTGGCTAAGGTTTGTTGTGTTGGGTTTTTACTTTCATTCATTTCAATTATGTTATGTTGTAATTTTGTGTGTGTGTGTGTGTGTGTGTGTTTTGTTTCGTTTTTGTTGTTGTTTTGTTTTTTTGTTTTTTTTTTTTTACCCATTGGTTATTTAGAAGTGTGTTCTTTAATTTTCATACGTTTCAATTTTCTAATTATTCTTCTGTTATTGATTTTTGTTTTTAATTTTGTTTCAAGAAGAGATGATGAACAATTTAATACCTTTTAAATTTATCGAGGTATGTTTTATAGACTAGCATATGGTTTATCAAGGAACTCATGAGTACCTGACAAAAATGTCTTAATATATTCTGCTATGATTGCGTATTCTATAGATTATGGTTATACGTGGTTTCTAGTGCTGTTTAAGTCTTCTGTTTTCTTCATGATCTCCTGCCTAGTTGTTCTATTCATTGTTGAAAGTGCAACATTGAAATCTTCAATATTTATCACTGAATTATCAATTAGTCTTTCAGTTTTCTTAGTTTTTGCTGTGTGTACTTTGAGACTTTTTCCTGTGGTTCACATGTATTTATACTTGTTATGTATTGCTGAATAATTGACCCTTTTTTCATTATAAAATATATATATGTTTTGCTTTTATATCAATTTTTGTTTTACAATCTATTTTTTAAAATATTGATAACAGCTCTTAGTTACTGTTTGTATAGTATATCTCATTTTTGTCTTTTTACTGTCAACCTATTATGTCTTTGAATCTTGTGGACAAAATATCATTGGATCATTTTTATAAAATCCATTCTTCCAATGTCTTCCTTTTCATTGGAGTTTTACTTAATTACTTAATTGACTTTTAATGTAATTACTGGTAAGATAGAATTTGTACATTATTTATTTTTACCATGTCTTTTGCTTCTTTGTTCTTCTATTCTTCCATTACTGTTTTTTCTTCGGTTACATATACATATTTTCAAGTGTACTATTTATTACATTTATTGTTTATACACACACACACATATATATATTTTTCTAAAGATTATAGTAGAAATTACAATTAACTTAAAGCAATCTAGTTCACGTTAATGTCAACTAAAGTCAATATTATACAAAAATTTGCTATAAAAGAGCTTTGTTCTATGTACTCCTGCTTTATGCTATTATTTAATCCCAAATTGTATCTTTATTCATTATAAGCTGAAAAACACAGTTTTATAGTTATAGCTTTATTCAATGCCTTTTAAATCAGATAGGAGAAGAAAAAATTTACAAAAATACATTAATAATAATTTTTATATTTACCTATTGCCTTAGTCAATTCAGGCTGCTATAACAAAAATACATACACTGAGTGGCCTAAAGAGCACACATATTTTTTTGCACAGCTCTGGAGTCTGGAAAGTCCAAGATCAAAGTACTGGCAGATCTGGTGTCTGGTAAGGACACTTTCCCTGGTTTTAAGATGACCATCTTCTCATTGTACCCTCACATGGTAGAGGGCAGAGAGAGAGGAAGCAAGCTCTCTCTTGTCTCTTCATGAGAGTATTGTTATAATCATTCTGCAGAGAGACAGAACTAATAAGAGAGGGAAAGTGAGAGCGAGAAAGAGAGAGAGAGGTGAGAAGGGATTTATTAGGGCAATTCTCTCACTCAATTATGTAGATTGAGAAGTTCCATGATAAGCTGCAAGCTGGAGAACCAGAGAAGTAAGCATCATGGCTCAGCCTAAGTCTGAAAGCCTCAGAACCAGGGAAGCCAATGGAGTAACTCAACTGCTGGTTCAAGTTTCAGAGTCCAAAGGCTGGAGAATCTGGAGTTCTGACATCCACAGACAGGAGAAGGGTGTCCCATTTTCAGAAGAGGGAGAAAAATTTACCCTCTGCTTTTTGGTTCCAAGCTTGCCCCCAGCCAATTGGATAGTTTCTACCCACATTGAAGGCAGATCTTTGCCACTCAACCTACCAACTCAAAGGCCAATCTACTCCAGAAATACCCTCATAGGTACACCTGGAGAAGCCCAACCATTCCAATCAAATGCCAAACCATCTGAGTTTCCTTTTCAGCAGAGGAGAGACAGGCTCAATGCCTATTGAAGCATTAAGAATAATTAATATTTTACCAGCTATCTGTGTATACTTCAATCCAGTCAAGGTGACAGCCAAAATTAATGATCACAGGTACTAATACCATCCTGAGGGCCCCACCCTCATAATTTTATTACCTCCCAAAGGGCCCACCTCCAAATAACCTTCTATGGGAGTATGGTTTCAACATAGAAATTTGGAGCAGAGTGTACACAAACATGTAATTCATAGCACCTATGTAGTAATCTTTAATAATAGTCCCTTTTATTTCTTCCTGTGAAGTAATGTTTTTATCTATTGTCTTTTCATTTCAGCCTAAGGTTTCTTTCTTTGGTATTTTCTGTAGTACAGATATGACAGAAATGAAATCACTAAGTTTTTGTTTATCTGAGAATGTTTTATTTTCTCTTTCCTTTTTGAAAAATTGATTTTCTGAATATAAACTTTTTGGTTGACTTCTTACACTTTGAATATGCTGCTACCTCCTGAACTCTGTCCTTTTGGATTAGAAGTCAACTGTTAATCTTATTGAAGATACCTTATACCCAATGAGTCATTTTTCTCTTGCTGCTTTCTATCTTCTCTTTTTGTCTTTGCCTTTGACAGTTTGTATATGATGTGTCTAAATGTGGCTTTTTGAGTTTTTCTTACTTATAATTCACTGAGTTTCTTGTATATGTAGATTGATTTTTAATCAAATTTGGGATATATTGGTAATTATTTCTTCAAATCCTCTCTAAGCAGTCCATGATCTTGTCCCCTGTCTCTTCACCTTCTTCTGCCAAGTCTACATTTCCTTCAGTTTTTATAAACTAAAATGTTCTTCCTATTACTGAACATTGTTTTAACTATCCTGCCTCTGTTTTTTTGCTCATGCTGTATCCTCCTTCTGAGACATTTTCAAACAACTTATATTTGTTCTTCAAACTTCATCTTTACCATAAATATTACTTTCCTCTCAAATACATTTCCACTCCACAATCTAATACAAATGTACCTCTTTTAAAGCAGTCATACCTTTCATCACAAAGTATAGTTACTCACTTGCATGTTGGATACGATCAAAATAGGCACCATTTTGATGTGCTCTGTTTTTTACTTCTCCTAACAAATCCAAGTGTTACTTTGTTATCACCATTTTTAACAGATACATCCTATTTTAACATCCCAATATAGTACTTAGCCCCAGTTTTGCTTATTCCAGAGCTCATGAGCTCAGCCACTTGGCTCTAAGACTTGTGAGTACAGTAGGAGAGTTTAATGTAGATGGAGCATCTGTCTGCTGTTGTTGCTATTTTTTCGTTTTAGAAATACCATACATTGGTCAATTTAAAATCATAGAACGCAATGCTCTAGTGCTTTGAATATTTGAATCAATTCTAGTTGACACTTCAAAGTTGCTAATCTTCATTTTGGTGGTTCTTTTAGTGTAAGATAAAGTTTACATATATGCCACAGAAAGTATTTTTGTGGAAGAATAAAGACATTTATTAGGAAAGTTATTTAGAAAATTAGAGTAACCTTGGTAAGGTATTTACTTCAACATCCAAGAGACATTACATATTCAAAAGGAGGTTTTTTCAAATGAAACCTAGATTATTTCACTGAGATTTGGCATTAGCATTTTATCTGCTTCAACTAAATTGTAATTTGCTATATTAGTGTATCCACTCCCCATAAGAGTAATTTCTGGAATTCATATTCATCTGTTAAAAAAGATGCCCTTGTCCTAGTACTAAAACCATAATATTGATGAGAAAAAAATTTGAGGAAATAACTTGCCTCCTATGTAGGATATCTAATTTTATGCACACTGTATTTAGTGTTAGCAACCTGCTTCGGGGGTAGCGGGTACCATACTTACATGACATCCTCCCAAAAAATGAAATCATGATCTATATTATTAGCCATTTAAAAATAAGCAACCAGAAAAGCTGTGCTATATCTATATCTATATCTATATTTTTGGTGAACTTTATTTTCTTGGTTTTTCCAATTCCTAATATTTCTAATAGCTTAAAGTTAGTTTTTTAAAATCATCCTCCGAATTTAAAATTCAGAAATGTATGCTATATGATTATATTAGACAAGACGTAATTTCAGGAACTATGACCTACATTTTAGTTTGTGTTCACATGAAATTCTTTAGGATTGTATGGAATAAGACATCTCTACCTACTTCATATTTTAATACATATTTAAATGTTTTTCTGACACATTTAGTAATAATTAATTTATTAAATGTTTCCCAACTAGGATAAAATTTATTAACTATGTCTAATTCAAAATGTTTTAAAAATAACAGCAGAAAAAAAGAGAAAAAGAAAGATATAATTAAAGTAAGACTAGAAATCATTGATGTAGGAAAAAAAAGTACTCAGTGGTGCATTTTAACAAATCAGTAATTTTGTTCTTTCCAAAGATTAATGAATGGTCAAATGCTTCCAAGATTTATTGCAGAAATTATGGGAATGCATATTTATTAAAAGGTTAGAAATTAAGTCGTGAATGTAAATAAAAGTTAAGTTGAAAATTGTAATAAGTTCTGTTTATGTAGTAATTGAAATAAAATGAGTAGATGTATATAACACATAAGTTAAGCTAAAATCCAAGCTCAGTGTATTGGCTGCATCTGAAGAAGGTAGGAGGTAAATAAAATCATAGAGAACTACATGGCTTCAGTCTTCAGCTTCATTTTAAGTTTTATTTCTTAATCAATAAAAGAAAGTATGTAGAACAAATATGACTTAAGTAACAATATTTGACAAACCCAGATGGTGGATACATAGCTTTTTATATGCTTAATATTTTCTTACTGTAATATATCGAATTAGTTGAGTAAAGGGCTGCTGGAGGACAATAAAACTAAGGTATTACTAAAAAAGAAGCTTCCTTTAGTTCATGATTTTAAAAAATAACAGTTGCTAGTTTTTCTTTAAAAATGATACCTTTATGTTCCCATTTGACCATTTGAATTTAATTTAGCGACAGATCCACACTGTATAACAGATTGCTTGGAAGTGATGAATGATATACTTTCTCACATTTGTATTGTAGTTGAATGCAAAAAAACTCAATGGAACAATTTCTGCTATTTAAATTTTTTTCTTATTATTTAAATTTCCTTTAGCAAAATAAAGGTCATTACTTTTTTAACCCAAAGAAAATAACATAAAATATTTTAGGGGCCTATTGTTTAATATTTTAAAAATTGACTTATTTTTCAAACGTTGTAATCTAATAGCTATGTTTGCAATTGATGCTTTTAACATACTCTTGGGTTACCATGGATTGTTTATGAAATAGAGCCACTATGGACTGTTTAAACTTTAATTAACAGAACAAAAACCATGTTACAGTAATGCTCCCTTACTCATGCTTGTGTTCTCTGCACTTTCAGTTACCCACAGTCATTGGCAGTCTGAAAATATTAAATGGAAAATTTCAGAAATAAACAATTGATAAGTTTTAAATTATGTACCACTCTGAGTAGCATGATAAAATCTCACACCTACTTGCTCAGTCCTGCCCAGGATGTGAATCATCCCTTTGTCCAGCATGTCTACGCAGCATGTGCTACTTGCCCAATAGCCACTTAGTAGTCATCTCAGTTATCAGATAGAAAAGCATAGTTTATACAAAATTCAGTGTTACCTATGGTTTTGGATATCAACTGGAGGTCTTGATACATATCCCTCATGGATAAGGGGGGACTACTGTATTTCCAGAAAATAATAAATATAACTAAGTATGACGTAAAATGCGATATTTTGTTCAAATGAGAGGCAAAAAGCAAAAAAGCTTTAATTAATAGTGTTATATTTAAACACAGATAAGATAAAATGCAAAAAGACTTTACATTGAGGCTCCTAGGAGCTTTGATTACAAACAGGACATGTAAATCAGAAATCTTGGCATTCCTAAACAAGTCATACAGTGAGTTAAGGCACTCTTATGAAAAAAAATAGAGAAGAACAGTGGTTAATTGTATTAAATCAAGTCAATGTTATTTACACTTTAAATGAGTTACATTACTTCAGTGTTTAAAAACTAATTTATAGACTAGGTAAATGAGAACCATCATACTCAAATTTCAATAAGCTCAATATCATTGTGGATGTGGGCAACTGTCTTGGTCCATGTGTGCTGCTATAACAAAATACCACAGACTGAATAATTTATAAGGAATAGAAATTTATTTCTCACAGTTCTGCTCTCTGGTGAGGGTCTGGTCTCTGCTTTCAAGACAGTTCCTTGAAGAGTGTCTTTGTGAGGAGAGGAACGCTGTGTCCTCACCTTGCAGAAAGAAGAAGAGCAAGAGGGATGAACACTGTGAGGAGCCACTTCTATTCTTTTACTTTTTATTTTTAATAGAGATGGGGTCTTGCTCTGTTGCCCAGAGCTGAAAGTCCGTGTCATGATCATAACTCACTGCAGCCTTGAACTCTTGGGCTCAAGCAATCCTCTCACCTCAGCCTCTGGAGGAGCTGAAATTACAGGTGTGAGCCACCGTGCCTGGCTCAGAAGCCTCCTTCATAAGGGCTTTAATTTCATTCACAAGTGGAAGAGGCTTTATGACTTGATTACCTCTTAAAGGCAGGCCCCTGTTATTACCATCAAATTGGCCATTACATTTCAACATCTGAATTTTGGAGGGACACATTCTAACCATAGCAGCAACTAAGAAGCTTCTGGTGACATTGGGTGACATTGGGAGTGTTTGTAAGATGACAAACATAATTTCTAAACAACTGATCTCTTACTACTGTTTATTTGTGAACTTTGTTTTGCCAAACACATAGAAAGGATTTTGTACTGACTAATCAGGCCTATTACTAGACAGAGGGATATGTAATGGTTTCAAGAATTTCACTCTACAAAGCCTTAAAGGAACTAAAATAAGTTCCTTTTCCAGCTGATTTCCAATATCGATTGAAAGGACACACTAATGAGAAAAATAAACTAAGATAATGCTAATCAACTTTTTAACTCAAAAAATTTTAAACAGTTTTTTTTTTCTTTGAGATGGAGTCTTGCTCTGTAGCCCAGGCTGGAATGCAGTGGCACGATCTCGGCTCACTGCAACCTCTGCCTCCTGGGTTCAAGCGATTCTCCTGCCTCAGCCTCCGGAGTAGCTGGGATTACAGGTGTACGCCACCACACCCCCCTAATTTTCATATTTTTAGTAGAGGCAGGGTGTCACCATATTGGTCAGGCTGGTCTCAAACTCCAGAGCTCAGGTGATCTGCCCGCCTTGACCTCCCAAAATGCTGGAATCACAGACATGAGCCACCATACCTGGCCTAAATAGTTATTTTAATTAAAAATTGTTCTTTACACATACCAGAATTTTTAGAAACATTCTCGTTACACTATAAAGACCAATCAAGCTTTGAGAAAATATAAAATGTTAGATCTTCAATTTCTCTTTGACAAGTAAAAACTTCTCTCAGAAGCATTTAAAGTATTTCTTATTCATTTTTTTTTTTTTTTAATATAGAGCAGTCTCGCTCTGTGGCCTCAAGGGATCCTCCTTCCTCGGTCTCCCAAAGTACTGGGATTGTAGGCATAAGCCACCATTCCTGGGCAATTTACAGTATTTAAAGGAAGAGTTGCTCTGGCTGAAAGTTTTTCTTGGAGAGAAAAACATACCTGCTTAATGAACAAATCTGTGTAAAACATCTGTGTTTCTTGCTCTTGCAGATACAAAATAATATACTAAAAATTGTCCTGGCTCTGGTGCCAGGTTTTGTGGATTTGAATCTCTACTGCTTAGCTTATCGGGTTTTTGACCTTTGAGAAGGGAAGCAAGTTCTCTCCACCTTTGTTTTCCCATACATGAAATGAGGATAACTATTTATCAGGGGTCCACAACTCCCAGGCTGCGGACTTGTACCAGTCCCCGCCCTGTTAAGAAACCTGGACACACAGCAGAACGTGAGTGGCGGGCCAGCAAGCATTACTGCCTGAGCTCCACCTCCTGTTAGATCAGCGGTGGCATTAGATTCTCACTGGAGCACAAGCCCTATTGTGAACTGTGCATGCCGGCGATCTAGGTTGAGCCGTCCTTATGAGAATCTAACTAATGCCTGATGATCTGAGGTGGAACAGTTTCATCCCCAAACCATCCCCCTTCCCGGGTGGAAAAATTGTCTTCCATGAAACTGAGCCCTGGTGCCAAAAAGGGAGCCGCTGCTATATATGAACACAGCAGAGGTGACTATTATAACTTTGTGATAGAACATGTGAGTGTCTATCCCTTAGGAGAAAACACTTGAGAAAAAATGAGAATAAGGTATAAGCACTTCTAGGAACTGGGCAACATCACCCCTCCACATATCTGTCCCAGGATTGTCACAAAGTGCCTCCTCTGCTTCTTTTTCATGTAGCTCTCAAGCTTCTCTGCAGCTCTAGCATAACTACCCTCAGGCCAAATTTGCCATTAAACAAAACGAAGAGACAACAGAGAGACTCCAACCACTCTGAGTAGCAGGTTATTAAGTTTCATTTTCAGGAAACATCACAGGTGTTCATTAATGACACATTAAATGATGAAGCTTAACGTCTCTTTTAAAAATCTCATCTTTTGCTTAATTGAACATTTCTAATATGTAAAATCTTTACATAGCATACGAAAATATTTTGAGAGTACAAATGACATATATTTTTGTCTTCGAGATTTCCCTGTGGCAGCCCCACCAGTGATCCTGTTGTGTTCAATTAAATGTGGTAATGAGTATCTGACTACTGGGCTTTATGTAACTACTTTTATTACGTGCTTTATTTTTACTTCTGTAATGTCTTAATAATTCAAACTATATTTTAATGCTAATTTATTCAGGTTTCTGCTGAGAATTCAAAAAATGGTGTCGATTTTATTTTATATTTATGTTCAATTTTTGCCAGAATTTTAATTCAGTCACTCACATTGTAGGTTTAAATAAATTGATAAATGGAATATATATTATTCCCACTGTTTATTATAACTAAAGAAACCATACATAAAAGTTTAATAAAAAGTTGTTTTAAATTAAAGAGATGTAGATGGTTGATTGTTCATGGCTAATATTATTTTAAAAACTGGTACACAGGTAATCTGGCTTTTATAAGCCTATAAAACTTCTAAATTTTGTTGAGTTTCTTTACACCACAACTTTATAATTACTAATTATAATTACTTTATACTTGCTAATTTAAACTAATTACTATATAATAATTAGCTAACATTAAACTTTCTGTTGCTGTATTTGTCTCTTTATTGAAAAGCATTTTCAAACATATAACAAAAGTGAATTATAACCATAAAAATTGTTATTTGTATTCACATATTATAATGTGAGAGCCATGGAGTTTCTTTGATGTAACACATGTGTTCCCAACTTCAACAAAAAAGCCATATATACAGAAATTAGCAGTAGTCTTGCAATTTATTTTCTTCTTCTTCTTTTTTTTTTTTTTTTTTTTGAGATGGAGTTTTGCTCTTGTCACCCAGGCTGGAGTGCAGTGGTGCAATTTTAGGTCACTGCAACCTCCGCCTGCCAGGTTCAAGGGATTCTCCTGCTTCAGCCTCCTGAGTAGCTGGGGCCACAGGCACACACCACCACGCCCAGCTAATTTTTGTATTTTTAGTAGAGATGGGGTTTCACAACGTTGGCCAGGCTGGTCTCGAACTCCTGACCTCAGGTGATCCACCTGCCTTGACCTCCCAAAGTGCTGGGATTACAGGCATGAGCCACCACGCCCGGCCCTTCTTTTATCACTTGGAAAAGAAGAAAGTTGAGGCAGTTACATTTTCTTCTAGCATGCTGACACCCCTCCTGACAAGCAGATATTTACTAACAGAGAACCCTTGTTTATGAAATAATTTTAGCATGATGTATTTGGTCTGTTTTGGCTGCTTTTATACTACCTGCCACACAGAAATTGCAGCAATTACTATCATTTATATTAAGTTTACTCATCAGCTGTGTTTCAGATATCTTCTGTTACTTCATCAGAAGGTGCTAGGATGAACAGCAGTTTCTTTCTCTATATGTTTTTAGTCTGTGTTATCAGGATTATTGATACTACAAAGCACCTGACAAGAAAATCTCCCCCAAATTATAAATTGACAGGCTTTCGCTAGCTTTAGAAGCATTCTATATTTATGAATCGATTGTTAATTAACTTATGTCCAAAGAGGCCATCACTACCATTCCTTAGTCAAGAGTTACACCCATGAGTCTATATGTTTCTGTAATGTAAAGTTTCATACAATAGTCATATTGCATAAACATGCCTTGTAGCTTAAAAAAAATCATTACTTTTGTATTTATGGACATTTACAAATAATGTGTGCAAAGACTGAAAAAATATAATTTTGTTTTATTTATTAGAGTCAAACAGAAAAGTTGTAAATCTCTGCTTTTTGTATGTTTTCATTTTTTATTTTAATCAGAATTCTTTGGACAACCATTAATATAATATTTTTATTGTTGTTACCTTGTGACCTTTAGACTATCTTATTATTGTCAACATACAATATTTTTCTCTTGAATATATTAGAGTTAATGGCACAGGAGTATATAACACGTTTAGATGTTTTTCCTAAAATAAAATATATTCTGAGATATCAGACCTTTGACGAAAGGATTGACCATGTATATTGTGTTATCTATAGAAGTCTGACTTAATGTAGTTCAATAAAGAAAAAGAATAATCCCTGAACTCCAGTTTCCCAAGATAATTATTGATACAAGAGATGAAATATTACAAATTTAAAGGAGAGTAAATAGCAAAGTTTTTAATATGGGCAAAAATTAGTTTCAAAAATTTAAACATGAATGTAATTTTAGTGGAAATCAACCGGCAACATTAATTAATTAATGTATAATTAACATACAACCTGATACAGCCTCCCTGAGGAGAAAAATGAGTCCCTAAACCTATGGAATTCACTGCTTCATTCTCTGACTTCACGCGTAGTTAAATCAATGGAAGAGGCTAAATCAACGTGTACAGAAGCAGCAAGTGCTTAAATCATCCTAGTGCCCCTGCCACCATTCTATTATAAAAGTCATGGAAACACTCCAGCATACCCACATTTTGTCAACTTCAGAAAAGACTCCTGCCCTGATAACCAAAAACTGTGTATCTCAAATATGTACATTTTTCCTTATAATAACTATAAAACACTGTCATCAGTTTCTTCTTTCTCCTTGACCTGAGCCCTTCCTCGGGCAGTTTGAGTTTAAAAGTGTCTGCCCTGAGTGTTACTCTTCATGTTGCCAGGAAACTTGCCTTCTTCCGATCTAAAGCGTGCGTAACTGCAATTACTATTTTCTTTTTTTTTCTTTTTTTTTTTTTTAAGTCTAAGCCTTTATATTCTACGTGTTTTGATTTACCATAGTCCTCACTGCAGCAAGGACATTTAAAGTGAGATCTACTATTTATTTTTGAGTTCATAACATTTTTCATGGCAAGAAAAAATCTCAGCAACCCATAGCTGTAGCTTCCAATAGTGTTTATGGAAGTGCAAGCCAAGTGAGGGGTTTCTGAAAATAAGAGATGTTTTCCATTCAGTGCCCAAACTCAGTGATATTTTTCTCCTTACTTAAGACCAGTTCTCAATAAAACCACTCACCTGTACAGTTATGTTTGTGACATCTTTGACTACAACCATAGCTCAGTTTCAACAAACTTGCAGTCCTAACTTCTAGGATATGTGAGGTTTATTGATGGAGATATATTGTCAGGGCTTGTGTTAAAAAAATAGAAACTATTCAGATAATTGCATGGATGCCACTTTATTGTTATATAATTATCAGTGTGTTGCAATTAAAAGACAATTTTAATTTTGCACATTTTATTGAATGCAATAGTTAAATAAGTCATCCAGTACATTTTGTTTGCTTACTTTCAGGACTAATAGCAAAACATCCATCATTAGAAATGTTCTTTATAAATTTAAAAATAATATATAATCTGTCCTTGAAATTTATATTGTTAATGCAGATTTTTTCTACCATTATATCTATCTTACAATGACTAACAAAACTAGAAAATTTTGGTAAGCATCAAGATGTAAATTCGAGATGGAACTAATATCTGATGGGAGGCTACCTAGGTATATATATATGTGTTTGTTCATGTGAGAGATAGTCTATATGCTTGTGCGTGAATCTTAGAAATTATAGTATTTAATAGGTCTGTGATAGATGTAAACTGTTTTAGGAGTCTTCATATTACATATGACTCTATTTGGGGTATTAATGCTAATTCTTTCATATTAGAGTTCACATTAGATGCTAATAGAAATCCATTGATCTCCTTGACACCCATGAAATGATTAAGATAATAAAAGCATTACTGGAATTTGAGGGCAAGATTTAGAAGTAATATTTTGCCTAACAGTTGTAATGTTAGCGTGCATAATCATTGAAACACTGGGAGCCACATGCTAATTTCTTACACGTTCAAGGACCTTTTGAGTTGAGTAGTCATATCCATATAACAAATCACTCACCTTATGTGAGCTGTACATTTATTGTTGTAATAAAAAATGGATTTAACTCTCCTAGAAATAAGTATCTCATTTATTTATTTATTTATTTATTTATTTATTTATTTATTTAAAATGGAGTCTCGCTCTGTCGCCAGGCTGGAGTGCAGTGGTGCGGTCTCTGCTCACCGCAACCTTTGCCTCCCAGATTCAAGCAATTCTCCTGCCTCAGCCTCCCAAGTAGCTGAGATGACAGGCATGTGTTACCACGCCCAGCTAATTTTTGTATTTTTTAGTAGAGACAGGGTTTCACCATGTTGGCCAGGATGGTCTCGATCTCTTGACCTTGTGATCCTCCCACCTTGGCCTCCAAAAGTGCCAGGATTACAGGCATCAGCAACTGTGCCTGGCCACTATCTTTTATTTTTATCTTTTCTAAATATAATTGTTGCCAGTATAGTACAAGCTAAAAGTCTTTCTTTTTTTTTACTTTTGGATTCTTCTGTCCTTCTTTGGATTCTTTATTATTCTTAACTCTTTCCACTGTCTTCCCTAACTGCATGCCAACCATCAGGCAATTGTCTTTTCTGTTTTATTTCTAAAGCAGAATATATTTTGTAAAATTTCTTCATCACCATACTGTTAGTATGATGACAAACTAATTTCACATTAACAAAATTCTAGCTGTCAACATTACATATTTTATGGAGAGAAATTTAGGAAAACAATTACATATTCTTAAATTATGATAATGGAACAGGAACAAAAGGAGTTAATGTTTATTAAAAATGATTAGTCAGTGCTGACTTAAGAAGTGATCTTGATGGACCAATGTTAAAATGAGCTGTCAAAATAAGAAGATATGAGGGCTACTGATCTTTCATTAATAAAATGAACATATATTAAATGGCATTTATGAAAACAATGGCTGATAATGAAGTGAGTGCTATCCTTTTTCATATCTCATTCAGGGCATCCTTGTCCAATAAGAGGGGAGGAAGAGCAGTGCTATTAGATTTAATCCGTTAGAGACCGGCACTCTCCTTTTCAAAATAAGACTAGCTTTGCAATCGTTTATTGCTTGAGTTATGTGTTGAGATGAAAGAAAGAAACTGACAGTACTAAGTTAAAGAGTATGTATTCTTTATTGCAGTAAGATAACCTGTGAAATGATTTCTTGATAATGGTAAACTACCTGAACATCCAGCAAGAAGGTATTGGTTCAATAAACTATAATATATCAACTCTACAAATATATTCAATTCCTAAAAATAATTTTGTAGAAGTATATTCAGTGACATAGAAATCGAATTATGTTAATTTGTATTTATGGGCTTGGTTTGATAAGTATTTTTTGGAGGTTCTTTCAATACTGCCCTGCCCTTGCCAATGTTTGGGTTTTTTTTTCTTATGGACAAGCCGACTGAAAACATAGACTCTGGACACTGAAAAGGTTATGGTGCCCACCTCCACAGAGACTCAAATCAAACAGCACTGAAATTAACACAAAAAAAATCAACCTTTTAGTTGTGTCTTGATGATAGCTTCTATATTTTATTTAAACATTAATATAAATATGTTAAAATATGTATTTTGTTACTACTACTTTTTACCTGGTCAGAACATATAGTTAATCAGCCTACTGGATAATAGAACATGTGAAGCAGATACTGTTTCCCATATGGAGTTAATGTGAAATAGTTATATCATCATACATTAAATAAAGCAATTGATTTTAGCAATAAAATAACTCTGCATGTATAGATTTACATATACATATATAACCACAAATACGTATTATAAAAAGTTAACAGTGTTTAACTCTAGTCAAAATATTGCATAAATTTTTATTTTTGGCTAGCCTATATTTTCTAAAATGTCTATATTAATATTTATATTTTTATTAAGAAAATAACTATATGCAGAGTAAACAGAACACTGCATGATATATACTTTTAGTACAAATTGTCTTTATTAATATTTCTGAATTATCAAGAATTTTTTCTTCTCTGAATTTCAAAAAAATTCAGTAGTAGCCACTGAGTAGTATAGATTCATGTGAACAACTCAAAGATTCAAGAAATCATTTTCAGGCCCCCATACTACATTCTAACAATTTAATTTAAATAAATTTATTGGTTAAAGTATTGTTAGATAAATATTATTTCTTATCTATTCCTACTTCACATGGCAGGAGTCCTAGATATGTGTTGCTTCAATCTCCGTATGATTTTGTTATCCTGCTTTACGTACTGTGCAGAAAAATAAAACTTTTTATGGAAATTGATGAGTTTTTCTCATTCACCAGCAAAATAGAATGTAACCAAAAAATCAAAGCATGATGTTTAAATGAAGACTTATTTTATTCTTTTTAAATTTTTTTGCCCTAAATTTACTATTTGTTAAGATAGTTTTATTTAACTTCAAACAAGAAGGTTTTCTTTTTATCTTCATATAGGTACTTAAAAAGTTTGCTTCTCTCATCTACTCCTACGCCATTTGTTCTCAGACATACAAGCATAAACCAGTTCCAGCTGGTTTAGCCATTTATTTTTCCTCAAATTTATAACAGCCAAAACACCCTTACACCAGATTTTTCCAAGTGTTAGATTTGTGCCCTTTTAAAATTTTAGAAAAATCTCAGTTGTGCTAATTGGAACTCTCAGTCCTCAATTATCACCTACTTGCTTTCTTTGTGTCCTTTTTGTCTAACAAATACATGCTTTGGTGCTTTTGAGATTATTAATAGGATTAGTAAGTGCTAGATAAAGCTCAAAGATCAACAGAAGTTTCTCTGGCACTTACCTATTACCTACATTACAATACTACTATTAACCTCTAAGGAAAATGAATTCTAATACATTTTAATTTTGCAAAATTTATTTGGTACCATATTTTTGTCAGTATAGACAAGGATCTAACAGAAAACCATCAAAACTGTATTGATAATGAATGCCAAGCATTATATAATGACAAGTAAGGGACAAGAAATACTTGTGGTCTCACAGATGAGCAAACCCAACAACTGTGACGTATGTTAAAAATGCATGTTAAACTGTAAAAGCCACGGGAGACTCTAGACAGAGTTTAGGAGTTGAAAGACTTTACACGAACTTGTGATCCCTTCTTGAAGGTGCCATCATGTTTAGAAGGTGATGCGTGTGGCAGGTCCTAGATAGAGGAGCAGGAGAAGTGAAGTCATGGAGATGGGAGGAGAGCAAGACTCAAAGAAAGGGCAGGAGTAAGTTGATGTTAGGATGATGGCACAGAAGGTTAGAGAGGAAAGCCGACGATGTAAGAGCCCAGCATGAGGGATTCTGACGAGTTTTATTTCCAGACGAGCCTCCACGTGAAGTCAGACTTTAAAGAGCATGTTTACTAAACATGACCACTCTATCGACATCCTTGACTGTATGTTCCTGTTTACTGAGTAATACATGTTGCATAGGAGAATGATTATTTTTGTGAAATGAAACCTAGGTCCAAAACATTTCACTACAAATGATAAATGAGACAATCGGAGACTAAATCATCTAGCACAGAGAAGATAGAAAAAAAGCAAATCCAATTCATCCTTTTGTTTTGTTAGTGACATATTGAAAGGTGACTGTGCTCGGGTAATTCTCTTCTCCTTTTGCAAAGTTTCATTATTCCTTGTTAACTTTAATGTCCTTTCATTTGTGTTGTTTCTATTACATGAACAATAAATCATATATGAAACATACACACACATGCACACACATACACATACCCAATTGGTTTAGAAAATGTACAAAAATCACAAAGAGCTTTATCCTTCTCTTCTTACAGTCTTGGCTTCTATAAAGTTTTGCTGCTTAAAATTCACAATTAGTGAATTGTATTGTTATTAATATCATTTTTTAAAACTAATTTTCATTCCAGCAAAGGAGAAAATAAAGCTAAATTCAATACTCTACACGACATCTAAAATCTAGTTTTCAAGGTGTTAGATTTGTTATGGTCATTTCTATATAGGTTAAATCTCATCTTATTTTAACCTTCTAAAGGATTTATGTCTCACCATAAAAAATTTCCCAGTCACTGCAAATATTTTTAAATTAGGAAAATATAGTTCATTTCTCATTTATAGTTTCTCTCTTTTTAAAAAATAACTTTGAAGTCAGTGTTAACTTTCATTTTCTTCCTATAAATTTATGACCTTATTTAAGTATACACATACTATTTAACATACTTTATCAGAGAAACTGTGCTTCTAGAAAGTTGTATCATCACATTTGTGGCTAAATTAAATTATACTGTAGATATGAAATGTATACTTTAGAAGCAAACCCACCGAAATTACAATAATAACAGACACCTCAAGTTTTTATGTATTTGTCGTGGTAAAATCCAGTGAAGAATATTCTTAAGCTGTTTACCACTAGCATTGTGCCTTCCCTGGCTTCTGGAGGAGGAAGAGAGAGAGAGAGAGGGGGAGAGAGGGAGAGAGGGGGAAAGGGGGAGGGGGGAGAGAGAGAGAGAGAGAGAGAGAGAGATCTTTATTAACAGACACAGAACTCTCCTCCTGAAAGAAAGAATTTCCAGAAATCAACATCTGCATTCACCATACTTCTTACTTAGTTTAATAAAAATACTTTCTAATGATACTTCTACTTCACATGAAATATCTTCAATAAATGCTACTATTTCATTTCAGGCCTTAGGTCTCCAGGAAGGGTCAATTTTTTATAACTCTCATTTGGGAGCTTTAGGCTTTGTTCTATGCTGTGTGCCTGGCTTAGTGCAATGAACTTAACACTGTGATGTTGTCCCTGTGATTACTAAAATGATTTTTTTCCTTATGTTCTTGAAATTGAATCTATGTTCAACTGGTAGGCTCAGCATTCTCTACAGAATGATGTATAAACCTGTCATTTTAAAAGATAACATGAAGAAATCTCTCAATGAGGTCAATGGCACTGCTACCTTTCAGTAACAAAATTTCTACTATTGAAATACACTTAAAGCGTAATTTTAAATCCAAAGCAGTTAACTGCCATTACTGGAACGGTGAAGGATACAATTTTAAAGAGAAAAGATTACGTTTTTCTAAATGTTCCTTAAATTCTTCAATAAAACACTGCTATTGCATTGAAAAGTAGTATGCCACCAGAAATAGAAAGGATTTCAAAAAGACTGTTGTTTTTTAATTGTTATAGGAAGATTTTTTGGACGAATCTTGTGAAAAAAAAGCACTTCTCCTTAACACGGTAAGACTACAAATGAACACAACATCTGCCACAAAACAAAAGGAACACATTCACTAAAACTGAGCTGTTTGATCATTTTACCAGGTATCAGAATATTCAAAATAAGAGAAACGAAGTTGAGGGTGAAAAGGAACAAATTTAAAGTATACGATTTTTACTATACAGAAAAACGAATGAATACAGATCAGCACATCTTGCAAAGTATTTCAGGTCATTATACTTTATATTGTAGCCCAATTCTCCAGCATTTAAACCTGGACATTCATTTTTTGGAATTATCTTTCTTAGGCCTAATTCTCTAAAGATCTTGATTAGTCCGTATCTTCACATAATTTGTAGAAAGGAATAAGACAATTAAATACTACTCAAAATAGAAATTATAAAGCTAAAGTCTAGTTAGTTGTTCAAAGATATGGCATTGTTCGTTTCCCAGTGTCTGACTAGGGAACACACCTCAGAGCCAGCACAGCCCAGGGTTAGGCTGATAATCAAATGAACTTTCAAACTTCCTCTTTACCTCAAAGCAAAGTGCATCAGAAAACTATAGAATGGGATCTTTTTGTCCCAGCTCAATATTTACACTGATTCTGAAATTTTAGCAAAGAGTTATATAACCCATACATCTTATTCATAGTTGTTCCCTTTGAGAATCAGAAACAATTCAAGTAATAAATGAGGTAGAACACAGGTATATTTGGCCGTACATGCCATGAAGAGAACTCATTGAACACATTTAAGAAGTTCTAAATCTTTCATGAACTAACGTATCAAATAAACTTTTTAAATAAAATAATTAATTCAGAGTTTGGCAAGGAAATAGAAGTCTTTTTCTTACGGTTAGCCAAAAATTGTCTTAAATAACTAGATTTCATTACACTACAATAAAACTGAATGAAAATCACAAGTATGTACAATATACATCATCACTTAGTATGTCAAAAAGCATATTAACTGAAGGAGCATATATTTGCATAGACACATATACACATATATTACTTTTTTTAAGTTGCATGTATTCAAAGGAAGAAGAATTTACATTCGATTTCCAAAGCAATGGATCTTTGACTGGAAGTATTAACTCTACCATAGAATATTCTATCAGTCTATTGTAAGCCACTGAATCTTCTTTTGTTAGTTCATTTCTTCAGAAACGGTTGATACTTTTACTAAATGCCAACTATCTGGAATATAGAAATAAAGTGACAGTCCCTGAATTAAAGAAGCGTACATTGTTAGAGGAGAGGCACAAAACTACCCAAAACTCATTACTCCATTGAAAATTATTTTTTAAACCACTGTCTTTTAAGGAATTAATTCTTTTACAAATTTATTGCCTGCACAGCCCAGGGGTAGGCTTATTATCTGGATGATCTTTCATTTATTTCTCTTTCTCTCTCTCTCTCTGTAAGTATATATACATACCCTTAGTTTAACACAGAGAAGCATGCCCTAAATGCCTTAAAATAAGGTTGCCAGATGAAATGAAGGATGCCTATAGTTAACTGAATGTCTTGTATTTTTATTTGCCACATCAGGCAACCATTCTCCAAAACTCCCACCAGCTACTCCCCACAGTGATTATTACAACTCTAAAGGGTAGAGTGCCCCAGAGTCAAAACCCAATGAGAAAGGATGAACACCAGCCATTATAATAGCTGACAAATACTAAATACCTAGTGCTGAGAAACACACAAACTGAATGAAGAGCTTATACTCTGCTTTAACCTAATTTGAATCTTACTCAATTCTCGTGTGCCCTGGCTAGAAAATAATTTCGTTCAAAAATAAATTTTTCATTTCCTCCTGTTATGTTTTAGCTTCTGATTTCTATCATAAGAGCCTTAAATGGTCATGGCTTGAGCTCAATGTAAAATATTCTGAACACAAATCTTGGCTTTCTTCTTTAATTATAAAAAGTGTGACCATTATGTAGCTGTTCTTGTATATACAGAAATATTCAGTGTTTTAATTAGGCTTACTCTACTTTAGTGTTAAAGGAAGCAACAGGCCTGCGATTGCCTGGGCACTAATAGTACATAATATAGCCAATTGCAAACAGCAGTCTAATTTGTTGATTTCAAGTGAAGTGTAATTATATTGCTTCATTTGCTGAGCAAATCATACGAGAGTTTCTCTAAATCAGCCTGATTGTGTAATGAAGAGCTAATTACAAACAGCAGTGTTCTTGCAGTAAATTTATTGTAAGTGCTAATGCCAGGTTGGCTCCATTGTGACAATGGCTCATTAGTACATTAGCAAAAGCAACTGTGGGAAAATGCCCAAGCAGGGCTACCGGTCTCTCAGTTTCAGAAGCTGCAATGATTACATCCTTCAACATGTAATTACTAAGAAAATGGTGTTTGATTTAGGTTTTGGCAAATTTTTAAAAAGAACTAAAAGACATTTTTAGAGCAAAATGAAATGATTCGGAAAGCCTTCTTGTCAGGCTTAATTGGTGCTTCATTTCACCAGGTGTGCCCTGGAAACCGAATTTAACAAGAGGCTCTTTTAGACACTAGGCCATTCTTGACAACTGAGTTCTCACATTTCCTCATCCACATGGAATCTATGACTTAAAAGAAATACATACTTATATGTACTTCAACATATATACTTAATACTTATATATATAAGTATATATAAATATGTATATACTTAATACTCATATATAAATATATATACTTATTCCTATTCCTACTTATACTTGATATATATATATATATATATATATATATATATATATATATATTTTTTTTTTTTTTTTTTTTTTTCTCCTTGCATTGAAGTGAGGTGAGTCAATTAAGCTCCTGCTAGACAAACAAAACAAAGGATCAGTAGCTACACATATAACCATGTTATCTCACATCCTAATGTCTAGGGTTTTTTATTCTAATGAAGTGGAAATACCTGAGCTTTGTGTCTTGAAACAGCCCCCTACTCCATGCAGCTGGATTTTATAAACTACCTTGTTCAGTTGAGCCAGTTGGTCTTAAGACGGCCCTTATGCCATTTCCCTACCTTCACCTTCAGAGTAACCAAAACTGCTCATCAATCTCTTCCTTTTATTGATTTTTTTTCATCACAAAGTTTTATTTATCTGTGCTTATCCTAACATGAAACTTTAAGATGCAGACTTTTCTAGAATCCTTAACAGTTTAGTACATTGCTTCATAAACTTTAGTAGGGCATTCACGGAAGAGCCCTCTCCCAAGGATATTGATAGTATTGTGTCTACAACTAATGTGTTAATTAATTTTTCAAATAAATTTAAATATATTTTTAAGTAATGTTATTGAATATTCAGTCACTATGCCCTGAAATCTAAATCTAGTCTTATTGATCTCTAAACACTTTGATTCTCTCTCCTAATAAGGAAAAATCATAAATAAGCAGACATGCAAAGTTTCAATGTAGGCTAATAGGTATAAGTGTATAAGTATTATGTATATATTAATAATACACATTTTATCTGTCTCTGTTTATTTACTTATTTATTTATTTGTTTATTTATTTTGAGAGGGGGTCTTGTAGTGTTATTCAGAATGAATTCAAACTCCTGGGCTCAAGCAATTCTTCTGCCTCAGCCAAGTGGCTGGGACCACAGGCATGTGCCATTGCACTGCACAGAAATACATATATTTTAGAAATTAAAAATTAAGTCAGAAATATATTTTAGTGGATAAATTATAAAGTCAAAAATGCATATGCATGCTAACTAGAAAATTTAAATAATACATATATATATAAATGATGTTTGTATATACAAACATACTCATTGTCCCTTTTATACTGAGAACTAATGGCTTTAGTCTATTAGCTGCACAAAAAATATTGTCTTCAAGAGAAAAAAATAAGACTATTGAACTGAATATCAGATAGCTATTCTTCTGTTCCTAAAGACCTAACCATAAAACAACTTAGTTGCCTGAGTTCTTACAACTAATTAGTGACAGAGCAGAACTGGAGATATTTATTTTCTAATGGTCAGCCCACTTTTCTGAGTTTACTAGGCTAAATTTGTCATATATTGTGGCCTCTATCCAATTTTGTATCTTAAATTATTGCTATAATAAATATCAATACTTTTCAAATTTTACATCAAACAATATTTCTTTCATCCTTTAGATTTAAAAAGTTTATTTCTATTTTTAAGTTTATTCATAGTTTCAATAATTCAAGATGAGAACCAAATATTAAATAGCTTTCGTGTCTTTAAATGTGAATTAACGTCCAGTTTATCTTGTTCTCTATCTTCTCCCAACAAATGATTACAGAAATCATCTGATATCTATCATTATCTCTTTTTTAAAATCATTTTAAATGGGTCAATTTTATTTATGATTTGTGTGTTTAAATTTTTATTATTACATCTCTTACAGCAAAATTTATAGGGTTTCCAAGATCTTTCAGGATCATCCAAAATGCATATAATCTAATTCTGCTTTTTATATTCGCACTTTATCATTGCTCCATACTCATGCTTCAAATCAATCTTTTAATTTTCATGTTTATGATTGCTTATCATATTATCCAATATGCACTTCACAGGATCAATAATCTGATTTAGGGTGTAAGCAGGAAAACTAAGTGAATGGCAGTAGGCCAATGATTAATGATTTGGTCCGTGTAGAAAACAACATTTATTCAAAAATCACAGCAATGAAGTAAGCTGAACTAAGTGATAAAAAATTCATGAAGATGTAAAATTATTCAGGCATGTGGCAGATTCTGTGGCAACAATGCCACAAACTTATATTAATGTCTACTATGTGCAAATGTAGCATTTCTTTCTTGGGCATTACTGTCATTTCATATATCAATGCTTCACTGTTTTGATTTGTTTAGAATCTATTTGAATAACTCTTTGTAAGATATTGAACTTCATATTGGGGAAAAGGATCAATCATTGTATAATGAATTCATTTTTGGATTATGTCTACACAACGAAACAAAATGAATATTTGCTTTATTTGATGATTCAGGCACAAGGTCCATTGAGTTTGTGGGCTGAATGATTACATTTGACTTTACTTGAAGTAACCATATACATCATTAAAACACATACCGGTTTTTTGTCCTATGCAGAATTAGCCTCAATAAAGAGAAAATGGAATTGAATGTTTAGCTAATTCCATACAATACCTATGCTACTGTATAATTTATAAGCAGCGGGTAGCCTAAGAATATAATGTTTTTCTTCAAGATTAATGTGTGGAATACAAACCAAATCTTTCTTCTAAGAGTATAACTTGCCAATATATTATTTTGCTAAACATTTTTAAAAGGATTATTGAAACGGTGGAAAATATATAGAAGGCCACTTTAGGAAACACTGCCTTTTTCTTGCTAATACATAAATTGTAGCCATTTGTTCTTTTTGCCACAACCTTTGGGGATTCGGGTGAAATACTTCCTTCAGAATGTTTCTTGGCATCCCTTATTTTTATTGACCCGTGAACTTGAAAGTCTGTCATAAGATATTATTATGTGAGAATAGTGGAAATGTATTCCATTAAAGCAAAATCTCTATATACAGAATCCATTCGAGTGCTATCATTTGTCTTCTCTATGAATTTTCTATCTCAAATAGGAATGATTGTATGCTTAATTTGTTATTTTTATACCTATACCTGTACACATACAGATATAACTGATGGTATAGTATAGACTTTTAGAGAATGAAAAAGGCCTGTGTTTGGGATTTGAATAAGTCCCAACCTATATTAGCATATAAGCAAAATAAATTTAAAAAATATATATCTGTGTGTGTACAGAAGTAGACACATTTTATCATATATTTACATATGTGTGACATAAATATAAAATGTATAAAAATAAATTATATATTTGAAATAGAAGCAACTCTACACATGCACATTATTATGCCTTCCCTCTGCTGTTCTTCTCATTTTTTTTTTCAGATTCTACCCTCATTGCTGAACCCAAAACCATAAACTATTTGAGGTAAATGCTAATCATTTGTTGAATTAAACTGATGTTGTTAGTAGGCGAGGAAATACTCCTCTGTTGTTGCTTTAGTAGAAACTGTGGGTGGAAGGACACAGGAGAAACCACTGCTCCGATGACTTGCTGACACTGGCTCTACTTGGCTGTATTCCACTTTTATGACTTTAAGATTTACACCAACAGTTTCTCTCATCCAGAAGTGTATTTTTACCAATAGAAATCTTCAGAAACTGAACAGTGAAATGCATCAACAAATTATGTTCATTATTTTGAAGTTAGTAGCAAATGTTAGAAATCACTTACTATACACTGTACTCTGTTCCTTAGTATTATTAAGCCTTTTTAATTTAAAAGATATTGAATATTTTCAGTTCTAAAATATTTTATTAAGAGCAGAAACCTTTAAAATCTTGTTATTGCTACTCAAAAAGAAAATATTTGTAACATCTGCTATAACTAGCTTTAAAATAGGTGATTATTAGCTAAAATGCCTGGTAAATTATTTTCAAAACATGTATTTCAGTTGAAGACTAAATTAGTGTTTAAAGCAGCCAACTGGTGATTTATATCCCAAGTAAGATATTCCAATTAACCAGCAGTTATTATTGATGCTACTAGTAACAACAATAATCAACAGTTAGACAAAGTTTGGTAATAGATTTTTTAGGGACCCCATTATCAATATATAGCTCATAGGACTTAAAGTAATTACAAATAATTATTATATTGACTAATCAAATATCTAATTTTTTGTAATGCATGCTACTACATAAAACAATAACTGGATTTTATAGATTATTAGCCTCTGTACTGCTTTGTGTAGTATTGCCTATTAGTTGGTACTTGTTCTTAGTCTAATGAACTTACAATCACAAGACATGTAATTCTGAATTTGCATAGCTCTAATCTCATGAATATCAAAATAGAAACTTCGGATATATAATACTAATGAGAACATTTCAATGAGGAAAGGTTACTATAAAATATAAAGTAGAAAAATTTTATTTGAGGTTACATTCCATCTTTCCATATACATTTCCTGATGTTGGTATTTAATAGCTAAAACAATAATTAACAATTTTTGGATATAATTAAAGCAATTACTGTATAGTAGCTAGACCTGCAGGCATCAACATCCTTTGTCTATTAATTCAAAGTGGCCAGGTATGACTTTTGAACCTGTATTTTAACTGAAAAGAAAGAAGTTCACATTTGTTGAGCATCTATAATGTGCTAAGCACTGTGTTAGATACTTTTTGTAGACTATCTTGATTAATCAACACATCTATTATGTGAAACAGGTAGAAACCAAGGTTTATAAATGTGACAAAAATTTATTTCTAGATTTTTCTACTTTTACATGTTATGCTAATTATTCTAGAATACTCATAAGAATAAATCTTTATTCATTAAAAACAAGATACCACAATCACTTTCAAAATTTAAATTAAAAATTTTTATTAACTTTTTGTTATTTGAAATAGCAATATCCTGGTATTTTTATTTAATGTTAATGAACTTATACATATCATGAAGCTTATTTTACTATGTATTTTTTCCATAAAACTTAATTTACTTTTTGGTTGTGTTAAATATAAATAAAATTTACCATCTTAACCATATATATGCAGTTCAGCAATATTAATTACATTCACATTGTTGTGCAACCAATCTCCAGAACTCTATTATATAATTTTTTAATTTAACACCTGAATAGAAATAAATTTAGGGAATACAACAGGCTCATAATCTTGGTTATTGCTCCGAAAAATATCTCTTAAAATATTATTGGTCTTTATGTGAGGCAAGCACTGCCATAACACTGCATTGCAGGGAGATTTAGTTTATGCCACCAGTTTTATATAGGAAATGTGACTTACTAATTAGCTAACTGCCTTAATGTCTGGGTGAGTCATGTCATCCCTTATGGTCTGCAAAGTTATTCAATGAAGTAATTTTCTAACCAGAAATGTAACTATACTTGTTTGGTCTCTTCAAAGAGGTCCCAGAAAACTAACTTAATAAATAAATAAATAAATACAAATGCATCTGGTTTTTTAAGTTTACTTTGGTAGGTGTAGAAATACAAACACCATCAGTTAATTGTACTGGGCTTTTTTATTGGCTCTTTTATTTCTCACTTTATTTTCTGGGTTGCTTTATGATGTTGTGACACAATGATTTTCCCTCCTACCCCCTCATGTCAACAAAGTTTATAGAAAATAAAATATCTTTATTGTTATATAACAGCACAGCAGGCTTCACATTTATTATGGAACTAAATAAATGCAAGAGTAGCTTTTCACTTTAGGCAAAACAAGCCACATTTGAAGAGACCCTGGGGGTTAAAATGTCACAGATTATGTACATTCGTAAAATAATTTCTGATTAAATGAACTATGCTACCCCCATATAAAAGGAACAACTTTTTGATTTTTTCTGAATTTTAATTGTCCTTAATATGTAAACATGAGTGTGTTTAGTCAGCAAACATGAATGTGTGTTTGCTGATGAAGTAGTTACATTAGGGCCAAAGGGCTTTTAATGGAGTAAGAAATTGGTGAAGATTTATATGACCACTGTGGAATATGCTCTTGTTATGGAAAATGATACCTGCCTCTTTACTAAAAGAAAAAAAAACAAGATTAAATTAACTGATATTGGTGATGTCGTAAGCCACTAATGCAGAGTTTGAGTGGTTTAGAAATATCAGAGGAAGCTGGTAATGCAATTACTACATTAGCATGCAGTTGGAATCTGGTTTTCGCCTGCAGAATAAACTCCAATGAGACATTTATTTGTCCTTGAGTAATGATAATTGTGACTAAGTTTCCCACCTGAAAGAGGCTTTCAGTGAAATTGTCTTTTCACATATTACATGGAAGACCAGATGTTTGAAAGCAATGCTGATGGCGTGCTTTCTAACCTTTTTCACCTCACTGGACATGTTGAAAAAAAAAAAAAAGTACAGCACACTGGAATATACAGAAGAGGCTTTTTGTAGCCTCTTCCAGTTGTCCTAAGGGCTGAAGGGACAAAATCTTGGCTTAGCTGCAACCTGCCTGGGACACACCAGTATGCTATGGAACATAAATTGAGAAAATGTATACAGCATTCATTTATCCATGTAACATATACTTCTTTAGTACCTACTATGTGCCAGTTGCTTTATAGGCCCTGGGGATAAAATAGCGAGAAAATCAGACAAAAATCCCTACTTTCATGGCGTTTATATTCTGGGGGGAAAATAGAAAAGTAAAAAGTTAAATAAGGGAAATATAGCACATTACATGGTGATACTCTTAAGAAGAAAGAAAAAATAAAACAAGGAGTGGAGCACTGGAAATATATTTTATTTATTTATTATATATTTATTTATTTTTAGTTTTAGTTTTTTAAAAATAGGGTCTCACTCTGTCACCCAGGCTGGAGTGCAGTGGCACGATCACAGCTCACTGCAGCCTCAACCTCCCAGAGTTCAGGTGATCCTCCTGCCTCAGCCTCCCAAGTGCCTAAGACTACAGATTCATGGCATCACTCTTGGTTAATTTTTCTATTTTTAATAGAGACTGATTTGCCTTGTTGACCAGGCTGATCTAGAACTTCTGGCCTCAAGCCATCCACTCACCTTGGCCTCCCAAAGTGCTGGGATTACAGGGGTGAGCCACCACGCTGGATGGAAATATTTTAGATAATGAGATCAGGAAAGCCACTGCCTGGCATGTTCTCTTGGTTAATTGTAAGGTGGCTCTCTGTGGTTCTTTTATCTCAAAGCACCATTTATGCCAGGAGCAGGGCTGTGTATCAGAATCAGCATTAGCAGAAACCACAGATAGCATAACGCAAGCAAAATATGCTTATAGAAGTCCAGATATCTACAGACTTTTAGTTAAGACACCTTAGATAGGTTTTTTAGAGTTTAGTTTTGAAATATTTTGATAGCTAAACTTTCTTTTTCCAAATGAAATCATAGATGGGCACAATGTAAACAAAAATAATACAGCTCAGTATTAAGCAGAAAGTCCTTCATTGCTTGTGAAACCTGGAAATCAATTATTTCACACCCTTATGATTCTTAGAGACATCATTTAGAAAATTTATTCATTAAGATTGTTTTTAACAACAAGTAACAAAAAAATCCAGCCTCATAGTCTTAACATGTTTTTGCTCATATAACAAAATCAGAAGATAAGTGGACCAATAATGTTAAACTGATACCTCCAGATTCTCCTGTCCTCTGCCTACTGCTGACTGAGTCAAAAAATGACTATTACAGCTCCAGAAATAGAGCCACATTCTCAGCAGGAAGACAGAGAAGGAAGCAGCAGTGCCTGTCATTTCAAATCTTTCATCAAGAAAGAAACATTTTTCAGAAGTTCCTCCATCCCCAGCCTCAGAAGACTCCCACTTAGTTCTCATTAGCCAGAAGTGAATCACATAACTATTCATAGCCGAGTCAAACTGGTAAAGCAAAGAACAGGGAAATCCTGATTGACTTAAACAGGGTTCATCACATGGGACTGGGTTTCTGCCACCCCAAATGAAAGTAAGTTTCTGTCACTCCAAAGAAAGGAAAAAAGATACTGCATTGGCAACTAAGAACATCTACCACAAGTAGACACTCTATAACAGATGTAGCTCCACTTTTGATTACAGCGTCTTGATTTTGAAATTGCATTTACACTCTGGCAACTAATATCATAACATTGCCCTAGAGGCAATTCTAACGTAACATAAAAATTGGGTCTAGCAATGCATAATACTTGAAAGCAATTGTTCATAAGCATATGCCATAATAACAAATATTCCCCTGTAGGTTTTCAAAATAAATGAAAAGAGATGCAGATGGATCTGTTTTACAGCCAAGTATATTTCCACATGGCAGCATGAACTGAGATTAGGCATAGGAATTAGGCTTTTATGATGACCAAAATTGTATGTGCTAGTAACTCTACTTGACATTAAAGGTTGTAATTTATCTTCTTTGTATTAGTTTTTTTTTTTTTTTTTGCTATCTGTGAAACTGGAATAACATTCTCATCCTTGTAGGGATCATATAGATTACCTGAAAGGGAAAAGTGCCCTCCATTTCCAAAGTGCTCAATAAATTACATGCATTAAATTGCCATAGGTTTGTTTGACACATCAGAAAAATTTCACTGTTTTTCTTAAGATTCCCTTTCCATTTATCTTTATTTCCTGATCTTTCCCCAAATGTCTAAGAATATGAAAAGTAGGTCTGTCTTTCACTGCCTGCATAGAAGATAGACTTTATCTATATCAATTTTGTGAACTGTGAAGGAACTTTATGAGCCTGTTTGTTTGGAAACTGAATCACAGGGAAGTTCGGTATCTTCAAAAAATAATTGTTAATTTATAGGGCATGTTAAGGTGTTTATTATTTCTTATTCCATTTGTTTCCTCACAATTAATCCTAATTTCTATTTTCTTACCTGATCACAAGGTAAGATGTATTGATATACTAGAAGCACCCAAACTAGTAGTCATAAGATATTAGTTTAATAGTGGCTTATCATTGATTAGCTCTGTTAACCTTAGAAAGTCATTTAAAATCTCTGGACCTCAACTTTCTCATTTACAAAAATAAGGTGATGCTATCTTTGCTGCTTTTCGTACAGAATTGCCATCATCCAAAATGTATAATTATATTTTCCAAATTCCACATATTTCCAACTTATATGTGTATACACAGGCAGATTTGATATAATTATGAAATGATTTATATCTCTAAACCCAATATGTTCAATAAAATAAATAATATTTAGCATCCCCAGATGCTAAATATTCGCTGTAGATTTTCTTTCAATATAGAATGAAGGATAATTTGATTTGAATTTTCTATCGTATTTCATTCACACGATGATCTGTAGGTTTATTGTCAAATAGAGCACACTACTCTTAGCGGCACACTGTGGGATTCAATTTTCTGTAGATTCCTAGTTTTTAAAAACAATCGCATTTTTAAATTGCCAGTCATCAGAACCAAAGTCCTTTCCTAGAAGTTCTTGAATCTTTGTGTCTTTGTTATCTAAAACTTAACTCCGTCACCTACTGAGGCTATCTCAAAGCACTCAGATTTAAGTAGGAAGACTTTACTCATCATATGGTTTTATCCTGAGGCACTTTAGTCAATTGAAAGGGTTTTGTTGTTGTTGTTGCTAAATTGTGTATCACAGCCTTAAATTGACTTTTATCTTGAGTTGTTTTAATTAATGTGAAGGTATTATTGAGTCTTGGTCAATAAAAGTCTCTTACAATAACATCCTTTTTTTCACTTTGCATACTCACACATTTCTGATGTCTCTATTTCTTTTAATTTAGGCTTGTTGACTGTTAAATTCTTTCTTGTAATACTGTGTCAAATATTATCAATAGCAACCTTTGCTTGCTATTAAGTTTCTATTTCCAGACTTTTCCCCAAGAAATGAACTTTCTGTCGTCAAAGTAATTACAGAAAGCATTTTGACCAAATATTTTGCTATCGGTTTACATGGCTGAGCAACTTTCCAAAATCCAAAAGTAATTTGTTCACAACTCATGACTCAACTGCTAAGGCAATGCAATTTTGTCTAGAAATTTTATTAGAGTCTTTATCCCTGAATCAGTTTCAGTATTAGCTACACAATTAACCCCCAAATCTCAGTGGCCAGTAGCTTATCACACAGAAATTCATTTCCTCTTCATATTCTATGTCCAGCACAGCCATGTGAGGGATTCTACTCCACACAGGCACTCAAAGCTCCAGTCTGAGGGAGGCTCTGCCCCTTGTGATGCCATGCAGCTCTGGATTAAGTACTCATGGCTTTTTGCCCTGAATGGTTATAAGGCTCAAATCTAACTAAAACGTACCCTGTCGAAGAAAAACGACACTCACTGAATATTCTGTGAGTACTTTTGTCTTTGCCATGTAGCAGGAGGAGCTGCAGACAAGAACCCCTCAGACACCAAGCTGTGGAAGGAAAGGGCTTTATTCAGCTGGGAGCATCCGCGGACTCACGTCTCCAAAAACCGAGCTCCCTGAGTGAGCAATTCCTGTCCCTTTTAAGGGCTTGCAACTCTAAGGGGGGTCCGAGTGAGAGGGTTGTGATCGATTGAGCAAGCAGTGGGTACGTGACCGGGGGCTGCCTGCACCAGTAATCAGAATGGAACAGAACAGGACAAGGATTTTCACAACGCTTTTCCATGCAATGTCTGGAATCTATAAATAACATAACTGGTTAGGTCAGGGGTCGATCTTTAACTACCAGGCCTGGAACGTAGCACCAGGCTGTCTGACTACTGATTTCATTTCTGTCTTTTCTTTAACTCCTACTTTTTCTTTGAGGCAGAAATTGGGCATAAGACAATATGAGGGGTGGTCTCCTCCCTTAGCCACATTCACCCAGATCAATTTGTATGAAGGTCTCGAAATGTATGGGGATACGATTCAATAAAAGCTCAAAGAATTTTTGCTTTAAAAGATTTTTAAAGAATCAGACATTTAGAGTGCAGGCTCAGAAAGCACAACATTAGACGTAGGTGAAGAAATAACCTTATTAGTATAGGTCTCCTTAACACCTCTAGCTTAAATGGATTTTAAATCAGGAAAAGAAAATATTTCTGAATTGTCAAGGAATAACAGTCTTCAAAACTGATTCAAATGTAGTCTAACTTTTCAAAGAATTCCGGCTTACATCTAGACATCTGTGTCTCCTTGTCATATGTGATACCACATAAAAATAGTGCAGTAAGATATTCTTTCAATTGTGTATTTTAGAAGAGATAAACGAATACAATGACCATTACTGTACTCAATTTTTCACTCTTCATTTATCTAAGTGTACATATTTGTAAATTAAGTGAGAAGCCCCCACCTTTTTCATAATAATAACTAAAATCAAGGATATTTATATGTGCCAAGCACAGTTCAATTTTGTTTTTATTGATACTTTTTATTGATATAAATAAAGAGGATTTTAATTCATATTAGATTTAAATATATAAAAAGTACATACAAGATTTAATTTGGAATGAACATTTTTTCCTGTAATGAATATTTTAATTAAGTTAATAAACCCTTAAAAGTAGAGATGATTATAGTCATGTAAATGTGGTTTAAAAAGTAGCTGATGACACTTGAGACACAAAACATTTAATTTAAAAATGAGTCTCCTTTCACACTTAATTTCTTTTTGTCATTGTCTTTTCACAGAAATTAAAAACTTGTATAAAAACGGGGTAATTGTTTCCTTCAAATTCATAAGCTTGTGTTTTATAATCTACCATAAAGGTTTCAGTCCATGGTTTATAAGCTTATAATTGTTTGCAGTCACTGATTATAATTTCATGAATAAAAATTGCTTTAGGTAATCAATCAATAGGAAAACATTATATAAATCCGACTTTTCTCATAATTGGCTTTATAGATGAAGTATATAAAAAAGTGAGAAACCTTAATATTGTCTAAAAACTCGGTCATTCCTGACTCTGATTCTCCTTCTGTTGCTTTATGTGTGTGTGT
This sequence comes from Homo sapiens, assembly GCF_000001405.40. Taxonomy (NCBI): domain Eukaryota; kingdom Metazoa; phylum Chordata; class Mammalia; order Primates; family Hominidae; genus Homo; species Homo sapiens. The sequence goes on from NC_000004.12 coordinate 172,417,184, forward strand.
GTGTGTGTGTGAACCAATATCCTTTCATAATGAAAAAATCATTTTTTTTAATGTAGCTGTTCTTTTTGTTTCTTTCAAAGACCCACTTCACTATCCAATGAAAGCAATCTGTGGCCCTCATTCTCCAAGGGAAATTATGCACAGAATTCAAGCCTAAGACCTCAGTTTGTTGCTAGACCCTGGCTAAATATCTTTTTTCAAATAAAATTTCTTAATTTGTCTGTTTATACTTGGGATAGATGATGCTTCTTCCTCTGGGAGTTCGGGACCAGCCTGGCCGACATGGCAAAACTTCATCTCTACTAGAATACAAAAATTAGCCGAGCATGGTCACACATGCCTTTAATTCCAGCTACTTGGAAAGCTGAGGCAAGAGAATTGCTTGAACCCAGGAGACAGAGGTTGCAGTGAGCCGAGATTTTGCCACTGCACTCCAGCCTGGGTGGCAGAGTGAGACCCTGTCTCAAAAAAAATAATAAAAAAATTAAAATTTAAATTGAAAAAGATATTGCGATTGTTTTTCTGTCACTAGATAGTTGTTCTTGACTTTTTGTATGCTGCTTCTCCATCTTTTGGAAGAGAGTATCAAGTGGAAACTTACCATTCTGTTGTGTTTGTTTTTAGCAGTTATTTTGAATATAATGCTACAGCAATAATTAAAACCACACCTATGCATTTGATCCATGAAAAGAAAGTTTCTCAGCACTGCTGCAGTTAAGTATGAGGTTTAGAGGGTGAAAAATTACTCAAGTTTTTTTGAGTCTGTTTCATTTTTGTGCCACTTTATAATACCTCTATGACTTTCAGATGTAGTCAGCAGCTTCACCCCACTAAGCGTCATTAATCCTTCTGTGCTGAACATTTTGTATAGTTTACAATTGTCTTACTCTTTACCTAATGCATAGGCAAACAGACAACAGTAGTTAAGACACCATAGCAAAGTTTTCACTATGCCAAATTGGGGTAGGTGATGTATTTCATTTATTGGTTCTTTTATTGTTGTTTAAAATTTAAAAAGTAAAACTTTTTTTTAGGTTAAAGGTTATTTTCAAGATGTTTGCATTACATTCAGCTTCTTCTATGTTCAGCAATATTCATTTCTTACCCTCTCATTGAAGAATAGTGTACTTTTCTCCTACATTGATGTAGGGCTTGGCCAATATAACTTGTTCTGACAGATGGAATGTTAGCAGACATAACCCAGCAGGGCCTTAAATGTATTGGGATCACATGACTTGGCTTCTGTACCTTGAATGACAACTGTATGCCCCTTTGGTCTGAGCTCCAAAACCTTCACATATGGAGCAGATCTGAACCCATCCTATAGTGGGGAACCAAGCCAAGTCAACCCACAGCCTGAGGCTGAGGGAATAGCCAAATCCAGCCTAGATCATCCAAATTACAATCAACCTGCAGGCTTATGACCAAGAGAATAAATGCTTGCTATTGTAAGTGACTGCATCTTGGAGTAGTTTGTTATACCGTGTCATTGTGGCAATAGCCAACTGATAGAACATCTAATATTAGCATTCTTGCATGTTTTCATTATACTCCGATACATGGGTTTAACAAATCAATCTATGTGACAAAGGAGGAAGATTATATCCACATTAAGATGTACACAGTACAGTGATTTCCGATTCTCAACAGCATTGTCCGGAGTCATCAACATTTTTATTTAAAGGTGATTGTTTTCATAATAACATAATCATTGAATGTCTTAAAGGATTATTAAAATTTTTAAAAAGTAGTTTTCTACGAGATTTATCAAGCAATAGGGAACTTTTTTAGTTATTTGTTTTCATATCGGAAGTTTTACTATGAAATCAATTAATCAATTGACCTTTTATCCCTTGAGAACTTTGTTGTTACTATTGTATGGATGGTGGGGTGGTATATGTATATTTGCACCTTTATAGTGTGTGTATGTGTGTGTGTGACATAACTTTGTAGCTAGATATGTTCTTCAAGACAAATGAATTTCATGAATATCGAGAATTTTTTCAAGAAAATAACCCTAATATGTTACCTAACATCCTGTTGATTAAAGACCAGGCTTTCAAACCAAGGCAACCTAGGTCACAGTCCTGGCATGGCTCTTTCTGGCTGCCAACTTTGGTGATAATAATGTTTAGCTCATAGGTTCATTGTGAGGATAAAGTGTGATCGTGTATATGAGGCAAAGAGCAGAGTGCCTGGGGCACAGAAACTGCTTTATTAAATATGATTATTTTAGTTATAATTTATTGGATATTTTCGATTTCTTTCTTTCAAAGACATCATCTGCCTTGTAATGTCTTTGCAACATTTAATATATTTAGCATAGTGTGAGGCACTTTGGATGCTCATTTTTTACAATAATATAATAGTTACACAAACTTAAGCTACTGCCCATAAACGTTTCTGGAGTGACTTTCGAATTGAGGCTTTATGAAGTTAACAAAGAAGAGTTTATAGTATAACTAAAATTGCAATGAGAAGTGAGGACGACATACATTTTAATAGATGTAATTCTGTTGCACACTGTAAAGGATGTGGTGAGAGTTTTGTGTCTGTCTACCTCCTTCTCACACATAAATTTGAGTGTGACTAAGAGACATGTCCCAGCTAGGCTAGATCAACTGAGGACCTCTCTCTTGGTTCAATGTTTATTTGCTTACTTTTATGGCATGCTTTCATTGCCTCTGGCTTTTGTTTATCTGTTTGTGTCAGCACTAACTGCACAAAAGTTTCAGAATTTCTTCAAATATCATTTATGTTTTGATTCTACTTGATTCTAGACATTTGTAAGAATTTTGTGTGAAAAAACAGAGGGATGTTAATTTTAATATGTCCTTGATTAAAGACTAAACTTTGGATATCGTACCATTATGTGCTTATTTATGGAAGTCTACTTGTCTACAGTAATCTGTTCAAAAGTGAGCCATCCATTTTACTAAATAATAGAATGGAACTCATGTAATTTTCTCTCTTTATTGAGTTTTTACAGTCTAGGCTCATTGTCATGAGTGAGAATTTTTCTAGCAAAAGAAAGTGACATGAATATCGTGATAACGAGGGTCATTTCAGCTTACATTGTTAAGAAGATTCCCCTTCTACATAGCATTAGGGATAGTCCGTGGTGTAGCACCATAGCACATATTGTGCAACTCCATAAAAAGTCCCGTATTGGGAGCAGTAACTCCCAGATGTTATTTGTAATTGCTTCACAGCATAGTGAATTCTACACAAGCACCACATGGTAGTTCATGCAGCAGGAAGTTAAAGGGGAATGTGTTTTTTAAGTGATTTAGTATGAATGTAACTACATATGGAGAGTAATAGGCAAAGGAAATTTGGAAGAGATTGAATTAGTTGTACATCCTTCCTGGTGACATTCTCAATGAGCCTCAACATGATGGTAGCTCTGAATGTCTCATGTACTCTACATCCAAAACGGCTCAGATTAGAAGAGAAAAATGGAAAACCTTGCAATCTAAACTTTATATAATATTTTAATTGCTCCTTAGTATATATGAGTTCAGGCAATGTTGTAACATATTGCAGCACTATTTACAACAGCAAAGACTTGGAACCAACCCAAACGCCCATCAATGATAGACTAGATAAAGAAAATGTGGCACATATACATCATGGAATACGATGCAGCCAAAAAAAAGAATGAGTTCATGTCCTTTTCAGGGACATGGATGAAGCTGGAAAGCATCATCCTCAGGAAACTAACAGAAACAGAAAACCAAACACTGCATGTTCTCACTCATAAGTGGGAGCTTAACAATGAGAACACATGGACACGGGGAGGGGAACCAGGGCCTGTCAGGGGGTTGGGGGCAAGGGGAGAGAGAGCATTAGGACAAATACCTAATGCACACTGGACTTAAAACCTAGATGATGGTTTGACAGCAGACCACCATGGCACATGTATACCTGTGTAATAAACCTGTACTTTCAGCACATGTATCCCAGAACTTAAAGTAAAATAAAATAAAATAAAGTAAAAATAAAAAATGGCAGGATATCTCTATCCCTGTCAGAGCTCTGATACTGTATAATATTGAATACATTTGCCTCTAAATTTGTTTCCTAATTTGTAAAGTGAAAATAATCATAATTTACACCACAGAAGTTAACAGATAATTAATATAAAGTAGGATAGTTCCAGTCATATTGGTGCTCAGTAATTGATAGCTATAAACATTGGTGCCAGAATATGCTGTGTGCTATAATATGCTGGATACTTGATCACATAAATAAAATTGTATTGTTTGTATAAGTATTATAGAAAACTTTTAATGGCTAAGAGAGAAAAATAAGGGAGATAAAATAAAAAGGATGAGAAATATATTTATAAATTCATAATTTATAGATATAAATATATAGCAAATAATTTTAATAAATGTTTTAGAGAAAACTGTAAAATAAATTCTTTTAAAAATTACATATGTATATAAGCAATAAAACTTTAAATAACTCTACATAAGAAATGTTCTTTCAAAAATTCTTGAGGATGTTTCAGGTAGTTCTCCATGAGGGATTAGTAATAAAATTCTGTTGAAATAATAATGAGGAACACATTTTTTTCCTGACATTTAATCTCTCAGTAACAGGAGAGAGCTATATTGTCTCCCATGGCTCCTGAATATTTGCCCCCAGACATGCATAAAATAGTTGTCATGTTTATAAATTCATTCTTTGTTGTTATTTGAAAGGCATTAATAATAGAGTGAAGAACTATTTTTGAACCGTTTCTAGCTGTGTGAAAGTGTGTTTTTAATCTAATCAAAAAATTAGATGTCCTCAAATGCACTTCTTCCATTGCTGTCTACTTGTCAATTTCTAATGAAGACCAAAGAAAGTTATTCACTATTTTTTGTGCCTATACTTTGCAATTCCTTAGCATTTCTGAAATAGCTTTTCCCCTGCAACAATAACAACCTCATAGAATGATGATTTATTCCTCCACTAGCTGTGGCTTCATTCCTTTGATGTTTTGCAGCAAAACTTATCAAATAGTTGTGTATATTCTCTGTCTCCAATTTCTCTTCTGGACTTCTCTCTTGAAAATACTTAAATGAGGCCTTTGCCCTCATTGCACTTTCATCTGTTCTTGCTAAGGATACCAAATGGCTTCATGTTGCTAGATCCTATGGTAATTCTCAGTCTTCCCTTTGCTTGACCTATCCACAGCCTATTATTTTTATAATAACAGGTTGACCTATTATTTGACTAATAAGTTTTCTTCATTTGGTTACAGGAATGTCCAACCGTCCTGATGTTCCTCCTTCTAGTTTCCTTTTCTGGTTCCTCCTACACTCTGCCACCTCTGATTGTTGAAGTGTCCCAAGACTTCGTTCTTGATGTCTTTTTCTTCTGTAGCTTCACTTAGTCCCTTGGTGATATGTAGTCTGCTGACTTTCATGTCATCTAGATGACAGAGACTCCAAGACTTTTATGTCTAGCTCAGATCTTCTCCCAAAATCCAGACTCATATATTCAGTAATGTATTTGTCATCTCCATTTACAGGTCTAATGGATAATCCAAACTCAACATATCCAAAACTGAATTCCTGACCCTTGTTCCAAAACCTATTCTGCCACAGCCTTTCCCAGCTTGATTCATGGAAACTCCATTTTCCAGTTGCCCATGAGTAAAACCTTGAACTAATCTACCTCTTCCCTCTATTGTACATTCCACACTTATTTCCGGATTAAGTGTAGGATGTACAATAGAGGGAAGAGGTGATTAGTTATAAAATGGTAAAAACCAAATTGACTTCCTGTTGTCTACCTCTGCAAATGAAGAATACCAAAGTATAGATATTTCTATACCTATACCTGTAGAAATCTCTATACTTTGGTATTCTACATTTATAGAGGTAGACACCAGGAAATCAGTTTGGTTTCTAGCATTTTAATGCAAAATCCCATCACTTCTTGCCACCTCTACATCTCCACTCTAGTCTGTGCTAACATCATTCTCTGACCTGGGTTATGCAATAACATTGTATCTGGTCTCTGAGATTTCACTCTTTTCTTCCCAGTCCTTTCTAGTAGCCAAAGTGGTTCTTTAAAATATGTCACATCATATCATTTCTCTGTGAAAAACCCAACAATGTCTCTGCATTTCTCACAGAACAAAAGCCAAGGTGCTTATGGTGATCCATTTGGCATTACCTAATTTGCCCCCTTTTTTTAATTAACTGCCTGACCTACTCTCTGACAACTCTTCCCCTCATTACTGCCGCAGTCAGTACACTGGTGCCTTCCTTATCCTTGAACCTGCCAAGTGCATTCCTGATTTACAGAAGTGGCTATTCCATGTATCTGGAAGCCTCTTCTCCTAAATATCCTGATAACTAATATTTTCACCTCCTCAAAAGCCTACCTTGACTACATTATTTAAATTTGCATCCTGAAATACAACATCACCCTCCACTTACGTTTTAGTAATATTTATCATTGCCTAATATATCATGTATTTACTTACTTATAATTTTTTCCTCTACTTTCCTGCTAGAATGTAAGCTCTAAAAAGGTAAACATCTCTGTCTATTTTATTCACTCATGTATACTAAATGCTTAGAACCATGCATAGTACATAGTAACCACTCAAGAAATGTTTGTTAAATGAATGAATTAGGTACAGTAAGGGATAGTTTGATTTAATGGAAACCACTGTCTCTTACAATTATAAAAAGCAAAGCAAAACTATAGTAAGCAAGATACTCTATATCCGTATCTTGATATAGAGCATTGAAGCATTGAAGGCAAGTTACTTACATGCCTCAGCTTTGTTGAGATACAATTAATGTACAAAAACTATACATATTTAATGTATACAAAAAAAGATTTTGTAGGTGATGGAGATGTTAATTACCTTGATTGTGGTGATAGTATCATGAGTGTATATATATATGTCCAAACTCACCAAATTGAATACTTTTGATTTTTGACTTCAGCACTAATGCTGTGCACCACATACTAAGAACATTCAACTATGCACTGAATTTTAACTTGTAAATTTTTTGATTTTGTTATTTTTTAAATTTTATTTATTTTTCCCCTTTTCTGTGGTGCTGATAACTTTGCAATTATTTTGAATATTTTACATATCATGAGACTTTCTTTCATAAGCTTAGTTTTTGACAAATGGATTGATTGATGAAATTGTATAATTTAATGGTTCTACACATTCTGCATGTCTGTATTTGCAATATTTGCAGTAGGGCCAAATTGTGGCATGTTAATATACAGAAATTTGTAATAACTGTAATCATTAGAGGAAGTGTTTTAGTGACGGTGAGCTAACTATTATAAAAAATAAATTAAAACTATAAAAACGATTTAAATGTAATAGAAATGTGTTTCTAACTCATGTAACAACCAAGATGCCTCCAGTTCAGTGGGCGGAGGGTATGGAGATGAGCGGCTGCTCCATGCAGTTATTCATGGACCAGGAGGATAGAGACTCAAACATTTTCAGAACTCCACGGTTGCCCTGATATCAATATCCAACTGGCAGAGAAGCAAAGAAAGGTTTTTATGGTCCAGAATTGGAAGTGACATATATCATTTTAGCTCTTATTCCATTGGCTAGAACTCAGTCTCATGGCCATGACCAAATGCAAGAGAGGCTGGAAAATGTACTCAAAGTATGTGTTCAGAAAGAAGAGATGAAAAAATAAAATTGTTTTCAATGACTAGAAATTTTAGTCATAGAAAACTATGCAAGTTTGTCATCTCAAAGCCAGATGTAGGGAATTCTAGTTTATTTCAAGCATCAAGTGTGGTAAGGAAAATAAAACTCCCAACATTATTATGAGCTTTATTGCATCAAGGTTATTTTTCTGCAGTGCTGACTTATTTGGAATGTGAATTTATGCATATACTACAGATGAAAAGTATCAAAATTCTAATATGTCTGTATCTTGAAATAATGAGTACTACAGTATAGCACATATATTGGACAGAACTAGATTCTTTTCTAATAATATATGTGAACAATGCATCTTAGTTATATCTATACTAACAGAGATACGCTATGGCACAAATCACACAAAGGTATGCAATGAATATGATATCCTACTTTCCTTTCTGCAGATTGGTGGAAATCAACAAGCTGAAAAAACTAAAGTTCAACATAGTGAGTAACTTAAAAGTCATAAATTTCTTCCCACATGTTTTCAGAGAAGGCATGTGCATATGTGTACTATGTTCTTGGGTACGACATTAATGATGAATAAATAATCAATACTTTTTGAACTTTATGGAGAGGAATTTTATTGAATGAGTTAATATCTTACCAAAGTACACACTGAGAAATGGGGAACAAAGAAAAAAATTGGCAAAACCCCTTTGAGATACTCCAAATTTTATATGTAATTTGAACAAGCATGACTGATGCTGTCTATCACAGAATACACCTTCTCATAATAAGAGCAAATAGTACCCTAGAAATCCTAGAAGTTTGTGGAATATTATAGAGAAATGAAAATTGGTATGGCAAATAAGTTTAGGGATTCATGTTCTGCTTACATCAGAGACCTTATTAAGTAGTTAATTAATTTTATTTTAGCAAAATAAAATTATGCTATGTTTAATGTCAATAAAGAAGAAAAGAAAACAATTCTACTGAGAAATAATTCTAGTATCAAACCATTCTATGCATATGTTAGATGAAAGCCTAAAAATACTCTGGAGTAGGCAAAGTTGTGGATTTTAAAAGAATCTGTGGACTTATAGAAAATGTGTAATTTGAAAATAAAGTAGCATGGTATTCTCCTTGCTCTGATTGTCTTTTAGTTATTGAATATAATTTCCTTTGTATTTTAAATGACGATATTAAAAGGAGCATGAGGATTTTATATTTATCACATGGTGGCATGTGTTTTCAGACAACAAATAATATTTTTTCTCTTCCTTTGGCATGATTATAATATAATAGAAAGATCAGGACGGCACTCAAAGACTGGTTCTTTAAGGGAAGGGATCATGTCTTCTTTGTCTCTATATCAGTATCTTGTACATAGTGGCTTTGTAACTTTACTAGAAATGTGATGAAGCTTCTTTGAGATATATTTAGCTATTCAATGAGGATAACACCACAATTAATTGTTAAAACATCTATGAAATAACATTGGTGAATCTGTAGTCCATAGCAGAGTTTTTTTAATAACAATAAATAGTAAAACCCTGTGTTGCTCTGGCCAAGAACATTTAACAATATCACACAAGGACTATAATGGCAACCACATGGGAGACTGGCTTTCAGCTTTCATCCAGTTTCTAAATAGTATCCCCGGCACAAAAACAGCTGAATTTTAAAATGCCATTCCATTATTATGGAGGAAAAGTAAAACAAGCAAAATAGAGAGGCAGGACACAGATGCATCTAAGGAAGAGAGATGCTGAACAGAACTTCAGATCCATGCAAACAGAAATAAACAAGTTAGCAATTTGTAACAAGCTGTCTGCCATTTACAAAGTACAGGAGGGAAGCATGGTTTATTTACCGATATAGCTAATGTAGAATCTGACCTTATATTGAATGTTGATTCATTACTGACATCCAGACTGGATTTTCCTCTAGTAAAAATAGCAGTGCCACTAGGCTGAAGAGAAAATAGCATGGGCAACCACAGCACAGTTAGCAGAATCTAGGTGACAAAGCAAGAGGAAGTCAGACTGGACTGGCACAGAAACATTCTCTAGCCAATTCTTATGTAAGGACTCTTATATATATATATATATATATCCAAATACATTATCTCGTATTCTGTGGGTCAATGTGGTTATCAAAGTATCATTTTATGTACAGCATGTATGTAATTATGCATAAATTAACTGAATTATAAATTATATCTCATTCATATTCTGTAGTTTGAGATAAGTCATTCAACCAAGTCTTGTTTTAACTTCATAAAATGCAAAGTTTTATAAGAGAGAGAAGAAAAGGAAGACAGAAAGGAATTAGTCTGCTTCACGCTGCTCATAAAGACATACCCAAGACTGGGTAATTTATAAAGGAAAGAGGTTTAATGGATTCACAGTTCCACATGGCTGGGGAGGCCTCACAATTATGGCAGAAGGTGAATGTGGAACAAAGTCACATCTTACATGGCAGCAGGCAAGAGAATGTGTGCAGGGGAACTCTCCTTTATAAAACCATCAGATCTCATGAGAATTATTCTCTATTACGAGAACAGCATGGGAAAGACCTGCCCAGATGATTCAAGTACCTCCCACCAGGTCCTTACCAGGGCATGTGGGGATTATGGGAGCTACAGTATCAAGATGAGATTTGGGTGGGGACACAGCCACACCATATCAGAAGGGAAGGAGGAAGTAAAGAAACAAAACCAGATGTTTATGTGTCAGACATGTTAAATTGTGCTCAATAATGTTAGGAAAAAATATTATTAAATATACAACAATTAATGAAGCTTTCACATGCTTTAATAATAAATAGGGACCAACAGCCTATTTTAAAAGAGATATTAATTAGGTTAAAGTCCCAGAATGAACTGGAACCATGTAGTTTCACAATCATTGTTGAACCATGTCTGAACTTTTTGACTGTGACACCGCTATGCATTTTGTTGGTATTAAAACACCGTAACTATATTTTGAATTAAAAACAAAGATACCATCTTAACAGATAAATATTTTTGAGAAAAGGAAGGACATATTTGCTGGTTTATTGCACATATAAGGAAAAGATATTTTACTGTCTATCAATAAATGCAGGTTCCTTTGAAAAGAGCAAAGAGAGTGTCCTCATCAAGATAATGGAGGGTAGAACTAATTTACCCTGCAGTATCTATTTGTTGTCTGGGTATTCTTTGGCAAAGACTTATTAAAGAAGTTGAGAAAGTTTGGCAGACAAATGCATTATGTTAAATTACTTAAGCATACATCATTTATGATGTGATAATTTCAGTTACCATAGATCATTAAACCAAAATTTTTAGTATAACTACTTTTGAAATATTAAAATATAAAAATGTCATTTATGTTTTCACTGTTCAGTAATAACAGTTTCCTAAATACCTTTTAGGTAGAAATAGGAGCTAGTTAAGACATGAATTTTAGGTAGATAGATCTTTTTGTGAAAATTAGTAACAAAATAATAAAATCAGTATATCTGAATGTGTATGAAAAATACAAAAAGTAAAATGGCGTTAGGAAACTGACAACTATTTACTTGAAGAGTCCATAAAATCTCCTTTAAATTGGGAGATTAAAATGTAAAATAAAGTATTATGACACATAGTATGATTATTAGAGACTCTCTAACAAAATTGCATCCACAGATGCTTGCATTACCATCAGTCCACAGCTATGTCCCACGGAAGGGCAAGCAGAGGCTAATAGCTGCCAAATCTCTTAGAGGATTATTTGTCTCATTGATCCTGAAAAATGTATATGCCATTTTGTCTCACTTCAAAATACACTTAAGTCATTTTATGTCCTTTTACCTTCACATCATGTTCTCTGTAATGCAGGCTTTGCCCTTATTTTAATTTGAAAAACTGAAACGGAGATATAGAGATAGAACCAAAGAATCAAAATTCTGCACAATTTTTTTCCAAAGTATTCTGCCATCAATGAACGAAAACTAAAGTATGTTTGTTAAAGAATCAGTAGAAATAGATCATCAGCTGTCAGATTCAGGGGTCTGACTCTTTGGACATTGCCTTAGTCTAAGCTGCTATAACAAAATGCCATAAAATGGATGGCTCATAAAAAACAGAAATTTATTTCTCACAGTTCTGGAACATGGGAAGTCCAAGATCAAGGTGCCGGCTGATTCGGTGTCTGCTGAGATCCCGCTTTCTGGTTCATAGATGGTTAAGACGTCTTCTCACTGTCTTCACCTAGTGGAAGAGGCGAACAAGTTCTTTTATAAAGGAACTAATCCTATTCATGAAGGCATGCCTTCATGAGCTAATCACCTCCCCAAAGCCCCACCTCTTTATTTTATTTTGTTTTATTATTTTATTTTATTTTATATTATTTTATTTTATTTTATTTTATTTTATTTTTTGAGACTGAGTCTCGCACTGTCTCCCAGGCTGGTGTGCAGTGGCGTGATCTCAGCTCGCTGCAACCTCTGCATTCCGGGTTCAAGCGATTCTCCTGCCTCAGCCTCCAGAGTAGCTGGGACTACAGGCGTGCACCACTACGCCTGGCTAATTTTTGTATTTTCAGTAGAGACAGCATTTCACTATGTTGGCCAGCCTGGTATCAAACTCCTGACCTCATGATCTGCCCACCTCGGCCTCCCGAAGTGCTGGGATTACAAGCCTAACCTCTTAATATCCTCACCTTAAGAGTCAAAATTTTAATGCATGGATTTTGGAAGAGAGGTACACAAAACTAGAGCATAGCAGACATATTCTAGGGTTTTACTATTACATCAGGCAATCTTTCTATCAGAATCACTTGAACATATTCTCTTGATCAGGTATACTTGACACAGAATTTCATAATGTAACCTATGCTAAGATGTAGGCTTTCACCTTAGTCTTACTTAGAAGAAGATAAGGAGGAAAACAAGAAAGGAGGAAAGAAATCCTCAACTACATTTGTAAAAGTTTGGGAATAGTATAATCTATAGTAATACACAGGAGAAGTATGAAGCGTATTTGATAAAACTACATTTTTAAAATGTATGATGAATAATAATTGTCTATAAATACTGCAAATGGGTTAGATGGGTATCATGCCTTTGCTTATCTCAGAAATTCATACCAATCACCTAACTGCTTCAAACAGTTTTCTCAATAAGTGAGGTATTAGTGTAAAAACTAATAGATATGATATTTAATTTTATAGAATTTCTTACAACTTAGTATGAATGCGATTTTCTTGAGCAAAATATATATGTGTGTGTATATATATATATACATATATATATCTGTGAAGTGAAACGGAGAGAAAATATTAAAGCTAGTTGACCATAAAAGTTATCATTTTATGAAGCTAGTTCTTAGAACTTGACAGTGAGAAAGGAATTTGTGAATGTGTCTGATGAATCTGACACAGACTATTCTAGGTGCTAAAGACTACATATGGCATGATGTGGAGAGGGGGGTAGGAGGAAGAGAGATAGAGAGACAGAAAGAGAGAGAGAGAATTCCTTGACTACAGTGAAATGACAGATGTGGGAATTCACCTAGCAAATAATGATCTGTTGAAAAATCAGAATCCCAAAATCGAATTATAGAAAGCGTATCTCTAAATTTCAGAGAAGAAACAGAGCGTTTCAGTAGTGATATGATTCCCAGAAGGATAAGAAGTGAAGACTCAAGTAAATTAATTGGTTCACATGTTTTATAAGTTATAATACATGAATGTCAGCATACATTATTATCTTTAAAGTTTGGTAATGTGGAAAACAAGTATCTTTAAAAAGAATAGGAGACATAATGAGATCGTATCTCTACCAAAAATTAAAAAAAATAAATAAATTAGCTTGGCTTGGTGGTACACTCCTATAGTACCAGCTACTCGGGAGGCTGAGGCCAGAGGTTTGCTTGAACCCAGGAGTTTGAGGCTGCAGTGAGCTCTGATCTCACCACTGCACTCCAGCCTGGGTGACAGTGAAACCCTATCTCTAAACCACCACCACCACAACAACAGTAGCAATAAAAGAATAGGGAAAATTATTTTATGAGTTGAAATAGGATTATTAAAATAGCCCTTTGTTATTCCAATTCACCTCATTAATCATAAACTAGCACAATCTTATTACAAAACAGGTGTAATTAAATACCTTTAAGGAAATGTGTGGAGAAGCATACAGGCATCATCAGAATACATTTGACTTTCTTAAAGCTATTTTTTAAAAAGAGTTATTGCATTATACTTATTTTTTCTTTTGTTTATGATGTGATATATGAATTTTGAAGTTGGCAAAATAAAATTAAATTCTGCCATTAAATTGGTAAGGTTTTGTGTGTTTCTTAGTCATACTCTATTCTACAAGTTCCTGTATTCCCCAAACAATAAGTAGATTTGAATAGATTTCCATATTCTAATTATACCAATAACTAATGAATTCAGCTATTACTTACGATGCATTCCAATCAGAAATGTCACTGATGTCAAACGCAGTGTCAGGGAAGTTTCTCTGGTATTTGAAGGTACTGACTACTCACATTAATCAAAATAATCGACTTATTTATAATGCAATTGGTTTCTGCTTTTGATGACATTGTATTTAATAATTATCTTTATGGTTTCACAAAATGGCTATTTACACCCCTTAATTAGGAAAACTATGTCAGCATATAAATACATATGCATATATGTATGTGTATATTGTGTGTAATGTATGTATAAGTGCCATGTAAGAATGTTAATGGAAGTATGATTGCTCTAAAAATTCAGAATGAATTGGTTCATAAGATTAATTGACTAATGTTTAGAATGTGAATACCATATTTCTAAAAATGGTCTTCCAGCTAAATGGGTTCTACCATTAATTTGTGGAAGATTTCATAACATAATTTAAAATTTGTAGTATCAATACAAACATATGCTCATAAATAACTGATTAGTGTTTTTCTTAAAAATGGAAAAGTCAGTATTTTTACTGACTGACTTTACATAATGGTAATTTTATATTTATGCACTTGAAAAATCTCACTGTGATATTAACATATTTACATCTATGTAAAGTTGAGGTCAAGGAAATTTTCTTGCATTTATTTCCTTACTTGTAACTATTATATGACACTAATCATAATTCTCTCCTGGCATGTGACCTCAGTTATCCAATAGCAGCATTCCTTTGATAGGTATATTAAGATAACACATAAAAGGTAGGGCTGCCATTTTACTAATAAAAGTGTGATTTTTAAAAAATAAAATAGCGCTTTCTAGCTCCACACATCATGACTGAACCAGACACTCATATTTACCTCTATCACATATCATAATAGAATTCTTGAGTCAGTAGAAATTAAGCAGAAATGAGTTTAAATCACACAGTGTTGAAGCTGAAAAGACATGAAATATTACCCATTTCAACAGTTGTACTTTATACTTGAGGAAACAGGCTCACAGGAGAGTTATATGAGTGTGGTCTAGTATGCAGAGGAAATTGAATTAAGAGTTAGAAGAGCTGGTCTGCAGTCCCTTGCTCTGTCAGTAGTGCATAAAATTTAGGAAATTTTCTTAACTATTTTGCAACTGAAGTTTTGCAACTGAAACATGAGCAGAATAAAAAAGAATAAAGATTTTTCAGTGTCCGAAATTACATCACGCAAACCCTCTGATCACATTGAGCACAGAAACCTCATCTCAGAACTTTTCTGAGAAATTTAAATAATTTAAGATACAAATACATCCAAATTAAGTCCCAAGGATTTACTGCAAATGGACATGACAAAATTTTGAAAAGTGATGAAATATCTAAAACTGGATTGTAGTAGTGGTTGTATAACTGAATAAATATTCTAAAAATCATCAGGCTGTACACTTTTAAAATGAATAAATAGTTGAATTTATAGGTATGTAAATTATATCTCCATAAATCTCTTTTAAAAATCTGGTCACAAAAAAACCTTGACAAGTAAATTTGACTTAAAAAAAAATCTGAACATTCTGACTGAAAACAAAATTTTTTAACAAAGAAGAAACTGTTCAACAGATTATCTCTCAAACAGAAGACAACACTCTGCTGGATAGCTTTACAATACTATCAATCTAACTTTTACCTTCTATTAATATTTTTCTCTAATTGATCAAGCCAAGTAAATTCATTTTGAGTCAACAAAGACAGTATAATGACAATAGAGTTTGCTGTTCCTTGTATCTTTGTGATAAGAAAAATAATTACAAAAGAGCAAATGTCATTGTAGTTTGCGTATACAAATACAAGACAGCTTCTTTGAATGTTTGAGTTATGATGTGTGTGTTTAAGAATAGAGAATCACAGATTATTTCAGGGTCATACTGTAGCAATGTAACATCTAGGACTATCTTCAAGAATGGCTTTTCTAGACTATTTTGGTGCTTTAATTCTATTTTAAGCTTCCCTACTCAGCTTCATTGTTCATCTGGTTGTTAAGCATGAGCATTTTTTTAATGGAAAGAAAGCTTGTCTAAAGGGTAAATTGCCAAAAGGATTAAAAGTGTGTTCGTTGCCCAGTCATTTTCCACCCTCAGCCCCCCGCCTGCTCCCACCTCATACACTTATCATGCTGTCACTCTTTGCTCCAGGGCAATACGTTTTTATATACCCACCCAGGCAGGATTCCCTGCCTGATGGACACGGCTTATAGTGGCCTCAAAGGACCAGAGATTTGCGAAGATGATCATCTTTCCCATTCTTTGAAGAGCAGAAACAGTAAAATTGAGTTTCAGGGCATTAGCCAATGAGATGTTAAAATATCAACTACCATGCCTCACCTGGCCTGAAACCAAGGTTAAGATCTTCTTTAGTGCTTCCTCCCCATCTACTCTTCATTCCTGAAAATCCAGGCTCCCATCTGCCCCTTGCCCAGTGATTTTTTTTTTCTCCATAAGCTGATACATCCTTCCATTGGGTTATTTACTCCCAAACCCAGCAGAAGATGGAGTCCTACCACTATTGGTTCTATTACTTTCTCTTACTCAGGAATATAATTGATTTGTGTTGCGCAAAGTAAAGTTGGCTTTGATTCAAACACATTTTTAGAAAAATTGTCCCAGTACACAGGTTTGTAACACTTTTATTTTTCTCATACCACTCCCTCCCAGCCTCACTGAGTTTACATACTCACATACATTTAATACTAAAACAGATAAGCTCTGTAATCTTCATTTTAGTTTTTAATTCTGGGACACCTTAAACAAGATTTTCTAGAATTCAACTATTAGATGATCTCTAAACTATTAATACATTATCGTTTGTAATAAGATACTCTGTACTAACTATATATTTTAGCAAATTTTCTTACATTCTTCCATATTATTTATCATTTTGTGACGAAAATATAATAATCTATCGATTATGGGATATAGATTCTAGTTTGCTTAAGAGAGTTCTTGTATAACTTGTCTTGTTATACAAGACATATTTGGATATTCACTTTTACTCTTAGAAGTATTCCATTCTGGTCAAAAACTGATATAGTCACCTTAGTTATCTGTCACCAATTAGATGTCTCTACAAGTGAAGTATAGTTGACACATTACATTACCCTTCTCCCTTTAAGCTGAGTACTGTATATTTATGCTGTAATTAAATAGTTATTATTGACTATTACAGATTATGTTTTCTGAAAGTTAAATTTGAATTCTTAAAACTCAAAATGTGTGGGTATGCTTGAAAAACTAAGCAGTAGATACAAGAAATCTAGGAATTTCTGAACATAGACTTGCCTTTTTTGTAGACAATAAATTGTATTCTTTCTTTATCACCGCCTAATTAAAGAACACAGAATAACTTGCCTTCCTGTTTCAGCAGACACCTAAAGTAACACAAAGAAAACACACATTTACACACACATTCTTAATACCAAGTGATGGTAATGGCAATCACAAAGAAAAAAAATGGCTTATTGGTCAAAATATCTTTCTGAACTAAGAGAACCAAACTCATATGTGATAAGTTGTATCAACTGTTTACTACATTGCATTGCACTGTTTTCCTCTATATACTTTCTGATCTCATTTCTGTGGCATCATATTCCATAGTCTTTATTTTCACGTCTATATTTTTTCTTCCAAGCTCTTTGTTATTCTGTTCATCTTTTAAGCATTAAGTATTCATTATAGCAGAGCTCTATATGCAAGATCCATCTTTAGAAATACCCTTTGTAAATGTAATAAATATTTACTTTATATTTTTGCTCCTCAGTAAAAGGAGAATGGCATTTAATTAATTACTGGGGTCCTTGGATTAGGCAACTCCTCTTTTTCCCTGACATTGTTAAAATTTCATCAATTATTATAATAGGTTCCTTATTGAACTCTACCTCTGCTATATCTCCACTTTATAAATCCTTGGGTTCTACTGTTATATCTGTGCACTACTTTTAAATTTGCTCTCATGCTCAAAACTCTTTGGTAGTTCTCTGTTGCCCACAAAGCACCTAGATGACTGGCTTGGGTGTCTGCTGTTGCTATTCACCAACTAAGAAAGAAAACAAGGAAAAAATAAAACCATTTCCTGGAAGGCAGATGGGGAAAGGAAGAACATGAACTTAGTTAAGGTATGCTGTCTTGAAGATGCTGTAGAAAACCCAGATCGAATTTTTCAACCCTTGCAGTCCTGAAATAGGATCTGTGAGACGTTGATGAGTGGGCGTTACAGAGAAAATGGGAGAAATCAACAAACAGTAGGGATTTAAAGCTGTGGGACTGAATGAGATCATTATAGCTCCATCACATTCTATCTTAATGCTGATGAGTCTGTCTTAATACTAAAATATAAGCTCTTCGAGGAAAAGATTTTTTTCCCCAGAAACTAAAATAGATCCAAGAACAAGTATCTTTCATAATTATTGTTTTCATTTTAATAAATTATATTAGTTATTGTACATGGGATATAACGAGTGGTTTTCCTTTAACCTAGAAAGAAAAGCACCGAAGATATAACTAGTAAACGTCTGATTCTATTCTTCTTTAAAAGAAGTTAGAAATAAGAATAGTATGAGCCTTTTTAAACATGTTTTGGGAAACTGGGGTATTATCTGTAAAAGTAAATTACAGTTGCACCAAGGTTTTTATCTACTCTGGACATTTGGCTTGAGGATTATCCTTCCATCCTTTCACGTGTGAAATTGAAGGTTTCCTTTTGGTTGTGTAAGAAAGTTCAATACCTTAGCATCACACTCTTTAACAGGGCAATGAAGCTGTAATCCTGCCAGTCTCCTTTCCGTATCTAAATGGTTATTAGTTTATCATGTGTTTAGTTATCCAGGGACGTACATGACAATCTCTTTCTTATGTCTCTACAGTTAATAATACGTTTAAAATCATATGTATAATTTATCCATCTGTTCTAAGGCAAGCATTATGAATTAGAAGGCTGTAGCACCTCTTACCACTGCAAATACTAACTCACTAGAAAGGAACATTAAAATCACCAGATGCTTTTGACATAGTCAAAACCCTTTAATCCTCAAATCTTAAGCTCATAAGATATGAGATAAAAGAGATTTTTAAAACCATTCAGTCCAAGAAGTAATGAGACACTAGAATTCCTCTTGATCATTCAGCAAGGCATTGCCCATCCTTGCACTGTGGTTCTCCCCAGGAGACACCTGGGGGAGAGAAACAGGTAAGTCCCGACATCCTACTTCAGCCACAGCAACTCCCCCTTTTTCATAAACAGAACTTCTAAGTAAGTTTTCACTTAAACAAGTAGATCTGAAGATTAATTGGAGAAAATTGTTGAAAACCAATGCTTAAGTGAAAAACACTTAAACCATATTCAGGTGATATTCTTCCTTATAATTCTATGGAATTTTTTCTTCTGGTTCTACCACTGATTTTACTTGACTCAAGAGGCCATAAGGAACAGCAGACTTACTCTCTCCTCTTGACAGCTTTCTGTTTTTCCACTTTGAAGTATTTCAGGAGTTGTTGTCATGTTCCCTATAATCAGATTTCAGCTTATTTTCCTCAGGCTCCTCCTTTATTCAACTTTAACTAGTACTTATTTTTCTTATGGTACAGGTTATGGAATAAGGAGGGGGTGACTTTTATTTGGTGGATTTGCAGTCTAGCTGTTCTACTGTGCTTCTTCCCAGTTTTTTAAAATATGCTTTTTAAAACTTTTTTCAGTACTTTATTTCCATACGGTAAACTACCCCAATCTTCACACAGCTCTATGATTTTTTGCACATATATATAAACACTTGTGAGGCCACCACACAAATCAAGATGTAGAGCAGTTCAGTCCACCCAACTACTTCATGTGTGCCTTTCCAGTCAATATAACTCTCCATGGAATCGTTATTACGACTTATATTACCTATACTTATGCTTCTTATCTATGAGATCATACATTTGTCCCTGTTTGTCTCACCTTTTTAGCTTAACAAAATATTTTTAAGTTTGCTCAAGGTTGTTAAAGCATAGTACTTAAAACTGAACAGAAAGTTCAAGGTGAATTCTAAAACATCCACAATGATGGGTTAGCACTTTCTTTGCTCTGGGTGGGAGTTCACCCTCAAATCCTTGCAGTCATGTGACCTGAATATGTGAAATTATGCATTTGTGAGGACCATAGATATAAGATATTTTGGAGTGATAGGGACCAAACTAGAGAGAAATTTTTATCTCACCCCCAAAAAGCATTCAAGGCAATTCAGAAAGGAAAGAAAAAGAAATGTGATAAATGATTCTATGCTTCCCTTGAAAAACCAGTCTTCTTGTCCTATTAGCCAACAATCTTGCTTAGCTTCCTCTCTTCCAGATTTTGTGCTGTTAAGAAATAGTACAGATATCTCCTCTTTTTTAGTAACCATATTATACTTTCCCTAATGTTGAAACATAAGGTCTTAAAAGAATTCAATCTCTGAATAGCATGTAATAATCCAGGAAGTCACACAGACCCTTATCTAAATTTATCCAGGCTTTCTATTTTCCATATTTCAGGATTAGTGGCATCTTGTAGTACCTCCTTCTTCCTCTGCTGATTGACCGTCTGAGTCCCAGAATTTTTATTAAACACCTCTGTTTTCCATCTGCTGGTTTCAAGTGCCATTAGATGTGATAGGCATGCAAATGACAGAAAGGGTGGCAGAGCACACCTTGTTTCCCTTCCTCCTCCATTGTTAAAAGAACCATTTTCACTCCTTTCTTCAAGAGGATATTAATCAAAAGCCCTCATATTTGCAAGTTGTGTTATCAATGGATTCTCCCACTATTTCTACTAATTGTGGTGTTTTTTGGCCATGAAGTCATTTCTTCCTTTCTTGAAATATTTTAGCTGTGATTCATTGACAGTGCTTTTGAGAATGTATTTGCTACATTTTCTGGTAATTTCAATATTTACAATAATCATCTTTATAATACCCTTCAATGCAGTGGTCTCTCAGTCCCTTGACCTCTGTCCTCCAGATGACTATGACTTCCACTCACCTTCAGGCAATCATATGGTCATGCTTTCAGTATAGATCTTGTCATTTTCTGTAACTGCAAACCTCATATAACCTCACTTTCATTATCCAGCTCCTACTTCTCAGCTTATTTCATGTAGTACTCTGATTCCAATAATACTTGGTCCCACTACAACCTAGAATCCATCAATTCTAACATTTTTGCACAGCCCCTTATCTCCAATCATGTCCCCACTCCCATATTTCCTTGTTTAAATTCTTCAATTCATCATTATATATTATTGTTTTCATACATCCTCAACCGTTATGACCTTCCCTCAATTAATAGTATATGCCCTTGACAAAACTCTAGCATTTGTTAAATCTTACTTTTTGCTTACTCTGTACCTCTGTCAGTGCAGTTAAAAGTGACTAGAAAAAAATTCACAACCATGTTGACAGGTCTCATTTAAAATTTATGATCAGTAACCTCAAATGAGACATTAGTGTTGCCTGGAATTAGGCCACCACTCTTTCCTTCTCCTTTACCTCTACATTATACCTTCTCTTTTCTCCTCATACTTCTCGACTTACCCACACTTACTTTTAGGTTATAACCTTGCTTGATAATTCTCTGAGAAAATAAAGGGGGCTCAGACAAGAATTTCTGCATGTTCCCACATCCATCCCTTACCTACATCTGCATTCATCTACTTCTTTTCTATGCCTATGAATGAATATCCGTCCTTCTAACTAGGGCAAAGCCTTCCTCTTTACCTCTCGAGGACACTACATTTGCAAATCTCTCCTCTCTCTCATTGTTATAAATATTTCCCTCCATACTGGATCATTTCTATCATTATACTAACATGCTTTTATAATTCCTAATTTTAAAAACCTTCTCTTGATAACACTTCATCCTCCAGCTACCCATTTCTCTCTCCCCTTCACACACACACACACACACACACACACACACACACACACTTCTCACATTCTTTCTGTTTTTCTCAACTTACCCCAATCAGGCTTTTGCTCCAATATTCCACAAAGACTGTTCATGTCAAGATCACCAGTGACCCCCCACATTATTAAACATAGTACCTAATTCTCACTCATGTCTTATTTGAACTGTAAGCAGCATTTGATACAGATTAGTCCACCATCCTAGGAACACGTTTTTCAGTTGACTTCATACACACAAACTCTACTTACATTCGTCATGACTCGCTGGTTGTTATGTCTTACTCTTCTTTGCTGGTTCTTCTTCTCCCTAAGGTTTTGCTATTGTCACTCTCCAAGGCTCAGTTGTTGATCATCTTCTCTTTTCATTTATACTTCTTTATTGGTTCTATCTAGTTGATGGCTTGAAATACCATGTAAACTCAATGATTCCAAAATTTTTATGTTCAACCCTGACCATTCTCCTAAACTTCAGAATGTTTTTTCAATTATCTACACCTCCATCTGGATTTCTAATATTTATACACATTTAATATATCCAAATTCCTGAATCCCTTGTCCAAATCAATCCAAATAGTCGATTTTATTTTTAGAGAAGTTTTAGGTGCACATCAATATTGAATGGAAAGTTTAGAGATTTCCCGTATACCCTTTGCCCAGTTGGTTTCCCCCATTATCAATGTTTCCCAACAGAGTGGAACATTTGCTAAAATTCACGAACCTACATTGGCAAATCATAATCACCCGAAGTCCCTAGTTTACATTAGGGCTCACTCTTGGTGTTGTATGTTCTATGGCAGAACACTGACAACACCAAATGCTGGTAAGGATGTGGAGCAACAGGAACTCTCATTCATTGCTAGAGGAGTGCAAATGGTACAGCCACTTTGGAAGACAGTTTAGTGGTCTCTTTAAAAACTACACATACTCTTAGCATATGATTCAGCTCTTGGTATTTGCCCAAAGGAGTAGAAAACTTACACTCACACAAGAATTTGCAGCTGTGATAGCAGCTTTTTTCATAATTACCTAACCTTGGAAAAACCCAAGATGCTCTTCAGTAGGTAAATGGATAAACTATGGTACATCCAAACAATGGAATATTATTCGGTGCTAAAAAGATATGAAATACTGAGCCATGAAAAGACATGGAGGAATCTCAGATACATTTTACCAAGTAAAAGAAGCCGATCTGGAAAGGCTACATACTATATGATTCCAGCTATATGACATAATGGAAAAGGCAAAACTATGGAGATAGTAAAAAGATATATGGTTGCTGAGGGTTGGGGTATTGGGAGGGTTGACTAGGCAGAACACAGAAGATTTTTAGGGCAGTGAAAATATTCTGCATGATACTATAATGATGGGTATCTGTCATTATACATTTACAACATCAAGAGTGAACCCTAATGTAAACTCTAGAAATTGGGTGACTCTGATGTGTCAACGTAGATTCATCAGTTAAAACGAATGTACCACTCTGGTAGAACATGTTGGTAATGGAGGAGGCTATGCATGTGTAGAGGCAGGAGGTATATGAGAAATCTCTGTACCTTCCTTCTAACTTTGCTGTAAATCTAAAACTGCTTTAAAAATAAATAAAGTCTTAAAAATTGTTATGGATTTCTTTCTTACTGATTCATAAAAGCTTTTATATAGAAATTAGGCCTTTTTATGATATAACTATAAAATTTTTTATCAATTTGTCTTTTACTGTTAGCTTATTATAATTCATTAAGTTTTATCTTTTTGTGTATTTATTAATGTATTTAATAGTTGTAGAGTGTTGAGTCATATTTAGAAATAACTTCCCATTCTAAGGTTCAAAAATATTTCCAAATTTTTTCTCATATTTTATGTTTTCTTCATTAAATTAAACATCTCTTCCAACCTAATTTGTTTTTATATAAGGTATGATGTTAGAATTCAAATTTGTTTTTGCTCCAGCTGGCTACACACATACCAATGTCATTTATTCAACTATCCATCTATTTCACTAAAGGTACTATCTTCAATACTACCTTTACCATATCCAAATATACACTCATTGATATCCAAACAGTAATATTGTCCATCAGTCAGTGACATATTATTTTCATTGCTATAGTTATTATTATTTCTGTAAATCAAGAAATATTGGACAGTTAATCTTTATTATTCATAGATTCCATGTTTCCAGATTCACCTATTCTTTAAAATTTATCTGTAATTTCAATCAATACTCAATGCTTTCGTGGTCATTCACAGAATTAAGCATGCACAGAGCAGTGACCCAGCTGAGGCCCAACAAGATGCTGCTCTGGTTTTTTCAGCTCTCATGCCTTAAGTGTTCTTTATGTGGTTTATTTACTACCACATTTTTGCATTTTTGTGCTGTTTGCTGATGATTTTGCTGTTTAAAATGGCCTCCAAGCAGAGTGCTAAAATGCTGTCTTATATTCCTAAGCACAAAGAAGGCTGTGCTGGGCTTAATGAGAGAAAAATCCGTGTTTTAGATAAATTTCGTTCAGGCATGTGTTAGAATATGATTGTCCCTAAGTTTAATGTTGGTGAATCAACAATACATACATCCAGAAAAAGAAAGAGGAAATTTTCTAATCTGTACATGAAACTACCCCAGCAAGTGCTACAGTAACGTGTATGGTGTATGAGGGAGCTAGGGAAGACGTGGAAATGTGGCTCAATTTGTAGTTTCATGAGATAAGAATTGATTTTTTTTTAAGTGTAGTTGATAGTATTGTTGCAAAGCTGAAAGCCAAAGAAATTTCCAGTCACATTATCCAGCATCAGGGAAATGATAGACCCTTCTCTGCTAGTTTTTATTACAACAAAATCCATATATAATTAGTTATTTATAAGAAATATATATTAAATAATGCATTTTTAAACACATATGAAACAAGGTTATGTGTTCATCAGTTGATGAAGATGTTTTGATCAAAAGGTCGCAGGATCCTAACCTTGTATTTCCCCTTGGAACATTGACTCAGTATTCACTGATTCAGTGTTGACAGCAACTTTGTAGGTCACAACTACTATGTCCCACTCTGAGTTTTCTCACTTCTCTGTTGCCTTTGGAACTGTCTCATTCTCATATTTAAGTTCTGGGATATTGCTGGTGATCATCTCGATCACCTGTATATTTGTTTCTCACTTCTTCTGGGGGGAGTGAAGCCAGCTTGCTTCTGCAGCACCATATTGAAACCAGAAGTAAGAACAATATTAATGTGAAAAGCAAGAATCATTTGTACTTAAATTTTATAAATAATGCTCAATAAGTATTTAGACTATACTTACGGAAATAATCTGTATGTTAGATAAATTTTTTTACTTTTGTAATTCCTTACTCTTATAAAAAAAGGATTTCTTAGTCTTGTAGCCTTTAAACTCAACAAGAAAGGACAACAAGAAAATTAAATGCTCTATCCCATCAGCTTATGTCGTATTCCGCTCATGCCTTGCTTACTCTAAAGTGAGACTATAGTCAGAAAATGAGTCCATCCATTCAGTTACCGATATATTTCAAGGCTTTTCTGTAAGTTAAGCACTGCACTTGTTACTTGGAATGCAAATATCAGTATGATGTGCTATTTGCCATTAAGATCTAGCAAAAATTGTTATTTCAATTGATGGCAGGGAATTTCAAAATAACATACGTATTTTTAATGAGAGAAAAAAATACCAATAACATTAAAGCAAATAGAGATGATATCACAAGGAAGCTTTGCAAGCTACTGAGTTTTCTAATAGTACAACATGACTAAGGGGATTTTATCTATTGGTGACTTTAAAGTTCTAACTTATTTATTTACCTTTAAAAAATATTTTGGTCTTTTTCATTCTGATTGTAAAGCGATATTATGTTCAACATGGAAACTTGTAAACATTGACAAACATGAAGGAGAGAAATCACCAGTAATGATCCATATACATATATATATATATATATATATATATATATATATATATATATTTCTTTTTTTTTTTTTTTTGAGACAGAGTTTCACTCTTGTCCCCCAGGCTGGAGTGCAGTGGCACGATTTCAGCTCACTGCAACTTCCACCTCCTGGTTTCAAGCGATTCTTCTGCCTCAGCCTCCCAAGTAGATGGGATTACAGGTATGCCCCACTATGCCCAGCTAATTATTGTATTTTTAGTAGAGACGGGTTTTTACCATGTTGGCCAGGCTGGTCTTGATCTCCTGACCTCAAGTGATCCACCCACCTCGGCCTCCCAAAGTGCTGGGATTGCAGGCGTGAGCCACTGCGCCCAGCTATGATCCATATATATTAACAATTAAGTAGCTAAACTTATTTAGTACTTAATACATAAAAAATCCTGTTCTTGGCTTTCTTGTATTCATTACAATACCCTAATAAAGTAGTAATATTATAGCCCCTTTTTATATGTGAGAGATATGACTGAGAACACAGGTGATATATGAAAAACAAGGTTTACTATGAAGTCCAAACAATTTTTACTTTACTACTTATGTGATATCAGTAGCATCAAATGTTTTATGCTATTTTTAGTATTGGGGGAAATAATCTGGTAAAAGCTATTAAAATTTAAAAATATGTTTATCTTTCAACACAGAAAACTGAAAACCTATATATATGGGATCTTTATAAGGACACTTATTCCCTCCAAGGAAAGGTGTGGCCCGGATGTTGGGAAACTAGATAAGGACCTTGAACTTTACCCAGCAAATCCTAGAGAACCTTTAGGATGCTTTGAGGTAGTGAAGTGGCCTAGCATAATTGAATTTTAGATAAATCACCTTGGTGGCTATGTGGTAGCAGATTTTAGAGGGACAAAACCAGTTAGAAGGCTGCTTTGGTAATCGAGGCAAGAGCCAGTAAGAGACAATCAGTGAGTTCAGACAGTGGTAGTGGAGATGGTGAGAGAGAGAAAGAGATTAGTCTGGAGTATATAAACTGAAGGTTTTAAGACTAACACACTGAATTGGAGTGCTTGGGCGTAATTTGTGAAATGCTAGATGATTGACTGTTTAGGTTATGACTTCTCAGTTCAAACCATCTTTTATGCCTTAAGTGATCTAACGGTCTACATTCTACAAAGAAGGCAAACTAAGGAAAACACTGTTTGTTGGCCCCAATGTTGATGCCAGTCTAAAAATGATGTATTTATTGTGCTACTTCGTGATTCCCTTGTTTCCAACTCTTTGCTATCAATAATTATCTAAGGTAGGCCCGTGACTGTGGCCCCCAACATCCTGTCTAGAAATTTGAAGAAGGGCCAATGACTTTTTGTAAATTGGTTGTTTGAGAGCTGGACTGTCTGTTTTGCAGCATGTAGTTTGAAGCTATAAAACATAGATACTTCCATGCCTCAGACCTTGTTATTTCTAGGAAAGAAAAATGAGAACAGTACCTTTGATTGTAATATTTTTTCAAAAGTTGCTGTGCCATGATATGTCTCGTAGGTTTCAGAAGACAAACCATTATGAAAAAAATTTGTTGAAAAAGCATGAGAAAGAAGATAATAATATGATAAGCTATTCCATAGAGTTTTCCAGTGAGCTAGAGAAATTAGGCAGCAAAATACCTCATCCAATCCTTCCACATCAGCAAATTGAATCCTTAATAGCTTCTATGTTCTTAAATCCTGAACACATTTATTAGGAGAGTTTTAGAATGAGGAAAAAAAAACTGAAGTAAGGACACCAATTATCCACCTTCCTAACCTTCATCCTTGGTCCCAAGCCAGGATATTCTCGATGTCCTAGAGTCTGAACTCAAGGTAGATGTGGCTGAGAATGCAGCCATGACTGTAACTCTGTCATTAAGCTATGAATTTAGGGAAAAGCCAACAAGTTGATTAAGTCATAAAACATCATCAAAATTAGCAAGAGGCAAGCCAAAAAAGCCCCAGCCTATAACCAGGGCACTATTCCTCAGAGAACTTTTTGTCCCACTAGAGACATGAGAAGTTAGGACCTCCTGCTCACTGGTTTCCCCCACCGCCCACTGAATTATCAGCATCCGTAGCCACAGCTCATTTTAATTCTTGCATTTATGATAACGCTATGTCATTACAAGAAGGTTCCCATTTCCAAATAATTTAAATGATTTATCTTGCCTGGTGACTTGAAGTTTATCAACTTAAAATTGAAATAATAGAAGAAAAAACTGCAGATGAGAACATTTTATCACTTTATTATTCAAAATAGTACATTCTGAACCTAAACATATTTAACTATCTCATGTTTTGCGCTTCCCAAAAAAGATAAGTAAAATATTTTTAAAGAAACCATTGATAGGCAGATAGACAGACAGACATACACGCACACATGCACACACAATCATTAGCATAAAACTGTCTTTGTAGAGACAAAATTAATTGAATAGATGTAACTGAAAAGTTGGCTTTTTATTCTTTTATGAGCCTTCTATTTGGAAGATCAACTTATTAAGTAAATGCCTTTCTTTCCTAAAACAATTATGGTAGAGAGAGTTCTTTCTCTTCACCTATGTAAAATGATTATTTTTTACTGAGAGCTAATTATGTCAGTTTCTTATTCTTTCCCTAGTGAATTGTAAATTATTTGAATGTATGAGTGTGTTTTCTCTCTTCCTCCTTTGTTATTCATTGAGAAGATGGTGAATAAATTTTTTGTCAGAAAAGGTATAAAAATATAAATTAAGAAAAGAGAAGAAGATGGCTAAATGCATGCTTAGTACTATTATTCTAATGCCTTCATTAAACCAGCAGACACTTGCTGAGTACCTGTCCTGTGCCAATACTGGGATATAAAATGAAACAAGACGTTATCCCTACCCTCAAGTTCAATGTAGAAGACATTAAATAAGTCAAAATTTTAATCAGGTGTGATACATCCTATCAAAATAAAAACAAAAGCAGCAGGTGTAATAATATAATAAAATCCTGAATTCTAATGTACCAAAAATTTATCCACATTTAATTATTTGATATACATAATCTCACTTTATCTTAATATTATCCCAAAGAAGTAGGTATTACCATCTTAATTTGATAGGAAGATAATAGATATAAGAGGCACCTTTATGACGATCACAGAGCTTTAAGGTGGCAGAATTAGAATTTGAGTCCAGATCTGTGTCTCCAAAACTAAGATTCTAAATAGAAATCTGTGCTCCTTATGAATAATAATTTTTAAAAATACATTGAGATTGCCCTTAGAAATCAGACAAGAGGCATTTGAAACTGACTAGAAAGTCACAGAATATATTACAGAGGAGGAGATTTGAACTGACCCATTCATGAAGGACTACTAGGAATTAACTAGGTGAAATGAAATGGCCACAGTGGGGTGGTTTTCTAGGCACAGTTTGCAGCATATATAAAAGTTTCATCATAAAGCCCATGCTAAATCTTGCAAGAAACAAGTGTTTTTTTTCTGGCTTACTAGAAGGCTTTATATGACAGAGTGTGTAGGAAGCTAGAAATGGAGTCATAGGCCTCATGGACCTCACCATATGATGAAAACGATAGAGCTTCATTGTCACAAAAGTAAAAAGTATTTAAAGCTACATAGTCTTGCTCTCTGAAGTGGAGAGCAGCAACACTCATAGCCTTCATCATGTCCCCTTGAGAGAAGGATAAATCCCAAGCCCAGGAAGAACCCCTAAACTTTTTGAAGATGTCTATTGTTTTGCAACTGTGGATGATATACTCTGTGCAGGTCTGAATTTCTCTGACTCCTGGATGGTTAATATCTCCAATCCACATGCTATTATTTTTCTCAAAAATATTGCTTTGTGTGAAGTGGCATTTTCTAAATTTACTCATTCCACATATATTCCTACTTGAGGTCCTGGTAACCCAAAGATTAGTGGGACATAGTTATAAACTTGGAGGATCTTATAGTTTTGTAGAAGAGAAGATAGGTGAAGAGATCATGACAGCAAAATGCCAAATGTGCTGTAAATAGCATTATAAAAATGAAGCTGTATGACAAGTCAAATAAGCGGTTCAAAGAGCAGGAAAAGAGTCTCCAGAAGAGGCCACATTTGAGACACTATTTCACAGAAATGTTCTTTCTTTCCTCCCTGCCTGCAGTGCCTTCACTTTGGCCTCTCAGAGTTATTGCTTTATGTATCAGTCTCCCATTATATTCTGCCCTCAAAGACTGAGCTGAATCAAATGTCACTCTTCCTGGCTGTGTGGCTTTGCAATTTAAAGGGAGATATATGCATTTGTAAGTCTAATTCACCTTCACAAGTAGCCACTGCATTTGGCATCGGTTGTAGGTTCAAACTTTACATTTCCCCATACTTACAGAAGGGGTGAAAGAGCAGTATGTATAGAAGCTTCATGTAGGTATACCTGGCTTAAAGATAGCAGAGAAGAAGCCCATTTATTATAACAAATATCTTCTAAAAGCATACTATAAATGTAAATGATAGTTTTATGAAGTAAATGGAGATACTAATGCATTTACGGCCAGTGTCAAGAGTTCAGTGAAAATGGCCCTATACATCGTACTGTCTTGAGTTCAGAAAGTCTCATTATAAGTAATTTCATAGATATTTCTTTATAAAGACCAGGGAGCATATATACTGCTTAATGTGGGTCAGAGCCTACACTTCATGTAAAGTGCACACAGTATTTATTACCAAGACTAGGGTTTTAAAAAAATAAGAGCTTTAGAAGGGAATGCATTTCATTTATATTAAAGGCAAACCTAGACTAAGGAATAAGTTGTCTCCCAAAAGTTCAATTGCAAGTAAGTTATTTTGAAATAAGAACATATTAACTTAGGAGATTATTATAAAGGGTGGAAATAAATAATACCCAATGTCAAGGTAGGATTTAAAAATTGAGTTGACTTATTTTTTTAATGTTTCTAAAACATGAATGATAGAATATTAACTCTAGTCACTGCCTTCTTGCTCTAGTCATATGCATGGTTATATTTTCCTAGGGACAATCAGGAATAGAGCCAGCGCTACTGATTCTTCAATTCATGAAGAGATCATTGGTTTAGCATATATGTCAGGAGATTCTGTTGGTTCTGTGAGATGCTGTGAGTGACAAAGTCCAGAAAACATATTTGTTATATCAAACAGCCTAGATCTTACTTCTGTGGTTTATTCATAAGCACTTTGGAATAGTGCTTCTCAGCAATCATTTTAATGCTTATTTTCCTTGGAGTTTTGTGTCCATCTTTGGAAATATCTCTAAGATTTCTTTAGAAGTTGACCCAGGTGAGACTTCTTTAGATAGCACTCTGGCCTTCAATGTCTTTATTCTGTCATCTTTTATCAATTTACACAATGCTGACTGATTTAGAACATTGACACATCAGAAGTTACTCATATTTATAAAGCAGGCTTATTTAAATTCTTAAAATCAGAACAAGAAAAAAGTTCTGGGAAACCAACATCCACACAGTCTACTGTCCCCTCTATTCGCTATCTGGGGAACGCTAGGAAAAGTTTAGATATTATTGACAACGCTTTTTAGTCTTCTCTAGAAATAGAATTATTTTAAAACTCTGAGAAATCTAGAATCCATCTGAACTGGAATGATTTGTTTGGTCTTGGGGAGCAGACAAGAAGTTCATAACCATGAAATTATGCAGGCCCTTCTGGAACCTGCTTAAAAGTGGGAGTTTTTCTGATGCCTTGATTACCTCACCAGGGGCAGAAATTGTTAGGAGTGACAACCTTATAATCTTATTAACTTACCAACACTGGGAAATCAGATCTCACTTTACTAAGTATATTCACTTTCCCTTTTAATAAGAAAATAATCTCATATTTTCCTCCTTGAATCTCTAGAACTTAGCCCCTCATCCCTCAACTAATTAACTTTACCTTTTATGGAGAATATGGATACAAGCTGAAGGAAGCCACACTATCTTCTGGCCATTGATTCCACAATCTGAATTGCACTGGGATCCAAACATTTGGGCTTCTTTTTTACAATAGTGAAAATAGCCTTGCTTTTATCCCTCCATTGGTCTTCAGATGTTGCCCCTTCTTGTATTGTGGAAGAAGTTCCCTAGAGCATTTCTCTTCTGCAACCAGTACCTCTTACCTTCCTACCAGGTCATTCCGTCCATGTACTAAACATGTCTTAGACCATCTAATTAAAAGATATTTAAGTATCCCTCCAAGTACCACCATTATGAAGGTATAGACCTCACCTTCAAGGAAACATTTTCAAAGAAAATTCCCAGAGTTGTTATTACACTTTCTACCTTCCATTAACCCTCTCCAAGCAAGTTCCCATTCTCACCACCCCACTGAAATACCTCCTTCCAGACTACCTGTGATTTATATCTTGCCAAAGTCAATGGCCAATTTTCTATCCTTAAAAAACTTAAACTTTGAAGCTAGTTGACTGGTTGAGTTTTCCTAGATGCCAGAAATATTTTCTTCTCCAGGTTCCATAAAAATCCAGTCTTTTGATTTTCTGTCTACAACACTGGCCGTTCTTTCTTAGTCTTTTTTCTGTACTTCTCTCCTATCAAACTTCTAAATAGTGTGATTCCCAGGAATTTTTTTCTATTATCCTTTATTCTCTATGTAAGCTTCCTTTCTCATCCCTATTAATGACTTTAGATGCTGTGCTTACACAGATGACTCTTGAACTAATGTCTTTCACCCAGAATATTCTCCCACATTTCAGGTTTATACATCCAACTTTCTCATCAGCATCTTCCTTTGGAAGTCCAGTAGGCAACTCCAACCTAGCATGGCCAAGATTAAATTACTTATTTCAGCTGCCTCCCCCTGTTGGGTGCTGTGGCTCACACCTGTCATCCCAGCACTTTGGGAGGCCGAGGGGTTGGATCACCTGAGGCTGGGAGTATGAGACCAACCTGACGAACATGGAGAAACCCTGTCTCTACTGAAAATACAAAATTAGCCAGGTGTGGTGGTACACACCTGTAATCCCAGCTACTTAGGAGGCTGAGGCAGGAGAATTGCTTGAACCCGGGAGGCAGAGGTTGCAGTGAGCCAAGATCACGTCGCTGCACTCCAGCCTGGGCAACAAGAGCGAAACTCCATTAAAAAAAAAAAAAAACAAACAAACTTCCTCCCCCTAAACTGACTTCTTCTGTCCTAAATCTTCTTCATTACATTAAATGGAGCTACCACCCATCCAGTGGATTAGATCAAATAGTTAAGAGTAATCCTTCATCTCATTCTTTTTTCCCCACTCTATGTGGTCTATCAACAAGCCCCTTCATTTGCCATCATCTCCACTAACATGATCCTTGCACAGGCTATTGTCATCTTTCACTGAACTGCTGTAACAGCATCACAATTTAATTCCTTTCCTCTATTTTTGTCCCTTGCATTTAGTTCAACGTACAGAATCCAAGTTATGTGTGTAAAAGCATACACCAGCATATGTCACCTCCTGCTTAAACCTTCAATGGCTTTCAGTTGTAATCAGATGAAATGATTGGCCATTGCCTGTGAGTTCCTTGTGTTCCTCACCAACCTCATTCCTTTTCTCTCCATCATCACAGAAGGTGCCTGCCATACTGGCTTCCTTTTTGTCTTTTGAACAAACAGAGCTAATACGTGCATCAGAGATTTAACACTTGCAGATTATCTGCCGGGAACATTCTTTGGCTGCTTCCATGTTTTGGTTCAAGTCTCAACTCAAATGTTTTCTTCTCAGAGAAGTCTTTCCTACCTGAAATAGACTCCAGTCATTCTCTCATGTTAACCTATTTTATCTTTTACATGACACTTATTATTATTAGTCTCTGTAATTCCTTTCTGTATTTATTCATTTATGTACTTACTGTCTGTCTTTGCCTATGATAATGTGTGCTCTGGATGTCAGGGAATCTGTTCACCACAGCATTCCCAGTGCCCAGACTCTGTTCAGCACACAGTATGCATCCTGTGAAGGTTTTTTGTAGATTCTAGAAACAGGTCTCTATTCTCTATTGACGATATTAAATTTGCAAGCAAGCATAATTTCTGGAAGGGAAGATTCTCATGGTAATTTAGCCAACACTGTATGTTCCATTTTGTGAGTCATCTAGATATTGTCTTCTGGGAGATGTACACAGAGCACATGCTTCACATATAATAGGCAAATTTACTAATCCCATTTGTTTCCTGTATTTTGAACGTTACCAGGAGATATAGTGAAGAATTTGACTACGGGTTTCCCAGAGCAGTCACTAATTCAAACAAATGTTCACATATTAAATTATTTATAATAGTTCTTAGCTCTTAGAGCAAACCACAAAGACCCATTTAACCTTTATAGTTAAGACCTCAAGTCTCTTAATGGGCAGAAAGTGTTACAAAATATGGGCACTAGGAAGAGATTCTAGAGGTTGATAGAAAGTGGTAAGGATTAGAGTAGTGAGGAAGAAAAGAGGTTGGGATCTGACTTCTTCAGCTTATACAGATGCAAGATGGGTCAGTGATGCCTATAGTATTTGTTTGAAGAAGTGGTTATATATATAGATATAGATATCCTTATTATAAATATTATATGCCTTGCAAGAAAAGTCATCAGCAAACAATTTAAAAACATGTATGTAAGTGGGCCAGGTGCAGTGGCGCATGCCTGTAATCCCAGCACTTTGGGAGGCCAAGGCTGGAGAATTGCTTGAGGCCAGGAGTTCAAGACCAGCCTGGGAAACATGGAGAGACCCAGTCTCTATAAAAATGAAATTAAAAAAATTAGCTGTTTATGGTGGTGTGCACCTGTAGTCCTAGCTGCTCGAGAGGCTGAGGCAAAAAGGTCTTCTGAGCCCGGGAAGTTGAGGCTGCAATGAACTGTGATTGTACCGCTGCACTCCAGCCTGAGTGACAGAGTAAGACTCTGTCTCAAAAATAAATAAATAAAATTTTAAAAGTTAAATTTGTTTCCAAAAAACCCATGTAAGCATAATCTTTTGAATTCAGAGTATTCCAGAATGAAACCTGCAAACGAAATTGATAAATGAGTGATTTCCTGATATAACTGTCCATGAGTCCACAAACGTAATTGAAATTCAATGCTATAGCAACTACACTAAACAGACCATGGGATGGAGTGTTGAAAAGTCTTTCATTAAGACAGATGAATCTATACTTATAAAAGTGAACAAAAAAAAGACACACACACATACACGTATTTTCACTATTTATTTATATATATAAAAATAAATAAATGGTGAAGGTGCAAAACAAAACTAAAACAGCAGCGAAAGAAAAAAAAAATTAGACTGGGCTGCCCTACCCCTAACAAGCTATGTTTCCAGAGATACATTACTAACCCCTCTGGACCTCAGTGCTCTGTACTCTAAGATGTAAAGTCTGTACTATATGTTTTATAAGATCTTTATTCAAAACAGTTGTTCTGTGTTACCAAGGAGACTCTTTGGATGAATATCTTTTGTGGATAAAATCTTTCTCTATTCTTAGGATACTCAGATGAAGCTGCTCCTATGAGTTTTGAAAATAGGTGAGAATATTTCTTTAAATAACTGAAATTGTGTCTTAAATATAATAACAAGCTTTGTTTTAAAAAGTTTACAACAAAACTGATTCATATCATGTACAAACTAACTACTGACTTGTAATAATTCCTGATGTGTTAGTACAAATATTTTCTGTAAGACCTTATATACGTAAATTCATAATCTATTGTATTCACTAAGAAGCCAAAACATTCTGGAAGAAAAAGAATATTAAGAAAAGCATTGACAGGTAAATTTTTCCCAGAAATTAAATGATTATGTAATGCTAAGATGTGAGGGCCAGGTGCGGTGGCTCACACCTGTAATCCCAAAACTTCGGGAGGCCGAAGTGAGTGTATTACCTGAGGTCAGGAGCTGAGACCAGCCTGGCCAACATGGTGAAACCACATCTCTACTAAAAATACAAAACTACCTGGGCGTGGTGGTACACACCTGTAGTCCCAGCTACTCCGGAGGCTGCGGCAGAAGAATCGTTTAGAACCCAGGAGGCGGAGGTTGCAGTGAGCTGAGATCCCGCCATTGCATTCCAGCCTGGGTGACAGCACAAGACTCTGTCTCAGAAAAAAAAAAAAAAGATGTGCAATGTGAAGCCATTAGCACTATCAAATCACTACATCCTATGAATGCTAATCTGCCTAATGAAGGCAAGTTTTTAGTTGGGGAACATAAAATTACCCTAATAAGAAGACAGAGAATTTTAAAAAGGAATGCATGGAAAAGG
The DNA here is from genome assembly GCF_000001405.40 of Homo sapiens. Classification (NCBI taxonomy): domain Eukaryota; kingdom Metazoa; phylum Chordata; class Mammalia; order Primates; family Hominidae; genus Homo; species Homo sapiens. The sequence goes on from NC_000004.12 coordinate 172,453,365, forward strand.
TCTGACTTTTCATTTTAAAAAGTATTATGCTTGAAATGCTGATTATTTTAGCTATAAATCATGCAACTAACTCTCTCCTTGAAACCATTAGGGTTTAAAGCTGATTTACTTAGAGTTGCTACTAATTACATGAGTTTTAAATGACACATCTGCAGTTGTATTAAGAGGAAACAAAAGCAGAGGCACATACAACTCTGATCAACAAGGAATATTTGCAGTCTACTTAATCCTTTACCTCCTTGCTTAAATGCTTTTCACCATCTGAAATTTGTCATGAGCTGTACAAAAGGTCATCATTAAAATACGAAAAGTTCCCAGCATGTGAGGAGGAAAGTTACAGAGGATACACTGGGAGTTAAGGACTTAATAAAATGTTTTATTTTTATTTCCTTTTCTGGCAAAGATGCTGAATGCATTTATCTGCTTTTTTCTTCTAATTCAACAGGCCACTGCGACACCCTTAGGAGAGAGGCAAATAAGTCCAGAGTACTAAATGACAGCAAGAAACATGACATAGACTGTTAGTTCCATCCCTGAAAACATGCCCCATTCGTAAAATAAATAAGACTGTACAACTTACAGAAATATAGTAAACAATACTATGAAGGAATTAATCTACTTTAAGAAATATTTACTGAGAACATCCTACAGGCAAGCATGGTGCTATGTCCTCCACAAATTCCAGAGCCTGCCCATTGCACATTTATAATGTTTCAGTGGAGGAAAAGATAACTGTAAAATTTTATTCAAAGCCCAATGGAATGAATCCCATAAAAAAAATAATAAGAGGCTTCAGGGAGTCAGAAAAAGATTTACTGTAGCTTGGGAATTAGGAAAACTGCCCTCATGTGTTTTCCTCTACATTTGCTCATGATCTCCCACCTCCATCCTTGGTCCTATTCCAGTTTACTGATAAAACATAATTGAGTCAAAAAATATATCATCAGCTTCAGTCCCGTTGATAAAGATGGTCTTTCTTCTAAATCTAAAATCCACCCAAATCTGGATACAATGCAATAGCTTCTAGGACCATTATGTCTCTGTTTCTCAAGTTGGTCTATTTAAAAAACAAAGTGTCATTTGGATCCCCATTCCAAGATGCATGAGGTACATAGATGTTTTGACAGAGGCCTTTGCATCCTTCTGGGCTCTTGCCAAATCCATTCTCAGAAACTGAATCCATCTCCTGTACTTGCAGCCCACTGGGCAGAATTCTACTAGTTATGGAAAGATTAGAAATAATTGGTGCCCAAGTGTCCAACATAGAATAAACTTGTCACTGCTGTACCCTGCCACTCCACTGTCTCAACTCCTGGTATCAACAACTGTCAATCACACCAGAGCTTTAGACTCTATATTGTACATCAACCTGGATGCTCAGGTTAGTTCCTCAGACTAGTTCAAATAGTCTCCTGTCCTGTGTGTATTCAGGCTTCCCAGTGTAGCTCTCCAGCCCCATTGCTAGCTCCAAGTGACTTCACAATAAGCCAAATGAAAATAGGAAATCCTTTTCATCATGCAGGCATTTTTTTTTAAAGATTTTTTTTCAGTGCCTGGCAAGATGGCCAAATAGGAACAGCTCCAGTCTGCAGCTCCCAGCAAGATCAATGCAGAAGGCAGGTGATTTCTGCATTTCCAGCTGAGGTACCCAGCCCATCTCACTGGGACTGGTTAGGCAAGGGGTCCAGCCCATGGAGGGTGAGCAGAAGCAGGGTGGGGCATCACCTCACCCAGGAAGCGAAAGGATTTGGGGAACTCCCCTAGCCAAGGGAAGCCATGAGGGACTGTGCTGTGAGGAACAGTGCACTTTGGCCCAGCTACTACACTTTTCTGATGGTCTTAGCAACCCGCAGACCAGGAGGTTCCTTGGGTGCCTACACCACCAGGGCCCTGGGTTTCAAGCACAAAACTGGGCAGCCATTTGGGCAGACACCAAGCTAGCTGCAGGAGTTTTTGTCATACCTCAGTGGCGCCTGGAACACCAGCGAGACAGAACCATTCACTCCCCTGGAAAGGGGGCTGAAGCCATGGAGCCAAGTGGTCTAGCTCAGCGGATCCCACCCCTATGGAGCCCAGCAAGCTAAGATCCACTGGCTTGAAATTCTTGCTGCGAGCACAGCAGCCTGAAGTGACCTGGGACACTCGAGCTTGGGTCGGGGAAAGGCGTCCACCATTACTGAGGCTTGAGTAGGTGGTTTTCCCTTCACAGTGTAAACAAAGCCACCGGGAAGTTTGGACTGTGTGGAGCCCACCGCGTCTCGGCAAAACCACTGTAGCCAGACCTCATCTCTAGATTCCTCCTCTCTGGGCAGGTCAAGTCTGAAAGAAGGCAGCAGCCACAGTCAGGGGCTTATTCCCATCTCCCTGGGACAGAGCGCCTAGGGGAGGGGGCAGCTGTGCACGCAGCTTCAGCAGACTTAAAAGTTCCCGCCTGATGGCTCTGAAGAGAGGAATAGATCTCCCAGCACAGCGCTCAAGCTCTGCTAAGGGACAGACTGCCTCCTCAAGTGGGTCCCTGACCCCAGTGCCTCCTGACTGGGAGACACCTCCCAGCAGGGGTCAACAGACACCTCATACAGGAGAGCTCCAGCTGGCATCTGACGGTTACCCCTCTGGGACAAAGCTCCCAGAGGAAGAAACAGGCAGCAATCTTTGCTGTTCTGCAGCCTCTGCTGGTGATACTCAGGTAAACAGGGTCTGGAGTGGACCTTCAGCAAACTCCAGCAGACTTGCAGCAGAGGGACCTGACTGTAAGAAGGAAAACTAACAAACAGAAAGGAATAGCATCAACATCAACAAAAAGGACATTCACACAAAAAAACCATCCAAAGGTCACCAACATTAAAGGCCAAATGTAGATAAATCCACAAAGATGAGGAAAAAACAGTGCAAAAAGGCTGAAAATTCCAAAAACCAGAACACCTCTTCTCCTCCGAAGGATCACAACTCCTTGCCAACAAGGAAACAAAACTGGACAGAGAATGAGTTTGATGAATTGACAGAAGTAGGCTTCAGAAGGTGGGTAATAACAAACTCCTCCAAGCTAAAGGAGCATGTTCTAACCCAATGCAAGGAAGCTAAAACCTTGAAAAAAAGTTACAAAAATTGCTGATTAGAATAACCAGTTTAGAGAAGAACATAAATGACCTGATGGAGCTGAAAAACACAGCACAAGAACTTTGTGAAGCATTCACAAGTATCAATAGCCAAATCGATCAAGCAGAAGAAAGGATATCAGAGATTGAAGATCAGCTCAATGAAATAAAGCGTGAAGACAAGATTAGAGAAAAAATAATGAAAACGAACAAACAAAGCCTCCAAGAAATATGGGACTATGTGAAAAAAACAAACCTATGTTTGATTGGTGTACCTGAAAGTGACGGGGAGAATGGAACCAAGTTGGAAAACACTCTTCAGGATATTATCCAGGAGAACTTCCCCAACTTAGCAAGGCAGGCCAACATTCAAATTCAGGAAATACAGAGAACACCACAAAGATATTCCCTGAGAAGAGCAACCCCAAAACACATAATTGTCAGATTCACCAAGGTTGAAATGAAGGAAAAAATATTAAGGGCAGCCAGAGAGAAAGGTCAGGTTACCCACAAAGGGAAGCCCATTAGACTAACAGAGGATCTCTCTGCAAAAACCCTACAAGCCAGAAGAGAGTGGGGGCCAATATTCAACATTCTTAAAGAGAAGAATTTTCAACCCAGAATTTCATATCCAGCCAAACTAAGCTTCATAAGCAAAGGAGAAATAAAATCCTTTACAGGCAAGCAAATGCTGAGAGATTTTGTCACCACCAGGCCTGCCTTACAAGAGCTCCTGAAGGAAGCACTAAATATGGAAAAAAAAAAACCCAAAAAAACAGTACCAGCCACTGCAAAAACATACCAAATTGTAAAGACCATTGACACCATGAAGAAACTGCATCAACTAACGGGCAAAATAACCAACTAGCATCATAATGACAGGATCAAATTCACACATAACAATATTAACCTTAAATATAAATGGGCTAAATGCCCCAGTTAAAAGACACAGACTGGAAAATTGTATAAAATGTCAAGACCCATCAGTGTGCTGTATTCAGGAGGCCTATCTCACGTGCAAAGACATACGTAGGCTCAAAATAAAGGGATGGAGGAATATTTACCAAGCAAATGGAAAGCAAAAACAAGCAGGGATTGCAATCCTAGCCTCTGATAAAACAGACTTTAAACCAACAAAGATCAAAAGAGACAAGGGCATTATATCATTGTAAAGGGATCAATGCAACAAGAAGAGCTAACTATCCTAAATATATATGCACCCAATACAGGAGCACCCAGATTCATAAAGCAAGTTATTAGAGTGATACAAAGTGACTTAGATTCCCACACAATAATAATGGGAGACTTTTTAACACCCCACTGTCAATATTAGACGTATCAACGAGACAGAAAATTAACAAGGATATTCAGGACTTGAACGCAGCTCTGGACTAAGCAGATCTAACAGACATCTACAGAACTCTCCACCCCAAATCAACAGAATATACATTCTTCTCAGCATCACATCGCACTTATTCTAACATTGACCACATAATTGGAAGTAAAACACTCCTCAGCAAGTACAAAAGAATGGAAATCATAACAATCATAACAAACAGTCTCTCAGACCACAGTGCAATCAAATTAGAACTCAGGATTAAGAAACTCACTCAAAACCACACAACCACATGGAAACTGAACAACGTGCTCCTGAATGACTACTGGGTAAATAACGAAATTAAGGCAGAAATAAAGGTTTTCTTTGAAACCAATGAGAACAAAGACATAACGTACCAGAATCTCTGGGACACATTTAAAGCAGTGTGTAGAAGGAAATTTATAAAACTAAATGCCCACAGGAGAAACCAGGAAAGATCTAAAATTGACATTTCAACATCACAATTAAAACTACTAGAGAAACAAGAGCAAACAAATTCAAAACCAAGCAGAAGACAAGAAATAACTAAGATCAGAGCAGAACTGAAACAGATAGAGATATGAAAAACCCTGCAAAAACTCAGTGAATTCAGGAGCTGGTTTTTTTGAAAAGATCAACAAAATAGATAGACTGCTAGCCAGGCTAATAAAGAAGGTAAGAGAGATGAATCAAATAGAGGCAATAAAAATGATAAAGGGGATATCACCACTGATCCCACAGAAATACAAACTACCATCAGAGAATACTATGAACACCTCTATGCAAATAAACTAGAAAATCTAGAGGAATTGGATAAATTCCTGGACACATACACCCTCCCAGGACTAAACCAAGATGAAGCCAAATCCTTGAATAGACAAGTTCTGAAATTGAGGCAGTAATTAATAGCCTACCAACTAATAAAAGCCCAGGACCAGACAGATTCACAGCTGAATTCTACCAGAGGTGCAAAGAGGAGCTGGTGCCATTCCTTCTGAAACTATTCCAAACAACAGAAAAAGAGGGAATCCTCCCTAACTCATTTTATGAGGCCAGAATCATCCTTATACCAAAACCTAGCAGAGACACAACAAAAAAGAAAATTTCAGGCCAATATCCTCGATGAATATCGATGTGAAAATCCTCAATAAAATACTGGCAAACTAAATTCAGCAGCACATCAAAAAGCTTATCCACCAGGATTAAGTCGGCTTCATCCCTGGGATGCAAGGCTGGTTCAACATACGGAAATCAATAAATGTAATCCATCACATAAACAGAACCAATGACAAAAACCACATGATTATCTCAATAGATGCAGAAAAGGCCTTCGATAAAATTCAACACCCCTTCATGCTAAAAACTCTCAATAAACTAACCAGTGTTGGAATGTATCTCAAAATAATAAGAGCTATTTATGACAAATCCACAGCCAATATCATACTGAACGGGCAAAAGCTGGAAGCATTCCCTTTGAAAACCAGCACAAGACAAGGTTGCCCTCTCTCACCACTCCTATTCAACATAGTATTGGATGTTCTGGCCAGGGCAATCAAACAAGAGAAAGAAATAAAGCGTATTCAAATAGGAAGAGAGGAAGTCAAATTGCCTCTGTATGCAGATGACATGATTGTATATTTAGAAAACCCCATTGTCTCAGCCCAAAATCTTCTTAAGCTGATAAGCAACTTCAGCAAAGTCTCAGGATACAAAATTAATGTGCAAAAATCACAAGCATTCTATACATCAATGATAGACAAACAGAGAGTCAAATCATGAGTGAACTCCCATTCACAATTGCTACAAAGAGAATAAAATACCTAGGAATACAACTTACAAGGGATATGAAGGACCTCTTCAGGGAGAACTACAAACCACTGCTCAAGGAAATAAGAGAGGACTCAAACAAATGGAAAACATTCCATGCTCATGGGTAGGAAGAATCAACGTTGTCAAAATGGCCATACTGCCCAATGTAATTTATAGATTCAGTGTTATCCCCATCAAGCTACCATTGACTTTCTTCACAGAATTAGGAAAAAAACTACTTTAAATTTCATATGAGACCAAAAAAGAGCCCATGTAGCCAAGACAATCTTAAGCAAAAAGAACAAAGCTGGAGGCATCACGCTACCTGACTTCAAACCATACTACAAGTCTATAGTAACAAAAACAGCATGGCACTGGTACCAAAACAGATATATAGACCAATGGAACGGAACAGATCAGAGGCCTCAGAAATAATGCCACACATCTACAACCATCTGATCTTTGACAAACCTGACAAAAACAAGCAATGGGTTAAGGATTCCCTATTTTATAAATGATGTTGGGAAAACTGGCTAGACATATGCAGAAGAGTGAAACTGAACCCCTTCTTTGTATCTTATGCAAAAATTAACTCAAGATGGATTAAAGACTTAAATGTAAGACCTAAAACCATGAAAACCCTTGAAGAAAACCTAGGCAATACCATTTAGGACATAGTCATGGGCAAAGACTTCATGACTAAAACACCAAAAGCAATGGCAAAAAAAGCCAAAATTGACAAATGGGACCTAATTAAACTAAAGAGCTTCTGCACAACAAAAGAAATGATCATCAGAGTGAATAGACAACCTACAGAATGGGAGAAAATTTTTGCAACCTATCCATCTGACAAAGGGCTAATATCCAGAATCTACAAGGAACTTAAACAAATTTAAAAGAAAAAGACAACCCCATCAAAAAGTGGGCAAAGGATATGAACAGACACTTCTCAAAAGAAGACATTTATGCAGCCAACAAACATATGACAAAAAGCTTATCATCACTGGTCATTAGAGACATGCAAATCAAAACCACAGTGAGATACCATCTCATGCCAGTTAGAATGGCAATCATTAAAAAGTCAAGAAACAACAGATGCTGGAGAGCATGTGGAGAAATAGGAGTGCTTTTACACAGTTGGTAGGAATGTAAATTAGTTCAACTATTGTGGAAGACAGTGTGACAATTCCTCAAGGATCTAGAACCAGAAATACCATTTGATCCAGCAATCCCATTACTGGGTATATACCCAAAGGATTATTAATCATTCTACTATAAAGATACGTACACGTGTATGTTTATTTCAGCACTATTCACAATAGCAAAAGCTTGGAACCAACCCAAATGCCCATCAATGATAGATTGGATAAAAAAAATGTGGCCCATATATACCATGGAATACTATGCAGCCATAAAAAATGATGAGTTCATGTCCTTTGGAGGGACATGGTTGAAGCTGGAAACCATCATTCTCAGCAAACTAACACAGGAACAGGAACCCAAACACCACATGTTATCACTTATAAATGGGAGTTGAACAATGAGAACACATGGACACAGGGAGGGAAAGATCACACACTGGGACCTGTTGGGGGGTGGGGCTAGGGGAGGGATAGCATTAGTAGAAAAACCTAATGTAGGTGACGGGTTGATGAGTGCAGCGAACCACCATGGCATGTGTGTACCTATGTAACAAACCTGCATGTTCTTCACATGTATCCCAGAACTTAAAGTATAAGAAATAAAAGATTTTTTTTCTCATAAGGGAAGATAAATTTTATAGCTAAAATAAAATGCAAAATGTGCAGCTCAGGCAGGTGAAATGTCTGGTTGGACCACAGAACTTACTAATTACTCTTATCTTTTAGGCATCTGAGTTTTCTACTGCTTCTTGTTGTAGACACTGCTCCTCTCGCCACTTTTATTGCAGGGGAACAGTGTTTCACTCTGGCCCAAAAAAGGATAAATATCCCTTCCTTTGATTCTTTTTGCATGACTAAGAGGAGCTAGAATTTTCCTATTGCTTTACTAAATTGTAAAAGAGAATAAATGAATACTACATAAAGTATATTCAGTTGAATGTTTTTGCTTATAAGGTCAGAGTTACTACTTAGCTTGCTTTTGGGCACTCTTGGGCACTATTCAAAGATCAAAGAGTGGAACTATAGATCTGTGATGGTTAATTTTGTATTTCAACTTCACTGGGCTATGGGATGCCCAGATAGCCAGTAAAACATTATTTATCAATGTGTCTGTGAAGGTGTTTTTGGAAGAGATCAGCATTTGAATTGGAGAACTGAGTAAAGCAGATGACCCTGCCCAATGTGACTGGGCAGCATCCAATATGTTAAGGGACTAAATAGAAAAAAAAGGCAGAGGAAGGGTGAATTTGCTCTCTCTCCTTGACCTGAGACATCCATCTTCTCTTGTGTTTGGATATTGGTGCTCCTGGTTCTAATGCTTTCAGGCTCAGAGGAGGACTTACACCATCAGCACCTCACCCTCATTTTCAGGCCTTCAGACTCAACCTAAATTACACCACTAGTTTTCATAATTCTCCAGCTTGCAGACAGCAGATATTGGGACTTTTTGGCCTCCATATCCATGTGAGCTAATTCCCTGTTATCTATATCTATACCTATATATCCATCTCTTTATTCTGTTCTGCTGGTTTTGTTTCTGTAGGTAATCCTGACTAATAGAAGCACCAAAAGACTAGTATTATTTACAGCTGCCTTGTGTGGGTCTTAAGATATAAAAAGTGTGCTTACCTATAGAGACAGGATGTTATGCATGAGGCCTGGCCCAGGTAGCTAAGTAAAACAAAATCAAAAACAGATAGCTTCTTCTCTGATGTGTTTTCCAATCTTAGGAATCTTAGTGATCCGCTAACCTACAGTGTCACTTTCAGTAAACTTTTCGCTCCTTAGGGAGTGTGCCTGCCAAATGATTTTATCTATACAGCTCCATCAGTATAACTGCTTATTTAAAACAACATAATATTTAATATGCCATGCAATCCCTGGATTGCAAGTTTCAAGAGTACTGGATTATATATTTTTCACTAATATATTACTAAAGCTTTGCACAATACATGGAAAACAGATGTGTCAAGAAATATGTGTTGCCCAATTGAATAAATTGGAATTGCGTCTATAAGATGAAGGGAAGAGGAGAAGGAAAAGTTGCATACTTCCTTTCAGCCTTAGACAGCAGGTAGGATTTCAGAAGACAGAAATTTAGGGTGAGGATACTCCAAACAAGCACCTTAAACAAGACAATCCAGAAAAGTGTGAGGACCATAATGAAATGTGTTGTAAAGAGTGAGTAATTCTGTCTGTGTCATATCCACAAAATACAAGGACTGCCTAAACACACCAATTTTGTTACAGTTCCTTTTTAGATCATTATAAGATATCTAAAACCTGATTTGGTTACCATCAGTTTATTTTCCTCATGGTTTGCTTTGTAACTTGTATGCAGGAAGATAAATAATGAGAGCTGTTTCAAAAAACACAAGAGCTTAGAAGGATTGTAACTGCAGTTATTGATTGAAGTGGAAAAATAAATATAAAATATATCATCTTGCTATTTCTAGAGCAGGAAGGAAAAAAATAATATCAAATGAGGGAGAAAGCAAACCTCTTTCTCCCTCATAGGGAGCATAGGATGACACTAAAAAAATCAACATTCTCAGAAAATGAGAGACAGAAAAAAAAAAAAAGAACACTTAAGTAAAACCTGAAGGAAGACTAGTAGTCAGACTTTTGGATGTGTCAGGATTACTCATAATTATAATGCCTATATCGGTATGTAGCCAGAAAAAGTGAAATACGCTTAGAATACAAGCAAGAAATTGACCGTGCTTTGTAAATGCGTGTTTCTATTTCATTCATCTCTTCATGTATTCACCTGCTCTATGCCATGCACTGTACTAGATTACAGGGATGCGACAGAAAGATGCAGTAACTAGGCTCCTGGAGTCCTTCACCGAATTAGAGAGATACATACAAAATAAATAATTGTATCATTAACTAATTAATAACAATGTGATGAGGGATATGAAGGAGAATTCCAGGGGACTAAGGGAATATTTAACTGGAAGACCCTAATTTAGTCAATGAAATTAGAAAAGGCTTTTCTGAAAAAGTACCCTTTTCATATGCAAGCAATCTGTGGATGATTATTTCATACTTGCATGATTTTCTATTGATAAATGCCCCCACAATATTTTGTTTTACCTTTAAATAGTATATATTATTAGTTTTCAACCATTGTCTGTTTGCCCGTATAGCTAACACTTATGAATAATAGTTACTTTCTACGGATAAGGAACCTGGATAAGGATATGGACAAGGAATTCTGGATCTTATTTCATCTTATTCTTTTCTGTCCAGGTTGAGTGATGCTCTTTGTTTGTCTTTTTCTTTTCTTTTTCCTTTTATGGCATTTTTTATATGAGACAGGGTCTTGCTACATTGGCTGGGTTGGTCTTGAATTCCTGGCCTCAAGCAATCCTCCCACCTTGGTCTCCCAAAGCGTTAGGATTACAGGTGCAAGCCACTGCACCTGGCCCTTTGTTTTTCTTTGTCTTGCCAGGTTTAGACAATACAATAAATAGTAGAAAAATTATGACTTGCAGAACAGGGGTAATAATAATAGTAATAATAATGATGATGATGACTAATATTGAGAATTTATTATGCACCAGGCACTGTTCTAAATATTTTGTGAACATTAAGTACTTCCTATTGATAAAGACCTAGAAATTTTAATATGGTCATAATTCAAGCCGAATGAGGCCAGGCATGGTGTCTCATGCCTGTAATCCCAGCATTTTGGGAGGCTGAGGCAGGTGGGTCACCTGAGGTCAGGAGTTCAAGACCAGCCTGGCCAACATGGTGAAACCTTGTCTCTACTAAAAATACAAAATTAGCCGAGTGTGGTGGCGCATGCCTGTAGTCTCAGCTACTCAGGAGGCTGAGGCAAGAGAATCTCTGGAACCCAAGAGGCAGAGGCTGCAGTGAGCCGAGATCGCACCACTGCACTCCAGCCTGGGTGAGACAGAGTGAGACTCTGTCTCAAAAATAATAATAATAATAATAATAATTTCAAGCTGAATGAAATTTCTTTAAGTTATATTAAAGCAAATCAAAGCACAATTCTATGTACACTTTAAGCTGGAGAAATTAATTCCAACTATCTTTTATATACAAAAAATCTCTGATATATAGGTTTTAATATAATAATTTCAGATTATTTTTCTGAATCCTGTCATAAAATTTTACATTTATAAAACTCAATGTGTGTTCTTCAACACTTAGCACAGCAATGAACCCAAGGAGGCATAGACTTGGAATAAATATTTTTAAGTGAAACATCGTAATGAAAAAAACAATACTGATTTTTATTTCCTCGGCTGAGGTTCTTTGGCTTGAACATGATTAATGCAATCTTTGACATCTTTTACTTTGTTATCTAGGGTTCAGCATGCTGACAATATTTCCAGTGGTGCATGGGTCTTTCAATATCTCCATTTGATGGTCTGCTATATTTAAGAAACTAGTACTGGCAGCGCGCGGTGGCTCACGCCTGTAATCCCAGCACTTGGGGAGGCCGAGGCAGGTGGATCACGAGGTCAGGAGATCCAGACCATCCTGGCTAACACGGTGAAACCCCATCTCTACTAAAAATACCAAATATTAGCCGGGCATGGTGGTGAGCGTCTGTAGTCCCAGCTACTCGGGAGGCTGAGGCAGGAGGATGGTGTGAACCTGGGAGGCGGAGCTTGCAGTGAACAGAGATAGAGCCACTGCACTCCAGCTTGGGCGACAGAGCGAGAATCCGTCTCAAAAAAAGAAAAAAAAAGAAAAAGAAAAAGAAACTAGTACTTGGTATTTCATTAATTGTGAGATTTTTTAAAAATTTATGTTTTTATACTTGATGCCCTTTACTAATTAAATGAGGTAGGAATCCTGGCATGAATATGAAGAAACAAAAATAGCAAACTCCAAACATGCCACCCAACTACCTAACATATATTTCTGATCAAAACTTAGGATTCCATATGCAAATAATCTTACATACCTGGTCTTTGTTATATAAATGTTCTGTCCTGAGTTTGAGAAGATCATAACAAGTAGTCTGTCAAACAACCCAGGGTAATAATACAAGTTTTTCTGAATCATATCCACACCTTTTATAAAAAATGTCCAGCAGTTGCATTTAGAAATATGTAATAATTTTTACTAAGATGTTGCAACATGCTTTATGGCTTTTCTTCAAAATTATATTTCCTAATATTGTACAGATTGGTTTCCCATCCTAAAAGTCAGTTTTTTTAAAAAACTGTCCCAAATTTTCGAGTGTCTTCATTTCTTAAAATGTTTTTGTAACAAATACTAAAATCATTGAGTGTGTTTTCAACAAAATGAGATTATGTCATAAAATGCGTCTTTAATAACTTTTAGTAACATTTTGAAGGAACGATGAAATGATTACTTTTCCTTTAGTAGCTTCAGTGACTGTCTAGCAAAATCTCACAAGATGGCAAGAATTAATCCAAAGCTGAACAAAGCTAAGACATCACTTCCTAAAAAGCGTTTCTTTTACATAAATAAAATATAAATTAACTTAAAATTTATTTTTGAAAATGTACAAAAGTAATGTGATAGTTGAATTTCAAAAACAAGGTCCTATGAACTTCCACTTGTAATTTTAAAATAGCAGCTACATTAGAGGTAAAGTTTTAATTTCTGGAAAAGTAATACCTAACGAAAAGAATAAATTTTTTTATTTATTTTTCATTTTCTTAGTCTTGTATCTCAAGATTTGCAGCTAGGCTGGAGTTGACAAGTACAGCGCACTCTTAATTAAAGTTACATTGAAGACAAAGATTAGAAATAAAAGTAGATGCTTTGTGAAAAGCATTGGCCTTTGGTTTCCCTTTTACACTTTTCTTAGAAGTAAAAAACACGCTATTAATAGAGAAGTCTGTACTCATAAATGTCACTGATCCATCAGTTGGTACATTTGAAGAAAAATAAAACTTCTTTCACCTAACAGCAGCTCAGATTGGACCATGAACTGCTGTCAAATGTTCACAAAGCCAGGAGGAAATATAAATAGGATTATCTCAGGTAATTTTCTTTTAAAAATTGCCTGTGAGACTTTAGATAACTAGTGTCTTATACTGCAAATTTATTATCTTGTTTCTTTTCTTTTTCTCATCTCAGTATGCTTATAGACCTCCTCTGAAAGGTTTCGAATCTTACGAGATTTGCATTTACATTTCACTTTGCTGCACAGTGCACAAGTGTTCCTTAGTAACGCTGCAACTGATTTTAGCTTAGAAACTTCCACCTTGTATTATTAACTGTCTGGGAGGATGCCCAGAATTTAACTGGACTACTCTAAGTCACTAACATGCCTTATTAATCAATACATCAACTCTTAGGGCATAGAAACTCAAAGCAGTACACTAGAATGAAAAAGATTATTTGTAAGCTAACTAGAAGAAAACTTTAGCAATATAAAAGAGAAAAGGCCGTGATAATTAAAACCAGCACAATTCAGGCTACAGTTGGAATGAATCTATTCCTACATAGATGTATACAAATTGTTCTAAAACCACTAGCATGATTGAATCAATTAGCTACTGCATAAAAGCCTCAACAATTAGTTGTTTAAAACACCACCATTTGTTTAGCACATGATTCAGCTACTCAGTAAATTTCGTAGGGTTCAGAGAATAGTTCTGGCATCATTTGGGCTACCCTATGCAACTGCGAGTCTCCTGAGAGATTATTTCTGCAGCTTGACTGGCTGATGGTTGGGGTCCCTTGGCCCTCCCATATCATGGAGTCGCTCATCCTCCAGCAGGCTCGGTTTGTCACATGGCAGTGTCAAGGTTCACAGGGAGAGGGGGAAAGAGAGTATGTCTGGTATCTTGAGGTATCTTCCTGGTACTGGCACACTGTCAATTATACCACTTCCTATTGGCCAAAGCATGTCATAAGACTAGCCCACATTTAAGAGGTGGGGAAAGAAACTTTACCCCTTTCTGTATTTATGGCATTTAAAATAAGAATTTGGAAAGAAAAATTGAAGCCATCCTTGCAATCAGCTTATTGAAATATTTTACTTTCTGAACATTTGTTGAGAGATAAAAGCATTTTACATTTTCTTTCTTTCTTTCTTTCTTTCTTTCTTTCTTTCTTTCTTTCTTTCTTTCTTTCTTTCCTTCTTTCCTTCTTTTCTTTTCTTTCTTTTTTTTTTTTTTTTACTTGAGGCAGGATCTTGCTCTGCCACCCAGGCTGAGTACAGTGGTGTGATCATAGCTCACTACAGCCTGGAACTCCTGGGCTCAGGTGATCCTCCTACTTCAGCCTCTGAGTAGCTGGGACTATAGGCATACACCACCACACCCTGCTATTTATCTACTTTTTGTAGAGATAAAGTCTTGAGATGTTACCCAGGCTGTTCTCAAACTCCTAGCCTTAAGCAATCCTCCGCCCTTGGCCTCCCAAAGTTCTGGGATTACAGGCATGAGCCACTGTACTCAGCCTACATTTCCCAATACTGTGATTTAAAATAAGCTGTTGAATTCCACCTTACTATGACAATTTTATTGAATCATTTTTTAAAAACTATCTATGAAATCCCCATCCCAACTTCTGTTTCTTTCCATAATGCTAGGATTTCTGAGTAATTTAAAATGCAGAGACATCTGATGGAGCTATATTTTGCTTAAGACTATTAGAAATATATGGTTTGGAAGAATAATTCCAATTAGTCTTTTTCAAACATTTACTATATGACTGTTATTGTTATATAATCTATTGGGTACAAATGAAATGAAAGTAAATTGTCCTTCCTGTAAGGGGATTATATTCATTTTGAAGATGCAAGGTTATATATATAATTATTAGTCAAATAAGAAATGTTAGAAACTATTTGATCTATTTATATATTTTATAGAAATGTCTCCTCCTATAATAGTCCTACTGTTTATGACACAACTTGAGAACACTGTAATGCCCAATAAGGTGGTAGGTTGTAAGTCAAGCAAGAAATACAAAAGGAATTAGAATTAGGAGAGAGACATCGAAGCAAGTATTTTCAGGGAAGATTACATTGAGCGGGTGGGACTTAAATGGGCCTTGAATGGTCTTGGTATTTGTGCAAATATTAAATTAGCATCTCCCTATTCTGAGCCCACCCTTCTACACTCTTCTCTAACATATTAGAGTTACAACTCTACAAACCTATTCTTCCTTTTCAGCTGGCTTCGTGTTAGGCTCTGCCAACAGGGAGCATTAGAGGGAGACTAAAAAGCTTAAGAAATTATTATTACTATTTTTATGAGACTTAATCCTAAGAATGGCAAGGATTCATTGGTTGGCATTTGTTCTGCAAATGAGGACTCTTCACCCATGACCCTCTCCTGACAGAGCATGGGACCCACCTGGAGATGAGTTGAGCCAAGTCTATGGAAGGAAAGTCTGGGGACAAAGAACAGGAATGGTCATGAGAAGATTAAAGGGTATGGTTACACAATTGGACTCATTGAAACAGAAGGTCTCTATTGGGAAATGATGGAAAATATGCATGGATATAGAGGTAGATTATCTTGGAAAGTCAGGCAGAATCGCTGCCTTAACAAACATAACCACAGTGTTACAGTAAAGAAATGTTGGGGCTAGGTGCGGTCCCTCATGTCTGAAACCCCAGCACTCTGAGAGATCAAAGTGGGAGAATCACTTGAGGTCAGGAGGTGTAGACCAGCCTGGGCAACATAGTGAGACCTCATCTCTACAAAAAATAAAAAAAAAAAATAGCCAGTCATGATGGTGCACACACTTCCAAACTATCAAAGCAGTGTCAGCTACTTTGGAGGTTGAGGCAGGAGAAACACTTGAGCCCAGGATTTGGAGGCTGCAGTGAGCTATGATTGTGCCACTGCACTCCAGTGCACTCTGGTCAGCAGAGCAAGACCTTATCCCTGAAAAAATAAGATAAAAGAAATGTTGGAAACTTCAGTTTCTATGTGCTCTTATTTAATATTATCCTAAGGAAGTCAGCATTCCTATTTTAAAGGACACACTGAATATTATTGGTGGATCTATAATGTTTGCTTAAATTGCTTTTCACGTTATTTTATTTATTTAAAAAATAATTTTCTTAAGGAAAACTAATTTGATCCTGATTTTACATTGTACAGCAGTGATATGAATAAATGGTAGATTGAAGATCACAAATGACCTAGGCAGCCAGTAGTGAACGAGAAGAGCTGGATTTACTACTATTGTTAGACTTTTCAAGGCTCACCTTGAAGAAATGTAGCACAGCTGCAAAAAGCTGGAAAATGATGTATATTTTTCAGAAATGGCAGACAATAATGAGGACAAGTGAGACTGCCCTATTTAAAGAACTGTAAAGTTGTACACGGCATGGACTGATCCAGGTGTAGCACAATGCTAGGCACAGAAAGAGAATAGCTAACATGTATTAAACAGTCCCTAAGCACCAGGCAATATGTTAAGTATATTGTATGGTCTATTTGATTTAATCCTTGTAACCCTATGAGAGAGATGGTATCATTGTCCTCACATCACAGAAGCTGGAAAAGAGGCTTTGAAATTTAGTAATATCTATATTCAAAACCAACTGGACTCCAAAGGTCACACTTAACTAGTGCATTTACCTAGAAAAAACTTAATTAATAGGTAGTGAATAATTAACTGAATTAATCTGTGCAGAAAGAGTAATCTTGCTCTTCACCATCATAATGTGTATTTTATACCATCTGCCATAGATATTGAACATACCATCAGCACAATTCTACTCAAAAACAAACAGAAAACATAATGCTTATAATAAAAAGGACTTCCAAAATCAACCGAAGGCCTGAAACCTGGTAAGCACAGTCTATAAGAAGTGCCAGTATATTGTCTTAATTTTCAATAAGTAGCACAGCGCAAAGGTATTGCAAGCCATATGGATTTTGACAACCGTGCTTTAATAACTTTGGAAAAGCCTTACTACTTGTTAAAAAAAGGAAAAAAAGGTTTTAGTTGGCTTCTTACAATTAACCACCCTAAAGGACTTTTCTCCCAAAACGGAACAGTTGATTCCACAATTCATGCAATCTAAAAATCAAAGTATCTCTATACATGAGATATATAACCTTCATACACGTATTCGTGTGCATGGGCCTGCACACACACATACACAACACACACAGACTCAGAATGTTGGAGCTAAGAAGGTCCCCTGGGATCCTCAAGTCCATCCCCCCAACACCCAGGTTTGCGTATTTCACCCAGTTCATAGCTCAAGGCTGATATTCAGATGGTCTGCACCAGTTTGTACGTACCAGTTAATAAAATGAGAAAATGATTCAGAGGCAGCTGGTAAACAACTATAGTCATTTCCTCTAGTCTCCCAGGGTCTTAACTCCACCTCTGCAATTAAGTTTTCCTGATTCCTACCCTGAAACACCTAGGGACCTTTTCCTGATCTAGCAACCAAAGAGTGAACCCATGGGGCAGCAGGAAGCCTCCTCAATGTTCCTGCATGCAGGTTGATCAATATTTTTAATGTCAACGCTAAGAACTGACTAGAATCCAGAGCTTCAGTCCCAATTCCAGAGTTCTATCTTGTCTAACCACCTGCCTTTCTTAAGTGTTAGTATTTTATTGCAATCAAATGAATTTCTTTATTTTTACTGCAAAACACTAGTCCTAGATATTTAAAGGTAACCTTTCCCTTTCCATTCAAACTTAATTCCTTTTGTTTTGTTTATGTTTTACCATTTTCTCCAACTCATTGTGCAGTTTATTGATGCCACTGTGAATCCAATCACATTACTGTTCTCTTTCAATGCTTTTTTTCTCTTCTGTATTTAGCCAAATTTTTTTAGCTATTGCCCTTTCTTCTTTTTTTATGACACATTTTTACCCAACAAATATGTAGTGATCTAGGAATGATCTAGCTGAATGTCTTGCATGTCTAAACCATTTTTCCTTTTCTGTATATTATTTCAAATATTCATTGAAACTGTAAAAATTAACTAACAGTGAATCAATAAGAATTGACTTGATATATAATGATAAAGTTTTGTGTACAGGGCTTAGGCTCTTAGAATTTTTTGCACAGCGCTTAGAAAGTAAGAGCTCACTATTTATTATGTTACACATTTGAGTGAATTCATGCAGCTTCCAAAAATGATGAGAGCTGACTAAATTTCAGTTGGCTCACTTAATTTTCACATCACTCATTTACTTAGCCAACAATTCAGTTTTTTTCTTTTTCTTCTCTCTAATATCCAACAATGTAACAGTCATACTTCCTGGGAAATGTTCAGATAAGGATAAAGAAATTCAGGGCTGGTCCCTCTAACTACCTGCTTATTTTAATCTGCTATAGTACAACATCTCCATGCTATATATGCTATTGCAAATTCATAGAAGTTTTAGAAAAGGAAGGGAAACCTCTAAAGTCTCATAATCAATGTTTCCCTTTATTGAGTCACTATTACATACCAGGCATAGGTCTAAGAGTTGCATGGGTCACTCAATGTTCTGTACATATTTTCTAGTTTGATTCTCATGCTAGCCCTTTGGGATGTGAATTATTATTATCTCCATTTTGCAGAAGGCATGAAGAAGTTCAATAATTGTTCTGTATCCACACTGAAAGCAATGGAGATATTTTGACTCCTGAATCTGAACCCTTTAGTTAGTACATTGTACATCTAATACTTGCCAAAACCTTGTGAAACAGGTAGTGTATCAAATTTTTATGGAAGAGGAAACTGAGCTCATATGATTTTATGGGTTTAAGTGTGTCCTTAAACATACAAATGTATGTTTAAGTTTTAACCACCCCCAACCCATACCCCTGAATGTGACCTTATTTGGAAACAGGGTCATTGCAGCTGTAATTCGTTAGGATAAGGTCATACTGGAGTAGATATGGGCCCTTATTCCCATATAAGGCCCATTTAAAAGGTAAATTTGGACACAGGAAGGAAGAGAAGACTATGCGAAGACTCAGACACAGAGGGAAGGTGGCCACATGAAGACAGAGACAGAAATTAAAATTATGCTGACACAAACCAAAGAATGCCTGGGGCTACCAGAGGCTGGAAAAGGCAAGAAAGAATCCTCTGCTAGAGTCTTGGCAGAAGTAGCATGCCATGTCATGCACTCCTGGCCCGTAGAACTGTAAAAGAATAAGTTTTTTGTTGCTTTAAGCCCCCCATTTTATGGTACTTTGTTACTGCAGCCCTCAGAAAGGAGGAGAGTGTTTAGCGTTTTTGCTAAAGGCCATGATTTAGTAAGTGGCAGGTACAAAATTATTGATGTGGATGAATAAATTCAATTCTTGATATATCTGAATTTTCCAAAGACATGGAATTAAGCATTTTCTAAATGCCTGATAATTGCTTCCTGTACTTGTCCTCAGCCTTTCCCCACTACACCTAACAACTTCTGCATCATTTGTCCCACAAATAAACTATGTGTGCTACCATTGAAGGCCAATCTACGCACTATCCCAGGCCATCTTGCCTACTCAAGACTCCAATATTTCTCCCCTTCTCCTTCTACATCATTTGCCTACTCTCTATTGGCTCACTCAGCATATAAGGCTGCTGTTATTTTTTCTCATTTTTAAAATCAACAAACACACACACTGCTTTTGACTCCACTGCTTGTATCAGCTACTGCCCCATCCCTTCGTTGTTTTGCAGCAAAATGGTGCAAAAGAGTTATGTATCATATACACTGTTTTGGATTCTTCTGCCATTTTACCTTAAAACCACTTTGGTATCACTCCACTGAAACTTCCCTAGGGAGGACAACAATGACCTCCATGTCACTCAAGCCAGTGATCACTTCTGGTTGCTTATCTAAGTTGACTAATTGTCACGGTGATGACACATATATACAAAATGTTTCACCTGAAGTTCAAGATAGACTTTCTTTACAAGGCTTCCAAAATATCAAAGTGTGTTTTCCTCCTATGTCTGTAGTTGCTTCTTGGCCTCTTTTGCTACTCTTTCCTCTTCTTTACCTCTTCAGGTTGAAAAGCCTCAGGACTTAAATATCAGTGCTTTTCACCACTTTGTCTAAACTGCTCCCTTCCTGAGTTAATCTGTATGCCTCTGACTCCCAAATTGATATCTCAAATTGATATCTCCATTCTCAAATCCTCCGCTAGACTTCAGATTAATACAAATGCACCACTGTTTTCTTCGAGTCTATGTTCAACACAGTAGCCAGAGTGATCCTTTTAAAACCTAAAAGCTGGATCATGCCACTGCTCTGCACAGAGCTCTGCAATGTGTTCCATCTTTAACATCTTTGAAATGGCCTACACATCCCTCCATTCTCTGAGCTTTTCTACCAGTTTTTCCCCCATCCTTCATTTACTCTGATCCTGCACACAAGCCTACTCGTTGTTCCTTGGATGAGTCCTTCATACTCCCAACGCAGAGCAGCCCTCAGGCTCTTTCCTAAGCCTAGAGTGCTCTTTTCTCAGATATTTGCTTGGCTAATTCCAATTCTCACACACCCATCACAACTCCACTCAGACCTCACCGACTCTGTGAGTCTTTCTCTGGACATCCTACTGAACATTGCAAGCTGCCGGCCCCACCCTGTCTCCACCCTAGCACCCCTGCCCCTGATTTCCTGATTCATGCTTCCTTTTTGCCATAATAATTTAATCTACTATACAATTTAATTATTTATTAAGTTCTAATTTTTATACTGTCTTCCTATGGTAGAATGTAAGCTCTCCAAGGGCAATGTTCCCAAACTGTTTTGCCCATTGGTATCCCAGAGGATGCCCAGAGCCTGGCATATACTAACTGTACAGAAAACATTTGTTGAATGACAGAACTATAATCAGTGATAACTTAATCACTATACATTGGCACTGTGGTAAGATGCTTCTTTTTGGTTCATATATAAGAGTGAAGAATCTTCTAAGAAATATTGGCATTTCCAGAGCTTATACTTGCCTACTTTCTTATATCACTTAGATGAAAATAATTATTGGAAAAGGAATATAATATTTATAGATTTTTAATAAATAGTTCTTGTTTTATATTATTCTCTTGATTCTCTTGGAATGAATGAAAGTTTTTCTCTTGGGTCATTTTTCTGTGATCCAGTAAAAAATAAAAGACAGCTGTTCTATTTTTGCACTGTATTCCTTACTGCAGTTCATAGCACAATCAATACTGATTTACATTAATGCAAAACTTATTGCCTCTACCAAATAAGCTTCCAAAAGGGTCTTCTGAATAAATTGAAAAAATGGTGCTAAAAGTTCAGCAAATCTCAAATCATAATTGGATAGCTGTGCCCTCAGCTGGTAAAAAATTGTATGAGGTGCTGAGTGTAATTTTATTTATTGATTTCCTTCGTTCTAGAGTTGGTGAAGGGCAATAAAAGGAATAGTTAAATCAAAATGTTGAAATGTTGTGATTTATTAATAGAAAGAATGTGTCACATCTCTCTGCACACCTACAAAATTGCTTATTTTGTCCTTAATGTATTTTCAGACAGTGTTTTTATTTGGGAAACCAAAATGACCACCAGGTCACTTTTCAATAATGTCTTTCTTCTTTGAATCTCTCAGTAAGAAAAGTTTCATTTACTTTATGTGTTATGATTCATGGTAAATTATTTATGATACGATCAGGTAATTGGAAGTATCTCATGATTCCCTCCAATCTTTATTTTCATAGATTTTAATTTTTCAGGTAGAACAATTCAGTCATGGACAAGGTTGGCAGAAAAAAAAAAAAGCATTCCAATTTGAGTGGACAGGTGCAGTATTAGACATCCAAAAAGGCATTTAGGCAGGTGTTTTTCCAAGTGGTTATAAACTATGGTATGTACAATTTACTTTTTCGGCATTTTCAATTTGGAGACAGAAATATATTTATATGTTTTTCTTAGTAACTTTGTTTCATGGGAATTTTCTTGAATTCATATAATCCTAGATTTAAAAATTCATATCCTATAAGGGATCTGAATTAATAGATGTTTAGAAATCTAGAGAATTTAGAGAAGTTTAGAATACAGTCAGCCATTAGTGAAATGTAGAGCATGATCAGCCTTTAGTGAAAATCAAAGTGAAATCTCCAGATAACGAAATCATGTCATACTTCTATCCAGGGATCCATCCAGATAAGTTTTAGTTTAAGGCCTCTGAATAATGTGTCCAATCAACCCTCAGGCTTATTCTATGAAAAGTGTGTTTTATAATAAAATATTCCTTTATGCTAATTTGCCTTTTGCAGCATTTACTTGCATCTGGATGCCATAATAATTTTTTTAGTGAATTAAAGATATAACTGCAATACTATAAGTGATGGCAGCAGCTCCTCAAGCACCAGTAGTTCCTTAGACTGCACCTATCTGATATCCAGTCGAATTGGAGCTTCAACACAATGTAAACTGTCTTGGTCCATTCCAGATGCTAAAACAAAATATCATAAACTGGGTAACTTATGAACAAAATAAATGTATTTTCACACTTCTGGAGGCTGTGAATGGGAAGTCCCAGATCAAGACACTTCCTCGTTCATAGAAATGGCACCCTCTCGCTGTGTTCTAACATGGCAGAAGGAGCAAGGCAGTTTCCTGAGGCCTCTTTTGCAAAGGCACTAATTGCATTCATGTGGTGTTCACCCTTATGCCCCAGTCACCTCTCAAAGGCCCCACATCCCGATACCATCACATAGAGGAGTAGGTTTTCAACACATGAATTTGCAGTGGACATGAACATTCAGACCATAGCAAATATGTATGTATTGAACAGAAATATATATAATCTGTGTCTAAGCTTGAAGCCGTCTACATTTGAGAGAACCTTCCCAACTTCCACTGTTATACCTACTTGTTAAAAACCTGCTGGATAGGCTTTCTCTGTCACTTATAAGCAACCGCGTCATCGTATGACCAGGTAGCACACTGTGTGTCCTGTGTATGTATCTTTCATGGAGCGCTGAATAAACTACCGTGAATTTGATACCTTAAACATAAAAACTGGAGAGGTATTTGAAATGTTCACCCAAGCAGAGAATGTGTTCTTGTACTTTTCTATTAGGAGAAAATGGAAAAATATTATTAAGCAACTTGATTAATAAGGTAGAATATTTCTTCCAACTGTAAAATGCCTGAATTTGTGTAGTATTTAGAGAAAGTATATTTTCCAAATAGTACATTCTATTTATTTTAACTATATCAAACAAACATAAATATGGCTTAAGAGACTTTTTTTTTTTTTTTTTTTTGAGACAGAGTCTTGCTCTGTCGCCCAGGCTAGAGTGCAGTGGCACGATCTCGGCTCACTGCAAGCTCCGCCTCCCGGGTTCACGCCATTCCCCTGCCTCAGCCTCCTGAGCTGGGACTACAGGCGCCCGCCACCACGCCCGGCTAATTTCTTTTTTGTATTTTTACTAGAGATGGGGTTTCACTGTGTTAGCCAGGATGGTCTCAATAATATGGCTTAAGAGACTTTAAAAGATACATGTGTAAAGCAGAGAGAGAGAGAGAGCACTCCTAAAATATTATTAAATATTAAATAAATATTATTTAATATTTAAAAATATTATAAAAACTAGGGTGAAGTAGGAGGCTGGCATTGACAGACCTGCCTATCTATAGAAGATAAAAAAGCAAATAAAATTTAGGATAATGTAAGAAGGAACATTCTAGGGAATAGTTTGTGTATAGTAGATTTGATTATCTTTCTTGCGTTATAAGAAGTTTAGACAGGCTTCAGGCTTAGACACAGATAATGTATATTTCTGTTCAGTACATACACATTTGCTATGATCTGAATGTTGTGTCCACGGCAAATTTATATGTTGAAAACCTACTCCCAGAAATTCACTCAGAAGCAACACATGGTAAGATGGTAAAAGACTTAACTGGCTGGCTGTGCTCACTCTCCCACCTTAACCTCACTTTTCTCTGCCTATGATGAACAACAGATCTCAGGGAAGGTCAAATTCCATGCTGTGATTTGTAATTCATCTAATAACAAAACAGGAGAGTAAACAATTACATTTATTTTATTAATTTTAAATTTGGATGCTTGTTGTAGGCTGTGTCTCTTTGAAAATCAGATACATACTGAGGAGGAAACACAATTGACTCTTTAACGCTGTAAAAAAATCAGAGGTGATTTTTTTCCCATCAAAGTTTTCTATTGGAGAAATAGAATATGCAGTAGAAAAAAAACAGGAAGAAATGCATGGCCTTAGTGGAAACAAACTTCTGCATTATTTTTTCTATTCATTGTTCTGGCTTTAGATATCAGCCCAGAAGATAATGACCTGGAGGTAGTGGCTGCCTGTTGGGTAGAGGCACTCTTTGTACCTGTGGAGTTCATTCCAAAAGAGGCAGATGCCCTTAGAATCAGCTTTTCTAATTACCATTACTACAATCTACAGATTCAATGCAATTCCTGTCAAATTACGAATGTCATTTTTCACAGAATTAGAAAAAAAAAATCCTAAAATTTATATGGGACCAAACAAGAGCCCAAATAGCCAAAGCAATCCTAAGCAAAAAGAACAAAGTTGGAGGCATCACATTACCTAACTTTGTTTGCTACAAGGCTGTAGTAACCAAACAGCATGGACTCGTGTAAAAGTAGACACTTAGACCAGTGGAACAGAGTAGAGAACACCAAAATAAAGCCAAATACCTACAGCCAGCTGCTCTTTGACAAAGCAGACAAAACATGCACTAGGGAAAGGGCACTCTATTCAACAAATGGTGTTAGGAAAATTGGATAGACATAGGCAGAAGAATTAAACTGGATCCATTTCTCTCACCATAGACAAATTAACTCAAGGTGGATTAAAGACTTACATGTAAGGCTGGAAACCATAAAAATTCTAGGAGAAACCCTAGGAAACACTATTCTGGACATAGGCCTAGGCAAAGAGTTTATGACTGAGACCTTGAAAGAAAATGCAACAAAAACAAAAATGAATAAATGAGATAAACTAAAAAGCTTCCGCACAGCAAAATAAATAATCAACAGAGTAAATAGACAATGTACAGAGTGAGATAAAATATTTATGAACTATACTTCTGAAAAAAGACTAATATCCAGAACCTATAAGGAACTCAAACAAATCAGCAACAATAACAACAAAAAACAGATAATCTCATTAAAAGTAGGCAAACATCATGAACAGACAGTTCTCAAAAGAAGATGTACAAATGGCCAACAAACATGTGAAAAAATGCTCAACATCACTAGTTATCAGGGAAATGTAAATTAAAACCACAGTGAGATACCACCTTACCCTAGTCAGAATAGTCATTTTTTTAAAAGTCAGAAAACAAATAGATGTTGGTGTGGATGTGGTGAAAAAGAATACCTATACACTGCTGGTGGGAATGTGAATTAGTACAGCCTCTATGGAAAGCCATGTGGAGATTTCTCAAAGAACTAAAAGTAGCTCTACTGTTCCATCCGGGAATCCCACTACTAAGTATCTACCCAGAAGAAAGTAATTCACTGTATTAAAAAAAGACACCTGCACTCATGTGTTTATCACAGCACAATTCACAATTGCACATATATGGAGTCAACCTAAGTGCCCATCAACAGATGAATGAATAAAGACAATGAGATGTGTGTATACATACACACACACACACACTTCATTGTTTTATAAATATATGCACACATACACCATGGAATACTACTCAGTTATTAAAAAAGAATGAAATAATGTATTTTGCAGCAACTTGGATGGAAATGGAGGAGGTTTTCCTAAGTGAAGTAACCAGAAACAGAATGTTCTCACTTGCAAACAGGAGCTAAGCTATGGGCACACAAAGGTATACACAGTGGTGTAATGGACATTGCAGACTCAGAAAGAGAGAGTGTGGGAGGGAAACAAAGGATTAAAAAATCACCTGTTAGGTATAATGCACACCATTTGGGTGATGGGTACACTGAAACCCCAGACTTCACCACAATACAATCTATCCATGTAACAAAAACCCACTTGAACCCCAAAAGCTATTGAAGTAAAAGGAAAAAGAATCAGCTTTTCTCGCTTCATGTGTTTGTCGATGACCCACTTTAACAAAATACAACTAAAAATCTGAATCTTATTAGAGAGTTAAGTTATGAAGTGTTTGTGTGCTTTTTATAAGTAACACAGGATTTTCTTATAGCTATCAAGCTCCATAGAGTTTGATAAAACTATTTAACCTGCAAAATGTTGGTTTACTGATTCTCTTATCAGAGACACATGTCATAAATAGAGGCACTCATAGCAAAACACCCCTCATTTTTATTACCTGTTGACAATTCTAGCCAGAGGATTGCCCATTTTTTTACTTAATCATCACTCGTGGCCAGGCTGGGTACAGTGGCTAATGCCTATAACCTTGGGTCTTTCAAAGACCGAGGCAGGAAAATTCCTTGAGGCCAGGAGTTCAAGACTATGTCTCTACAAAATGTTTTTTTTTTAAATTAGTCAGATGTGGTGGCACATATCTATAGTCCCAACTACTTGAGAAGCTGAGACAGGAGGATCCGGATTACTTCAGCCTAGGAGTTCGAGGTTGCCATGAGTCATGATCACACCACTGTACTCCAGCCTAGGCAACAGGGCGAGGCCCTGTCTCAAAAAAGAAAAAAAAAAAGTCATAACTCGTGGTCTCTTTAGTGGCCTCTGGTCTTTTTAACTAATGTAAATTCTGACTTCATTTAGACTTAAAGCTATTGCTCATTTTAAAGCTGTTCTTATCTTATTAGACCTATGCTCAAATCCTTTAATAGTTGAAATCAATTGAGCTATTATTTATTAAGTAACTACGATGTAAAAGACAAAATACTAGGGATCATACAGATAAAAAGGGATGAGTGAAATAGAAACCTCATTCTAAAGTCACTGGTTTTTTTGTAGAGCATTAGTTAGCAGCTGCCGTACAATAAATCATGCCAAAATCCAGTGGCTTAAAATAGTAAGAATGTATTATTGTTCATGAGTTTCTTGGTCAGCTAAACAGTATTTCTGGTATCTACTGGTCTCATTTATTTGTTTGTGGTCAGATGTGGATTAGGCAGGCAACTTGCTGAGTTGGTTGACTCTATCACATGTTCTGGGAGACTGGCTAGCTGTAGTTCAAGTTGGCCTTGGCATAATACCCAGGCTTTCCTCCATGTGATCTCATGTCCTCCACTAGACTAGCCTAGGAAGGGGTGCATGAAAAAGGATCAAAGCACACAATGCCCCTTGGGCCTGGACTCTCGGAAGTGGCAAATTGACATTTTTGCCATATTTATTGGTCAAAGCAAGTCACAACGTGTCCAAAATTGGTGGGTTCTTGGTCTCACTGACTTCAAGAATGAAGCCGTGGACTATCGCGGTGAGTGTTACAGTTCTTAAAGGTGGTGTGTCCGGAGTTTGTTACTTCTGATGTTTGGACGTGTTCGGAGTTTCTTCCTTCTGGTGGGTTCGTGGTCTTGCTGGCTTCAGGAGTGAAGCTGCAGACCTTCACGATGAGTGTTACAGCTCTTAAGGCAGCCAGTCGGGAGTTGTTCCTTCCTCCCGACCCGAGTTGTTCATTCCTCCCGGTGGGTTTGTGGTCTCGCAGGCCTCAGGAGTGAAGCTGCAGACCTTCATGGTGAGTGTTACAGCTCATAAAGGCAGTGCGGACCCAAAGAGTGAGCACCAGCAAGACGTATTGCAAAGAGCAAAAGAGCAAAGCTTCCACAGTGTGGAAGGGGACCAGGGTTGTCTCTGTGGGCTTGGGCAGCCTGCTTTTAGTCCCTTATCTGACCCCACCCACATCCTGCTGATTGGCCTATTTTACAGAGAGCTGATTGGTCCATTTTACAGAGAGCTGATTGGTTCGTTTTACAGAGAGCTGATTGGTCCATTTTGACAGGGTGCTGATTGGTGTGTTTACAATCCCTGAGCTAGACACAGAGTGCTGATTGGTATATTTACAATCGTCTAGCTAGACATAAAAGTTCTCCAAGTCCCCACTAGATTAGCTAGAGGCAGAGCACTGATTGGTGCATCCACGAACCCTGAGCTAGACACAGAGTGCTGATTGGTACATATATAATCTTCCCGCTAGACATAAAAGTTCTCCAAGTCCCCACCCAACTCAGGAGCCCAGCTGGCTCTGACTAATGGATCCTGTTTCAGGGGAATGGGCAGAACTGCCTGCCAGTCCAACACAGTACCTGCACTCCTCAGCCCTTGGGCAGTGGATGGGACTGAGCGTCAGGGAGCAGGGGGCAGTGCCCGTCGGGGAGGCTCGGGCTGCCAGGAGCCCACCGCAGGGGGCTCAGACATGGTGGGCTGCAAGCCCCACCCCACCGGGAGGCAGCTGAGGCCAGGTGAGAATTCGAGCGCAGCGCAGGTGGCCCAGCAGTGCTGGGGGACCCGGCGCCCCCTCCACAGCTGCTGGCCCGGGTGCTAAGCCCCTCACTGCCCAGGGCCGGTGGCGCCGGCCAGCCACTCAGAGGGCAGGACCTGCCGAGCCCACACCCACCCGGAACTCGCGCTGGCCCAGGAGCGCTTCATGCAGCCCTGATTCCCACCTGCGCCTCTCCCTCCACACCTCCCCGCAAGCAGAGGGAGCTGGCTCCAGCCTCCGACAGCCCAGAGAGGGGCTCCCACATTACAGCAACGGGCTGAAGGGCTCCTCAAGCGTGGCCAGAGCGGATGCCGAGCCCAAGGAGGCGCTGAGAGCGAGAGAGGGCCACCAGCACGTTGTCACTTCTCATCAAGTTAGGGCCAGATTCAAGGATGAGGAAATAGGCTTTACAAATTGATGGGAAGAGTTGTAATGTCATACTGCAAAGGGCAGTGTTAAAAGAAGGCACTCATCAAGTACATGAATGCACTCAATCCACCACCAGGAGAACAACGCAAGTAAAAACAATTATATACTCTAAGATATTCTAGAAAAATGCCACAAGTTAAATACACTAGACTCTCAACATTTAGGATTAACTTTTCTTTTCAGTTTTTGGTAATTTGTATGCTGCAGAAACATGAGATAGTTTGACACTTTGTTAGGAAATACTTCTTTATTTGGCAATGCCTTCATCATTCATCTTTTCCACTGAAATTTAAGCTCCACCAAGAATGTCGTCCTAATCATTACTGTATCTTAAGTGTCTGCAAAGTACCCAGCACAAAGTAAAAACCTGGCAAATACTTATTGAATGAATTAATTCATTTATAAAAACTCTAAAGATATCATTTTACATTTTTAATTTATAATTTCTATTACAAATTTTTCTGCTTTGTAAAATGGGGATACTTTAAGTACAATTTCGTAGGATTAAATGAGTTTATGTATATATATATATGAAGCATTCAAAGGAGAGGACAATTGAAAAATTGCAAATATTACATATGTGTTTGTGTGTATAATACACTAATCACTTTTATAATATTTAATGTTTAATTTTGCATGGAAAATTACTTACTAAATGTCTTGGAGTCTGGGGATTTGTGGGTTTTTTGGAGCACTTACTCAAGTATATAATTCCATAAACCAATATAGAGGTTTCAAAAGAGGCAGAGGTCAGGGGAGGGGATAAGGGAAGCTTTCACAAGCAAGATAATACCTGAGATGAAACTTTGAAGGAGAAGTAGAATTTTGTGAGTGCAGTAGGTTTTCAGGAAAAGAGAACATTGTGAAGGGAGTGCAGAGGGGTGAAAATCGGCAGTAGAAGAGTAATGTATAGTCTGATTTCCAAATATACTGGGGGAATAATGGAAAGCAAATCTGGACACGTATATAAAGAGTTCAGCATAAATGAGTCTTTGTAGTGGCCTTTGTGATTCACTAGACTATCAATAATTATCCACAATCTTTTCAGCAACAGTGATTTCTACTCTGAGATGAAAAAAATTCATTTGCAGCAGTGTCTAAACTATTAAAAGTGAAAAACAATAGAAAATTGAACGAACTGGGAGAAGACTGTGAGTGTTTAATTATTAATGTTTTTTGAAGTCTTGAGTGAAATGACGGCAGTGACTGAAAAGAGAAGGAAGGATGTAAGAAATATTTGGTAACTTAAGATACAAGGGGGAGAGTCAAAAATAAGTGAAATGACTGCAACCTACAACATCCAGTCGGAAGACATCAGGGGACATTAAGTGAAATTGAGAAGTTAGGAAAAAAAGAATCTTTTGAGACTAGAAAGGTGGATGAAAATAAATAAATTAGAAATGAAGATATAAATAATGTAAGGGGCAGCAGAATTTCTAACTGGATATCTTTAAGGGACAATAAGGAATATGAGTTTAGAGCTCAGACAGCAGAGATGTGTATTTCGTAGGATCTTCACCGAAGGAAAAGTTTAATCTTTGGGTTTGTGGGGGTCTCTAAGGAAGAAAGAGGCAGATGAAAATTATTTCAGGGACAGCTGTAGAAGAAGGAGAACATACTCCTTGTTTTGAAACAGATTCCTTTTCATATTACTTAGCTTAATAAACACTTGTGCTAGATTTTTGATCTGCTATGTAAAAGATTTTAGATAGTCTCGCACCAGATTAGAAATACTCATAATAGTCTGTATTAGATCCACAAATATTGTCCATTCACGACAACAAAAAACAATGTGACTAGATTTTAGGAAAATATATTCTGTGGTTGTGATCTGTTTTCCTGAGAAACAGACCACTTTTATAATATTTAATGTTTAATATAATAGCACCTGTTTGGAATTACAGTAAAGATATCAGTGTAACAGGAAGTATATTTAGGGAGTGATTAATGATGTGCTATTGACTGAAAGTGCTGGTTGGAAACATTGGTGGTGCTGTTGATTCCGACTGAAAGCGCTGGTTGGAAACATTGGTGGTGCTGTTGATTATTATTTAATGATTTTTTTTCTGGATTGCTGAATAATTGACACTGATGAGAAGGTGACTCAGCATTGATTTTATGTTTCCCAGACTGGGTTTTTGAAATGTCAATAGCAGTAGCACCTTATTAAGTGCATCACAGACAGAAGTAAATGTTTCTAGTAGAGACTTCTCTAAAGGTTTATTAGTGATTAAATATGTTAGTTCCTTATAAAAATAGTAGAAATTACTATTCTCCATTTACACACAAAACAGAAGAATAAGATTTTTCTCTTAAGGTATTTTTAGATAGTGACAGAATTAGAAATAGGACTCAATATAACCTTGTTTTGGAGGAAAAGCATAATTATGCTTTAAATTTGTGTCATATGAAAACATAGTTTTAAAGGCTGTGTTTTATTAATGAATTTATCTTTTAAATTAACTCGTGTTACTTTAAATAGGATCTGCATTTTTAATATAAAGAGCATAATTGGGAAAGAAATATAGAATTGATTTTATTTCATTAGTATTTTTATTTAATAAAATAAGTAGATTGTAACAAATGATAGTCCCAGTAATAATAAAAACATTGTGGGGCACATATGCAAATGGAGAAACAAGTATCTTAATTTGTTCTACTTAAAACAATGAGGATAACTTTAGATTACCGTATTGTCTCTAGTTTTCTACCCCATTTTTTTTCAGGTAACCTATATTTCATCCTTACTCTATTCAACAACTGGTGTTTGTGTACCACATAGAATATTCAAATTGCAGATCCTGAAAGAGACAGACGATAAACAGTTCAATTTTGTGATTTGTGACAAGTGTTTTAAAAATGAAATAATAAGCTATAATGAGATAGAATACCAGAGTACATCTCGCATAATGTTACTATACAATACTATAATGTATTGTTTTATAAAACGTCTGTTTTATGTATGTTTTATATATGTTTTACACATCTAAGTATATGTTCTGGGTCGCAATGTAACGCATATTTTAGATCAAATGGAGGAGCTACTGATCTATTCAGAGATCTACCCTGTAAATTATTCCTCTATCACAAATTAGTTTTTAATTAATTAATCAAATATTTATTATGTGCCTGCTGTGTCTGTGAAAATTAACCACAAAAATATAATTTACATCATACTATAAATGAGTTGACATTTGGAGTAAGATATGTTCCAAATAAAAAAGAGAACTGGCAAAATGAATATGTCCTGGGGCATTGTTTTGCAGTACTAGCATTTCATTTCTTTGACATCTTGAAACTATAATATACACTATTATAATTTACTTTCATGTGAGAAATGGTTCTAAATGTTTTTATGTTGTAAAAGTAAGGTTTGTAAACAGTAAAGGGATGTGCGTTGAAGGTCTGCTGTAGTATGTCTGTTTTGCACCAACGGGACAATTTCTATCTCAGAGCATGTAAACCATCTATGGATGGCTCAGCAATGCTTCTTATATTCACCATTGACTAAAGTTTATTTCCATTTTTAAACAAATATTTTGCAGCAATTACCAAGTGACAGGTAGCATCTAAACTGCTCAGAGTACAATGATCAAGATATGATGTGCGCTGGAGATTTTAGTCTAATAGTAGACACTGAAATATTTTAATTTTTTATTCTGTGTGTTTCACTTTGGTCTATAAGGAATAAAAAGAAGGCTCCCAGCAACAAGGGAAAAATTAGCTAATATATAGAATCATTTTGTCACATTTCTGCAGATCAGTGTGTGAGAAACTGATTGATTTGAAGAAGATAGAAAGTGTCGACCCTAAGAATACAGGGATATAAAGTCAAAGAAAGTTGTTGGGTCTCTATTAGCCTCCAGATAATTTATTAAGCTTCCTAGAGAGATGAGCTATGTGGAAACTGTTGGCTGAAATATGTTTGGGTATAAATATGAAATGGAAAAACTATACTTATATCACTCCACATCTTATTTTCAAGTTCTTTAAAACCACTTCCAATTTTGTTGTCTTGAGTGGAAGGATAAAGTGGGGCATTAGAAATGTTCATAAATGCCAGTCTCATTAGAAACTGTCATTCCACAGACAATGTTAGATTGCTTCCAGTTTCAGCCTAGATCACCATTATGATGACCTTGTAGACAAGTGTGCATTTCTTTTGGAATCTGCTAGACTGATTTTGCATTTAAAACAGCTAAAGAATTCTACGCATATTTCCTCTGTCATGCACAATCTGTCCTTTAATAGCCTTCTGCTTTCCTGTTGAGAACCTGCTGAAATGCTCTTATGCATAAAAACAGATGCCCCAAAATTCCCTCTCACAACCGTTTTTACATTTATGAAAGTAGATTTCACTTTCTTGAAGTAAATTCAAGATGCTCAAAGATAAACAAAATACCTCAATACAGTAAAACTTGCTTCAAGCTGACTAAATCAATATGTTCAGATACAAGTATTCTTCAGATTGGCAAATGTATAAATCACCTATTTCATTAAATAAATTATAAAATTTGTACAATGCTATCTATATACTTGTAACTTAATGCAATTGAGCAGCAAGGTCTGACTGCAAACCTAAGAAGCTCAATCTGGGCTAAGTAATAAATTTTCAAATAAAAGTTCAAGAGTAATTCAAGTATAATAAAAAAAACAAGAATAAATACAAAAGAACGTAGTAGAAGATAAAAGTGAAAATCTTCATTTTCTTTCTTTCTTTCTTTCTCCTTCCTTCCTTCCTTCCTTCCTGTCTTTCTTTCTTTCTTCCTTCCTTCCTTCCTTTCCTCTTTCTTTCTTTCCTTCTTTCCTTCTGTCTTTCTTTCTTTCTTTCTTTCTTTCTTTCTTTCTTTCTTTCTTTCTTTCTTTCTTTCCTTCTTTCCTTCTTTTCTTTTCTTTTCTTTTCTTTTCTTTCTTTTTCTTTCTTGTCTCACTCTGTCGCCCAGGCTGGAGTACAGTGGTGTGATCTTGGCTCACTGCCTACCTCCACCACCCGGGTTCAAGCGATTCTCTTGCCTTAGCCTCTCGAGTAGCTGGGACTACAGGTGTGGGCCACCACATCTAGCTAATTCTTTGTATTTTTAGTAGAGACGGAGTTTCACCACATTGCCCAGGCTGTTCTGGAACTCCTGACCTCAGGTGATCTGCCCGCCTCAGCCTCCCAAAGTGCTGGGATTACAGGTGTGAGCCACCACACCCGACCATGTTTTGTTTTTCTTAATTTAGTGACCTACTTTGTGGCAGTTCATTCCTCAATGCATAAAGAATAAACTATTCAATATATTAGTAAATTGAAACAGAGAACCTATGTAACAAATATGATAAATACCTCTAAGGTCACTGTTACCTGGAAGGTGTTCATGTCTCAACCCTACATGATCATAAGTTCCTCTTCCTTAAGTTTTGGAGAATTAGGTGCTACCATAGAATTATTTTTAAAATGCAGCAGAGAATAGAGCAAGGCTGCCATATATAGGCATTTTCTCCCGCTTATTCCAAAATCATTATCTTTAATTATTATTTTGAATAATGATAATGGTGCATACTATTATTGTACTCTCAAGTTGTCATGAAAATTCACATTTGGAACTTAAGACTACTGGAGAGTCATAGACTAAACCCGTGGAGGTGTCTAGGGGCCTTCTCAGTGTAGCTACCTCACTAGAACATTTCAGGACTTGTCTTAGCAAATGAACTCATTGTGCCTTGTTACAGACTTAGAAGAGATAAGTTTCATTAAACAAAGACTAGTGTGTTTCTGATTACTACTGCTCCAGAACAGGCCTCCTCTAACTTATTTGATTATGCTCATGGATTTTGTGAATCAGAAACGCAGATAGGGCCTAGTAAAGATGGCTTCCCCTGCTACGTGATGGCCAGGGCCTCACCTGGGAAGATGGTGTCTAGGGGTAAATAGATAACTAGAGGATGAATTCATTTGCAGAGATCTTTACTCATACATCTGCGGGTAGCTGCTGGCCATTAGCCGGAGCATATAAGCATGGCTTGTCCCCATGACCTCGCTTCATACTGTAGAAAGCCCAGCACAGTAAGACAGCTTACCTGGCAGCTCAGGAATCCAAAGGCAGGTGACCCAAGAAACTAGGAAGAAGCTGCATGGCCTTCATTTTAGTACCCACTAAAGCTAAATAGTATCACTTTCTTGTATTCTATTGCTTGAAGATAACCTGTATAGTTATTATATGACCTAGATTCAATTCAGTGAGAAGGGACATAGACCTCCAACACTTGATAGAAGCGTCAAAGAATTTACAGACAGATTTCAGAACCCCACCACAGTGGGTAAGCACTCCGTAGCTGAGATGCCAGAGAACTGCGAAGGCAGTCCTGGGGTGGGGGTGGGGGGTGGGTACTAGTTCTGTGGATGGAAAGGAAGAGGCAGCACTCTGTTCACAAGATTATATGCTTAGGACATGATCTAGCAACACTGGCATTTCTGAATATCCCTAATGTCCTATCCATTCCATTCGTCTACTCAAGACAACAGAATTACAAATACCTGCAAAGAATTTGAAAATAAAATGTGAAATGATGTGTAACTTTGCCAGTTCGCATTTATACTCAAGCATACCTTATTATACCAAGTAGTTTCTTTGTCTCTTACTCTCTGGGACACTCTCTGTCCTTCTCTAATTAATCTCAATGCCAGTATTACAGATACCTGGAAAGTCATCCAGAGAAAATTATCATTCAATTGTCCCACTTCTATAGTATAATTCTCCAAAACAATTGAAATTACCATTGAGTCATACACATGCGCACGCACGCAGACACACACACACGCTCAGATATATGAAAAGAAAAACATTAGCAAACCCATAAACAAATAGTGAGATAATAGTTTTCAAGGAAAAAATAAGCTTTCGAACTTTAGAAAAGAAAAATTGAAATTAGTTCTAAATTGATTTACGCATGTGTATGTAAATATGTATGTTATATATATTCTACATATAATAAACACATAGGTGATTGAAATGATAGAGGTACATATGCCTGAATAGTTATGATATGTGTATTATATGTATGTGTTTATACGCACAGAGCAATAAATATGACTAGGCAAAATTTAAAAAATTAATACTAGTGTCATTATCTGTTAATTTGTATGTTTTCTTATTCATTGTCATAGAATTCCTGGCATTATTTTTCTAAATGTATAATATGGGACTAAACCTAATGAATACTCTTTCAATGCAAAGGCACACCTACATACTCTAAGTGGTTGCTATTCAACCAGGAATATGTTGGCAGAGAAGAATTAAAATCACTGCCATTTTACGGCTAACACACACTGATTTTCTGGATGGAACATTTGGTTACACTATACTTTCATTAAATAATATAGTAATTATCACTTTTGCAAGATGTTATTCTATTCATTTGCATGTACTTTACCATGCTACATATTGGATACAAAATAATTAGATACTGAAAAAGAGGAGTTAAAATGTGGGTAAAAAATCTGCTGTGGCTTCCAACATAGGCAACTAGTAGAGACAGATGGAACTGTGTTCTTGGGATGTTTAAGGACTTTTAGAGTACTTTGCATCAGCAGCATCTAGAGACCAATTACTGAATACTCTCTGCAGGAGTCTTGCCTCAGGGTTTTTAAATGGATGAATAATATATAAACTCCATGGTTTCCCACTGAGAGAGACTGAAGCAGCATCAGAAAGAGTCTATTTGAGTTGAACTAAAAATGAAATAATTTGAAATTTGACCTGAAGTCTTTTGTGTTTACATATGTAGTTGGTTGTAAGGTTGCAATGCAGGGGCATAATAAATAGAAAAAAAATGCTATAAGCTTTTTCCTTTTCTGAGTCTGGGTAAAAATGAATGAGAATGGAGAATTAATCTTTCAATTCATACCCCAAAAATAGTTTATAAAATAATTTCTAATATGTTACTGGAAGAAATTTTCTGCATTTTTAAAGCCCTAAAGTATCTTGGAGCACCTTATAGATTGTTTATTTCAAACTCTTCATATTACATATTAGTTTCTAGACACCTGAGAAGCTTAATGAATACACAGTTATTAACAGAGATGGCACAATATTTGGATGCTCATGCTACTCTATCTCACTTCTGAGATCACATTATATAATAACTACAAAATAATAATATCTTCAACAATAACAATACAATGAAATATTCATTTACATTGTCTCATTTTAACAACAACACTCTGTGGTGTGCCAGTATTAATCATTTTAATAGTGAGAAAGATAAGAGAAGCAGACCCAAGAATCTGTACCAGGCCTGAGAGTTCAATGTCTTTGCTGAAACTTATAAAATCTACCTGTGCATGTTTTCTGAAAGAGTCAGATTGTACCGCAAGGTCAGTAAGATGCATAAAGTCACGTTGAAGACTTCGATAGCCCGTTCATTCATTTATTCATTTATAAGTATTTATGAAGCACATATCTCTCCCATATGCCAAGCAAGGAGATGGGGCTAGGGATAAATCAGTGAACAAGACACAGGTAGTCCTTGGCCCATGTAGTCAGGACCTTATGTTGTCAAAAACAAAGACAAAAAAAAAACTGCCTTGGGAAATTAACCAAGCTGCTGTTATGGCATTTTACATGTGAGAAAACAGTAGTAACATTAGCATGGACAAATTCTAACCTAGGTCTCGTAATTTCTAGAATGAGTTAGTGTTCCCACACCAGTAATCAAATTATTATTACTTAATAAGAATAATCATCATTTAATTCAAATTAAATAATTAAGAGCTTGGTTGGCTTCAATTTAGGTGTGTAAATAAATTTTATGAATTATCCATGGTCTGCCTTTCCATTTTTCCTTGCTTTTTTTTATTATTTATTTAGTGGGTAAAAACAAACAAAAACAAAAGGTGAGGTAAATACTGATGTAGAAAATTTTAAATAATTACATTTTGATGACTAGTTGTGGTTTCTTTTAAAAGAATCATTTGGAGTAATATGGACTGTGTGTTATTACTCATCCAAGTTCTGGCTCGTATTGACAATTTGAGTAATAAAAGTTTGTGAGACTAGGAGTGAAAAATCTGGACTGGAAGGGAAGACCTCTGCCTACTCTCTTGAGTATGAAGTTTACCAGGATGGTTGCTCTCTAGACAAAACTCATAAGCAATGCATTCAAAGAGAATATGTGTAGACTAGGAGATAAAATAGGCTGGAAAGATAAGGTTTATCTTGTAAACACTGAATTTATTTTGCTTTTGATATTTCCTACCTTAAGGACTTTTTAAAAATTATCTCTTTTTTATTTCAACTATCTTCAGATTGTTAAGGAAAAAGTTCTATGTCAACACTTGTACCAATAACAAAAGTGATTACAGAGGCAATATGATGATGGCATTGGTGTTCCTCAAAAGAAATATGGAAATTGAAAGATGAATATCTAAGCATTTTAATGTTAGAGCATTCTTACACAAATGTGAGGAAGCAGGTTTTATTTTATAATGGAAGGCTGAAATTTCATTCATTCATTTATTTCCAAATATCCATTGAGTGGTTCTAACCTGCCAGGTACTATGTTAGGCTATAGGGTCATAACAATGGGGAACACGGAAGCGGTCTATTCACTCATAAAGTCAGCATCACAGCTATCACCTTACACAGCTTAGGTTAGGTTAAGAAAAAATTGCGTATTATTTTTTCTTAACTAACAAACCCTTTTATCAAATGACTTTTATGTAGATCCCCAAAATATAAAATCCATTAGTGTGATATTTACTTTTATAGATATTATATCTAAGTGCACATTTCTAATATTGGCTTATAGAGGTGTTCAATAAAACCAATGAGATTTTTTGAAGGAAAAAAATTGAAAATGGAGATCATAAATGATAACTCAGAAACTCACACTTCTGTCAGCTTCAAAATCCAATTTATCTCTATATTTTAGTTTGGCTGCACTGTCACTCAGAGTAAGCAGTCTGAATCCTGACATGTACAATAGTATTCAATATTACTTTTTTATTTTAAAAAATGTTGGCAATTTGAAGAAACTTTTTAATTAATTTCTTAATACACCTGAAAGATTAGTGGGAAGAAATTTTTGTTTCAAATCCAAATAGATCTAACACATGCTCGCAGTATAATAGTTCAGAGTTTAGCATTTGAGGTGAAAAACTTTGTCTTTATTTCTAATTGGCATCTTACTGAATGTGCAGTCATGGGAAAACTACTTAACTGGCCTATGATTCAGTTTCCCTAATTCTAAAATGGAGATGGTAATACCAGAGTTGCCTGAAGAATTACATAAAAAATATGTAAAACTACTTGGGTCATACTAAATGTTTAATATAACATGCTTAGGTTTTAATCTTATTTATTAAATAAAAGTCATGGTTGGGGAAGTACGTTTATCCCAGTGTCTGAAATCCAGCATAGTTCAAGTCACCAAAT
Source organism: Homo sapiens (assembly GCF_000001405.40). Taxonomy (NCBI): domain Eukaryota; kingdom Metazoa; phylum Chordata; class Mammalia; order Primates; family Hominidae; genus Homo; species Homo sapiens. The sequence goes on from NC_000004.12 coordinate 172,492,903, forward strand.
TTGTTTAACAACTGTGTGTCTGCATGCGCAAAGAGGTGGTAACAGTAACAAAGAGGCTGCCAAGTCCCATGCTTGGTGGGAGAATTCAGTCAAAGACACATATCTAACTTACTATTATGCTTTTAATCTTAGACTTGCTAGTAAGAACTAATAAACATCAAAATGTTATATATGTAACATTTAAGAGAACATCAAATACACTATTTTTTAAATATCAAATATACCCATACATAATAATAATTTTATTATCTTTCCTTGGCTTAAATTCTGGTAAATTTCCAAAAAGAAAAATCAAGTGTTTTTCAACAGTGTTTTGAATTAAAACTTGATTATTTTTGCAAGACATTTTTTGTTTCCCACTAACTCAAATGTAAATAATATTTTGAGAGTTTCAATGGGTTGCTACCACTAACAGAAAGAGCAATTTTAAAAGTTTAAACAGACACTGTCTTGGAACTTCGGCTAAGGAAAATTACTAAAAACTAAAAGATATTCACTTTTATGTCAGAAATAGATTATGTCAAACAGAAAAAGTACTTTTACTAGGAAGGACAATTACATTGCATGACCAAATTCATGAAGGTTACAGATTCGTTTCCTGAACTGCTAACTCAGGATAACCAATATTTCCAACACTTACTTGGTACCAGGTTTAACCGACAAAAATGTGATACATATGATATGTAGCTAGAGATTATTCATAACCTTAACTGACCTTTAAAAAAAACTTTCTGAAATAGGTCTCTAACCTCTTCTCAGAGGAGGCTTATCAGCAAGTTTAGCTAAATAGGCAGTGAGTTCCGTGCTGCATTTTGATAAGAATGCCCCCTGTTTAGAAAGCTTCATGGAAGTATTGCCAGAAATGCAATTATTTGATTAATGTTAGAACCTATATTAAGGGCATTAATAGCTTTTTAGTCCATGAGTCCTCAATTAAAATTCAGACTCTGAGTAAAGCCTTGTTTCCTCATACCCTCCCCTTCCAAGCTCAATCCTCTTGACAAATATTCACTCTCCTTTTAAGATTCGGTTGCTATTTGGATCACCTTAAACTCTCTCCCTCCAAAATTCTTCCCAGCTAGAATGTAGGTCTCTCTGTGTTTTTTTAACCTATATATTTTACCTGTACATACTTCTAGTACAGCTCTTTAAGAAAGAAAATGTGTCAATTATCTTTTATCCCACAGAACCAAGCACTATATTCTTTGTATATAGCAACATAATTGTATTTGTATGAAAGAAGTGGGCAACCAAAATAAAATGTATTCACTGCCTTATTTTTGTCAGGCACTGTACAAAGCTCTTGAAATAAGAGCTCTTTAAGATACGTAATATTACGATTCCTTCATGAAGATATTGTCAGCCTTGCTATATAGAAGTAACGACTGGGGATTAAATAAGTTAAATATAAAACCCAAGTTTTTGATTCACAGCATCAGGATACAAATCCAAATTTCTTTCTCATACTCTCATGACATTTTCTTTTGAGAACCTGATACTGAGATAATTAACCAAGTCTTTTCTCAGCATTCTCTCCATATGCCCTCTATTGGTCAGGGTTCTGCAGAGGGACAGAACTAACAGGATAGATGAATATATGAAGGGGAGTTTATTGAGTATTGACTCACATGGTCGCAAGGTGAAGTCCCACAATAGGCCTTCTGCAAACTGGGGAGCAGGGAAGCCAGTCCGAGTCCCAAAACCACAAAAGTTGAGAAGTCAACAGTGCAGCCTTCAGTCTGTGGCCAAAAGCCCAAGAGCTCCTGACAAACCACTGGCATAAGTCCAAGAGAGCAAAAGCTGAAGAACTTGGAGTCTGATGTTCAAGGGTAGGAAGCATCCAGCATGGGAGAAAGATGAAGGTCAGAAGACTCAGCAAGTCCAGTCCATCCATGCTCTTCTGCCTGCTTTATTCTAGCCGCACTGGCAGCTGATTAGGTGGTGCCCACCCGTATTGAGGGTGGGTCTGCCTTTCCCAGTCCACTGACTCAAATGTTAGTCTCCTTTGGCAACACCCTCACAGACACACCCAGGAACAATACTTTGCATCATTTGCAATCAAGTTGACACTCAATGTTAACCATCATACACCCTCACTGAACACCTCATGGAGGCGCCTGGTAGCTAGCTAGACAGCAAGGGAGTGACTGTAATATGAAGACAGAATTCAGGAATCCTAGGAAAGGTAGCTAAAGGGAAAGAGAGCAATCAGAGTGGATGCCTGGCAGGTTTTTACAGTATAACAAATTAAGCATGCTCACATGCTGAAGGGTAAGACTCACAAGTTGAGAAAAGGCTAAAATATAGGCAAAAGGTGAGGTAACCATAGGACAAATCTATGACAAAGCAAGAAGAAAAGAGACTCAAAGAAGAGTTCCAAGTACCATCGGTCAAGAGGCAGGGCAGTCGCTTGCAGGGAACTTGGCAAAGATGAGAAGGTGTCACTCCAGCTCTACACTCCTGACTGCTGAAGCGAGGAGGCTTAATGTATCCAGCACAGTCTTACTATTAGCTGGTTAACACTTTCTAGGCCAGTAAATTTAATTGTATCCTTATCTGTGGCCACCAAATTCTCTCCTGTCCTCTCTCCCCTCTGCTGTGTCTTTTGGCCCTTGAAACCTTAGACTCCTCCCGCTTTTGTCCTCCAGAGGACAATGGTGTCCTGTGTGATTGGTCCAGCACTCTATATACTATACGGTTCTGCTGCTGGACAGAAACAGAGCTTCAGCCTCTAAAGGTGGAGGAGGGATGGTGGGAAAATGCCTTTAGTACTTTGCTTTTCAATCATCAATGTGTAGATGGGAGTCTAATTAAAATGCAGATTCTGATTCTCTGGGTCTGAATTGGAACCTGTGAGTCTGCATTTCTAATAAGCTTCTATTGATGTTAAGGTTGCTCATCTGCAAACCACATTTTGAGTAGCAAGACTAGAGTTTCAAATCTAAGGGAAAAAAATTAAAGATGGTTCTACTTCTAATTCAAAATGTGGTGGTGAAATATCCTCTCCCTTTTTAGTTGGCCTCATAGAGGTGACTATCCCTTATCAAAACACTCTGAGAACCTCAAAGCTTGCCAAGAATTGCATAAAACATCTAAAAGTAATAAACTATACCGTTTGTGCGTTTTTGTATGTTATGACAACTAATAGAAATTTGACTCAGTGTGTAACTTCCACGGATCTGAATCTCTGTCATCACTGCTGCATTTTTTAGACTGATTTTTAATCTCTCATACAAAAGTGTAGATGGAAATGTGAAAAAACAATTGTAATCCAAATATTCTGTACTCCCAATTCCTTCTTAAACAACTGTTATTCTACTCACTTCCAGTATGTACTTTGACCTTACAAATTTTGCAAAAGGTCCATAGAATGTACTACAAGAGTACCAAATTTTACAAAATAGATGAATTTATGAGAATTGGCTAAAGAGTCAATTTCTGTCTCTTGGATTTCTAGAAATAAGTTATATTTTTCTTTTAAATTTTATTAATAAATTATAGTTGTGGCCAGGTGCAGTGGCTCACGCCTGTAATCCCAGCACTTTGGGAGGCTGAGGTGGGAGAATCGCTTGGGACCAGGAGTTCAACACAAACCTGGGCAACATAGTGAGATATCATAGCTACAAAATAAAAAATAAAAAAATTAGGCAAACACCTGTAGTTCCAGCTACTCAGGAAGCTGAGGTGGGGGGATCACTTGAACCCAGGAGTTCGAGGCTGCAGTGAGTTATGATCAGGCCACTCCACTCCAGCCTGGGCAACAGAGTAAGACCTTATCTCAAAAAATAATTAATTAGTTGTACTTAGTGATACAGAAATATTTTAAATATTTAATTTAAAATGGTAACAATGTAGTAGCGATACTGGTGAACTCTTAGTAGAGATTTAGATCTAAATTCTATCTCAGCCACTGCTAGTGCTAAGATTTTGGGAAAATAACTTATTTGCACCTCAGTTCCCTCATGTGCAAAAGATTAAACTTATATTACATGATTCCTTTCAGTGTTATCATTATGTGATTATTTAAACATGAAAAATAATTCTCAAAGCATGTTCAGTTAGTTTTCAATTTGAAACTGTAGTTTGAAAATAAAATGTAAAATCACAGTGACTTCCTAAAAGATAATAGCTAAGCTAAAAAATAAAGTGCCTTTCAATCAGTCTAAAATTCTCTCCTGCAGGATACTGTATCTTTTAATTTCTAATCAGTTTATTGAAGCTGCTGATTCATTTATAGGTTGGTCATTGTAAGAGGGATTTATAGTAGAAACTTACAGAATCTGAAGTCTGAAATGCAGCAGTCAATGAATAAGTATTTAAGCACAATTATTGAATTCAATGAAGAGTAAATTAATGAATAGTAATGGTTCGATTATAAGTTTCTGCCAGAACTCCTGAAACTGCATAATGATTTCCCTCCCTGATTTATAATGATAAGCATATGCTTATTATGTTCTTATAAAATGAGGCAAATTCTTTGCACATCAAAATTACCTGATGATTTTTCTAAAAATACAGCTACTGGATCCACCCCTGTGGGAACTGATTGAATGTGAAAAACAACAAAGCTTGAAAAACCCTCTAATACATCATTTAATCAGTCATACCTAACACCAGCTTTCATGATTCATCCACAGTGTGTGACTTGAAGCATCAGAAGTGTCAGTCTTATTATTAGGTCCCTGTTCAGCATCTTTCTGTCATACAGAGCAGATGTAGTATTGGGCTTAGTGTCTATGAAATAGTTATGTAACAATTATTCAAAAAATCCCTGGGCATATCAGAAGTTACTTTCTTATAATCCTCATTTTTCTCTGAAGCTGAAGAATCACTGTGGTCATTATTTTTAGATATTCTCTGGTAGTGCAGAAAAATACGAAAGGAAAGGGTGATTACCATGTTCTAAGTTGTCACTTTCCTGTTTTATGAAGACAAACTCATAAGAAGACATAGGTTCTAGTGGTAAATTTTGGTAAGAAAATGCCAGGAGAATTTATAAACATCTCCATCCCCAACAGCCAAAATATATTCACTTCTATAAAGATCTGCTTTTATCAAGAGTAACAGACTTTGGGGAATGTCACATTTCTTTTTTTTTTGTTTTTTTGAGATGGAGTCTTGCTCTGTCGCCAGGCTGGAGTGCAGTGACGCAATCTCAGCTCACTGTAACCTCCGCCTCCCAGGTTCCAGCGACTCTCCTGCCTCAGCCTCCTGAGTAGCTGGGACTACAGGCACGCACCACCACACCCGGCTAATTTTTGTACTTTTAGTAGAGACAGGGTTTCACCTTGTTGCCAGGATGGTCTCTATCTCTTGACCTCGTGATCCATCTGCCTCAACCTCCCAAAGTGCTGGGATTATAGGCATGAGCCACCGCACCCAGCTGAATGTCACATTTCATTCTGGTTTTAGTAATATCTATATTAGTTAGAGTAAACTGCTTGTTTTAATGTTGTGTTGGCCTCCAAATATATTTACAAAGGTGGTCATTTAAAAAAATTTTATACTAAAATAAATGTGTACTCTATAGTATAAATTTTTTACACATTTATACTCTAATATTATGCAAACATTCATTTTCAGTAATTTTTATATGTATGTTATTAATTTTGTGGGTTACAAAGAGAAATATATCCATTTGGGAGGGAAGGCATTGGGTGATACATCTAATTTTTATTTTGAGTCTCAGAGTAAATACGAGTTTTAAATCTCCTAAGCAACTACTTATAAATTCAGGTTAACTGAAAAGCTATAAAATAAGTGCAGATGAGAATCACATAATTACATTATATAAGGTTGTAGCTTAATGGAACTATATCGACTGAGCTGCATTTTTAGAGCTTAGTTCTATGATCAACTCGATGTATGATGAACAGGTTTTCAAGGCTATATGCCTCAAAATTTTTAACACAGAATGGGCAGCTCTTTATGAAAAAAAATTATTCATAAGTAAATCACTGTGTGATATCTATTTTGCTCCAAAGTTTTGTTATAGTTATGGCTGCCTTCTAAAATGACATTGAAGTAACATAATGCACATTTGCAAGACAATTTCTAAATGTAAAAACCTTACTTAGTCTGGCATAAATAAGACTTGATGAAGCCATGCAAGGTGGGGCTAGTCAGTATTGCACTCCTTCTTCCACCAAACCCGCCCACCTATCTAGTCCTCCACTATATCTCAACCAGGAGATGGCTAAGAATAAAATAAATAATACAATACATAATAAAAATAAAAGATTAAACGTTCCTATGGACTGCAAGTTTGCATGTCTCCAAAATTCATATGTTGAAGCTTCAATCCCTATGGTGATGATGGCAACTGGAGGTGGTGCTTTGGGGAGGTAATTCAGTCATACAGATGGAGCTCCTATGACAGGATTAGCACCTTATAAGAGGAGACTCAAGAGAGATGATCTCTCTCCACCATGTCAAGATACAGCAAAAAGTCAGCCATCTGCAAAGCAGGAGGAAGGCCCTCACAAGACTGAATCTGCCAGCACCTTCGTCTTAGATTTCCCAGCCTCCAGAGCTGTCGGAAATAAATGTTTGTTACTTAAGCTACACAGTCTATGGCATTTTGTTATAGCACCCTGAATTAACTAAAACAAATAAGATCCAGAGTTTCATAATATAATATCCAAAATATCCAGGACAGAATAAAAAGTTACTCATCATACCATAAAGCAGGAAAGTAACTTGAATGAGAAAAGAGAATCAACAGAAGCTAATAATCAGAAGGTGGAATTAGCTGAAAAAGATTCAAAGCATTGTACAAATGCTTCACCTAACAGTAAAGAGTTCTCATGCAACAAATGAAAATACAGAAAATCTCACCAAAGAAATAGAAGCTATTTACAACGAGTAGAAATACTAAAACCAAATTTTAAAACTCACTGCATGGTCTCAATGGGATAGAATCAGTGAACTTGAGGATAGGTCACTCTATCTGAAAAACAGAGAAAATACACTGAAAAGAAATGAACGTAGGCATAGGGAACTACGTAAGAGTAGCCAAAAGAGCTAATAATTCTTACCATCAGAATAATTCTTACCTCTCTTACAGAAAGAGAGGACAGAGGGAATACAACCAAAAAAAATTTGGAGTAAAAATAGCTGAAAAATTTATAAATGGGTCAAAATATATAAACTTACAGGAAGCTGAGTAAATCCCAAATATAATAAATTCAAAGAAATGTATGTCAAGACATATCATTGTTAAACTTCTGAAAGCTAAGCCAGGCATGGTGGCTCATGCCTATAATCCAAGCACTTTGGGAAGCTGAGACAGGAGGATCACCTGAGCTCAGGAGTGCGAGACCAGCCTGAGCAACATAATGAGACCTTGTATCTATGAAAAATAGAAAAATTAGCCAGGTATGGTGATGTACACCTGTAGTGCCAGCTACTCCAAAGGCTGAGACAGGAGGATGGCTTGAGCCTGGAAGATCGAGGCTGTAGTGAGCCATAATAGCATCACTACACTCCAGCCTGGGTGACAGAGAGGGCCCCCATCTCAGAGCAAAACAAAACCTCTGAAAACTAAAAACAAAGAATTGTCTTGAAAGCAGGAAGTGAGGAATGACACATCCTGTAAAGGAGAACACCAATATAAGTCTCTCACCTGAAACTATGGAGGCCAGAAGGAAGTAGCACAATATTTTTCAAATAATTTTTTTAAAATCTACCAACTGTGAGTTCCATGTCTAGCAAAAATAATGTTCAGGAAAAAAAAATCAAGCAAATCTACCATTACAGAGCAGCTTAAGGAAGTTTTTTTTTTTGTTTTTTGTTTTTTTAAAGAAAGGAAATGATAACTTAAGACGGCTTGGAACTTCAGAAAGGAAAAAAGTACATCTGCATGAGGCAAAAATAGGAGTAAATAGAATATCCTTATGAGTGTCTTAAATCATATTTGACGGTTGAAGCAAAGATTAAAATGTCATCTGATGCGGTGCTCAATGTATGTAGAGGAAATAGTTAATTATAGTGTTAACATGGGGAGGTTAAAGAGACCTAAATAGAAGTAAGTTCCCTATGTTTCACAAATAGTGGTAAATTGTCAAAACCAGTAGACTACTATACAAGAGATCCTTGTGATGAAACTGTCCTATATCTTGACTGTGACAGTAGTCACATGACTCTACACATGTGATAAAATTGGTAGAACTAAATATACATGCACACACTTCCACAAATGAGTACATGCATAACTGGTGAAATCTGTATTAGGTCAATGGATTGTAACAATGTGATTTCCTGACTGTGATATTGTACTGCACTTATGCAAGATGTTACCATTTGGAGAAACTGGGTAAAGGGTATGTGAAATTTCTGTATTATTTCTTACAACTGCAAGTGAATCTACAATTACCTCAAAATAAAAAGGCAACATTTTTAAAAACCTTATTTAGTTATCAAATGCAGCTTTATTAATCAAAAATTTCAAACATAAAGGATATTTCTCATAACTCATACATGCCAAGATTTTTTGCTAGACTTATTGTGGATATGTAAAATGGACCCCCAAATCTTAAAGCTTAGTAAAGTAAATAAAATCTTTGAAATACACAAAGAAACACTAAAAAAATCAGTCTTAAAGCAGTTCAGAGAAAGAAAAATTCATCATCAGTCAGAATGAGAGAGAAATACTCTCTTTCACAAAACACTGAAGTTGCTAAGTATGTACTTACAGGAGACATATCTAGATCCCTATTTCATCAATTGTCCGTGAATTTCTATTGAAATTCTCTAAATGAGAGACCACAATATACTTGGATGCCATCTCAGCATATAGACCTTGTAGCTGTAGTCCACATAAATATGATCCAGGTGTTACTAATAAGATAGAGTTGCCTTATTTAAAAAAATTAAACTATCTTCCCAAAATATGTATAAGCCTCCTATAGTTGACTATAGTTGGTGAGACTATTTTACCATATTATTTCATTATAATGGTGCATCTGAACACAGGTACAATTGTAGTTTCGATAAAAATTGCAGTCACTAAAGAATTAGCATTTTAATACACAGTAGATAATATAAATGGCCTTAGTTTCCAAATGATTAGCAAGCATACATTTCCTACTGCAAAGAATTTTACTCATTAAAATACACTTTATGGGAGTAATAGATATGTACTATGTGTTTGTTAGCGACCACAAATATAATGTACTGAACACCTTGTCAACAAATCGCATACATACTCCTTCCAGCTATTTACACTATCGACTTGGTAAAACTATTTGTATCACAAATTATAACTTTATATAAATCCCATGTATCATGGGCTTCTTTGTGAAGCTCAGAATAATCCAAAATTCTTCACAACTCCAGCTAGACTGTTACTAAACTCATTTCATTCTGATGTGCCTTTTAAAAACTCCATAATATTTTATGTTGCCTTACAAATTCAGGAGCTACAGGTCATTTATTCCAGTGCTCTGACAGTTCTCATGAACTATCTCTTTACTATTTGAATTACAGTTTAGTCAACTTCAAGTTATAACTATGGTGAACATTGATTAAAATTAGTCATTTTTCAAATCACAACATTCAACTCATAGATGTGAGCACTTTGGCTCATCTATTTGATCCTTCATTCAAGGGATGATGAAACAGATTGGAAGTATGCCTCTAAGAAACTGAGCTTCAGAGCAAAACAAACTCTCTACCCCAAAGCATCATTAATGTGTCCTAAACTGTGTATATTAAAGAATGAAAAGTCCTTAGATTTTTAAGCACCATGACTTTCCAAAAATCAAGTTAGTTTAATAAGGCAAAAACTACCTTTAGTAAAGACATAAAGAAGTATTGAGCACTTACACTGTATTCTAGAAGAACACAACATCATGTGGGGTAGATTAAACGTTAGCATCAAATGTTACAGACTGAAACTCAGGCAGAGGTTAAGTCACTTGCTCCCAACCACAGCAGGAGTTCTGTCACGGTCAAGAGCAGCATGGCCTTCTTACACTTTCAGTCCAGGCCCAAGATTAATCTTTCAAGAGGAAAGGATTTAATGGAGAAAGCTTGTAAATATTCATGAAGTAATAGCAAACTAAATATTACAGAAATCTCGGATAACGTTTAAATGCTCAAAATTGCCACCTACATAAATGGAACCAAGATTCTCAAAAGAATGTAAAACATGAGAGTTTGTGTAATTAAAAGTTAAAGAAGCAAAAAGACTCCTGAGTCACATTGTCGTGATGTGGCATTAAAGTACTTGTGTGGGAAGGGTTGGTCAAATCCTAAGATTGTCCCAAGAATTGCTATTTATTAAAGTTCTTATTACTAGATTAACCACAGGAAAACTTAATTGGCCATTAGCTTTAAAGAAAAACATCTATGGAAGCAAAATACCTTATTAAATATTTAACAGGACATGGCCTACATATTGCTTAATTTAGATAATCTAATTATAGCAAGCTAATGCACTTAGCTCATCATCATAATACTTGAAATTATTTACCTGAATTTGGCTCATCCTGACTTTGGTTCCTATGTTATATTTCTTATGCAATTGTTTTACCATAAAATGTCTTTACTTAAACAATTTTTCAATACAGGATCATGAGTGCTTAAACTATATATATCTAGTTTGAACATGTACATAGAGTAGTATATATATATATATATATATATGTATTAGTTTTTTGTGAAAAGACTTGTGGTTCTAGTTGGCACTTCATCTAACAATTTAGCATGTAAAATTAATACAGATACTTAAAAAATGTACACTACTATGGAATTTACAAAAATGTTACAGAAGTGAATTCAACAATGTACAGACAGGTACACTATATGGATACATTTAACCAAAAAAAAAAGTAATATTCTAAACAGAAAACATCAGCACAGAGGGCAGATTAAATTAAGTGCGAGAGGCAATAAAGTTTACATCAGAATGGGCAAGTAATGCCCAAGGAAAATTTGATCATTAAAAGGGAAACAGGTGTAAGGACAGAGTCCAAGCACAGATCACGCCTGTAATCCTAGCCCATTGGGAGGCCGAGGCAGATGGATCACGTGAGGTCAGGAGTTCAAGACCAGCCTGCCCAACATGGTGAAATCCCGTCTGTACTAAAAATACAAAAATTAGCTTGGCATGGTGGTGCGTGCCTGTAATCCCAGCTACTTGGGAGGCTGAGGCAGGAGAAGCTCTTGAACTCTAGGACTCTAGGAGGTGGAGGTTGCAGTGAGCCAAGATGGTACACTACACTCCAGCCTGGGCAACAGAGCGAGACTCTGTCTCAAAAAAAAAAAAAAAAAAAACTCACACCTTGTTGATATTGGTCCTATTCCAGGAGATAGGTAAAATGTACATTAATTTTCAGGTAGATTAATTTGTATTGTTCTTACATGTCCTATTCATCAGTTTATTGTTCAACTAATTCTGAATTCTGCACAATTGACTCTTAATAGCACATTGCCTTGCAATAGCAGCCCACACTTCCTACCTGCGAAGTCATCAGTCTCAATAACTTAGTCTATGGAAGGTAGTTTTGGAGCAAGGTGCCCATCAAGATTAGGTTTCTTCCCTCCCAGGGAAACCAATAGATAGGGGTGCTTCTTCCTTGATGATTACATTTCAGAAATGGTTCCCAGATCCTTGAGAAAGATATTCCTGGGTCATAAAGCTAAGAGGCTTATTTCACTTCAAAGAGACTGAAAATTGATTCACAAGTTTGTTCTTTTTTAAAAGTAAATGCTCTAAAAAAAAAAAAAAAAAGAAGTAATGGGGGGATGGAGTCTCTCCCCTTATTTTCAACAGGGAGGACGAGGCCTCTTATTTTCCATTTGTCTTTGCCTGTACAGTCTTCACCATACAGCACATAACTCAAAGCTTCACATACACAAGTCAAATAACATCTATTAAAATGAGATTTTATCCCATCTTACGTGCCTTGTAAATGTGTATATTCTTCAGAAAATACAGACATTTTGGAAACACATTTGTGTAAGTTTAATGATTTAATTTATGTTTCTTTATTTTCACTTTTTTTAAACTGAAAGGTCTTGCTAAATGAGAACTGGCATAAATTACTGTCTCAGGACTGTGCTGAGAATTAGGTTCTGGGAATGATAAGAAAGGAAATTTTTTTCTAAGTGATTATAATGTCATTTTCAAGTTATGCATTTCAGGTAAATTCAATTACTTTTTTCCCATATCTCAAATTTATGAGTAATTTTTCAAATAATTATATTAACATGAAAATTCTGTTAAAACAGACAATTTGTACTTTTCAGAACAGACAATTTCGGAGTGGCAACTGCATATTTCAGTTGTTAATTCACAACAATGTATATGTGATTATCCATAGTGATGGTGAGATTTGGGTTCCAACACTTCAAGGAAACTCTTGCATAGATTCATTTATTTGCTTTACAAGGAGGAATGACTCAAACACAGTCCTTTGGAGCTAGAATCAGTCTATCAAAAAGTCATTTCTCCATAGACCAGGGATGTTTTAACCAATGCCACTTCACAGAGAGGGACTTTGGAAAAAGTAGTACATAAGTGCACACATTGCTCAGAAATATTTCCAGAGATTTCAGTATTGATGCGTGAATGTTGGGTATGTGCTGGCCTATCAAAACAATGGCCTTTCTTGATTTTATAACTATTTCCTATTTAACATTCTTCAAGGCTTAAATATATTTTCCTCTGGTAATGAGCAGAGGAAAGGATATTTTCCTCTGGTAATGAGCAGGCCATGGAATCTTTAAAATACTTTGTGGCCCAGTGAGCTTTATATTTCTTTTACTGTTTTCCTCTAATCCAGAATTAGAGTCCCTATACACACTGACTATATTTCAGTATAATTTTAACTACAAGGAAAAAGCTGTGGGTCTGGACTTTCAGAGCTTGGACTCTGAAAATAACAAGCTAATAGAGGACCAGGTAAGTGCACACTTCCTCCCCAGCAAGGCAGACAGGGTAAGTGCTCACATTAAGGATTAAACAAATGTCTGACTCAGACATTTGAGGGCCTTAGAAACACAATGAAAGTTTAGTTGGGAGTAAAACCATCCCTATAAACTTTAAGCAATAAATCCGGAAAGAAGAGAGGGAAAGAAACAAAAATACACCAAGCTCGCAGCACATTCAGCATTATCATTAGGTCAGCATACTCTCCGGCATGCTTCCTCACAGTCATTTGGAGCCTATTGTCCCAGAGTCATGTGGACCCTAGATTATAGTTCCCCTTAACTGCTATATGGATAACAACCTGAACATTACGAGACATTAAGTTTTCCCTCTGAGATATTCATTCAGCACCTGCATACCAGTGAAACTACTGATGTCAGCTGATATGAATGTCTCCATGAAGAGCTGTCTCAACAAAGAATGCAGTTTCCACATCCTGATGATTCCATCCTCCTCACCTCAACCAAGCAATGACCTCAACTTTCCAGCCACTCACCCTCCATGATCCTCATAAAAACCGACTCAAACTCATTGGAGAGATGGAGTTGAGGGTGTCCTCTTATCAACACCCTCAGCTGTCCTACGATCATTAAACTCTTTCTCTGCTGAAAACTCTGCTGTCTCAGTATATTGGTATGTTACTGCACTACCACATAGGAACCTGTTGGTCCTATAACAGAAGTGACAAGTTTAGAGCTGTGCTCTAAAATGACCTTATCAGCATCTCCTAAATATCTCTAAATGGTCTCTCCATTATCCCCACCACTGTGTCTCCTCTCTACCACTCTTACCACGCCAACCCATGTCTCTATTCTGAATGACTCAGCAGATTTCTGGTCAATCTCTGCTTCCCCTTGCCTTTCTCCAGTCAGTTCTCCATACAGCAACCAGAATCATGCTTTAAAAAAAATCTTACTATGCATTTCCCTGCTTACAGTAATTCAATAACTTCCCACTGCATTAAAAACCCAAGCTGTCATCCTGGCCTCTGAGCCACTCACCACTACTCATGAGTACACAGGCCAAGGCCCTTGGCTTCCTGAAGTTTCGCTGAAAAATTAACTCACAAAAGGCGGGTTAATTGGAGAAAAAAATACAAATTTATTTAATGTGTATACACAGGAGCCTTCAGAATGAAGACCCAAACATATAGGAGAAATGGTTTATGTTTATGCTTAGGCTCAACAAAGTACAAATCGCTATGCAGAAATATGATTGAACAAAAAGGGTACGATCTAATGCTAACAAACTAAGGGGGAAAAAACAGCAAGGCCTATCTGTCTAGATTTTACTTGACCTCTCTGGGCATGCATTTCTTCCTTCTGGGTGTGGGAAAGGACCCTCTTGGAAATGAGGATCTTATGACCTACAGTCAAACAAGATAAGTCAGATAATTTCTTTATAGCCAAATTTTACAAAGGATCTGGGGAAAATTAGAGTAATATTTTTAGGTATTGTGGTTGGCTTTGGGGAAATAGGTTCTGGTTTCTGTGACCAGCATTGGGGAAAGGGATTCTAATTTCTATGGCTAGCCTTTGGGAAGAATGAGACTGGGAGGCAGAAGGGCAGAAGAAGGTCGGGAAAAAACCTCTGAGGCTGTTTATGAGGCCTTCATTTTGAGGTATTGTTTTCTGAGTCCCCACATAAGCCTTCTGGTTCCTCCTCCTACATGCCAAGTTCATTCATTCTCTAGGGCCTTTGCATAGAGCTGTCTCCTCTTCCAGAAATGCTCTTCTCTGCAAAACATGGCTCGATTCTATTCATTTAGATCTCAGCTTATCTATCACATCCCAAAAGAGATCAACTCTATTCACCACAAGGAGTCACTAAGTCACTTTCCATCACCTACTTGCAATTTTATTTTTTAGTGTTTTGGTGACCTATAAGCCTTCTGACCAAAATTTAAGTTCCATGGAAGCAGTATCATTGTCTGTCTTGTTCAGTATTATTTCTCCAGCACCAGCAAATTGCTTGGTACATAATAGGCCCTCAATAAATATTTTTTAAATGAGTGAACATACAATAGCCTTATTTGAAGAGTTGAAAAGCAAAACTATAAATAAGGAAGCAATTACTGAGATACCATTACTGAGATACTCCTGGAAGAAGTAATGAAAGTTTGATGTAGAATTATGATAGAAAAGGAAAAAGTGAACTGATGTGAGAGTTGTTTTGTAGGAACAGCGGTACATGGAAAACGTTTTAGCATGGGGATAAAGACTTTCCTTTAAATAGATATACGTTAAACAGGAAAGTATAGAGGGTGCATCATACTAAAGATTATAGAGAAATGATAAAAAAGCGTTTGTGTTAAATAAATAATCAATTGATCATTGGTGGTCTCAGAGACTATATTTTCAGCAGACTGAAGAATAATCAGGACTGATATGTAACCAATACACATTAGTATGACCTATATATTTTAAAATTACTCCTAGCTACAAGCATGATTTCTACTGGTGAAGAAATGTTTTTAAAAAATTTAAGCAGCAGGCATAGAAAAACCATTTTTCAAGAAGTTCGATGATGACATACAGCATGGTTTTCTGTGAAATATTGTATGAGTGGCCAGGGATGACTTTTTTCATTATTTCAGTAGGTTTTTTGGGAAACAGGTGTTTGGTTGTGTGGATAACTTCTTTAGTGGTGATTTCTGAGATTTTGGTGCACCCATCAACTGAGCAGTGTACACTGTACCCACTGTACCCAGCAATTATCTTTTGCCCCCCTTCTCCCTGAGTCCCCAAATTTCACTGTACAATTTTAATGCCTTTGCATCCTCATAGCTTAGCCACCACTTATAAGTGAGAACATACGACATTTGGTTTTCCATTCCTGAGTTACTTCACTTAGAATAATGGTTTCCAATTCCATCCAGTTTGCTGTGAATGCCATTATTTCATTTCCTTTTTATGTCTGAGTAGTATTCCATGGTGTATATATACCACATTTTTTTTTAATCAACTCATTGATTGATGGGCATTTGGGCTGGCTCCATATTTTGCAATTGTGAATTGTGCTGCTATAAACATGTGTGTGTGTCTTTTTTGTATAATGACTTTTTTTCCTCTGAGTACATACCCAGTAGTGGGATTGCTGGATCAACAGTAGATTTTCTATTAGTTTTCCATACTAGATCCATACTAGTAGAATTGCTAGATCAAGTGGCAGATCTACTATTGGTTCTCCACACTGCTTTCTGTAGTGGTTGTACTAGTTTACATTCCTACCAGCAGTACCTACTAGTTTACATTCCTACCACCACATCCATGAGAACATCTATTATTTTTTTATTATGGTCATTCTTGCAGGAGTAACGTGGTATTCCATTGTGGTTTTGATTTGCATTTCCCTCATAATTAGTGATATTGAGCATTTTTTAATATGTGTGTTGGCCATTTGTATATCTTCTTTTGAGAATTGTCTATTCATGTCTTTAGCCCACTTTTTGATGGGATTCTTTGGGTTTTTTTCTTGCTGATTTGTTTGAGTTCACTGTAGATTCTGGCTATTAGTACTTTGCTGAATGCATAGTTTTAGAAGACTTTCTCCCACTCTGTGGGTTGTCTGTTTACTCTGATGATTATTTCTTTTGCTGTGCAGAAGCTTTTGAGTTTTAAGTCTCATCTGTTTATCTTTGTTTTTGTTGCATTTGCTTGTGGGTTCTTGGCCATGAAGTCTTTGCCTAAGCCAATGTCTCAAAGCATTTTCCAATGTTCTAGAATCTTTATGGTTTTAGGTCTTAGATTTAAGTCTTTGATCCATCTTGAATTGATTTGTGTATAAGGTGAGAGATGAGGATCCAGTTTCTTTCTTCTACATGTGGCTAGCCAATCATCCCAGCACCATTTGTTGAGTAGGGTGTCCTTTCTGCACTTAATGTTTTTATTTGCTTTGTCACAAATCAATTGGCTGTAAGCATTTGGCATTATTTCTGGGCTCTATTCTGTTCCATTCATCTATGTGCCCATTTTGATGCCAGTACCATGCTGTTTTGGTGACTATAGCCTTGTAGTATAGTTTGGGGTAAGGTAATGTGATGCCTCCAGATTTGTTCTGTTTCCTTAGTCTTGCTTTGGCTATGTGGGCTCTTTTTTGGTTTTATATGAATTTGAGAATTGATTTTTCTAGTTATGTGAAGAATGATGACAGTATTTTGATGGGAATTGCATTGAATTTGTAGATCCCGTTTGGCAGTATGGTCCTTTTCACAATATTGATTCTTCCCATCCATGAGCATGGGATGTGTTTCCATTTGTTTGTGTTGTCTATGATTTCTTTCAGCAGTGTTTTGTAGTTTTCCTTGTAGAGGTCTTTCACTTCATTGGTTAGGTATTCTTAAGTATTTTATTTTACTTTTGCAACTAGTATAAAAAGGGGTTGAGTTCTTGAATTGATTATCAGTGTGGTTACTGTTGGTATATAACAGTACTACTGATTTGTGTATATGAATTTTGTATCCTGAAACTTTACTGAATGCATTTATCAGTACTAGGAGCTTTGTGGATGAGTCTTTAGAGTTTTCTAGGTATACGATCTTCTACTCCATGATCAGTGACAGTTTGATTTCTTCTTTGCTGATTTGGATGTCATTATTTCTTTCTCTTGTCTGACTGCTGTTCCTAGGGCTTCCAGTACTATGTTGAATAGAAGTAGTGAAAGTGTGCATCCTTGTCTTGTTCCAGTTCTCATGGAGAATGCATTCAGCTTTTCCCCATTCTGTATAATGCTGGCTGTGGGTTTGTCATAGATGGCTTTTATTACCTTAAGTATGTCCTTTCTATGCCAATTTTGTTGAGCATTTTAATGATAAAGGGATACTGGATTTTGTCAAATATTTATTCTGGGTCTATTGAGATGATCATGTGATTTTTTGTTTTTAATTCTGTTTATGTGGTATATTATTATTTATTGCCTTGCATATGTTAAACTATCTCTGCATCCCTAGGATGAAACCCACTTGATCACGGTGAATTATCTTTTTGATATGCTGTTAGATTTGCTTAGCTAGTTATTTTATTGAGGATTTTTGCATCTATGTTCTTCAGGGATATTGGTCTGTAGTTTTCTTTTTTTGTTATGTCTTTTCCTGGTTTTTGTATTAGGGTGATACTTGCTTCATAGAATGATTTAGGGAGGATTCCCTCTTTCTCTTATCTTTTGGAATAGTGTCAGTAGAATTGCTACCAATTCTTCTTTGAATGTCTAATATAATTCAGCTGTGAATCCAGCTGGTCCTGAACTTTTTTTGTTGATAACTTTTTTAATTGCCATTTCAATCTCACTGCATTATTGGTCTCTTCAGAGTTTCTATTTCTTCCTGATTTAATCTAGGAGAGTTGGATATTTACAGAAATTTATCCATCTCCTCTAGGTTTTCTAGTTTGTGCACATAAATATATTCATAGTAGCCTTCAATGATCTTTTGTGTTTCTGTGGTATCAGCTGTAATATCTCCTATTTCATTTCCAGTTGCGCTTATTTGGATCTTCTCTTTTCTTTCGTTGGTTAATCTCACTAACGGTCTATCAATTTGATTTATCTTTTCAAAGAACCAGCTTTTTAATTTATCTTTTGTATTTCTTTTGTTTCAATTTCATTTAGTTCTGCTCTGATCTTTGCTATTTCTTTTCTTCTGCTGGGTTTGGGTTTAGTTTGTTCTTGTTTCTCCAGTTCCTTGATGTGTGACCTTAGATTGTCTATTTGTGCTCTTTCAGACTTTTTGATGTAGGAATTTCATCCTGTGAACTTCCTCATAGCATGACTTTTGCTGTATCCCAGAGGTTTTGATAGGTTGTATCACTATTATCATTAAGTTCAAGGAATTTTTTTATTTCCATCTTTATTTCATTGTTGACCCAACAAACATTCTGGAGCAGATTATTTAATTTTCATGGACTTGCATGGTTTTGAGGATTCCTTTTGGAGTTGTTTTCCAATTTTATTCCACTGTGGTCTGAGAGAGTACTTGATATAATTTTGGCTCTCTTAAATTTATTGAAACTTGTGTTGTAGTCTATCATATAGTCTATCTTGGAGAATGTTCCATGAGCTGATAAATGAGTATATATTCTGCAGTTGCTGGGTAGAATGTTCTGGAAATATCTGTGAAGTCCATTTGTTCTAGGGTACAGTTTAAGTCCATTGTTCTTTGCAGACTTTCTGTGTTGGTGACCCTTCTAGTGCTGTCAGTGGAGTATTGTAGTCCCCCACTACTATTGTGTTGCCATGTATCTCATTTCTTATGTCTAGTAGTAATTGTTGTATAAATTTGGGAGCTCCAGTGTTAGGTAGATATATAGTTAGAATTGTGATATTTTCTTGTTGGACTAGATCTTTTATCATTATATAACGTCATCCTTTATCTTTTTTTTACTGTTGGTGCTTTAAAGTCTATTTTGTCTGAGATAGAAATAGCTACTCCTGCTCACTTTTGCTGTCCATCTGCATGGAATATCTTTTTCCACCCCCTTACCTTAAGTTTATATGAGTCTTTATGTGTTAGATGAGTTTCTTGAAGACAATAGATACTTGTTTGGTGAATTCTTATCCATTCTGCCATTCTGTATCTTTTAAGTGGAGCATTTAGGCCATTTACATTCAGCTGTAGTATTGAGATGTGAGGTACTATTCTATTCATCATGCTAGTTGTTGCTTGAATACTCTTTTTTTTTCCATTGTGTTATTATTTTATATGTCCTGTGAGGTTTATGCTCTAAGAAGGTTCTATTTTGGTGTATTTTGAGGTTTTGTTTCAAGATGTAGAGCTCCTTTTTAACAGTTCTTGTAGTGCTGGCTTGGTAGTGGCAAGTTCTCTCATCATTTGTTTGTCTGAAAAAGACTGTATCTTTCCTTCATTTATAAGACTTTGTTTAGCTGGATACCAAACTCTTGGCCAACAATTGTTTTGTTTAAGGAGGCTAAACATAGTACCCCCATCTCTTCTAGCTTGCAGGGTTTCTGCTGAGAAATCTGCCGTTAATCTGATAGGTTTTCCTTTATAGGTTACCTGATGCTTTTGCCTCACAGCTGTTAAGATTCTTTCATTCTTTCTTTCATCTTCATTTTAGTTAACTTGATGGCTATTTGTCTAGTTGGTTATCTTTTTGCAATGAATTTCCTGGGTGTTTTTTGAGCTTCTTGTATTTGGATGCCTAAATCTCCAGCAAGGCAAGGGAAATTTATTGAGGGAATTAGTCCCTCAAATTTGGTTTCCAAACTTTTAGATGCATCTTCTTTCTCGGGCATAGCAATTGTTCTTAGGTTTGGTTAACAAAATCCCAGCCTTCTTGGTAGCTTTGTTCATATTTTTTTTAATTCTTCTTTCTTTGTCTTTGTCAGATGAAATTAATTGAAAAGCCTTGTCTTCAAGCTCTGAAGTTCTTTCTTCTACTTGTTTGATTCTATTGCTGAGACCTTCCAGTGCATTTTGCATTTCTCTAAGTATGTCCTTTATTTCCAGAAGTTGTGATTGTTTTTTATTTACCTGTAGCATTTTAAAATTTCTTTATGTTGATATTTACCTTTCTCTGGTTCCTCTCTGAGTAGCTTAATAATCGAACTTCTGAATTCTTTTTCTGGCAATTCAGATATTTATTCTTGGTTTGGATCCATTCCTGGTGAGCTAGGGTGATCTTTTGGGGGTGTTAAAGAGCCCTTTTTGTCATATTATCAGAATTGTTTTTCTGATTCCTTCTCATTTGAGTAGACTATGTCAGAGGAAAGATCTGGGACTCAAAAACTGCTCTTCAGATTCTTTTGTCCCACAGGGTACTCCCTTGATGTGGTGCTTCCCCTAGGGATGGGGCTTCCTGAGAGCCAGATTGCAGCAATTGATATTTCTCTTCTGGGTCTAGCCAACCAGCGGAGCTGCCTGGCTCTAGGCTGCTACTAGGGAGTGTCTACAAAGAGCCCCATGAGGTTATCATCCTCGGGTCTCTCAGCTGTGGATACCAGCACCTGCTCTGTTGGAGGTAGGAGTGGAGTGAGGTGGACTCTGTGTGGGACCTTGACTTTCGTTTTGTTTAGTGCACTTGTTTTCTCGTATGCTGGTTGTGCTGGCAGTAAAGTTGTCATGTAGACATACTGAGGATCTCTGGTTAGACAAGATGTTACAGGTGGTAAAGTTAGCTGTTGTTTTTCTCCTTTGTGGGGCAGGGTTGTTCTTTTATGAGTTGCTGTAATGGCTTGAGTTGGTTGGCCTCCAGCCAAGAGGTGATGCTTTCAAGACAGCATCAGCTGTGGTAGTATAGAAGGGATACAAGCTTGCCCTAAGGTCACCTGGATAAGTACTCAGGTTTCTCAGGTGGTGGGTGTGGCCACAGAGCTCCCAAGAGATTATGTCTTTTGTCTTCTACTATCAGGGTGGGTACTGAAAAACCATCAGGTGAGGGCAGGGTTAGGAATGCCTGAACTCAGACTCTCCTTGGGCAGGGCTTTTGGGGTGTGGTTCTCAGGCCTATGGAGTTATGTTCCCAGGGGGATTATGACTGCCTCTGCTGCATCCTACAGGTCACCAGTGAAGTGGGGGAAAGCTGGCAGTGCCAGGCCTCACCCAGCTCCCATACAGCCAGAAAGGCCAGTCTCCTGCTGTGCCCCTCCAGCAGCACTGAGTTTATATCCAGGCAGCCAGCGAGCAGGGCTGGGACTTTGCCGCAAGCTACCAGTCTCTCTGCCGAGAAATCAAGCAGGGCTTTCAGCTTCACCTCTCCCTACTATGGCTTCTGTGCTCATATCTGCACTTCCCATTTGCCCTCCACCCCCAGATTCTGCCCTGAAAAATTTTCACTCAGTTGAAATTACTACAAAGTTCAGCTGAAAGTTTCCTTCTTCCTGTAGTCTTTCCCCAGTTCCACTGGCAACGCTCCCCAAGGGCCCCTGTGAGATACGGTCTGGAATGGGTCCCTGAGCTTCCCTGAGGACCAGGAGTGCCTACAGGGCTCTTCCCTGCTGCTGCTTCTACTTTTATATTTTACTCAGCTCTCTAAATTTATTTCAGCTCTAGGTAAGGTTAAATCCTTCTCCCATGATCTGGATTTTCAGGCTTCCTAGTAAGGATGTGTGTTCACTGGCAGACTTTCCCCCTCTCACACCTTGGACACTCCCAGTTTTTTGGCTATCTCTCAGAATTTGCAGTGGCAAACCACTTCTTTCAAAGGGTCTGAATTCTTTTGGTTTTCCTAGTATGTCCCTCTGGTATTTCTTGGAGCAAAAGTTCACAGTGTAAGTCTCCATACACTGTTCTGTCCAGCTTCAGGGATGATTTTTAAGCAGCTATGAGATGTAGATGTACAAAGTTGTAATTATTTCTTTACAGTTGCACCCAACTTAGTTCACAAGTGTTTGTTTGTACTGATGGAGAAAAGTGCATCTTATCAATTTAAAGGAATTCAGTTACTTCTGATTTTCAAAAATGGTTCATGTAGGGATTTAAACAGTTAAAGGTTTCCCACCTCCCAGGGATGATGCATAGTCTTAGCTTGCTGACACTGGGTGAAGGATATCTGTTCGCATCCTGTACTTGACCCACCAGCCCACTGAGCAGAGCTGCGCTCCTCTCCCTTGGGCTTGTGTGTGATGACAGTGGATGGTCTGTGGTCTTGAGATTTACACAGTCCGGATTCTCCGAATATTTAGGCTTCTCTGTGGTTATTTTATGATGTCTTAGGTCAGGTTGCCTAGAAACAGACTCAGATTCATTTGCGTTCAATTTAACAGGGAATGCCCTAAAGATCAATCCCCATGTGAAGTAGTGCAGGAAAGAGGATTGAACACTGGGTGTGATAACAATAGAGGCCTCAGGGGAGTTCTGCAGCTGTCCTGAATTAACCCCCTTTCGGGCAAGGTGGAGAGGCCTTTATAACCAGCACCTCCTATTGGCTGGCTACTGGAACAGAGTTGGGCTCAGGGCAATTCCAGAGAGACACTCAGCAAGGAGAGCCCTCAAACACCAATACTCCCAGCACCTAAAAAATTTAGGGCCTCAGTTCTGAAGGAGAACTCAGGATGGCACAGCACGGCATTCATTGCAGTTAGACTCAATTCATCAGAACTGTGCCTTTGCACTCTGCTCGAACCCTTCACCACCCTCAGACCCAAACCAGGGCTAAGGAGCTCTTAGCATTCAGGAATTAGTAACTCTATATGCATATCTATCTTTATATGTTACATTAAGTCTTCTTCACTAAGACTGATAAATTCATGAGGACAAATATTTTTGTTTAAATCACTTTCAAGTACCCAGTACCTTTATACATTTTACTGGTAGCACATAATAGATTTTTATTAAATATTTAATCTATTAATACAGAAATCTTGTTTTCAATGTTAGCTATGTAAATGCTAGTCAGTGGTGAGGCAGCACTCAAATTACCTAGCACTTTGTAAAAAACATCTATTTCTGAATCCTAAACTAGACCTACTGAACCAGAATTTCCAGGGCTGATCTTAGAAAAACAGGTATATTTGTAACAAGCTACCTATTTGAGCTACAGTGCAGCATTGACCCAAGAAATTTCTACTGGGTTTCAGCTTTCATGACTCCTCACATATTGGAAATAATAATTTTCAATTATTGAATCGAGTAATATTCAATTATTCAAATAAAGGAACCAAAGTTCCTTTTTATATCATTGTCCTCCAAACAAAATAATCTTTTTCTTAGTTTTCTTATTTGGTTTTCTAGTTGTCGTTCCAACGTAAAAGATTTTTTTAAATGTAAGAAAAAAATACATAGGTAAAACCGTATGGGTGTTCCTTAAATATGTATATAATTATATTTGTCAATTTTACCTCAATAGTGCTGAAAAAATTAATTACTGAGTGACTAGCAATTTTACTTCTATGTATATACATCCAAAAGAATTGAAAGCAGGATCTCAAAAAGATTTGTATATCCATGTTTATAGCATCATTAGTCATAATAGCCAAGAGGGGGAAGCAATCCAAGTGTCCATCAGCAGATGAATATGTAAATAAAATGTGGTATATACATAAATGTAATATCATTCAGCCTTAAAAGGAAGGAAATTCTGTCGTCTACTACAACATGGATAAACCTTAAAGACTTTATTTAAGTGAAATAAACCAGCCACAAAAAGACAAATACTACATGATTCCACTTATGTGAGGTATCTACAGCAGTCACATTCATATAAAGAGAAGGGAGAATGGTGGGTGTCAGGAACTGGGGGGAAGAGGAAATGAAGGGTTGATATTTAATGGATACTGAGTTTCAAGTTTTACAAGATGGAAATGTTCTGGAGATTGCACAACCATGTGAACATGCTAAACACTACTAAACTTTTACACTTCAGAGGGTTAACATGGTATATTTTAAGTTATGTGTATTTTAACAATATAATTTTTTTGAAATTATGTAAAGAAAATACAACCCATATTTTAGTTTCTGGGCCTGAAACCTATTTCTGATGGCCAGGTAGTGGCTCACAAGAAATAGAGGGAGTTTGAGCCATGCATTCAAACTGGATACATCACAAGAGCAATACAGGTTCAACACATCTTCACTAACATTTTGACTAAGATTTTAATCTCTTAGGAATGACTTGTCATCTGTAAGTAGAAGCAAACAGAGCCCATATCTGCAAGAAGGTGGAGGTCGTATACTGATCATTAAACTCATTAAAACGTGGAGTAGCTGGAAAGTAGTTATAAAATGACTTCCTGGGAGCCATGATTTATTCTGCATCAGTGGTTTCTATTGTCAGTAAGTGCTTTTACCACCAGCTCAACCTGGAATTTAAAAAGAAAACTCCTCTACCTTTTAGTTTTTAAACTATATCCTTTCTATTGTCAGAACATTGACAATTGTGTGGATAAGATCAGAATGAGTCATCTCAGCTCTTCTAGTTGAAATGACTACACCACCATAAGAGTTTGTTTTTTAACACTTGATGCTGAGATTTAAAATTTCTGAGGGACCAAATAGAGTACAAAAAATGTGTAATAGCATTTTTTATTAACAATACAATCAATTTCCAGGCTAAATTAAAAGAGCATGAAAAAATTAAATTCATAGCTTATCCAAACCTAATTTTGATATTCATTTCAACCATTCTATTGATCTAAAAATATAGCAAGTTCTGGTTGATTCTTTTAAAAAGATGCATAGTCATAGGTTCAATAGGTGATTCCTAAAGGCAAGCACAGTTATTGAATTTTCCAAAACAGTCTCAATGTCACATATTCTGCCCCAGTATGCTCACAAAGGCTTTTAAGACTATAAATCGTGCTTTCTTTTTTTTTCAAATTATAAAGTTAGAGTCACCAAAGGGATCCTGGCTATTTATTATACAGTTTCTGGACTACAGGAACATGAAGTCTTAGAGAAATAATGATAAATAGGAATTCTTGATAATATAATTTTTTCATCTATTTTTCTTCTTAATTTTGGGGGAAATGTTTGAGAAATGTCTAAAAATTAGCAAGCCAAAATCAAGAAGTTGAAGGAAAAGATTCTGGATAAATAATTTAGCCTAAAAATAATGTGTGGTCCTGATTTAATTAATTCTTAAGTATATTGTTTTTAAGGAGAACAGTACATATTGTAGATTGAAGGCTTATTCATTTCACATTTGTACTAGAACTGTTACATATGATGCAAACTCTTCCTCATTTTTTTAGAATTTAGAGAACGGTGAAGATGATGATAGGATTTATGTGCCATTTCTGCAGAGTATAAAACATTCTCTTATTTTAAATTAAAATGATTTAATTTATTTTTGGAACATCTTTTTGATTCTTTGGTCTCCCAATATTCAGGTCAGAGATTTAGCCATAAAAATCAATTTTCGAATTAATAACTCATTATAACTTCTTAATCGATAACATTTCAAATTACCTAAACAACTTTTGAAATCTTTAGAAAGTGACCTAAATATGCATACATAGAAAAATAAATGCAATTACTGTTCAATAGTAGAATATAATGGTAGATTATGTAATTAAGGTATAGTTATTCTGATATGATTATCATGTTTCAGAAATATTATTTCATTATCTTAGAAGTCAATTTGAGTGTAGGAAATAAAGACACTAAGGTTTCATTTTCTAAACTATTTTCCTATCTGCAAACCAATGATGCTGTGAGGGAAAGGATATTGGAAAGCATTTACAATGCATGGAGAAGAGCACATAGTTACGAAACTCAGTGTTGACTATCATGAATAAAAGCAAGTCTCAGGGCCATTCACAACTTAAATTTTATTGTTCGAAGAATGTATTTTAGAACTTATATGTATATACACACACACACACACATACACCCACACATTGTCAACTCCTGCAAATATATATATATAAATATGTTTAAATATAAATACAAGTAATGTATAAATATATATTACTTTGTAAATATGCAAGAGAGATATATATGTAAGATATATTTAAGATATTTATATATGATATATTTAAAAATTAATGGTCACTTTCCTTGCAGCAGTGATAAATAAGCATAGAATAATAGAAATTCTATTAAAGCAAAAAAGCAACAGGGCTCAAAACAAAGTCCCATGTAACTAACTACCTTGCCTTATCTAGTAGTTGACCAACCCTCTTCACCATCAATATGGACACTTTATTGCCAAATGATTGCTTGTGTCATCTCACATGAAAATCAATTACCTGAATGTTTTCTTTTTCTCTTTCCTTCTTTCTTTTTTTTTTTTTAATTTACTTTCCAAGGGTTGGGGGAGGAGTAGGGCATAGTTGCCTATGGATTGCATGGTTTCTTCCACTGACAAAGACACTTTGTATCTCTGTCTTGCTCTACATTTTACTTAATTGAAATAGGATAGCAGTATTTAAAGTAATTTTTTATAAGTACTGAGCGAAATAGATTGAACTGAGTTGATTTGGGTTCCTTGCCAATCTTGACTATTCAGACATCTTTTCTTTTTGCCTTGCCTCTGCTTTTCTTCCTTCCTGGTCAAGTGAATTTTATATGGTTCAGTTCTTGATGACCTGTGAAACAAACTAATAAATCTAATAGCTTTAGAAAATGTCACATGTAGAAAATAGAAACTTCACTCTAATAGTCCTCCTAAATTATGATGCTATCATAAAAAAAAATAGGGCAAGACTTCTCCTTGGGCCAAACTTTTCAGTAAAAGGATTAGCTGATAATTATAGTGCAAACTCATAAAAGAAAAATTATGGCACTTTTCAGGAATATTTT
The DNA here is from genome assembly GCF_000001405.40 of Homo sapiens. Lineage (NCBI taxonomy): Eukaryota > Metazoa > Chordata > Mammalia > Primates > Hominidae > Homo > Homo sapiens. Next base: position 172,520,031 of record NC_000004.12, read on the forward strand.
ATTTTTAAAGTTATTCATTATTAATAGTAATATGTCGTACATGTATGAGTGTTATAAATCTAAAGCAATTTCAGAACCATTGTCTCATTTAAACTGTACAACAACCCACTGTGGCAGGCTTTATTATTCTTATTTTAAGGAACCCAATACTAAAGAAGTTAATGTCGGTGTCAATACTGCAGCAAGGACCTGAACACAAATCTCCTGATACATAATCTATTGTTCATTATAGGGCTCTGCTGCATTCTTAGTAGCACTGTGTCTTACATTTCTGAAATAATTGTAATGTACAAAGGATAAGTTGTTTTATTTTATTTTATTTTTATACACAGTTCTCACTAGACAACTGTTAATGGAAATTATTCCACATACCAATAAACTTTGCATCAATGTTTATATCCATTTAAAATCATATATACTGTTATTTTGTGAACAAGTTGTTTTTTGTTTGCTCATTTATTCATTCATTCTTTTTTTACTCCCTTGGGTACAGCATTTTGAGTCAGTCTTTTCGTTTTTTTTTTCAACTGGATTAAAAATATTTGAATACCTATAGAAAGTTGTTTCCATTGAAAACATTTCTTATTTTCCTCTGTGAAGAATGTTGATGAATAATCAGAGCTTCATGTTATTAGTAATATTTATTTCAAAATTAAACTGTTTTCTTAGGGAGGACAAGTATTTTGGTGGCTAAATGTTTGAGATTCTTATCTGAAAACTCAACTAACATATTCTCATATCTGGTCATGTTACATACAGATCCATTTACTATTTCCTTTATTGTTAAGTAGTCAAAGTTACTGTTGAATGAATATATTTTGTAGATGTTCTATTTATCTATATTTACAAAAATAAAACACACACTAAAGCAGCAAAGTTGCAACTTTCAAAATGTCACTTTGAGTAAATGTTGCATCAAGAACTTGTTAGTCAAAAATAGATTTTTCCCTAAATAGGTGTAAACAATTAAAATTGTGGGAGTTTAGAGGAAAAAGTGAAAAGATGTTTTCTTTATTTGCAAGAATGTATATTTTCTCAGAATTCATGTAATTTCAAGATAGATATTGCTAAAAATAAATATTGATGATAATATCTGTAATAATACTATCTACAAATGGCACAGACTGGAGTATAAATAGGTTGCACATTCCATTAGTCATTCACTATTTAAAATGAGAATACTAAACTTTAAGACAGTATCTGTTTTGTCCTACACTGCCATTTTTTCATTCCTTAAAGACAATTTGCAAATAGCCTTTCAGCACTTGACTGACAGAAAAATTCTTCTGACAGTTGGTATAAAACATTTTACCACAAACAGAACTTTGGCATCTCTAGCACATTGCAGACATCTGTTACAATATGCCATAATTTTTAGCACCTCATCATAAAGGCAAATCCAGAACTATGATCTAAATATAACTAGCATATTTTATATGGGCTTTCCTGCTGTGGACTGCCAATTACGAAGCATGAGTAATGAAAGAAGGTACCCTTTAGAGCAGCCAATTCTCAGAAGCATTAGTTTTCTTTAATATTCTACTTTCATTCCAGGAATGGGCAAGACAATAAGTAAGACATTTCATGTCACTTCAGGATAATATCATGTAATTTTAGGGTAATAAAGAATTCATAAGTGATCAGATAGGAGAAAGTTCATTTACATTCTCTCCAGAGACTTTTATCTCTTCAGATGTGACCTTGTACAATTAAATCTATTTCAAATATCCAGAGAAATGGCAGCTAAGCAGACAATGGAATGCTTCATTTTATGTTGGACTGAAATAAAGTGAAATTAAATTATATGAAAACAGTCAAATGTAATAGGAGATAAAAGGTTCCACTGAAATTCTTGCTATCTAATCTTATTCATTAGAATTTTCTAGAAGGATGATTATATTGTGTGCTACGTAACTTGATTTTAAAACTGGCATTTCATTAATATCCCCCCAAAAGGACTGAAATTAAGTGTCCCAGAGAGTCATTTGTAAATGCTATTTTAATTCAGATAATTTATATAAGCAGTTGGACTCAATATAGAGAATGTGTCCTTTTAAAATAAAACAGGCTTTTAAGAAAAAAATATTTTAAGTCTTTGTGTCACAATTGAAATTTTGATTAAATCTTTAAGAAAGATAATTAAAACCATATCTAATGTGTTTTTTTAAAGAAAACTATTTAAAGGGATACCAAGTGAATTATATAAGAATTACTTTTCACAATAAAAGTAATTATTAAAAGGCACAAATGTAATTTTATCAGGATACTTTTATATTTGCATTCTCTTAGTTGATTATTATCTTTAAACATTTAACTTCTCTTCCATTCTCTGGTTACCAGCGATAAAAAGTGTATTTTAGGCCGGGCTTGTGGCTTACACGTGTAATCCCAGCACTTTGGGAGGCTGAAGGGGGCGGATCACCTGAGGTTGGGATTTCGAGATTAGCCTTACCAACATAGAGAAACCCTGTCTCTACTAAAAATACAAAATTAGCCAGGTGTGGTGGCAGATGCCTGTAATCCCAGCTACTCAGGAGGCTGAAGCAGGAGAATCGCTTGAACCCAGGAGGCGGAGTTTGCAGTGAGCTGAGATTGCACCATCGGACTCCAGCCTGGGTAACGAGTGAAACTCAGTCCCCCCCCCCCCCAAAAAAAAAGTGTATTTTACTGTAATCAATCTAATTATGAGGATGAGGGTTTTCATTCAATGTTGATTTATTACCACGCCATTTGTCATTTAAAAGGTGTTTTCTTAATTCATTGCATTATTTGACTTTTCTTATGATATCTAATACATACATAGAAAAGCATAGAAATTTTGTTCTGTGTGCAACTGAGTAATTTATTACAAACCAAATGTTCCTGTAACTACTACCTAGGTCAGGAAAATGATCACAGTAGCACCCTAAGTCCCTCTCTTGATTGCTCTCAATAGCCAATTCCTGTCTTCCATCGTAAGGTAACCACTATCCTGATGTTTATCGTAATAAATTTTGCTTTTATTTATAATTTCAACACCTAAGCACACATCTCTAAACATTTTGTCTCTTTGTTGGATTTGCATAAATAGAATTATATATTACTCTTGTTAAGCATTATGTTGAGGGACTCAGGATGTACTTTGTTTCATTAATCTTGGTTGTTGTATAATGTTCGACAATATGAATATATCACAATGCATTTATGCATTCTACTGTTCAGTAACATCCTTAAACCTGAGCAGACACTCAGACCTGGCTGTGTTTTAAATGACACCACTCTGTCTTTCCCCAGGCTCCCCAAAGACTGGAGGACCAAGATAAAAGGACAGAATATACATTTTTAGCACTTTATTTATCTATTTATTTATTTTGAGACAGAGTCTCACTCTGTCATCTAGGCTGGAGTGCAGTGGCTCGATCTCGGCTCATTGCAACCTCCACCTCCTGGGCTCAAGTTATCCTCCCACCTCAGCCTCCTGAGTAGCTGGAACTACAGGTGCACACCACCTCACCCAGCTGATTTTTGTATTTTTTGTAGAGACATGGTTTTGCCATGTTGCCCAGGCTGGTCTCAAACTCCTGGACTCAAGTGATCTGCCCGCCTCAGCCTCCCAAAATGCTGGGATTACAGTCATGAGCCACTGCACATTGCCTGTTTTATTGCATTATTTGTCTTTTTCTCATTGATTTTTAAAAACTCTGTATAGGCTGGATTGAAGCCTTCTGTAAACTCTTAAGTGTCACAATTATCTTCTCATGCTCCATTTCTTCTCTACACTCTCTTAATGGGGTATTTATTTTGCCTATCTTTAAAAAAATTGTCATTGCAATGTATAACATACCTACACATAACACACATACAAAAGATATATAACTCAATAATTTATTACAAAAAGAACTATCAGGTAAACAACCCAGGTCAAGAAATGGGATATTAGTGCTTCGAAGGCCCTCTCTTGACTGCTTCAAACCATTGACTGTTCCTCCCTCAAAACAACCACCAGTATAAGTTCTATGGTAATTGTATCCTGAATATGTTTATAGTTTTACTACGTAAGCACATATGTCTATAATCTATCATTTAGTTTTGTCTTTTTTAAAACTTTATATAAATGAAGTTCAGTAAACATTCTATTCTGTGGACACTTTTGCTCAGCATATGTTTGTGAAGTTTATCATTGCTTTTGTGAGTAGCTATATTTCTTTATTTTTATTTTTATTTTTTGCTCATTTATTTATTTATTTATTTATTTTTGAGACAGAGTCTCACTCTGTCGCCCAGGCTGGAGTGCAGTGGTGCAGTCTTGGCTCACCGCAACCTCCGCCTCCCTAGTTCAAGCGATTCTCCTGCTTCAGCCTCCCGAGTAGCTGGGATTACAGGTATGCGCCACCATGCCCGGCTAATGTTTTTGTATTTTTAGTAAAGACAGGGTTTCACCATATTGGCCAGGCTGGAAGTGAGTAGCTATATTTCATTCTCATTACTGCATAGCATTCCATTGCATGAATACAACGCAACTTAGTTGTCCTTTCTTCTGTTCATAGACACTTGAATATCCCGGTTCGTGAACGTTATAACTAGTGCTGCTAGGAACATACTCGTATAAGTCTCAGTACACACATGCACACATTTCTTCATGGGAATCATTACATTTTCTGAATATAAGCCTTTGTTAAATATATACGGTGCTAATATCTTCTTCCAGTTTTGTCTTTTTTGACATTCTCTTAACAGTATCATTTGGTGACAACCAAAAAATAAAGTTCTAAAATTGCAATGTGGTTAAATAACTACCTTTTCCTCTATGGTTAGTATGGTTTTATTTGTTCTTTTTATTAATCTTTCTCTACCTGAAATTCAGGAAAATAATTTCTATGTTATGCTTTATAAGCTTTCTGGTTTTACCTTACATATTTATATCCACTATCTAGCTGTCATTGACTTTCAAGTATGATATGAGGTAGGAATCAAGTGCTATATTTTTTAGTATGGATATATAATTTTTTGGAACCATTGCTTAAAAGCCTATTAATTCCTATTGCTTTGCAGTTACATAAATCAATTGTCTATTTCTAAATTCTTTATTATATTTTGTTGTTATATTTGTCTTCCTTTGTACCAAAAGCACACTTATAATTGTCAAAGCTTTATAAGAAATATTGCTGTTGGATAGGCAAATCCTCTCATTTCTTTTCATGGTTAAAAAATATGTTAGCTATAAATGGATAATTTGCATTTTCACACAAATGTTTTAGGATAAGCTTGTCAAGTTTCACAAAACCTGTTTGGGGAGAATTGACATCTTTGCAACATTGAACCTTCTACTCAGTAAAAGTGGTATTCCTCTATGCTTATATCGTCTTTATCTTTTCTCAACAATTTTTTTTTAAATTTGTGTGTAGAGTTCTTGTACTTCTTTTGCTGGATTTGATGGTATTATAAATGGCGTGGTTTTAAACTTTTTTTAATTTCTTAATTATTTGTCTGTGAAATACAAACAGACAATGAATTTTTATATATTGAGCTTATATCCAGCATATTACCTCCAATGATTATAATTTATCTATGGGTCGGGCACAGTGACTAACACTTACAATCCCAGAGCTTTGAGAGGCCAAGGCAGGAGGACCGTTTGAGCCCAGAAGTTCAAAACTAGCTTGGGCAAAAAGTGAGACCCTCATTATACAAAAAATCAAAAAATTAGGCCGGGTGTGCTGGCACGCACCTGTGGTCCCAGCTACTTGAGAGGCTGAGGTGGGAGGATGGCTTAAGCCCAGAAGTTCAAGGCTGCAGTGAGCCACGTTCATGCCTCTGCACTCCAGCCTGGGTGACAGAGCAAGACCCTGTCCCAAAAAAATAAAAATAAACAGAATGATGGATTGTTTGAGATTTACTGGTTATATAACCATGCCACCTATGAATAATGAAAATATATTTTATTTCTTTATTTTAAGTTCTTACATATTTCATTTATTTTTCCTATTCTTATTCACACTGCCCAGGATCTCTAGTGCAATGATGAATTGAAGTTTACCTTAATGGTCTGTTGTGTGTGAATTAGTGATAGTTCTCTGCCTGATGAAAATTAGAAATTCAATAACTGATTATTTTAAATAATAAGTCCTAGTATAACCTTAAATGAATAGCAAATGTCCACTTATAGCTTCCTATTTATATATTTAAGAGGTATGGAACAACTTTGAGTTGTAAAATATGTCATATTTACTTTTCACTTTTGTTTCTAAATAAAATCCTGGTGACCTCACTAAAACCATTGATTGTTTCAGCATCGCTCACTGGAGCTTCTTCTCTATCCTCACGGCTTACAGACAGGACTTTTAACAGCCCCATTTTATAATTGAAGCCCAACTGACAAAATTGAGACTCAGGTAAATTTAAAAATATCTGCAAGGTCACAGATACGAGTAGCAGAGCTCAAGTCAAGCCCTGGCAGTCAACTCCAGTCTTTACTTTTCAATATTATGACTTGTTTAATCTCCGACTTTATATTTAAATATAGCATCTATATATTCACATAAAAGTATTAGCTAAGCCTGTTAGTATTTCTTTAGTGGTTTTTAATCTGTCTTTTCTTTTGGCTTTCATGAAAAGTTCTTAACCAAACTCCACACGATCATATGGTGAGATAAGAGCTGCCAGCAGTGTGAAAGTCAAGCAGAATTGTTATGTAATGTTATTAATCAGAATCGTACTTCTTAGATCCTTTACCTGCCTTTGTCATATTCATGGAAGTTTATTTCCTCACCACCTTCACTTTCTTCTTTCTAATCCCTATCCTTCCACCCAAGAAAATCTCCCACCCCCCCTGCCCTGACCTTATCCATGTGTACTGGTTATGATTTTCATAAGCTGGCCTGACAAGGAGTGACATTTGGCTTCGCTTTAGTGTAAAATGTCACCAGAAACCAGAGCTGGTGCTGCACTATGTTGATAATGATGGCCCCTGGATGATACAGTCACTAGAGACAGGGTTCATTATTTTATTTTAGTTATTTTATAAGAATTTTGATGGATATCTAGCCCTTTTTGCTACTGTGTAATTACATACAGTATAACCACAGATCTGGAGTCTAGCATTGTAAGAACAACATGCAAGGTAAATCAGGTAATTTTAAAGTAATTTCTTTGCACCTGAGGTAAAGGAAGAATCATAATAAGATCCTAACAAAGATAACTTTTGCAACTGAAGTAGATTTGATTTTGCTGGTGATACATCTCATATAGAATTCTCATCCTACCAAGAGCCTTACCCTTCATCTGATGGAATGGCTGATTGTAGACACTGACCCTAGGTTACAGAGAAAAGAGAATTGCTGATTGCCACCAACATATTGACCAGTTTGTTTAAAATTATTGTAAGTTATAATGATATAAATGACCTGGTAAAGTCTGAAATACCCGTAAAAGATATGTAGCTATGGCCAGGAGAAGACTGTAGATGCTTACTTAGCAAAGTGAATGGCGATATCTTCATGATGATTCTGAATGCCCTCTGTGAAATAGCCCTTCTTCCTTTCCATAGGATGGATTGTCTATGCAGTGTCTGCCAACACATTATACCACTTTGCATATAACCAGGTTTCACGTTGCTTTTAGGAACCCTCTTGCCCTTAAGAGCCTATTGCAGTGCTTTAGTCTTGGACACATAAGATCAATGCACTTACAAGTATGATTTAATAAGATACTGTGGCAAACCCAAAGCAGAATTCACTGCCTCTCTTCCTTTAACTTATCCCTTTTTTGTGTGTTTGAATGAGTTTCAGGCTTTTCCATGAGGTTGAAACATTATATATTTTTGTTATGTTCCACACATTATATGTGTGAACCCATTATGTGTTGGGAATGATATCTCTATCATTAATAGTTTAGCTTGGAACTCAATGTTCATAGATTTCTAGTTACTTTAAAAAAGCTGCTAGTTATTAAAATTTACAACTTTTATCAACTATAGTTATATATAATTTTATTTATTGAAGTTAACTTAAAACTAAAATTGTACTTATTAATTAAAGAATTTACAGATAGTAACTTAATTCTGAAAGTACAGAGTATTCAATCAACTACAATATTCTGAGGTCTGGTTCATCATTACTAGAAATCTTTTAATTTCACAGTTCAAAAAGAATAAAACATTTTCTGATCTTTGACTTCTAGACCAACACTAAGAAAATTGAATTTGAACTTGCTATAATTTCTAGAATTCAGCTCCTAGTTGCTGGCATGAGAATGTGGGGAAGTATAAAAGATGACACAATATCAAAATACATTTGGCTTGCTAGAAATAAAATATATATATATATATATATATATATATATATATATATATATATATGGTTATTTTTTAGATAGAGCCTTGCTCTGTCACCCAGGCTGGAGTGCAGTGGCATGATCTCGGCTCACTGCAACCTCTGCCTCCCAGGTTCAAGTGATTCTCCTGCCTCAGCCTCCCAAGTAGCTGGGACTACAGGCACCTGCCACCACGCCCGGCTAATTTTTTATATTTTTATAACACCATGTTAGCCAGGATGGTCTCGATCTCCTGACCTTGTGATCCGCCCACCTTGGCATCCCAAAGTCTGGGATTACAGGCATGAGCCACTGCACCTGGCCTTATATTTTTTAGTTAAATAATTTGCTAAGCAATCAACAACTTTTAGAAGCTTAAATGTTTCTAGAATTAGAAACACTTTTTTGACTTTTAAGACATTTTTTACCCTTAATCAAACAATATTTTGTTTCATAAGATTATTGTGTTCTTCATCATAAGGATTAGTATAAATCATATTATGTTCAATGTACTATGCCAGGCACTTTTGCATACATTATATTTTTCATCACAAGGATCCTTCCTGTACATATTCTCTTATTCCTATTGTGCAGATGAGGAAACTGCTTCAGAGACTTTGTTTTCCCAAAGGCATATATATATATGTGTGTGTATATTTATACATATGTGTGTATATATATATATATACACACACACACACACATATATATATATATCAAGTAGCAGTACAAGCAGGATCTGAACCCATATTTTAAATTTTAAGTCTAATGAGCTTTCAACTATATTATATTTGGATATTAATGTAAATAACTGGTAAACAAGCATTTCTTTAGTGCCTACTGGGTGATAATGTCTTGATTAAGGAAATAGAAAGTTAAATTATATTCTAGCTGAAAATATAATCTAAAGAAACAGCCTTGCAAATTGAAAGATTTTTTTTAAAAACTGGTAATACATTTTACTGGTTTAATTTAGATATTTATTAATGACATTTTCTGTGTTAATTGATTGGCCAATATTACATTTATTTTCTATACTACTTTAGGTCTTGAAACTGCTAAATAGTAATCAGTAATGTAATATTGATGGCATCGTACTCTTCCTTTCCACTCTGTGTGATGCTTACTAGTTTTATTTTTTTAATAAATGAGGTGGGTGTGTGTATGTGTGCAATATCATAGAATGTTTTGATAGCATTTTTTTCCTGCAGAATATATCCTCCAGTAATTAACTTTCTAAAATAAACACCTGTACCATAAGAAATTTAAGAATTTCTCATGTTTTTGTCTTATGTGTATTATATCTGCAGGAAGATGTAGCATAAATGCAAAGTTGGAGTACCTAATTTGTTTGTTGTTGTTGTTGTTGTTGTTGTTGTTGTTGAGATGGAGTCTTGCTCTTGTCACCCAGGATGGAGTGTAATGGTGTGATCTCAGCTCACTGCAATGTCTGCCTCTTGGGCTCAAGTGATTCTCCTGCCTCAGCCTCCCAAGTAGCTGGGATTACAGGCGTGCACCACCACATCTGGCTAATTTATTTTTATTTTATTTATTTATTTATTTATTTATTTATTTATTTATCTATTTATTTATTGTATTTTTAGTAGAGACAGGATTTCACCATGCTGGCAAGGCTGGTCTTGAACTCCTGACCTCAGGTGATCCACCCATCTCAACCTCCCAAAGTGCTGGGATTACAGGCATGAGCCACCACGCCTGGCCCCCTAATTCATTTTATATCCTGAATTATTGAGTTAGAGAAGCTAGAAGGACATCTGGATTTCCCATTTTAAATTCTTCTATAAGCCTAGAGCTCACTGAAAACTCGAAGCTACCAACCTTTATGACTGTCTACTTCCCTTACCCACATTGATATTCCAAAATTAAAAGCACCTTCCCAAGCTAAGATACCTAGTCGATAATTTGTCTCTTCCTTAAATTAATTTTTAAACACTCAGCCCTTTTCAGATCATCTACACATGAAATGCTTCTTTCTTTTTAGCAAAATATTCTATATAGAGACTAAAGGGAAATGCTACTCGCCTACCTTCTCTGTTCCTGGATATTCTGATTCCATGTCAAGTATTCAGATATAATCTTATTTTTATTAATATTAATCTACACAATTAAGCAGTTCTTGGCTTTTGAATAAGACAAACTAATGTTTTACATGCTACTCTACCTCTTGTTATCCCTAAATTCTTTAAGAGGTTACTTTACCTCTCTGAACCACAGCTGTCTTGTTAATCAGGATAGTAGTGTTCCCTCACAGAGGGTCAGAAGATTGAATATTCAAGGCACACTTAAATTATTTTGATTATAAGCATCAGTAGTTCCTTGTGGTTGATAATAATTTTGCATATGTGAATGATCTTATATTTGTTTATTTTTCTTCTCTAAGGAAAAGTGATACAATGGAAATACAAGAAATAAAAAATATTTGATAACTTTAGTACATACAAATAGAAATAACATTGGTGATTTTATGGAAAAATGTTTTTTATTGTCACAATAATTTTTAGCTTGTCAAAGGAAAATAAGATGTCAGACAACTTACAGAATTATTCTGATTGTAAACAATGTTCACAGACAGTCTAGACGTCTATAATTGTACTCGCCGTGTGTTATAAGCAAGAATCACCTGAATGTAGATTTTATAATGAAAAAAATTATCACAATTTCTGATACAGGAAGCTCTTGGTTTGTCTGCATCAAGCACTTAAATTGGTTTGTATTTAGATCACACCAATTACCACTAATAGAGTTAAAATACTGGAAGAGCCCAGAAATGGCAGAAGACCTTGATAGGTTTTTAGAAAGTCCATTATATTTCAGTGAGAATTCTGTTTCTCGGGGAAACTACTTACTGCAGCTGTCTGAGACTAATTCATTCTTCATCTCTGTGTGGAGCTACAGTGTGCAGCAAAAAGTGGCTCATGCAAGAGTAAATGAAAAGGCTTAAAACAATTTGCATGGGCTGTCTCAAAAGAACTGAAAAGGTGATGGGCAGAATTAAAAACTAGAATTTTCTCCAAGCTTTTTAACCATTGAGAGAAATGCCTAAAAGCAGGACATTTTATATCACTTGTCCTACCCAGTGCAAATGGAAAATGCAGTACTTCTTGTTCAAACAGCTGACACGTCCCCTGACCGCGTTTCCTTCCCAGCTGTCAGCTGCTGGATTGATTCACTGGGACCCAGCCAGTGGGGTCTTCTCTTCCCACAGTTCACCACTGGAAACCACTACACATGGACAACCCTCAAAAATTGCAACCTCTTCTCCAGGATGCTCTTAATACCTGCATCTGGAGTGGGCAAGAGGTTTGTCCCTGCCAAGTCGACCACAAAATGCATGGTAATGCTGCTGGCTGAGGGGAGAGAGGGTGGCCACTGCCATGCTTCACTCTGAGCTGCCATGGGGCGTGCACACTCTACTCCACACCTTTCCATGCCTAGGCTCAGCAGTAGTTGCTGGGCAAGGGTGTGGAGGGTAAGGCCAGGTGGGAGAAGGGGTGAGAGAGCTGGCTGCTGAAAACCCATCAAGGGTATTTATCAGGAGGTGCCCCACGCATGGTCCAAGACACCAAAGTGTTCACCCAAGCTTCTCTTACAAAACATAAATTCAAAGATAAAGTTATTAAGAGTTTCTGGACAGCAACCACAGAGCATTAAACTCCAAGAATGGGTGGGAGTAGGTTTCTTCTGAGATGGATTCTTGTGCGGCTGACGTGGGTAGATTCCCTTGGAGCCAGCCATGACCAGAAGGGTCCATTTGCATGTGCAAATGATTGACAGGTTATGTATGAGTTGGATTGATACACTGAAGTCCAAACACCCAGTACTCGTGAATGTAACCTTTGGAAATAGGATCTTTGCAGATGTAATACAGTTAAGAAGAGGTTACTAAGGTGGGTCCTAATGTACTTATAAGGACTGGTATCCTTATAAGAAGAGAGACAGACACACAGGACAAATTCCATGTGATGATAGAAGCAGAGATTGACTAGACACAAGCCAAGGAGTACCAAGGATTGCCAGCAACAGCAGAAGCAAAGAAAAAGGCATGGAATAGATTTTCCTAAAGACTTCAAAAAGAGTATGGCCCTGCTGACACCTTGAGTTTGGAGTTCTAGTCTCCAGAATTGTGAGACAATCATAAGTCTCTGTTCTTCTAAGCCATCCAGTTTTTAGTAATTTGTTACTGCAGCCACAGGAAAACTAGTACAGGTAATATTTTCTCTATCAATCATTCTTTTCCACAAATAATCATGTATTTTTGGTTTAGATTCATATTAACCTTTCTTGGAGTTAATCCTTAAAGGCAAATTTGAAGTTTCAAGTAGTTACTTCATGTTTGAACTTAATTATTTATAGTCACTTTTGTGAGTTTTAGGTAGTGGACTTATGTTCAGAAACATAAGGAAATGTAAATATATACAGTATATCTCCATGGCTTTGTTTTTGTGTTTTGGCATCTTATTTACACCACAAGTGGCAGAGTGGTTAATTGCACTAGATAAGTTGAACTCTTAACGGACAGACTTAAATTATGGACTACTTAAAAAGAAAAGGGGAAGAGATTGCATAATATTGTTATTCAAGCCAAAAAGAAAAAACAGTCTTGAAAGCAAGAGTGAATGAAAAAGCTGAAATGAATTGAATATCACTGTTTAAAAACATTACATTTTTGTAGAATTTTTTTTTTTTTTTTGAGATGGAGTCTTGCTGTGTTGCCAGGCTTCAATGCAGTGGTATGATCTCGGCTTACCACAACCTCCACCTCCTGGGTTCAAGCAATTCTCCTGCCTCAGCCTCCTGAGTAGCAGGGATTACAGGCACACACCACCATGCCTGGCTAATTTTTTGTATTTTCAGTAGAGATGGGGTTTTACCATGTTGGCCAGGCTGGTCTTGAACTCCTGACCTCAGGTGATCCACCCACGTCAGCATCCCAAAGTGCTGAGATTACAGGCGTGAGCCGCCGTGCCCGGCCAGAATTTTTTTTTTTTTTTTTTTTTTTTTTGAGATGGAGTCTCGCTCTGTCGCCCAGGCTGGAGTGCAGTGGTGTGATCTTGGCTTACTGCAACCTCCGCCTCCCCAGTTCAAGCGATTCTTCTGCCTCAGCCTCCTGAGTAGCTGGGACTACAGGTGAACGCCACCACGCCTGGCTAAATTTTGTATTTTTAGTAGAGACAGGGTTTCACCATATTGGTCAGGCTGGTCTTGAACTCCTTACTTCATGATCCACCCGCCTCAGCCTCCAAGTGTGCTGGGATTACAGGCTTGAACCACCACACTCGCCAGTAATAAATTGTTTTAGATGTCTTTATTTTAAAGAATAAATTAAGGCTCAGAGTTTAAGCACAAGGCCCAAGTCACAGACTAAACTATAAGTTAGGTCATCAGGTGCCTGGTTGAAGCTTTTTCTATTTCCTCATGGAAATGATGTTATAGGAAAAATTCCAAGATCCCAAGAGATTATAACTAACATGACTTCATGTATATATTCAAAATGGAATAATGTAAAATATTAATTTCTACCACACTGAGAATTACCTGAGATTCATTCTACCTTCATTTTGTAGATTCAAAATATGGTGATTTTGCAGTGATCTTGGTCTTAATTTGTGTTCTTCCAGAAACAGATCCTGAGACAAGAATTTAAATGTAATTAGTTTAGATGGGAGATATAGGAAATACTAGTAGGGCTGTGGAAGAAGTGATTCCAAGGAGGCAGGCTACAAATAAAGGGTATAATGTGAAGCCAGCCACCACGGGGAAATGATTGGAACGTTTCCTGTGAGGAACTGCAAAAACAGAGCTCAGAGTTCTCTTCACCCAATGGGTGCGAAGCTGGGATTGTTAAACACCAACTCCCAGCAAGTATTACTGGAAGCTGCTGGGGCAGAAGTGTTAATGTCTCAGCACTTCAGGCCTCTCCTGCTTATAGAAAGAGTGGCCTTCTACATTGCTAGAAAATCCCTTACACACAGTCATGCAGATACTCACAGTTGAAAGTCCACAGAAGCAATCATATTTTAAGATTCCAGGAATATGTGTGGGCACTGTCAGAATCTGCCTCATCTTGAAATTTTATTTTCTGTGAAAGCAGCAAATCTGGAAAGCAACTAAAAACATGCTACTCAAAGAAATTGACTCTATTTAGAATAAGTGGTATGTCTTTTTTCTGTAATGAATATATTAAACATTATCATTTGAGATGAAATATGTAATTCTCAATTTTACCTAAATGAGAAATTTTTTTTTTTGACGGAGTCTCACTCTATTGCCTAGGTTGGAGTTCAGTGGCATGATCTTGGCTCACTGCAACCTCCGCCTCCTGGGTTCAAACAATTCTCCTGCCTCAGCCTCCTGAGTAGCTGGGATTACAGGTGTGCACCACCATGCCGGCTAATTTTTTTAGTTTTAGTAGAAACAGGGTTTCACCATGCTGGTCAGGCTGGTCTCGAACTCCTGACTTCTTGATCTGCCCACCTCGGCCTCCCAAAGTACTGGGATTACAGGCGTGAGCCACCGTGCCTGGCCTCTAAATGACAGATTTGAAGATTTACAAACCTGAAAATAATTGTAGAAATTCAGTCTAATACTCACACTTAATAGATGAAGAAATGGAGATTGAAAAAAGTGAAGTGATTTGTATAAGGCCATCTATATAGTCAGTGGAGTTCATGGGTTTAAAGTTTTAGAAGACAAGAGCTAAACACGACATTCAAGGGCAATTTATATCTGAAAAACAACTTCCATGTTTAGACTCACATTTTAATAAATTAATCAATTCATTTCTGTTTCCTACATTAAAACATTTTTCACAGTAAGGAAGGTTAATAGACCTGAAACAATAGTATTAAAATCAAAACCATATGATGGAGGAATATATGGACTCAAATTTATAAGCTTATGTCTTCATAAATATAATAATGGATGCATTATGATGAAGAATCATCTTTGCATTGGTAATAGAAAAACAGTTTATTCATTCCAGTGATTCTGCCAGTCAGAATTCATCTTTGGAACTAGCCCAAAATTTCTGCAATAAATAAATAAATAAATGAACTCATTGCTTCAGAGCCACACCATGTTTTTCACTGAGAAAATTGCATTAGCCAGGTTGAACATCTATTTTCCAGCGACTTAACAACGAATTACTTTTAGTTGTGGCCAAAATTCCAATCTATTTCAAAAGATTATTTTTCATCACTGACAATATTAAAAAGAATATGCCTTTGAACAATAACCACATCATTACATTAAACCACAGTTCCCCGAAGTAACTATTTTAGAGAAGATAATACACAATACACATTAAGATATGTACATCTCAGTACATTCATTTTTAAATGTGTCACTGTATACTAATAGATTATGATAGACCATAATAGATAGGTCTAGGAAAGGAGTAGCTCAAGGAGAAATTCACAGAATGTTCTTGGAAAGCTTCAACATCCATGGAATATTCATAGAAGGCTTTATGGACAGGTGGCTTTCAGGTTGGGCCCTACAAGTGTAATAGATTTTGATTTATCAATGAGGTTATATATATTTTGGTTTACTACTGATATGGTTTGGTTGTGTCCCCACCCAAATTTCATCTTGAACTCTAGTTCCCATAAACCCAAGTGTCATGGGAAGGACCCAGTGGGTGGTAATTAAATCATGGTGGTGGTTACCTTCATGCTGTTCTCATGATAGTGAGTTCTCATGAGATCTGATGGTTTTATAAGGAGCTTTTCTCCCGCTTCGCTCTGCACTTCTCTCTTGCCTTTTGCAATGTAAGACATGTCTTGTTCCTTTTCACCTTCTCCCATTACTATGATGCCTCCCCAGCTATGTGGATCTGAGTCCACTAAACCTCTTTTTCATTATAAATTACCCAGTCTCTGGTATGTTCTTATAGCAGCATGAGAACAAACTAATAAAGTAAATTGGACCAGGTAGTGGGGTGCTGCTGTAAAGATACCCAAAAATGTGCAAGCAACTTTGGAATTAGGTAACAATCAGAGGTTGGAACAGTTTGGAGGGCTCAGAAGACAGAAAGATGTGGGAAAGTTTGGAACTTCCTAGAGACTTGTTTAATGGCTTTGACCAAAATGCTGATAGTGATATAAACAATAAAGTCTGGGCTGAGGTGATATCAGATGGAGATGAGGAATGTTTTGGGAAGTGGAATAAAGGTGACTCTTGCTATGTTTTAGCAAAGAGAATAGCAGCATTTTGCCCCTGTCCTAGAGATCTGTGGAACTTTGAACTTGGGAGACATGATTTAGGGTATCTGGCAGAAGAAATTTCTAAGCAGCAAAGCATTCAAGAGGTAACTTGGGTGCTTTTAAAAGCATTTACTTTTATTCATTCACAAAGATATGGTTGGAATTGGAACTTATGTTTAAAAGGGAAGCAAAACACAACAGTTTGAAAAATTTGCAGCCTGATGATGTGATAGAAAAGAAAAACCTATTTTCTGGGGAGAAATTCAAGCCAGCAGCAGAAATTTGCATAATTAATGAGGAGCCAAATGCTAATCACCAAGACAATGGGGAAAATGTCAGTGTGACCTGGATGTGAGACATGGAGTCAAAGGAGATCATTTGGAATTTTAAGATTTAATGACTGCCCTATTGAATTTCAGACTTGCATGGGACTTGTAGCCCCTTTGTTTTGGCCAATTTCTCCCATTTGGAATGGGTGCATTTACCCAATGCTTGTACCCCCATTATATTTGGGAAGTAACTGGCTTGCTTTTGGTTTTACAGGCTAATAGGTGGAAGGGACTTGCCTCATCTCAAATGAGAGTTTGTATTTGGACTTTTGAGTTAATGCTGGAATGAATGAGACTTTGGAGGACTGTTGGGAAGGCACGATTGTGTTTTGAAATGTGAGGACATGAGATTTCGGAGGGGCCAGGGTGGAATGATACAGTTTGGCTGTGTCCCTACCCAAATCTCATCTTGAACTGTAGTTCTCATAATTCCCACATGTTGTGGGAGGGAACTGGTGGGAGGTTATTGAATCATGGGAGTGGTTACCTCCATGCTGTTCTCATGATAGTGAGTGAGTTTCACAAGGTCTGATGGTTTTATAAGGGGCTCCCCCAAGCTTTGGTGTGCACTTCTCTCTTGCCTGCCACCAGGTAACATGTGCCTTTGCTCCTTCTTCACCTTCCACCATGATTGTGAGGCCTCCCTGGCCCAGCCATGTAGAACTGTGAGTCCTCTAAAGCTCTTTTTCTTTATAAATTATCTAGTCTTGGGTGTGTCCTTATAGCAGCATGAGAACAGACTAATACAATTAGTGATATATTGTGTGTTTGTCTAAGTTTTTTTTTATATTTGTGTTATTATATAAGATTTGAGATTTGTAGTAAACCACATGCATAGAAGAGTTCTAAAAAAAGAAGAAAAGAATAAAAACAGTCTGAATATATAAAGGGTGTTGCAGCCTAGAGAATAATGGAAATCAAAGTATATAAATCTAGTGAAACCAAGAT
Organism: Homo sapiens; assembly: GCF_000001405.40. Lineage (NCBI taxonomy): Eukaryota > Metazoa > Chordata > Mammalia > Primates > Hominidae > Homo > Homo sapiens. Next base: position 172,537,822 of record NC_000004.12, read on the forward strand.
AACAGAAGATTTTGACAACTACTCAGAAGTAATCAGGCATAAGCGATAAAGTGCCATTGAACACATTAGAGAATATTTTACAGAATGCCTCAGCGAAACACTTGGTTAGGAAATGCTCTATGAACTTATTTGGAGGTGAGGAGAATAGTCACCTCCCCAAGACTGTTGGGGTTACAAGACTGTTGCAGGGGTACAGATTATTAAGCACCAAGGTGAGGGTTGCAGCAATAGAGATGAGAGTAGAAAAAATATGAAAGACCATATACTTTCAAGGAGAAATGATTAAGATTTCATCATTGGCTGTATATACACAGACATCAGAGAAGAGGTAAAATGAACTTCAAGATTTCAAACCATGGCCAGGCATGGTGGCTCAGGCCTGTAATCCCAGCACTTTGGGAGACTGAGGTGGGCAGATCATGAGGTCAGGAGATCGAGACCATCCTGGCTAACATGGTGAAACCCTGTCTATACTAAAAATACAAAAAAATTAGCCAGGCGTGGTGGCGGTGCCTGTAGTCCCATCTACTAGGGAGGCTGAGGCAGGAGAATGGCGTGAACCCAGGAAGCAGAGCTTGCAAAGAGCCAAGATTGCGCCACTGCACTCCAGCCTGGGTGACAGAGTGAGACTCCATCTCAAAAAAACAAAACAAAACAAAACAAAAAAATAGATTTCAAACCATAATGAGAAGAGGCCACTTTCCCTGATGGAGAACAACATGAAGCAATGAATGCTGGGTGGGAGAAAACATCTCTTTAATGTAATTTAGAAATATCAGTGAAATAATTTAAAGAATAGGTATTTAATACCATTGGTTTCTGCTCAAAGTTCCAAAAAGATATAGATGAAAAAAACTTCAAATAGATGAGAGTAAGGTCCAGAACTCAAAGTATAAATAGAAGTATAACATTTTACTTCTAAGAATGGGACTAAAAATAAAGGCATTCTAGAAACTTGCTGAATTTTGGGGAGACTATAATTTATATAAATGACATAAAGAGTCATAGAAGTGACAAACAGCCAGAGATATCGTTATATGAACAGAAACCAATGAAAGCCCTCTCAGAGGCAACACAAGATGAAGTAGAATTAGAAGTGTAATCCAAGGAGAAATTTAAAATTTAAAGGGAAAGGACTCAAAAGAAAAAGAAACTGAACATTAGCTGAACAATTAGATGCCAACCTCCTTATATTCACTGGAAGAATGTCATCAGAGTCAGTAAAATAATATGATGGAAGAAAAAATATAAGATTTGTTTTTCCTAGTTGGAGAATCTTGGGCTAGGATAAATGGCCTGGGAATCTCCAACTAGGAAAAATGTACATGAATTTTTTTTGTGTTCTTTTCCTAGGGTACTTTTTTATCATTGCAACATATCCCCATCAACTTCACCATCATCTATGAATATGTGTGATCATTATTAGCATCACCGTTAGCGTTGTGATCACTTAGAAGACATTGTGGTTGTCATCAGCAGCAGCAATAAATTTATTTCTATAGTCCTGTTACTAAATTTACATAAACTATTGTTACCAGGCAATAAAGTAAGGTGGAGCTGAATGAATTTTTTATGTTTCAACTTTCTGTTTCTCATCACTCAGTATAATTCTTCCTGCCAATCTTGGAAAGACCTTTCCCTCCACTGAAGGGGGGAAGATATGTCTCTCTTTTTCTATTTCCACATTTTCAACTGTGTATCAGTTTGTAACAATAAAACTGCAGGGGGAATGGAATGCATAGCTGGGGAGAACTGGACAGGGAGTGAAAAGACCATATTAGCCCAACTCAGCCAAATTGCATAACCTTTCTTAAATCATTTAACTTTTCAGATTGTTAGGAAATCAGACCTTTCAATCTCTAGAGTTCTTTCTAATTCTTAAATTTTATGAAGCTAGTTGAACTGGCTTGTCATGGGCAGAATTATATATATTGTTTGGTATGATTGCCATAATATTGATAATGAAGCCATATCATGCTAACAATATTCCAGACATTGGTTAATGTGCCACATATATATATGAGATTTCATATATATATGATTATACATATGATTATATATATATATATATATATATATATATATAAAAAATCTCATTTAATTTTCATGATGTCCTTATAAGCTAGGCTGTCAGTGTCCCCATTATAGACATGAATAAACTTGGGGTTAGAAACTTTAGGTGACCTGTCAAAGGTCATACAGCTAGCAGTGACAGAGCTTTCTTTCTTTCTTTTTTTTTTTTTTTTTTGAGAGAGTGTCTTGCTCTGTCACCAGGCTGGAATGCAATAGTGCGATCTCAGCCCACTGCAACCTCTGCCTCCCAGGTTCAAGTGATTCCCCTGCCTCAGCCTCCCGAGTAGCTGGGACTACAGGCGTATGCCACCAGGCCTGGCTAATTTTTTGTATTTTAGTAGACACGGGGTTTCACCATTTTGGCCTCGATCTCCTGACCTCATTATCCGCCCACCTGGGCCTCCCAGAGTGCTGGGATTTCAGGCATGAGCCACTGCACCCGGCCTGGAGCTTTCATTTAAACTCAGTCAGCTGAGCACCTGTGCATGATAGTAAACACTGTGCTGTTGTTGGGTAAAGATGATTAAAAACAAAATCTTCTCCTATTAATGCAAAAAATAAAAATAAATAAATAAATAAAAAATATTGTAAAGAGGTTTATTCTGAGCCAATATGAGCAACTGCATCCTGGAGAAAAATACAAATCCAAGAAGCCTTGACTAAGTGGCCCCGAGGTGGTTGGGTTACAGTTTTGGTTTTATATATTTTAGGGAGACAGGATTTACAGGCAAAGACATAAATCGATACATGGAAGGTATACATTGGGTTCAGCCCAAAAAGGTGCCACATCTGGAACTGGACACTTACAAGTCATAGGTGGGTTTTAAGGATTCTTTATTTGAAAATTGGTTGGGAGAGTTAAGCTATTATCTAAAGACCTGAAGTCAATAGAAAGGAATGCTTGAGCTAAGATAAAGGGATTATGGGAGCCAAGGCCCTTGTTATATAGATGAAGCCTCATAGGAAGCGGACCAGCAGAAAGAATAAACAGAAAATGTCTGTTTTTAGAGTTTGAAAGGTATGAGATTCTCAAATAATGTCTCCTAGATCTAGGAAAGGCCTAGAAACGGAAGGCCTGGCTACATTAATGGAGATTCTCAACAGATGCAAATTTCCCTCACAAAAGACAGCTTTGCAGGGTCATTTCAAAATCTGTCAAAGAAAGATATTTTGGCCTAAAATATTTTGATGTCCTTCAGGGTCTACTGTCTGTCTTTTGATGCTATACCAGTCAGTTTGGAAGGTAAGCCATATTATACCAGGTTAATTTTTTGAAAACCCTGTTTAATGAGATTTTATAGTTTGTAGGGTACAACTTAAACCTGGCCTTGCATAGCCTTAGGTCTTGTTTATAATTTGGTACCTTAATGCCACAAATCATATGTTTTGTTAGTCTTATGATCTCTATTTTACTATTAATGCTGCTCAGTTGTGCTTAAACTCAAAAAGGGAGGGAGTATAACTATTATTGGCAGAACATATGAGAGTCACGCAGCACCTAAATAGGTTCCTGGTGGTGAATCTGTATGGGTCTGCAGAAACCTCAATCCTTGCCTCCTCAGAAGAAAGAATTCAACTAGGGCATAAGACAGAGTGAGAGATCACGGCAAGTTTTAAAGCAGGAGTGAAAGTTTATCAGAAAGCTTTACAGCAGAAAAGAAAGTAAGATAAACTTGGAAGAGGGCTGAGTAGGCAACTTGAGAGGCCAAGTAAGGCAACTTGAGGGATCAAGTGCACATTTGGACCTTTTGACTTAAGGTTTTATACGTAGATATGCTTCTTCCCTTGGGGTGGACTGTCCGCATGAGCGGTGGCCCTGCTAGGATTTGAGAGGGCCACATGAGCAGTGTGTTTACCGAAGTTGTATGCATGCTCACTTGAGGCATTCTTCCCTTGCCAGTTGAATGCTCCTTGAAGGTCATATACCTGTTAAACTCCACCATTTTGCCTTTTAGTGCACATGCTTGAGCCCACTCGCCCAAATCCTGAGACCTTATCAGGAAGCTGCTGATTACCAGTTTCAGATTATTTTCTACTGGGAGACTGCTCTTCCCTGGCTCTGGCTGGGACCAATTATTATTAGTGAAGCAGCTACATTGTCTGAGGTATATACCCTGGGGTTCGTTGTCCCAGTCAGGAAAATGTAGGACATGGACACACAGGAGGAGTTTAGGAGTAGAGCTTTAACAGGGAGAAGAGAAGAGAAAGAGAAACAGCTTTATAGAGAAAGGGATCTCCAAGCAGAAAGGACCGGCTGGCGGCAGATGTGCCAAATTTTATAGTCAGGTTTGAGGAGGCGGTGTCTTATTTAAGTAGAGCTCACATATTGGTTCAATCAGGTATGACGTTTACATAGCGCCCGGGGAAGGCTGGTCGCCCCATTCTAATCTTATTATGCACACAGGCTTTCCAGTTGATCGCTGCCATCTTCAAAATGTCTAGGCCCTAGTTCCTGCCGGCATTCACCCGTGCAAGCTCCCAGCTTGCTTGTCTGTCTGCAGCTTGACTTTACAGGGCGTTCTTTGTTAGAAAATGATTTGGGGCTGCTTTTCATTAAAGAGAAAAGACTTACCGAGGACTCCTATACCCTTACCATCTGCCTAAGTGATTTCTTCTTAACTCTTGTATCATCAGGACCGCCTGACCACCATCTGATGATCGCTTGACATTCCTGGTGGGGGAGGGGAGCCCTCTGCTACCCTGCTCATGCCTGACTAGCTACATACTCTAACATAATGAGGCATTTCAGACCTCCCTGCCTATCATGGCGAGAACTTTGTTTTTCGGGTTTCTCTGGGGTCCCCTTGGCCAAGGTGGGGGTTCTGTTCAGTCAGTTGTGGGACTTAGGATTTTGTTTTCAGTTACATTCCCAACCCAGAAAACTTTTCCACAAAGGTAGAAAGAAACAGCTGTGCTGGCCGGGCGCAGTGGCTCACACCTGTAATCCCAGCACTTTGGGAGGCGCAGGCGGGTGGATCACAAGGTCATGAGTTAGAGACCAGCCTGGCCAATGTGGTGAAACCCTGTCTCTACTAAAAAAAAAAATACAAAAATTAGCCGGGCGTGGTGGCACGTGCCTGTAATCTCAGCTACTCGGGAGGCTGAGACAGAAGAATTGTTTGAACCCGGGAGGCGGAGGTTGCAGTGAGCTGAGATTGTGCCACTGCACTCCAGCCTGGTGACAGAGCGAGACTCCATCGCAAAAGAAAAGGAACAGCTGTGCTATATAAAAATCATTAAACCGGAATGCGATTTGCATCACAGGGAATTCTTTAAAAAGATTTCAAAGTCAACAAGAAATCCCACCCTTTTCTATAGCCAGCAAACACAACCAATTACGTGCACATGCTCAGGATAAAAAATAAGTGGTCCTCAAGAAGACTTGACAGCACAATTTGTCACACATAGTTCATCCTAAATTTACCTGCTGATTGGGTTGTAAGCTAATTGGCTTTATCCAAAAGCTAAGTAAACTTTTCATTGTTTCTGTCATAGAAGGTGGTTTTGGTGCCCAACATTTTAGGCTCCTGTGCGCCCATGCAAACTGGAAGATAGGGGCGCTGTCTTCCTTGATGACTGCATTTTAAAGAGCTGGCTCCCAGGCCCTTGATAAGTCATTCCTGAGTTTTAAAGCTTCCTGGGTCGTAGAGACTTAGCTTTAGCTTTTAAAATGATTTAAATAAATTTCAAAGCGACAGAGAAAGAACTCAGAATCACAAGTTTTCAAAAGTAAATGGTTTGAGAAAACAGAGACAGGGTAAGATGAGGGTAGTTTCAAGGGAGTCTCTTTTCTTCAACAGGGAGAATTAAGTGAACTGTTTTTCATCTGCATTTGCCCTTCCGCTATCTGTACTGCCAATACTGGAAATGCAGAAATTATATAGGAGTATGCTACCTCTTTGCCTTTCTGTTAAAAGGATCTTCTAATGAAGATGTTGAAGATGAAGATAATGCAATGCTTGCACAATACTATTACTTTACATTCTGGAGTGTTATTCAGGTATCAAAGGGCTAGTTTGTATAAAAATTTATTGGCTCCTCACAACAACCCTATGAAATAGATACAACTACCTTCCCTTTGATATCATTTGTACCCATTATGATGCAAAAATAGAGAAGTAAAGACATGCCCGAGAGGTGGAGCCAGGAGTTCAACTCAAGGAGATCGATTTCTTAGTTCCAATAAGCTGCTTCCACAGTTGCCAGTTTCTCTGGTGGCTACAGAAAGCTGTTGTGCCACTTGGCTCACAGGACCAGATCCTGGTATAGGTTTTTTTCCTCAACAGCCTGTATCTGTGGAGTATATGAAGCCAGATTTAGATCCATTTCCATGTCTCCTTGCCTCTTTCCCTTCCTGTCTTCTCTGGTTTTCCTGGTCTCAGGAAACACAATATACTAATTTCATGCCATGATTTTACTTACACAAGATTGGCTTCGTGGTTCCACATCTCTGCTATGAGTTGTGGTTCTCAAGGGTCCTGTTTATCTTCTTTGACTCTCCCAATCCAAACTTCCTACCCATTATAAATATTCTCATCTGCCACCTGCTACAGTCCTCATCCAAACTCTCCTGTTAACCTGCACAGTGGGGAGGTATGCTGGAAGAAAAGAACAATTAAATAAACAAATAGGGTCACTTTTTAAGCAGCAGTTTACATTCCTTCCTTCTCCTTTCATACATATATATTATTTGTCTTCCTCTTCTTCTAAGGAGAAGAGGGCTTAAGGAAAATACAATTACTTTTTTTCTCTAGAGGATTCTTTTGGTATTTAAAATAAAGTTCTGGTATTTCAAATGAAGTGGGAATACTTTTGCTTTCCTAGCATGAACAGTTCTTAATGACTCTTCAAACATTTCACCTCTACCATATGTACAGTATGAAGGTAAGAGATAACTGTGGAATTGTATGTGTGAAGAAATAAAATCTCAATTGCATATACATAGAGACCTGTGAAATCTAACTAGCCATCTGTTTCATACTACTCAAGAGATTCTAGAGTTTCTTACATTCCTCAGATTTTGATTTATGTTTATTGAATCATGAATTATACTTCTGCAAATTATCCCAGGTTTTTCCCAATGCTTATATCAGTGAATATATAGTCACAGAGGGAAACTAGAGATTTATGCATGCTTGTATGGTCTACTGTTAAGATATATGTGACATCTTAAACTTTGCTACTTTGCTCCTCCAGTGGATAATTTTAAAAATTCTTGCATATTGGTAACATGATTTATAATAATTTTAGTTCTAAGAAATAAGTATTTAATGGACAACACAGACATTACTAAATGTATAATGGGGTGGGGGGGTAACTAAGGCCCCAGAGGTAATATGATATGGCTACAGCAGTTCAGAGTTCCCGAAGCTAGAAAATTGCCTTATTTCTCTACTTTATAATTTCTTTCACTCTGTAAGAGCTGTGAAGAAAAAAGGTGAAGATCCGTGGGTAAGAGAACGTGAGTGAATTTCAGTGTTGCTAACTATAGCACCAGAAAATAGACATTTGAAAAGCTCAGCCACTCCTCACTTCAATCCACCTTCCACACGGTTACCAAATTATCTTCCTGATTAACCACCGTGGTTCTGTTGCATCCCAGAATCCTTGTGTGGATTTCTATAGCCTGTACAATGAGGTCCTAAGCAAGCATGGAATGGCAAGCCTTCTAAAATTCTTCCCTTATCCTTCTGGCACTTAAAACACTGCCTTTTCACTGTAATCATTTGCCCTCTGTTTATTTCCCCTGTTTAGTTTAAACACTTGGGAAGCAGGACCTGCTCAGATCCAGCATGGTGCCAGCACGTTGTAGGCCTTTGCTAAAAGCATGGTGAATGGATGAATGAATAAATCAGTGAGTCGATTTATATACTGACTTTTATTAACTATGACAGATGTATAATAAAAGCTTTTTCCCTAAACTGTTTAAGGAGATGCCTGTGGCCTATATATTGAGTGACAGAAGGGCCAACCTTTTTGGTAACAAACTAGGCAAAAGAATGAGACAAGATATGCAACTTACTCGTTTAGAATAGGCTTATTACAATAGCAATCATGAAAAAAATAATAGTGCTTACTTACTATTTATTAAGTGCCTACAATGTGCTAAGGTGTTATTTTGAATGTTTTAAATACATGTGTATATATAAATATGTATGTATACACAGACTTCTGCACACACATGTACATAATGCCACAACACTATGGGGAAAGAGGTATAGTCTGCATTTTATGGATGACAAAACCGAGTCTCCCAGAAGTTAAATAACTTACTCACCCATTACCACTCGGGAGAGAAGAAATTTTTAATGTGATAAAATTAGTAAGTTCACATGCCATAACAGAGCTGTGTTTTACCAGAGGACAGATTTACTTATCTATTTAACAACTTTTATTGAGGTCCTACAGTATTCTAGCAGCTATGCTAGTTGAAGGGATATGATGTTGACAAAATAGTGATCAAATTTCTACCTGCACAATGTTGACTATTCCCATGATAGTTATACTAAAAGTCCAGACTCTACCACTATGCAATATATGCAAGAAATCTGCACTTATACCCTCTAAATCTATAAAAAATAATAAATAAATACACAAGTTTAAAAAAAAAAAAGACTGCTATACCTGCAAAAATCACTGGGACTTAGAGTAGCCATGATTGTTTCTTCTTGCCTTCCAACCATGATAAGTAGACCTGGAAAAGGACTGTCTTCTAGGAGTAGATGCCATCCGTATCTCTCTTTCTTTTCCATTTCCTTTACACATGCCACTTCTTTGCTAAGTTAAACAAGATGTGATTTGCAAAACCGAGTCCCTTAGATTCAAGTGTGTTAGAAGCAGGAGGCTTCATTTTGGACTCAGGGCCTTATTAGAGTTTTTCAACTCCGCTTTATATATATATACGTATATATACGTATATATATACGTATATGTATAATTGTAAAATATACACAACATTAAATGTATCTTCTCAATAATTTTTAAGCGTACAGTTCAGTGGCATTAAGCACACTCACATTGTTGTGCAGTCATCACCCATCCGTGACCAGAGCTCTTTTCATGTTGTGAAACTGAAACTCTATGCGTTCAACAATAGCTCCCCAAGCTCACTTTCCCCCAGCTCCTGGCAGCCACCATTCTACCCTCGGTCTCTAAGAATTTGACTACTCTACTTATCAACAAAACTATTATAGGAAAGTCATCTGTCAGTGAACACTAGTGGTTTATTTGGCTGTTGTCAAATCTTTGAGATGTTTCCCATTGGGAATCAGTTGCCTCAAAGGGGTGGGAGGTGTGAGCAGTGGTTAGAATGCAGGCCTTGAAGGTGGGTCCCTGCCTATAATGCCATCATCATAGCACCAGAATGGAAACTCTGATTCCATACCAATATTGATAGAATTGGTTTCAGACCTATCAGACTGATGCAAGCCAGGGCTTGAGTCAATATAAAGTTGTCTTCTTTTGGGGTGCTCATCTATTTTGAGCAGATTTTTCTTGAATAAGCCCAATTTGATCTTCAAAAGACCAACCCTTCTGCCACTCTCTGTGGGCCACAGGCACACTCCCAAAGAATATATAGCTGGGGGAGGGAAGCATATTTTAATTATGAAGTCGACCCAAAGCATATATATGCATTGATTCATTGATTTCTTTTTTATACCTGCAACACCATGTGAAAAGTTCATGAGTAACTCAGCAACCTTTAGATCATTTTTTTTCCTCCTGAAGACAATCTCACTTACTTCCTCTTATTCTCTAGAACTAATGATGTGACCTGATCTCTTTATGACATTTTTTATTAAATTTAACTATAAAAATTTCAAATGTTAATGGCTGTGACCCTGTAGATTTTTCTCTCCTTCACAACGCTGATAGAAATGTAACTTTTCATTCAGGGAATCTATATTTCTGCTCTGCCTCTCAGTGTTTAAGCCAGCTGCCCACTGTGCTAAGTCAACCTTCCCAGAAGCTAATCTGTCATTCTCAAGTGGCCTTGCTTCTGAAATTGGTTTGATGCTCTAGCAGTAAAGAGCCCCAGTGGTAGTGCAAGCTGTACAGTTTAACAACCACTTGGGGTGGGGCTTGTCCGATTGCCATGGAAACTATGACTTTGTATGTCTGCTCTGGAGACAAGAAAGACAAATGACTTGTGTATTAATCTATTGAGGATGTGAGGATCCCAGATAAAATGAGTCCTACAGAACACGGAGAAGGTTCTATAAATTAATGGTGTGGGTTTTTGGGTTTTGGTTTTAGGTTTTAATATGTCGATGTCAATGAAGGGTCAAAAGAATTATGTCTCCACCTGATAGCTTTCCTGGAGAAGTATTTGCTTTATATTTTTATAAAAACTCTTTGATTTTAGCCATAAATGTAAAAGATAAACATAACATTCTGCAAGACCTTCACCACTCCAGGTGATATGTGGCTGTTGAAGGAAGGTACTGCACATTTACATAACAAAATGAGGCTATTAGGGGACAAGTCACTTGTTTATTTAAGAGAACGAAGGGCAGGACAATTATATTAACATGATTCTCATAGGAATGCACATTGTCAATGTTAACAAATGGTTTTAAGCTAAAGCCCCCGGTACATGGTATGTGGTTTAATTTTAGTTGTATAAACATTAGAGCAATCTAAAGTTTAAATTACATTTTGGTTATACTTTAGACTCCATTATCCAGGAAAATGTAATTTTAGCCTCTATAAATATGAACAAAAATCAAATCTAATGATTGCTTTCATATTTATAACATCCTTTCCTAAGTTCACATTGCCCAGCTAAGACAACACAGTAGAACAAATGTAAAGAGCAACTAATTAGATCTTACCCATTTTCCAGTTTATGTTTAGATTTAGTCTTCTAAGTGTTTTCAGAAAGTAGTATCAGAAAAATGTAAACAACAAAAAACTGAAGATCTCTGCATCTTTTTGTATGTATATGTTTTTCCAATAAAATGTAAATAATAATCAGGATTTTTTTCAGGCCCCTTTTAAAACAATATTTTATGTTATAAAATCTTAATGTTGTTTCTCTATTATTTCAATCACTATTTAAGTAGATACTGAAGTACTAGGTAAATGTTTTTGTTTTGTTTGTTATTTATATTGTATTTTAATTTTTAAGCCAATATTATTGAAATATAATTTTCCCTTTGAGATGTATAGTTCCAGGAATTTCGACCAATGCCCATAGTCATGTATCCAGCAACATTAACATATGGAATATTTGCATGGTGCCAAAATGTTTCTTTGTGCCTCTTTGTAGTCAATTCCTTTTCCCAACTCCCAGTCCCTGGCAATAACTTGCATCGTTTTTATCTTTGGCTGTTATTGAAGGGAGTGTTGTGGTCAGTAGATTGCAGGCCTGGAAAGTAGCATATAGGAGAGCACATAAATGATTTTTGTATCCTACATTTTTCTGACACTCTTACCACATTGTACTGCAAAGCAGTTTAAACTTCCTAACCCTAGTTTCTCTAGGAGACTGCCTACTGCCTAACGTGTGCCTTTTGACCTAACTTCACTTGTGTTACCTTACGCATGTCATTTAACTTTGTTGTCATTATCTTATATGAGATCAATTACTAAGTGATATCTACAATTTAAAAGTGTTTAATTTTAATTTAATGTAGAATCTAATTTTTAAAGGAAATTCTAAAAGTTGTGTAGGTTGTTTTTCCTCTACCTACCACAATGCAATTTAAAAAAAAAAATAACAAAATGTTGCTTATTTTCTTTGTGTCTTCATCTCCAAAATGTTCTCTTCACAGTAATGCACACAAGCTAGTTCTGAGTAATCAATTTTTTAAACAATATTACAAATCTATTTTTAAGTACAAAAGTATTGTAATTGGGCTAAAAAACAAATAGCACACTGTAAATGCTAAAAATCAAAGTGCCTGTCTCACCCTTTCTTACCTTCCACCCCTAGACGATACAAATGTTAAGAGTTCAACAAGCATTCTGCCAGCCTTTCCGTTTATAAATAACATTTTTAAATAAAAACAATGCAAAAATGAGAGAGAAATCTATAAATTGCTGTTTATCACAAATATCTTTCCGTGTCAGTAATATAACTTCCTTTATTCTCCACTGGATAGTTTTCCACAGTAAAGTTTCATCATAATTAACATTGAAGCAGTGATGAACATGCAGTTTGCTTCAATTTTTTCTCATATGTATATCTTGCATATATTTATCACAAATATACATATATTTTTCTCATATATACATATATAGTTGTACAATTACATGACTATTTCTTATAGTAAAGATTTCAGGAGGTAAGATTGTTGGGACAAATTATCTGTGCATTTGAAATGTTGATAGCACTATCCAATTGCCATCCAAAACGAATATTCATTATACTCCCATTGATAGTGTGAGAGTTCCCGCTTTCTCATACCCTCACCACAAAGGATATCATCAATTCTTTTAATTATAGTCAGTCTGATAGGGAAAATATAGTGCATCATTGTTATTTAAAGTTATAGTTTCCTCATTAGTGAGTTTGAGCATCTGTTTAGAAGTTTGTTAGAGATTTATATTTACTCTTCTGTGAAGGTTCAGGATATAGTCAGTGCCTGGTTATGTTGCTTGGGTTGTCAGTCTTTTTACCATTGATGTGAAGGATCACTTTGCATTTTAGGCAAATTAGCTCTAAATTTTAAACTGCAAATTGCAATTTAAAATTTATTTTATTTTATTTTATTTTAGAGACAGGATCTTGCTCTATCACTCAGGCTGGAATGCAGTAGTGTGATTATAGTTCACTGCAGCCTCAAACTCCTGGGCTCCAGCCATCCCCCAGCCTCAGCCTCTCATGTAGGCAGCACTACGGGTGTGCATCACCATGCCCAGCTCATTGCAAATATTTTCTCTGAATTTACCTTTATCTTTAACTTTATTCAAGTATCAAAGACTGAATTGTTCATGTTTTTTCAAGAATAGTGGTTCCCAAATCATCTACAGATTAGGTTTACCAAGGAGCTTTTATAAAAAGACTACAGTCTGAGCCCCCACATATTTAGGTTTAATTGACTGAGGTGACATTGAAACATAGTCCCGCAGGAGATACTAAACTGTGGACAGGGTTGAGAACTTCTTATTGGGCATACAAATCACTTGGGGATTTGGTTAAAGCACAGGTGCTAGAGTGAAGACTGAGAGCTGATACTTCTAATTTACTCTAGGAGATGTGCATGCTACTGATCTATAGCACATACTTTGAATAGCAAGGATTTAGAGTGTCTGATTTTGGTTTTTGCTTAAGAAGACTTTCCTTACTTTGGATTATAAAACGTTTTTTCTTCTATGTTTTGTTCTAGTATGTTCTATCATTTTAATTGAAATTATAAATACTCACTTTATTTTCTAAGAATAAATTAGGAATCTAATTCTATTCTTTTAAATCAAACTCCAACCAATTACACCCCATTGATTAGGTACATGTAAAAATTTTGATATAATTTCAGAGTAACATAATATATTTGTATTGTTCTTTTAAACGTCTTCAGAAAATTCACATATTGACAAAAGTAGAATATTTTTAAAATAATATAAATAAATTTTAAAATCATAAAATTCATCTTTCTGTCCATTTGATCTTTAAATTTCAAATATGTTTATGCTAACAATGTAAATACGACTTAAAATTAAAAACCAAATTCCTGAAAAAGAAGAATGGAGGATGTGATCAGTATGTTAGTTTCCATCTTTATCAATGTTTGTGGACACTCCATAGGATACAGCAACAACCTCAGTCTGTAACAGTAATTTGGTAGGAGGAATGCTATTGTTTGGAAGAATATACTACCAACATAAACTAGCTTCTGCTAAGCTCAGGGTACAAAATCTTTCTTTTAACATTGTAATAAAACGCCTACAGAACTGAGGATTTTCAAATACCTGTATGAGGATGTTGATGATGTTGATATCTACAAGGTAAACAATGGGGGTGTTTTATGCAAAGATAATTTAAGGTACTCAATTCATGCAAGAATGTAAAGAAAAATTCAAGTGTGCAAGAGTTTAACCCAAGCTGATAAGTCAGGAGTATAAAAAGAAATGAAAACTGAAATAAGAAAGTCTTATAACTTTCATTAAATTATCTCACTATGTAAATACTTTTTCTAAAGAGATAAATGATTACTGAATAAATGAGCTGTACCCCAGAATAAATTTTACTAATTTAGCCTCGCTACTTTCCATTATGATATCCTAGTAGAAATAAATTTTCGTTGAATAATCTAGCCCTTGGGAACTCAATAGATACGTATCTTTTTCTCTGTGAAGTCACAGCTCATTTAATGAAATTGGCCACCAACGCCCAGTTACATCTTTCATGCATTTTTAATGAAATGTAATTTCTTGAGCTAGAGATTCAAAGAATCTCGTTTTGCATCTAAAATTATGTTCTTCAAAGTTTTGGTAGCTAAATCGGAAAGTTCTATAGCCCAAGATTCTTGTTATTAAAAGAACAATGACTTTGAATTGCCAGTGCAAATATATATTTTTTCTGCTGAACTAGAAATATCATTCTTTAAAAAGCCATGAAAAATAAAAGTCAATGCTGAAGGTATTTTATTATATATAACCTTTAGTTAATAAGAAACCAATGTTTGTTTTGCTAAAACATAAAGTCCAAATTTCGTGATTGTTTTGCTTGTTTGTTTAATAGCAAACATTGAAAGACAAAATACATTTTTAGGATCAAAACATGTCTACCCGCTCTATATACTAGGTCATGCACAAATTGTTTTTCTAAAGGTATCAATTATCCCTTCTTAAAAACTTACGTGTGAGAGTTAATCTTAAAAGTCAATGTTAAAAGCGTTTTTTTTTTTTAATTCTATATTGCTTTTTCCTGTAGGGTTACTGATAACTAATATCAACGGAGAATATCGTTATATTAGGCTGGTGCAAAAGTAATTGCAGTAAAAAAAAAAAAAAAAAAAAGGTAAAAACCGCAATTACTTTTGCACCAACCTAATAACTCTCAGATGTTCTTAAATTATTAAGTACCTTTTCTCTCAAGTTGTCTTAGGTATGGTTAGATTAAATACACATCACCAAAGTGTATAGCTATAGTGTATTTTATATACCCAAGTGTTTGTCTTCAGAGCAGTCCTCAGAGAAAACTGCCATCATCTGTATTGAACATGTGTTCTCTAGTCCTTCCATATTGGTTAATGATTATATATTTGTGTATATACCAAGCTAAATCATATGAAATTGCCAATATTTGGTTTTCTGGCCTATACAATTAGAAGTTGAATATGATTCAAACCCAATATTTATGCTTTGGGTGTGAATTACCAGTTTCTTCCAAGACACTTGATCCTGGGCGATGGGAATATGTTTAGCTTCTTCAAATTGACTTGAACAGCCTCACCTGAAATAAAGCCTTTCTTTTCTGGACATTTCCAGGAAAAGCCAGTCTTGCTATTTCTTGAATAGAGTGAACTGTTGCAAGTAAACTGGATGAGAACTGTTATCTGACTCTGACTCATTTTAGTTTAATCCAGCTGCCAGTTGTTCATAAATGTCTCTTGGGACCTATGTAGATTCTTCACTTATTAGATTAACACTATATTTTCATGAAAAGATAGTCTTTTCACTTAAAATGAGGAGTTAAATTTTGCCTTAAAATCTGAACTCCTGTTAGTAATATCATGTTCATACATTTCCTAATTGTATTCTGAATCACAAAAATGAATAATTCTGATTCATCATAACACAAATGCTTATATTAACAATATTTTCCTGCACATACAATATATTATTAAATAGAATTTACTTAGTATGGGAGACTTTGCAACATATCTCTTATCTCCTTTCCATTTGCCTTATTATGATATTTTGTTAGAAATTTTGGCCGGCCACAGGGATTCATGCCTGTAATCTCAGTGCTTTGGGAGGCAAGGGTGGAAGGATCTCTTGAGGCCAGGAGTTTGAGACTATCCTGGACAACATAACAAGATCCCATCTCTACAAAAAAATTAGCCAGGCATGGTGGCATGCACCTGTATGTAGCAGGAGGATCTCTTGAGCCCAGGTTTCTACATTACAGTGACTATGATTGGATCCCTGCACTCCAGCCTGGGCAACAAGTGAACCTGTCTCAAAAAAGGAAAGAAAAGAAAACAAAAAGTACCAGCTTGGGCTCAGCATCTGATTCTTGCCTTGGCCTTGTTCCAATTGCCATTGCCTTCAACAAGAGGATTTATCATTTCCCAATTCTAACTCCCACCCCAACTGTATATTCTAACTGACCCATGGATTCTTTCAATATTGGAAACTATGTAAGATTAAGTTTACCTCTTTGATATATTTCTCATTAAAGCATTGCATGCATTTCCTCACATTCTCATGAACTATATTGGTGAATTGGTATGGTAAGGGTGCAAATTAGTTTTGCCTTTTTCCTTTATAAGTGGACATTGGTTTCTAAAATAATTCTACCAGGAGCTAGAATTATTGGCAGACTCAAATCATAAAACTTTTTGTTAGTTTCTCAAATTAAAATATTTTGAAGGTTTTATTTAAAATTTTAATTGAAGTATAACATATGTAAAAGACTGGCAAAATTGTAAGGATTCATCTCAATGAATTGTCATGTGGTAACCCATACTCAAGAAAAGAGACAGAATATTAGTAGCTACCATGAGGCCCTACTTTCTCCTCCCCACTAGAAAGAGTTACTTTTACTTCTAACACCAGAGATCAGATTTTCTGATTTTAAGATTTATGTAGTTGAAATTACACTGTGTAAGTTCTTTTATTGCATCTTTTCCTCAACATTGTGGTTATAAGAGTCATCCGTATCACTGGGTGCAGCTGTAATGCCTCCGTTCTCATTGCCCTCATACAAATCCATTGTATGGACATTGCGCAATTTGTCCATTCTACTACTAATGAAAATCTGAGTGGTTCCCAGGTCTTGGCTCTTATAAATAATGCCACTATGATCACCATATAATTTCTTTTGGTGCTTATTTCTGGAATTACTAAAATTTAGGATATAGCTATATCAATTTAGTAGGTAACAGTTACCAACAAGTTGTTAAAAATAGGTGTCGCAATTTACATTCACACTAGCAATGTTTGATAATTGCACCTGCTCCAGGTCCTCACCTCACCTTACCAGTCTTACTTAATTTAGTTATCTTTGCAGGTGTACAATAGCACATAGCTTTTAATGTTGATTTTGTTTTATTGATTATCAATAAGTGTGAACAACTTTTTAATTGGCCATAGCAGGAATTCATCAATTTTTAAAAATCTATCAACTTAATGCCTTTAAATAATGAAATATTGTAGACTCACCAACATTGTTTCAGAAGTTCTAATAGTCTACCTGTAGAAGTATAAGAAAGTACAATATAAAATCTTGTATCTATACATCTGGAATATTGCTATTTGAGAACACTAAGAATTTCTAGGTAACTCTAGCATGTGCCATGAATTACTCTAAGAACTTTACAGAAACTAAGTGGTTTAATTTTCATGAGACTCACATGAGTCTAATACAATTGTTATCTCAATTCTACAAATGAAGTAACTGAGGTACAGAAACAGGGACATAACTTGCCCCTGCTCACACATTAAATAAGTGACATACAAAGTGTCCCCATGCTGTGAGGCCTCTCCAAGTTTTATTTAAAACATTAGAAAGTAGAGTAGAATAATACATATTGATGTATTTTTTAGAATAATAATTACAAATAGAGTAAGTTTGAAATAATATTGAAGATTTACCCTATATTTAACATTCCCTAAATGCAAAAAAAATTCTGTGTTGCTGAAGCAAAATACAACCCAAGCTGATGATGAATTTCATAAAAGACTGAGATAAACAAATATATTTTAAAAGAATTTTTAACTCTAAGATTGGGTAACTCTTTCTACATTAGTGTAATGAGAATAGTGAACCTTTGAAATGAGTAAAAAATATGGAAAATGTTAATGATCTTGAGTTGCACATATTTTGCATTATGAGCAACATTTCTGGTTGCTAAATGCTAACTATATTATGCACAGTGTACGACGTGGGTGAGTTAATGTTGCTAGGGAACTTTTAGTGTCTAGATTGCTTTGTTTTTGTGTATTTAAATTTGCAAACTCAACATTATGTTAGGATACCTTCTGGCATTTAATTAGGTTCCATTCCATGATTTTAAACTTAAATGTGCCTTAATGTGGAAGATTTTGTTATTTCCATCTTCCATTCCATTTCTTGTTCCTAGTAGTTATAATCATAATATAGTGAAATAGGGTACTTAGCGTTTCCTAGTAGACCTGAGTACAAAATATCTTTAGAACATCTTTAAACATTTTTGTGAATGTACCTTTTTCCTTCTAGGTAGGAGATCTTCCTGTTTATGGGTCCATGATAATCACTCTCCAGGAGAGGGGAGTTTTGGATGCCATGAAATATCCATACTAAAAAAAATGAAGTCCTTAAATTAACAAGAGAAGGGTCTCTCCCCATGTGACAGGCATACACTTTAGCCCCCTAACTAGGGTTGCCCAATTTAGCAAATAAATAAACAAACAAGACATCCAGTTAAATATCAATTTTGAGTAACATTTTTAAGTATAATATGTTCCAAATATTGCATGAAACATACTTACATAAAAAATTATGAGTTGGTTTTCTTAAATTCAAATGTAACTGGCCATTCAGTATTTTATCTGGTAACTCTGTACCCTGAAAGAGATAATGAGAAGATCACATGAAGTCAACTATTGCTACAATTCTCCTAAAATGTTTTCTGCATTATAGAAACAGCAAGAAATAAACATCACCATTTAGGATCAGCAATGCCTGCTAGACCCACACCAAAAAAAAAAAAAAGAAGAACAAAGAAAAAAAATTACTGATTACTAGACATAAGGATGGTTTAAAGGGAGAATTTGAGCAATAAAGAGATGATAAACCCTTGAACTTGGGAACACACAGAACTATGTAAGCTCTATGGAACACCCTGGCATGCTTCCAAAATACTAGGCCATTGGACTAGACTATTAGGAAGTAGAATGTCAAATGTCTTTTTCTATTATAGAGATTTAGTTAAACCCATGAATATTTATCCAGCATGCATTTCCCAAACTGTTCTCCACAGAACATGAATGTTCAGTAAGATATTAATAGATGCTCCTTGAAAAAGTATTTGAAAGTCAAAAACTTATGTAACCCTTTCGTTGCATTTTCCCTGCTGTAGCATAATCAATGGGAGCCTATCTTAGGAGTTGTAAGGAAAAATTGCATGAGTTCAAGTTCTGGTCAAGCAATGTGAGACATCAGGCAAGTCATTTAACCATCACGTACCTCTGTTTCTTCATCTGTCAAGTGAAAGTACTTATAGTAGTTTCCTCATACATTAAAACATTAAGCCTTTTAGAAGAAAACATAGGAGACCTTGGGGCTGGCAAATGTATCTCTTAGATATGACACAGAAAAACTAACCAGGAGAGAAAAAAATTGATCAGTTGGGCTTCCTCAAGATTAAAAATGCCTGTTCATCAGAAGTTACCATTAATAAAATGAAATGCAAGGCACGGACTGGGAGAAAATATTTGCAATACTTATATCCAGCTGAAAAATTTATCCTGAATATATAAAGAATTATTTCAACTCACTAATAAGAGGGCAAAATACCTGAATAATGTACAAAAGACTTGAACAGAAACTTCATAAGGAAGATATACAAATGGTCAATAAACATATGAAAAATTACTCAATACCATTAGTCGTCATGAAATGGGAAATTAAAACCATTATGAAATACTACTACATAAATTCTAGAATGGCTGACATTTAAAAAGACTTTCCAATACCAATTCTTGACAATGATATGAAACATCTGGCAATTTCATACATTGCTGATTGGAGCATAAAATGTTATAGCCACATTAGAAAAAGAAATCTAGGTGTTTTTTTTAAGATGTTAAGCATATATCTACCTATGACCCAGAAAATTAATTTCTAGATATATATCAAGAAAAATAAAAACATATTCACATCAAAAATTTGTACAGGAATAGTTATAGAAGCTTAAATAATAAAACCCCCAAACTGGAAACAACCCAAATGTCCATCAACAGAAAAACAGGTAAGTAAATCACAGTATGTTCATATAATGCAATACTACTAAACAATATAAAATAATGGAATGATGATATATCCAGAAACACTGATGATACTTGTAGATATTATGATATGCAAAAATGCATTTATGTGAAGGTCCAGAACAGGCAAGAACTAAATTATGAAGGAAAACAGAATCATTGTTGCCATTTGTGTGGGCAAGTGTGAAAAATGACAAGAGAACAGCATGAACAAACTTCAAACCTACCAGATAAAGAAAATATCCTATATTTTGAAAAAGGTGTAAGTTAAATGAGGGGTTATGAACTGAATTGTGTTCCTGTAAAATTCATATATTGAAGCTCTAAACCCCACTGTGACTATATTTGGAGACAGGGCCTTTAAAATAGTAATTATGGTTAAAGGAGGTCACAAAAGTGAGCTCTTAGTCCAATAAGACTGGTGTCCTTACAAGAAGAGGAAGAGACAGCAGGGATGTGTGTGCACAGAAAAAAGATGATGTGAGGATACAGAGAGAAGGTGGCCATCTGTAAGCCAGCGAGAGAGACCTCAGCAGAAACCAACACTGTGGGCAACTTGATCTTGGACTTTTAGCCTCCAGAACTGTGAGGTAATACATTTATGTTGTTTAAGCCACCGAGTCTGTGCTATTTTTGTATAACCACCCTAGCAAACTAACATAGGGAGTATATGCTTGTCAAAACTTATCAAGCTCCATATACAAGATTGGTTGTTTCAGTCTATGTAAGTTATATTTCAACATTAAAAAAATAGAAAAGAGTGGTCATTATCTCATATGTCGGTTGCCGAAAATATAAGTTGATCAAAACTATTTCACATCTTTGGGTTCCCTAAAATAAAGTTTAAGTTTGGGGAAAACCCTGGGATGGAAATGCTTCCAAATCCCACCCTCTGGTGCCATTTGTTTATTCAGTGCTTTTTGTCATGGAGTAAAATCAAACAAATTGTTTGAGATTTTAGAATTAAAAGATTTACATAAAATTTCCTGAGATATAAGTGGTAAGGATGATGATAATGATAATGGATTTTTTTTTTTTTTTTTTTTTTTTTTGAGACAGAGTCTCGCTCTGTCACCCAGGCTGGAGTGCAGTCGCGATCTCGGCTCACTGCAACCTCCACCTCCCAGGTTCATGCCGTTCTCCTGCCTCAGCCTCCCGAGTAGCTGAGACCACAGGCACCCGCCACCACGCCCAGCTAATTTTTTGTATTTTTAGTAGAGACGGGGTTTCACCATGTTAGCCAGGATGGTCTTGATCTCCTGATCTCGTGATCCACCCACCTCGGCCTCCCAAAGTGCTGGGATTAGATGATGGATTTAAAGCAGTTTGAGAACATGTGATAATTAAGTCATAGAATTTTATGGATGCCTCTTACTCCCAGGTAGTAGAGAGTGCTACATTTCCAAATGGATGAAGAGCCAGATAATTTTTTTGCCATATCAAGACCAGGCATTTTTCAGACATTATCATGCTGAAATGTAACTCTTCTCTGAATACATCATAATCCGGATTAAAATTTCTACCATCTGTAATCTTACCATTAGGCCACATAGTTTATTTGTGATCATGAATACTGTTCCTTTGAATCTTCACTTTGCAGTGTAGTATTTTTCATATAGTAAACTCTGAGTTTTCTAAGAAGTCTGAGATCTTTATTCTTATTGAGTCTGGTTCCTAGTCATTGAGATATCAGCATTAGGATAAAAAATAGTGGCTAAAAGTAATTATTCCAAGTGACTGAAAAATTCTGCCTAAATATAATGTGTTGAATTTTAATAAACATATTATCATGGCAATGGCAATAATTTATTTCTTTTCTCTACCCACCCCTAAAATGGCCCCATGATCTATAGTTGATACCAATTCATTTCTTAGAAATATGTTATGCTTTACATAAGAAATAAATTTTGCTATTCAAACATGATAAAATATAAGACAATTAATTCCAGGATCATCCAAAATCAACAAATCTATGTGTTCCAATTCGTAATTAATGTTCAACTTGCATCCTGATATGAGCAAAATTTTGTGTTTATTAAAATAAGAGAGTGAAGATGAAGTCATTAAAAGTTCAGATTCAATTCAGTAGATCTGTTAGAGATTCTTAAGAGATAGTTCTTGCATACCCTGAAACTCTTAGTTTAAAAGAAGCAGAAGTGAGGTGGCCAAGCGTGATGGTTCACGGCTGTAGCTCCAGCACTTTAGGAGGTTTAGGCAAGATCACTGGAGGCCAGCAGTTCAAAACCAGCCTGGTCACCATAGGGAGACCTCATCTCTGCAAAATAAAAATTAAGCAAAAAAAAAAGAAAAAAAAAATTAGCAGGGCGTGATGGTGCACACCTATAGTCCCACCTACTTGGGAAGGTAAGGCAGGAGGATCACTTGAGCCCAGGAGTTTAATGAGCCATGAGCCACCACTGCATTCCAACTTGGGTGACGAAGTGAGACTGTCTCAAAAAAAAAAGCAGAAATTTTTACTGGCAACATTTGCAGAAGGTTGTGGGTTGGATAGCATAACCAGAGCACATCAGTATTAAACTCACATGTAGCCACTCTATGCATGTAGAATTCATTCACAGAATATTCTTATACTTGACATTCCTGGGTAATTGAAGTCTGAGATTTTTTGTTGTTGTTGTTATTTTTTGTTCTGTTTCATTTTTCTCCATTAAAAATATGATTGTACCCATGATAGAATCAAGTGATAGTAAAATGACTAATAACAGTAAAGGAGTTTTGTTAAATCTTTATGGAAACAAAGCTGATAAAATATTTCACATATAAATAATTGAAATGAACTGAGCACTTACATGGTCCTGCATATGCTCCTCATCCCTTCTGAGCCCTAACTTCTTTTAATCTTTTGTGACATAGATACTATTATTAACATAATTTCACAGATAAGAAAATTTAAGCACATAAGTTAAAAAATATTGCCCGGCCGGGCGCGGTGGCTCACGCCTGTAATCCCAGCACTTTGGGAGGCCAAGGCGGGTGGATCATGAGGTCAGGAGATCGAGACCATCCTGGCTAACAAGGTGAAACCCCATCTCTACTAAAAATACAAAAAATTAGCCGGGCGCGGTGGCGGGCGCCTGTAGTCCCAGCTACTCGGGAGGCTGAGGCAGGAGAATGGCGTGAACCCGGGAAGCGGAGCTTGCAGTGAGCCGAGATTGCGCCACTGCAGTCCGCAGTCCGGCCTGGGCGACAGAGAGAGACTCCGTCTCAAAAAAAAAAAAAAAAAAAAAAAAAATATTGCCCAAGTTCACACAGCTGATGAGTGGAAGAAGCCAGATCTGAACCTCGGCAACCTGCTTCCTAAGTCTGCGCTCCTAATCCTTACCCCCTGTTCTTTAACTGGGTTAATTTTTATCTGTTAGAGCATACATGTTTAAGAAGGTAGAAACACCAGTGATTAATTTACTCAACCAACATTTCTTAGGCAATACCTGTCACGTTTTAAGTATTATTTGTTTTAATTATTTAGTAATTATATTATTAAAAAACCATTCCAATAATACCACCCCAAGTCTTCTAGCTAATTTGGGCCACCTCTCCAGACAGCCTGGCTGTGACACTCAGTCAGAAAAAGTTTTCTACGAAAGAAATGCTATACTGTTTCCTCCGTCAATATGTTAATGTGCTGGTTCTCAAACACTTGCTGCATTTTCAGGTCACCTGGGAAGCCTCTTAAAATCTCAATGTCCAGGCTTCACAATACACCAATTAAACCACAATCTCTTGAGGTGAGACCCAGGCATCACTATTTTTTTATAGCTCCTCCAGAGATTCATTGTACAGCAAACTTTGAGAACTAGTGTGTGAATATATATTTTTTTAATTAGCAAACTGTCTGAAATTGTCTCAAGTGCCCAATTACCAACATGAATAGTAATAAGAAGTATAGGTGTTAAATCTCTAGCATTGAGTTCAGGCAAACTGTGATTCAGATCTGGATTTTGCTACTTTATCGCTATGCAACTTTTGGAAAATCACCATTTATGAACCTAAATTTTTTTATTCATAGGGTGGGTATGATGATCACCTCTCTGAATCTTTGTAAGAATTAAAAAGAAGACAAATGTGAAGCCAAAATATTCTCCTCCCAGTTGACCACCTCTCCTCTGGTGTTCTAACAACAGCCTCTCCAGCCAGTTGGGAGTATCAACACTCATTAGAAAGTGGTTGCTTCTGCTGGCAATCTCTGCACTCACCCCCAATTTGGCCTCCAGCTCAAAGGGAAGACAAGCTTTCCTTCTTAATTCACAATAGCATCACACAGAAGAAGCCATTACCATTCAGCAAGAATGTATTGAAGCTTCCAAAATGAAGAGTGACTTACATCTGTTATTAGATGTTATTAGGTTCAGAGCTCACGGGCCCCATTCTGGCCCTGGGCTTCCTCACCAGGCCGCCTTTCTGTATAACTCCCCCTTAGTCTCCATGCACAAGGGCCAGCTTAACTTGTACCACTAGAATGGATTGTTCAATGCAGAGATGTGGTGTTGTCCCTCAAAAAATCAGAACACATCTGTCAAGGCTGCTGAATGTCCTATGAGAAGCTGTGCTAAATTCACTCAAACCCTTATCCCGGCCTCTTCTCTGACATAAGGTATCGATCTTGCCTACAAGTCATTCCTGCTGCTCCTGCAAACAATGCTCAGTGATTTGTAATCACGGATCATTCACTGCCTCTGTCTCAGTGTGATCTTCATTTCTCTTCAGCTACAAAAACATTTTGATATACTTCAAAATTTAGAGTAAATCACAGAGTTTGCTACCACCACCACTGTCTAGATAGAATAGAAATGGAAAGGAACAGGATAAAAATAGAGAACTGGGGAAAGTGTACACATGGTTGATCTTAGCCTTGTTTCTCTAACTGTTCATGAGGCTATAGTTAGTATTTATCTCTTCCTTCTTCCACTGTCCATTTTGTGCTCCCATTGCACACAGTGTTCCTATAGCTGACTGGGGTTAATATCGTTGTGGGTTGACCCATACCTTTATTTCTAAAGAATCTGAGCTTTCCGTGATCCTACCTGAATTAGGTTGCTCAAGTGTTTTAATAAAAAGTGTAATTAGAGTATACATTCCACTCTGCTTTCTCTCTTCTTCCATTCAGTTTAATAGTTTAATTGCTAGACCTGTCAATACTAGGAGACACCCCAAAGGACCTTCTGATTTCCACGCACACTCTTCTTTGTTCCTTTGTGTAGCAGAAACCTTCTCTCCCCCATGATAACCAGGATTAAACACCCTAGGAAACAATAATCCCTGTTATTGCCTACAGGAGCCACGATATGAGGAGCCCAAAATGACCAACTGTCAATCCCGCCTTCACTTCAATGAAACCACTGTGGTATCCCTCATGCAAGCATTAAGAGACTTGAATTTTCAAATCGAAATGAATTTATGCTTCTCACATTTTGAAAAATGTCATAGCTAAAATATCCCTCAGGATATTCTGGTTATCTATAAAATCTTTAAGATTTCCTTTTACTATAATTGTGTTAGTTACTATACTCAAAGATGAGCATGTGCAATGCATTTGATACACCAGAAAGCTAGCACTGAGGTTTTGAAATACATATTTTAAACAGACAGTAGTTTTAATCTCAAGGCAGCTTTGTATAGTAAGTCAAGGATCACTGTAACAGTCAGACCTACATTCTTCATGCTTTCAAAGAAAATATAACTTATTCAACTTATGATTTAGAGTTCTAGGTCTGTCCATTGACAGGTGAGGTTAATGGAATAATATTGCAGATATTTTTGGAAGACCATTTCTCCAAATATGGTTTTTTTAATTCACCTTATTTCTTAAACATTTAATGCTTTAACACTTGAGAGGAACTTATAGTTCTCAAATGATAAGAGAGATGATAAAAAGCAGACCCACTTGATTTCAGATTTCCTTAACATTTACAAATATGTTAGTCTTGTAATTACAATCCTGTTTTTAATATTATAGTCTCATGTTATTGTCTAATGATATTTAAATTCCCTTGTGCTTAACTCTGTCTCATTTAGTTTTATTTTCTATTATTAGATCACATTGTGCATTACCCTCTCGTGTCTTAAAGAACTCATTACACTTTTATTCTTTAAGAAAATTCCGTAGCTCTATTTCAATTATGTTGCATTCTATTGGTAATCTATACAAGTAATTAATGCTAAAATAAATAATCTCATATTCATAAAAAAGTGTCATATTTCTGAGTAGTTGATTTGCCCTATGCATAGTCCAATCATGTTGAGAAGAAAAAAGGTTGAGATATAAATAGCTTATAAAGCACATTTTCCCAGCTCATCTATAAAGTGTTTCTAGTGGGAAAAAGATTCCTTATGTGTGACTAGTTGAAAAGGAACAAATGTAAATGATTACACTCAAAATAAATGTATTTTCTACTGTTCTGTGCCTCCAATTTTTTCTGAAAAAGATATTAAGGCACATTATAAGGATATTTAAAATAAGCATAAGTTTATAAATTAAAAGCTGAATGGAAGAAGAGAGAAAGCAGAGTGGAATGTATACTGTAATTACCACCTTTGCCCTTGCTACAGGTAAATCCTAAGTTTGACAATGCTGTAATGGCAAACATAAAGAGAAACCAGCTCAATTATATAGTTCTTGGTTTAAAGGGGAAAGATAAAAACAAACTAATTGCATAGGAGAACAAGTATTCTTTGTACTAAATCAGAAAGGTGATCTCTAGTGGGTCCTCTTGAGGAGAATCCAGAGAGACAGAGTCAAGGAATTGAGAACATCCTCAGCTTTCTCCGAGTAGATGAAACAACGAGTTTCAAGGCACTCTTTTATTCTCATCTTCATGTAGGCAGAGGAAAGTAAATCAAAGGCAATTGCATTAACTAATGTTAAATGGGTGTCTTAGTCCATTCAAACTGCTATAAAAATATACCTTAGATTGGATAATTCATGAACAAAATTTATTTATCTTGGCTGGGAAGTTCAAGATCAAGGCCCCAGCAGATTCAGTGTCTGGAGAGGGCCCACCCTGCTCCACAGATGGTGCCTTGTTGCTGTGCTCTCACATGGAAGAAGGGGCAAGGCAATTCCTTTCAACCTCTTTTATAAGGCCACTAATCCCATTTATGAAGGCAAAGATCTCAAAACTTAATCATTTCCCAAAAGGCCCCACCTCTTAATACTGTCACATTGGGTATTAGGTTTTAACGTACTAATTTTAAGGGGAAACCAATATTCATTCTTTTGTCTTTTTTTGGATAGTTTGTTGAAAGTCTTTAGCATGAAAGTGTTGTTGAAATTTGTCAAATGCTTTTCTGTATTATTGAGATGATCATGTGATTTTTATCCTTCATTCTGTTAATGTGATGTATCACATTACTCGATTTGTATATGTTGAAGCAAACTCATGTCTCATTGATAAATCCCACTTGGTCGTGGTCTATGATTCTCTTCATGTGCAGTAGAATTTGGTTTGATTTGCTAGTATTTTGTTGAGGATATTTGCATCTATGTTCATCAGAAATATTGGCATTTAGGTTTCTTTTCTTGTATTGTTTTTGTCTGGCTTCAGTATCATGGTAATGCTGGTTTCATAATTGAGTTTAGAAGTGCTTCCTCTTCTTCAGATTTTTTCAGTAGAGTATGAGAAAGATTGCCATTAATTCTTCTTTTAATGTTTGGTAGAATTCACCAGTGAGCCATCTGATCCTGAGCTTTTCTTTCTTGGGAGGTTTATGGTTATTGATGCAATGTCCTTCTTCATTATTGGCTTGCTTATACTCTCTATTTCTTCATGATTCAGTGTTGGTAGATTGTATGGTTCTAGGAATTTATCCATGTCATCTAGAGAGCAAGAGTGATGATACTTATATAAGACAAAATAGTCTTTAAGCCCAAAACTGCCACAAGAGACAAAGAAGGACATTATATATTAATAATTATATGAGGTTTCATTTCATCAGTAAGATATAAAAATTATAAATATATAGTCACTCACCATCAGAACACCTAACTATATAAAATAAATACTGATAAAACTGAATGGAAAAATCAACAGCAATAAACTGATGGTAAGAGACTTAATTCTCTACTTACAATAATGAATGGAACATTCTGACAGAAAATCAACAAAGAGAGAGCAGCCTTAAACAACACTGTAGATTTAGTACACCTAACATACAGATACAAAATATACCACCAACAGTATCAGAATACACATTCTTCTCAAAGGCACACAGAACATTATCCAAGATAGATATTCTCTTAGTTCACAAAATAAGTCTTAACACATTTAAGATTGAAATTACACCAAGCATCTTTTCAGACCACATTGGAATGAAACTAGAAACCCACAATAGGTGAAACTCCAGAAAATTGACAAATAAGTGGAAATTAAACAACACACTCATGAACAACCAATGGATCAGAAAAGAAATCAAAATGGAAATTTAAAAAATACCTTGATGTAAATAAAAATGAAAACACAACATACCAAAACTTGTAGAATACAGCAAAAGCAATACTGAGGGAAGTTTATAGCAATAAATGCCTGCATTTAAAAAAATCTCAAATAAACAACATAACTTTAAGTATCAAGGACCAAGAAAAAGAAAAAAACTACATCCAAAGTTAGTAGATAGATGGGAAGAAAAAATATTAAAGCAGGAATAAATAAAATAGAGAATAGAAAAACAACAGAAAAAAATAAATGGAACTAAAAAAATTTTTTAAGATAACAAAATCAGCAAACCTTTAGCTAGACTAGGAAAAAAAAAGATTCAAATAAAATCGTAAATGACATTGGAGGTACTGCAACTGACGCCACAGAAACAAAAGGAATCATAAGAGACCATTATGCACAATTACACACCAATTTCTTATTAAATATCTACTTTTGGTGATCTTTCTTTGCTTCTGACTAACAAGAAAAAGATTCATTTTCAATAACTAGTTTTTTGAAAAAGGCTTCAACAGCACAACTTTTGACACTGTGAAGCTCCTTTAAAAAAAAAAAAAAGAATTCTGTTGTAATACAGAACTTTTTCATACACCTTCCATTCACTTGGGGGTGAGGAGAGTTGAGGACATAGCTGTCATCAAAGATGTCAGATGCAGCCCCCTAGATAAGCCTGAAAAGTTCATCTTCACTCATTAGTATTTTTTTTTTCTCAGAAGCTCAAATATCTTTCTATATAGTCTGGCTTACTTTGGAGAACTCATTTTCATTGTGAGAGGCATGCAAATATCTGAATTCCAATTGTGGACTGGATTCAAGTCCCTCACAGAGTTGATGGGCCCCATGAAATAATATCACTAAACCTATGTCCTGCTTGTGCCCTGATAGGTAAGCCCTGAGATAGTCTATGATGGAATACTGGTTGATCCAGAATATGTAAAATCCTCTAAGAAAGAAAAAAAAATCATACATAATTTCACAAAACAGCTTGCTTATCTCAGACGAGAACCAGCAAACATATCTTTTTCTAATATGTATCAAAAACAACTTTTCTGGTCATAAATACTTCTTGTTGGCCGGGTGTGGTAGCTCACGCCTGTAATCCCAGCACTTTAAAAGTCTAAGGCAGGAGGATCACTTGAGGCCAGGAGTTGGAGAACAGCCTGGCTAACATGGTGAAACCCTGTCTTTATTAAAAATACAAAAATTAACTGGGCATGGTAGCAGGTGCCTGTAATCCCAGCTACTTGAGAAGCTGAGGCACAAGAATTGCTTGAAGCTGGTAGGTAGAGGTTGCAGTAAGCCAAGATAGTGCCACTTCACTCTAACCTGGGTGAGATAGTTGGAGACTGTGTCTCAAAAAAAAAATTGTCAAGACATTATATTTTCTATGGGTTGTTTATTGGTGTCTCCACTATGAGTGCCAGAACCTGAATTGAAATTGTTAGTTGGGAGTCATATGGGCCAGATATCTTATTACAAAATTATTTAAACATTTCCTTAGTTGATATAGATAACTAAAAATACGAATTCAGGAATTCTTAATTCACACCCAGAAGACTCATATTCAAGTCCTTGATGGTTAATTACAGAATAATTAATATATTGTATAAAAATCCTATTTTCTGTGCATTTTTTGCTCAAAAATGGATGTATCTTTTCTTGTTAATTCTGTACAAACCAAAAATTTTGAAACGAGTCTCCTCAGTGGCAATTTGAAGAGGGAGGCAAGGATGCTAATGTTTCTTCTCTAGTGATTTATCTAAATCATGGACAAATAAACTCACATGGAATGCTTTCTGGAATAGAACTTGGCGGCTGATTTGTCTGCATCAAGCCCAGGTTTTCTCCTCTTCTCTCCCAGGCTGTTATCCTAGCAGCACAAAGGCCTGACCTTGGAGGGCAAGTCAGCCTAATTCCCGGAGTCAGTGAACGAAGCCATTATCTCTCACTCTAAGGTCTCTTTTAAACTAGTTTTTAAAAGTAACAAAGATGGGCCGGGCGCGGTGGCTCACGCTTGTAATCCCAGCACTTTGGGAGGCCGAGGCGGGCGGATCACGAGGTCAGGAGATTGAGACCATCCTGGCTAACACGGTGAAACCCCGTCTCTACTAAAAATACAAAAAAAATTAGCCGGGCGTGATGGTGGGCGCCTGTAGTCCCAGCTACTCGGGAGGCTGAGGCAGGAGAATGGCGTGAACCCGGGAGGCGGAGCTTGCAGTGAGCCGAGATTGCGCCACTGCACTCCAGCCTGGGCCACAGAGCGAGACTCCATCTCAAAAAAAAAAAAAAAAAAAAAAGTAACAAAGATGAACATCTACGTCAAGCTTGTCCAACCCATGACCTGTGGGCCACATGCAGTCCAGAACGGCTTTGCATGCAGCCTGACACAACTTCGTAAACTTTCTTAAAACATTATGAGATCTTCTTGTGATTTTTTTTTTTAGCTCATTATCTACTGTTAGTGTTAGTGTATTTTATGTGTGGCCCAAGAGAATTCTTCTTCCAGTGTGGCCCAGGGAAGCCAAAAAATTGGACGCTCTTCATCTACATCATCCTACTTTTCAGTTGGCACAGAACTCAGTTGAAGAAAGACATGCTATTCATTGGGCCCTGGCATAGTTCTCTGGGACCAGTATAACCGAAAACCCTAGACTGGATGGCTTATAAATAACAGAAATTTGTTTCTCATAGTTCTGGAGCCTGGGAAATCTAAGACCAAGGTGCCAGCAGATTTGGTTACTGGTGAGGGCCCACCTCCTGGTTCATAGACAGCTGTCTTCTTGCAGTGTCTTCACATGATGGAAAGGGCAAGGGAGCTCTCGCAGGTCTCTTTAATCTGGTCACTAAGCCCATTCATGAGATTTCCACCCTCATGACCTAATCACCACTGAAAGGCCCCATCTCCAAATACTGTCATATTACGTTATTTTGGGGGGACACAAACATTTGTCTGTAGCAGGCCTCCTCAAAGCCCAAGTTTAAAAATGTATTAATTGCAATGCGTGAAAATGATGAGGAAAAAGATTGGACAAGCAATGATGCTTCAGCAAACCTGTGGCATTTACCGCTCTGTCTTCCTCTCCTACTCCAAGGAGTTTACTCGGCATCAACAGCAGCCTTATTCTAGGCCTCAATTACTTTTTATCCTTATCCCAACCCCAACCCCTGAAATAAGGGAACATCAAAGGAAAAGCTAGAAGTCATAAAGGGAAAAAAAAGATGCAGCTCAGTGTGAGCATGTTAGATATGGGGTGCTTTTGAGACATCCAAGAGTGTAGATTCAGCAGCAAAGCTATCAAGGAAAGATTAGGATTGGAGACCTAAACGTGAAGAATGTGATGACCCTCAGCACACTGGGAGCCGAGGATATGCGAGGGATTATGAGCTAGGTTGAGGAAGAATCCATCCACAGATTTAAACAGAAAGGGGCCGTGGAAGGAGGACGTAGTACGACAGATGCCAAGATGTGAATAATATAGTACCAGGAGGAAGGAGGGGCTGGTGGTATTTTATTTCTCTAATAAGTCCAGTCTTCACTAGATGTGATAATTTGGAGTTCATTGATGATCTTTGTCAGATGTATTTTAGCTAAGTGTTTGGGAAAGATGCCCTTTTGCAGAAGGTGGAAGAATACATGGGAGCTGAGGCAGTTAAATCTTGGACAAGCTCCATGTTCAAGGAATGGGATGAGAAGGTACGGAGAGAGAAGACATCATCCAGACGAGCCCGGGCAGCCCAGTGTGGAGGGGTTTTTGAGAGTCCTGAGTATGTGCATCTGCTGAAGGTAGGGAAATAGAGAGGTGGAGGATGGGAGAAGGCTGGTGGTTTGCAGGAAAAGGATAACCAGTGGGGCTAGTTCCAGAGAAAATTAAAAGTGATTTGATTCCCTAATACAAGTGGATGCTGTTACAGTTTGGATTGTGTTCCTCAAAATGCATATGTTGAAGTCCTAGCCCCTCTACTTCAGACTGGTGCTGTATTTGGAGGTAGGGTCTTTAATGAGAACACATTCATCTGTAAGCTAAGGAGAGAGTTCTTCAGAAGAAACCAGACATCCCAACACTTTGATCTCAGAATTCTAGCTTCCAGAATTGTGAGAAAATAAGTTTTCATTGTTTAAGCCAGTGGACCCCAACCTTTATGGCACCAGGGAGGGGCCAGTTTTGTGGAAGAAAACTTTTTCACAGACCAGTGGTGGGGGTGGTGCGGGGATGGTTTCAGGATAATTCAAATGCATTACATTTATTGTGCACTTTATTTCTATTATTATTATATTGTAATATATAACGAAATAATTATACAACTCACCCTAATGCAGAATCAGTGG
Source organism: Homo sapiens (assembly GCF_000001405.40). Taxonomy (NCBI): domain Eukaryota; kingdom Metazoa; phylum Chordata; class Mammalia; order Primates; family Hominidae; genus Homo; species Homo sapiens. The sequence goes on from NC_000004.12 coordinate 172,570,810, forward strand.
GAGCCCTGAGGTTGTTTTCCTTCAACTAGATGGTCCCATCTGGGGGTGATGGGAGACAGTGACAGATCATCAAGCATTAGATGCTCATAAGAAGAGCGCAATCTAGATCCCTCTCTTGAGCAGTTCACAGTAGGGTTTGTGCTCGTATGAGCATCTAATGCCCCACTGATTTGACAGGAGGTGGAGCTCAGAAAGGTAATGCAAGCAATGGGAAGCAGCTGTAAATACAGATGAAGCTTCACTCATTTGCCAACTGCTTACCCCCCAGTGCGTGGCCTGGTTCCTAAAAGGCCACAGACTGGTATAGGGGTTGGGGACCCTAGTTTAAGCCACCCAGTCTATGGTACTTTGTTATGGCAGCCCTAGCGAACTAACACAGATCAATAATAGAACAAGAATAGGAAAACCTTATTGTTCGGAAGCAGGAGAAAAAGAAGCAAGCCAGGCTATTTTATTAGAACATTATTCGTGTATTAATGTTTTTATCTTTTTGTGTGACCAGACATGCTAGGTGAAGTGACAAATGAACCCTGCACAGATCTTTGAATAGAAACATCTCATAGGAAGACAGCAATATATACCCAAACCTACAAAATATAGAACAGCTATCTCTTTGAATAATCCAGGAGTCTAACTCAAAAGTTTTCAAAGGGAAATATGTTGTGACTTAAGACTGTCTAGATGTTCTGAAGACAAGTTTTTTTAAAAAATACCCCTTAATTGAAGGCAGAGACACTATCGAACGTATCAGAGGAATAAGCCAGAATGAGCAGTATCTTCTTAGTATTTAAATCCCTTGGCCTTAAAAGGCTTCCACTGAGTGCAAGAAATTCAACATAATTGGGGAGAAAGGTGAAACCATCATTATTGTTGAATTGAAGACAAAAAAAGCACATCCCTTCTTTATCCTTGACAAATTATGAAGCCCTACTTTAAGCAATTTAGGATAATATGGCAAAATTATGTGGCAGTTCTCTATGGTTTCTAATAACATGTTTTCATGGCCTATTTCTCCGAAGCCATGCCCCAGGCATTGTAGTTAGCCTCAGACACCGTTTTCTCACTCAAATGGTTGCAACTCCTGGTTTTCTCATTGTGTCTCTGCCTGACATAAGTTGCCCTGCAGGCAACCTTCCTGATCCTCCTTGAATGTGCTTTTCCCCCGTATTGTCAAATTTTCTATGTACAGTAATCCTGTTCTACAAAATATTGGCCATATCTTTCAATTGGCAGGCACCCATATCTCCCCAGACTGAAATGATGATTGTGACAATTATTGACTATTACCTCCTAGCAAGTCATCAGATCACCTAATGCTGTTCTCTGCACACTCATCTCACTGCTACAGTCTGTGCTCTCTGTACAATCTATGATGCGGACTGCAGTCACAGTTCTGTCCACAGCATAGCCTCCCTGAAATCTATTCCCCATACTGCCTTCCAAGTGTCATTTCTGGAAGATAATGATGATAATAACTAGCATACTACACAGAAGAATCTGAGCTGAGAACCTCACATGGATTATTATGTTTAATCAACTCTGAAACGTAATGAGAAAAGAGCTATTACTAATCCTATTTTTAAAAATAAGGAATTAGGATTCAGAGTCATTACATAACTTACTCAGAGACACACAACAAGTAGGTTAATATATCAGACACTCAAGTCTGACCTCACACCTGCAGGCTGAACCTCTGCTATACACTCTCCCACTTACCCCTGAAAATTGTCATCAGTTTTTTACATAAATAATTCTGATAAAACCTTTCACATGTGACTCTAAAAGTCTTCTCAGTCTCTTCATTTATGTTGCCTCTGTGTAATCTAAGTTCCAACCGTCTCAAACCAATTTCTGTGTTCCAAATGACCTATTACTTTCTGTGCCTCTGTTTACTTGTACATGTTGTTATTTCATTTTTCCGAATGTTCCATCTGAAAAACATATATGTGTTATTTTAGATGCTACCATACTTTACTAATAGGAATGATTTAATTATATTATCAACAACCTTGATAAAGTCAAGGTTATGTTGTACCTGTTGCTTTTTCCCTGATTATCAAGTCCTGGATTTCTCAAATTTAATCTTATTTAAATGGATTTCATGCTAACCCTGGTTAAAAAGCATGAAAACATGCTCCAAAACATAAGTCCCTTTGACCTTAGTAAATATCTAGAATTATTGAAGTGGGTACATGTTTTCTTCTTACCCCATAATATCACTAAATAGAACAGAGTGCAATTACTATTATAATTACTGTAAGTGTTTACCCGGCTACATGATTTGTCAAATTTGATTCCCCTTTAAAAATGGCATCTTTTACATCCAATTCACCAAGCATCAATAAAATATAAAAACAATTATAAATTGAATTTCCATGCAAATGTGGCCTTTTCCCTACTCTGCATGAATGCACACCATCAAACTATTATGCTTCATTGTTGACAATGTACTGGTGAAATAACCATGAAATAGCCATGTTCTAATTGTTTTGCTAGTTGCCAAGGTCAAGATTCATTTTTCCCCAAGAAATTTTATAAAGGTCATTACAGCTTAATGAAAGTTTGCATCCCCTATTCATCAAAAAACTGTAGACTAATTCTCATAAACATTCAATTAGGCGTTTAAAAAATAGAATCATATTTCTATCAACTACAGACAGAAATTTCTCTGAATTTCTCACTCCCAAGGATTTGAAGCAATGGTGGCTTTTCAGAGAATTGTTCCAGTAATCTATTATAATAAAAAAAATAAGTGGTATGGTAATGTAAAAGAAACATTAGCTAATCTTCCTATTATACTTAGTCTTGATCTATTCTTCTCCAGGGTATTGGCCTGAAAAGGGTTTCTCAGATAAAGAGGTGCATGAAGCCCTTACAGAGAGCTCAGGGCAGATACTCTGAAGTGGTTAACCCACAGTTTTCAAGCATGACCAGGGCTATATCTATACATATAATATTTTCAAGAATGTAAAATCTTTTATTCAGATGTTTTACTATGATTCAGCACTGTCAAACAAACTCAATTTCAGGACTTTTGCCAGTAACACGTTTTGAGGGTAAACAAATATGATTGGTTTAGATGCTATTAACATTCCAATTAACATTTCTCAACTTGTTTAAGTGACCAGAGTAATACATTGCCCCTTGTTCACTGAAATGTAGGTTTCTCATACTTCTCCACTATTAACACCACTTCTTATAGTCACTGTGCAGAATTTTACAACCCTAACCGCAACTGGCTCTTGGGAAAAACAAAAAAAAAGGAAACTTTCCTTCTTCAAGTATTGTAATTGTTTCCTGTTTCGATTTGACTTAGATTTCCTGTTCTGGTGATCTCAGATTGTAACTATTGCTTAAGAATAGGTTTGTAACCATCTGATAACCTGTGAAGTGATTGCAGAAGAAAAACACAAAAGCAACTAATGCATCAGTCTTGTAGTGTTTAAATTAATTTTAAATGTATTTTGTAAATGTAGTCCTAGCTTCAAAGTCTGAAAAATGGATTAGTAGGGAATCTGTGATTGGAAATTGTCACAGGAGAGGTTTTGCAGTAGTATGATTATTTGACTGTAAATCTCTCTCCCTTACCCCACATAAATAAATTGTTTATTATTAAATATTTAAAATAATTATTTTATTTATAAAATAAAAATTTTATTTTTAAAACCAAAGCCAGAGTCAGAGATTAGATAACTGGCACTTTCTATTTATTAGAAAATTTACCACAGACAAAAAAAGATCCTCTAATAAGCAAACAGAATATATGAAAATAAGATTGGGGAGAATTATGAGTATGAAGGAGAAAAACAGCTAACAAACAACCAGCAACAACTAATAACAATAAATGTTAAGGCCTTTTAACACAAGAAAAAAATTGCTTCAAGTACATAATTTAGATATAAATTATCTAACCACAACAATGAAACACAGATATAAATTATAGCTGAATACCAGGGATAATAGGGTCTAAATATATATAATTCCTTTGAATTTTATCTAAAATATATAAACTATGATATTTCTGGTTTTACTACTTTGCATTTACATTTTCCAACAAATAAGATATATTTTTAGAGAGGTGCTCACACATGCAAGCGTGCATGCATGCATGTGTATACACACGCACACATACACACACACACACACACACACACACGATTAGAAAGTCTCCTGTGCTCTCCAATTAGCGGTACCCATAAGAGGACAGGATATTTGGAAAAAGGCTCCATCACGACTGTGTGTACCCAAAGGTCACTTACAGCAAATGCAGACTCAAATGCAGGGAGGAAAAAGTTATCAGGGGATTCCTAGCCTTGCCGATACAACTCTGCCTTCATGACATGCGTATTACATGCATTGTGTATACAATTCTTAACTCCAGAAACAGCTTTGAAGTTGTAACTAAATTCAGCATAATCTCTACTCCTTTTATTTTCCAGTCTTTATTTTTAGGGAATTTTCCTTACTGCAAACATTGTTATGATAATACCTAGTTTTTATTGTTCCATCATATGTTAAGAATTTCATAATCATGATGAAAGTCCATTGCTAACTAGGAAACATGATAAGTGCACACATTTCATGTAGATAATTCACATACACCAGCAACAATCCTTTATGGTTATTCAATACAGCCCTATTTATATAGAAGGGAACCCAGGTCAGAAAAGTTTGAGAAAACTGTCCTTGGTCATTTGTCTAGCAAGAGATAGAGATATTATTTAAAAACAGATCTGATTTCAAATTCTCGCTGCCTCTGCTGCTGTGAGAAGGTCTTAACCTCTATGAAATCTGGATCTGTTTAAAAGTCATATATAAAAGCTTCAGCTTATTATTCTACTTTCTAATATTTTGTCTGTAGCACTGACACTGTTTTCAAATTTTGACTTGTTATTTAAATTTGATAGTTTTCTGAAATGGATTTCCAGCTGTGTGTTTCTCTATTACAGTTTTTTAAGTGTTAGTGTGTCTTGCCAGCTTACCTCTTAAAGAGGATTTGGTGTAGAAATTGCTTCTGAAATCAGTGACTCAGCACTTCAGATTTTTGTTGATTTACAGTTTTGGGATTTGCTATATGTGTGATGTTGGTTAATTATTTAATTGGTTTTAGTTATAAAATGGTGTTTTAAGGCAATGCAGTGTTGTTGACTGGAGCTTTCACAAAAGTTACTGGCATTTGTGGTCTGTACTTTCAGCCCTTAATTCTATTTTATTGATCATTTCATCAGGGAAGGGGTTTTCTTTTCTTTTCATCCATCTCTGCTTTTCTAAGTACTTCTTTTATTTAAAGCTGCCTCTAATTATTTCTAAAAATGGTAGGTCCCTAAATTTTTAACTATGTTAAAGGTGGTATCAGTTGGATTATCTGGACACTGCCCATTCTAATGGCCATGAGGCACGCTCATTACAGAATGAAGTGCTCTGAGCAAGATGGGACCAGGAACCGGGGGAGACTGTGCTGGGTATTCATCTACACAGGGACAATCCGCTTCTGGTTACCTTACAGTCCTCTGCACATTTTATATGTGCTATGATATCCTTCATCATAAAAAATCCTTAAATATAAATGACAAAAGAATGACTCAAAAGGCTTCTGTAATGTACCCAGCCATACATTTCATAAATGATGGAAAGAGCTTGGGTCTAAGGGTTGTTTGAACATGGATGGTAATGAATAGTACAGTGGAAAGAACTTGCAGTCAGGAAAGCCCATGTGGAATCCTGTCTTTTGCCATTTGTTAAGCTCCATGATTACAAATCAATTACCTAACTTCTGAGTTGTAGCCTTCTTATCTGTAAAAGGTGATTAATTATCCTGCTTTGCAGAACTGTTGAGGGGATTGAAATAATATAGTATATACATAAAGCACTGTGTAGAGCACCTGATACATTTGTGGTGTATCAGGAACTTAGTAAATTAGTTCCACTATAACTACTATCACTAAGAAAAAGCCTAATAAGGAAACTATTGTCTCAATAGATTCTGAGGACAAGTTCAGGGTGACCAACAACACAACAACCATAATAAAATGTTTCTATGTAGAGACTGACAGTGGTTGGTTGTCAATACGGGTTGTGCAGGTCAGAAATTCTCTGCCATGGGGATACTTATGTGAGTGAGGCTTAGGATTTGAGAGCGTACCTTGAGCAACCCAGGGAATATTCTGTGTCACAATCTGTCAGACACTGGAGTTCATCCTGCCAAACGGTCTCCACCTCTAGTCAGTGGCTGGAAAGAAGGACAGAACCAGAGAGCCCATGACCATAGGGAGCCTTCCTTCCCTGGTCTCCACTAGAGCCCATTCATACTGCTGGGCAGTCGGGATAAATGCATTCTCCTGGGTGACCTTAAATAATTGTTTAATGAATATTTTAATATCCCTGCCCAAGCAAATATAGCACTACTGACACAGTAAAAATAATGTTGAGTGGGTGACTTTCACCATGAGAAAGTTTTTTCAAAAGGTTTCTGAGAATACATTAATGAGTCAGAAAGCCTAGTGACAAAGATTCAAAATCCAAATTATATGAAATTACTTATCAGTTTGTTCCCTTCGAATTTTTATCCCTCTGTGTCCAGAGTACCAACCTGTTTTATACAAATTTATTTATATTTCCAGAAAATTGGTCGACATAACATCACTGTATAATATATGAATGCTTTCTCTAAACTAAGAACGCCCCACAGGTCCCTTGCCTTTGAATAGTTCAGTATTGTAATAGCTAATGCCTTCCTCTCATTTTCCACTGTATACCACCTCAGAGCACTGTGTTTGGGTCTGTTAACTTGGTTCTCTTGTGGCAGTTTCTCCCGGTGGCTGTTTACACAGGCCCCCAAGGATCCTGCATTAGATGGCACCTGTTGCTTTCTGTGTGACTCAAGCAGAGGTAAGCACTGCTGCTTTCTCTGCTGGTCTCAATTCACAAGACCCCATGAGAAGCACAGGCACTCAGCAACTTTGTTGTCATTCATGATTTCACCCAGATGGCCAGCGATATATGACAGTCAGAAAATGTCACAGTCAAGATCAATATATACAAACTGCTCCCCACAACTCCCCAAAATAGTGATAATCACCATCATCACAATATGGATACGTGAGCTGAGCCTATCACAGGCAATACACTGTTTTCTTTGAGTCTGGGGAAATGAGAAAGTAGACTGGGGATAATGATGACAATCACCAGGCCTTGTGATTTTATGGAGCTTTATACTTCCAAAGTACCCTCACATGTAATATCCCTTGGAACACATCTTTCCAGAAGAGACTCATATTGAAACTGAGATAGGCAGTACTCATGTAAAAAATTTCCTGCCCTTATTCAATATCATATGTGGTAAAAATTGTTATCTGATGCCATAGAATGGCTTATTTTTATCTTTCATTAAAAAAAATTTCTCACAAAAGCCAAGGATGACTTTAAATATTTCCATGTTGTTGCAAAATTATCAGCTCTTTCAATAATTGAGTCTTTTCACCACACTGTATTTCAAATCTGCCACACTGATTTAGACATGCAGTCTTTCTATGAAATAATGTGAGAGCACACGTTCTTCAGCTTAGGCTTTTTGTCTTCAAAGTCAGCTTATGACATGGTTAAATGCTGATATGTTTATTTACTTTGATCTTTGTTAATTACTGGTAATTGATATGATTAGCAAAGACACAAAACTGAAAAAAATATGTTTCCAAAGAAGAGGAATGTCTCCAGAAATTGTCTTAAATTCATCCCCTCAGCACTTTTGCAATAGCAGTGGCCTCTTGGGTGTTGTTTATATGAGAAATATTTCCACGTGATTTATTAATTTATTATGAACAAGAGCTGATTTATTGAACAATTTGATAGTTCATTTTCCTCTGACACTCCGTGGTTTCACAAAATCCCTCAAGAATCAAATTTTTAGCTAGATGTGTTAAATCTCATTGTAAACCAGTCTTCTTACATTCTCACTTAGCCAGTATATATATTTCAGGAGACCGTGTGTTTTTATCTCTATGGATGTGGTTATTAGATTAGTGACAAAGAAATTCAAATCTGCATAAGCGTATTTTCTTAGCAAAAGCAAATGACGTGAGTGAGGTTTTGCAACATGGTGAGTAAAGTTACCTCCTGGAAGAAGAGAGAATGGTTCACAGACCCACATTAATATTCATCAGGGAGGCTGCTGCTGAGTTGATTTACATCCAACTTTAGATAATCAGCTGACTTGAGTGGTGACAATCTGATTTTGTGAAAACTAACAACTGGCATCTTCCCAGAGACATTGATTAGGAAATATAAGTTTTCTTCAGTTCAGAATATTTTAACATCATCAAATTACGTACTATGCAGCGAAGACAGAATTCTATGTTTGTCCACTGTTGTCAAAAATTTTTGCTGATATTTCCCATTTACAGGAAACTAACACATTTCAAGTGCTTACTTTGCACTAGGTAATTTTACATGATATAGCTTTGGTATATAATCAAAATTTTTTCAACGCAACAAGTATTTTTGCCCTGCATTTCTAGTGATGTGACCAACTGACATTTCAGAAAAATTTATGTTGGTATAGAATACCTAAAATACTGGAAAACTATATATAAGTCTTTATCTGTGTATCATGGCAGATAGTAAAGTAAGCCTTCCACATAGTAAGACTCATTCTGGAGGCAGAGCTTGTCTCAAGGGCATTTACCAATTTTGGTGGTCTCGGCTAGACTCTAGAAGACTAGAGAGCAATGTTCCTCGAAGGAATAACAACACTCCTTAGCTATTAAACAAGCAAAAATGACTCCACATGATTTCAAACGATTCCAAACATGGAAATAGTACCCTTAACTGGGAATAATTGACTTAGAACCTGGTTTGTAAATAGTCCTAGAAAGGCCAGAAGCAATTTTCTAAAGCTAGAAATAGCAAGGTTCAAAGTTTGAGAGATTTCTATACAATTTCAGGACTTTCAACTGGCAACAACTTTAGAGTTTAAATGAGGAAGGAAGGAAGGAGGGAAGGAAGGAGGGAAGGAAGGAGGGAAGGAAGGAGGGAAGGAAGGAAAGAAAGAAGGGAGGGAGGGAGGGAAGCTACTAGTCACATAAAAGCATATTTTAAAATCTTTACTTCAGCTGTGGGAGGAGTAGAGAAAATGAACAGTCTCCTCTGAGAATTTCTAACTCAAATTCGTAGACATATATGACCTGAAAAATCCTGTCAAAAATTTAAGATTAAAATGGCCTCAAGATGATAGGACACCCAAAAACCTAGCAGAATTACTTGGAATAATTATATATTAAATGAATGCTATTTAAACAGATGCCTCAAATAAATCTGACAAATATTTCTAAGAAAGTTAATCTCACAGTATAAAATTACTCAACCTGCTCAGAAAACAAGCCAACATGAGGAAAATCAATGAAAACAGCAAAGTACAAATCAGCCCCACAAAGACTATAAGCATTAGAATGATCAGATTCAGCACATGAAGCAAATATATAATATGTTTGAAGAAATATACTTGGGAATTGAAAGCCCTATAAAGTAATAGTAAATTATCAAGATTGACTAAATATATGTCAAAAAGAAGCAAAACAACTTGTATTTAAAAAATCAACAAATTGAAAATTAAAAACCCAAGTAAAAAGTAAATATCAGATTGGACATAACTCAATACAACCAAAGAAGTTCCCCAGAATGCAAGCCAGAGAGTAAAACACAGAAAAATTTATATTCTTTTCTTTTCTGTTGCTGATGTCAAGTGTGCATCTGGTTTTTAGTTCTGTAAGTGTGCACACCATCTTCTCTATCGTTAGGAATTTTCATGGAAGAGGACATAATCTCATGTTTCCCCTTCTTTGTAGCCCCCCAGAATAATTCAGCACCTACTAGCCTTTTGATTTTAAGACTTTTATGACTTATCACTGGGGAGAAACAGAAAAAAATACATTATTTAACTGTAGGATTTTTGTTTTGTTTTGTTTTAATTTTTTTGTTTGTTTGTTTGTTTTTGAGACGGAGTTTCGCTCTTTTTGCCCAGACTGGAGTGCAATGGCACTATCTCGGCTCACCGCAACCTCCATCTCCAGGGTTCAAGCCTCCCGAGTAGCTGGGATTAAGGCATGTGCCACCACACCCGGCTAATTTTTGTATTTTTAGTAAAGATGGAGTTTCTCCCTGTTGGTCAGGCTGGTCTCAAGCTCCTGACCTCAGGTGATCCACCCACCTCAGCCTCCCAAAGTGCTGGGATTACAGGCGTGAGCCACTGTGCCCGGCTGGCTGTTTTCTAAAATTTATATACAACATCGTTTCTAAAGAAGGACTTGATAAAATTAGCAAAGACACAAAACATAACAAGATAACAGAAATGGACATTGGATTCTCATCATAAAGCCAGGGTAAAGTAAAGATAAACATATATGCCATAAAGCAAATGTAGTACAACTATGCAAAATCATCTTTTTCATTCTCACATTGGCCTTCCCATCCAGAGTGTGCATGCATACTAAGTCCATTCTGCCTTGATGGAGTCATTTTGGCACCTTCCTGTGAACCTGAATCCTTGGTAGTAGCTTCACTTATAGACTCTCCTCTTCACCTGTATGAAGTTATCTGACCTGTGTTTTCTCTGAAGCCCAGTCTTCGAGTTCATCATGGCAGCCTGCCCTTGTTACTCCCCATGTAGACAGCCCCCAGGACTCCACAAAAGGCCTTTCTCAATCCATCAGCTCTTCTCTTCTACATTTACCCAATCCCCCTATTCTATTCTTTCCCTCTGTCCCAATATGCTTCTCTTTTCAGATTTGTATATCTCCTTCCTGGACCCAACCACATGTCACCCAAGTCTTTCCTGTTCTTTTTATAGACCCTCCAGTGATTTTCCATCCTCAGCGTGGTATCACACCTTTCTCCACGCATTACCTCTCTGTCCTCTGAGCCTCATCCTTCCTGCCTGCTCTCTGATTGGCTTGAGAGATGATCTAGGAAAATTGTTCCCAACAGGTAGACATAAGCTTTGGAATCCCACCTCTCCTGTAGCCTGAAGAAATAAAGGAACTGTTGCTTGCCCTCTGAAGGAGGTAAAAGTCTTTGATCTTCAGACCAGGTCAGGATAGATCTGGAACTGGGAAGACTTGCCTTTTTTTCTTGGCTTCTTTGTGACTTCCCTCCCTGTGATCATATCAGCGTTTTGTTCTTGGATGTCTGTACTCACATAGCACTGCTGAGCTACATCCATAGGTTGAGGGAGTCTGATGGTTTGGTAACATTTTTCTTAGAACTGGCTGTCAGCTAGAGCATGAGCTCTTGATTTAGAAAATTTGACCCAGAAGTGCACAAAAAGGCCTGTGTGTGGCCCTTGATGGGCCTTGTGATGACAACACAAGGTAAGCATCAGGGGCTTGACCGTGGGGGAGCAGATACCACAGTGGTTAAGGACATGGACCCTGAAGCCTGAATACTGGCTTTCGAATCGTAGCTATGCTCACTTAATAACTATGTGGCCTTGGGCAGGTTATTTAAACTTTCTGAGCCTTAGTTTCTCCATCTGTAAAATGGAGTTAACAATAATAGTATGGCTATCCCTTGGTATCTTGGTATCCGAGGATTGGTTCTAGGATCCCCACAGATACCATAATCTGTGAATTTCAAGTCCCTCACAGGCCACCCTTGGTATCCATGGGTTCCACATGGATGGATTCAACCAACGATGTCAAATTTACTGATGGGGAACCTGAAGATATTAAAGCTGACTGTAATTACTCCATGACCCTTTTATAAAGATTAAAAGAGTTAATATGTATAATGCACTAAAAACATTGCCTGCTTCATGGTAAGCATTATGTAAAGATTTACTACTAGTTTGTGTTGTTGTTACAGATGGTGAAGATAAAAAGGCATCACTAAATTTTGCAAAACACTCTCAGAGAATTCCAGTACTCATTGGGAAATCACACACACACAGACACACACACACACACACACACACACACACACTCAACGTTCTCCATTCAAATTCCTTTGTTTTTACTTTCTGACTCTATAATTAAGGTTATGTTTATGATTGAATACCCTTTCACTTTTATTCTGAACATGCATTAAAAAGTCTGCATCCTTCAAATATCTATGTTTGATAGATTATGTCTATCCCTTTCTCTAAGAAATCTTGTCATCCCAGTAATTAGACCTTCACTTGAAATTGAGAAAGTACAGGGACTACATCAATGCCATAGAGAAGTTATTTATTTTTTAACATCTTCTTCACTGGGAAAAACATATCACTGGGCCTGTAATCTGTAAAATTAATTCTCCTATAAGGACTTCCTAACAAAACCTCCCTGCCCCCAATTCACACATACACACACACACAAACACACTCACACACATTCACACTTCCTGTAAAGAAAACATGTGAGAAAATACTCACTAGGTTTCAGGGTACAAGAAGTACCCAAGTTAAAGTGGAACCAAAATTAAAGAACCCCAATGTATCTTATAATATTTCTACCTCTTATAATAAACATGCTGATTCTTAGTAATACTGTATATTTCCCTTTGTTAACAGAGGTATTTATTTTTTAATAAACATTGAGCAGTTTTTGTGTACCAGGCTTTGTGCTAGAAACAGATGATTCAAAAATTAAGAAAGTATCTGACATAATTTTCAGGTCTCTATGAGGCAGCTAATATTATTCCATTTTAAATTTTAATATCTAAAGTTACAGAGCTAGCAAATTTGGAAGCGTAAATTTGAAATCATAACTCTTTCCAAAGTTTGTGTTTTAACCACTGCTAACTCCTGTACTGAACAGTGTAAGTTCTAAAAATATCGGATGCGGCTGGGCGAGGTGGCTCACGCCTATAATCCCAGCACTTTGGGAGGTCGAGGCGGGTGGATCACGATGTCAGGAGTTCGAGACCAGCCTGACCAACATGGTGAAACCCCATCTCTACTAAAAATACAAAAATTATCCGGGGGTGGCACACGCCTGTAATCCCAGCTACTCAGGAGGCTGAGGCAGGAGAAACACTTGAACCCAGGAGGTGGAGGTTGCAGCCGAGATCACACCACCGCACTCCAGCCTGGGCCGACAGAGCGAGACTCTGTCTCAAAAAAAAAAAAAAAAAAAAAAAAAAATCAGATGCTGGGCAGTAGAACGCAATGTAAACTGTATAGGATTCAAAATCTTCTGGTTCAAAATTCATTCACTCAACCATTCATGTATTAATTTAAAGAACATTTTTTGAAGATCTAATTTGTGTAAGGCACTATGGTATAAGACAAAACAAGGCAACAATGATATAAAATATAGACAAAGCCAATGAAGAACAGGGACAAATAAGTAATTGCAAAAAAAAAAATGGAGAGTGCAATAAAATGTGAAGGCTCTATGGAAGCACAACCAAGACATTTCAGCTTGTTTAGGGGATTAGAAAAGACTTCCCAAAGGAAGCAGAATGATGTTTGAGGGCTAGCCAAGTAAAGAGGTGGAAAAGTGTATTCCTAAGGAAGTGGTAAGGTCTGAGCAAAATTACATGTGAGAGAAAGAAGGTTTAAGAAACAAATTTATTTGACCAAAGCATAGAGATTTATTTAAAAACAAAACAAAAAATAGAGATATAGCTAGAGAGCTGGCAGGGGTCAGATCTCAGAGAGCTAATAAAGTCAGGTGACATTGATTGGAATGGGCAATGAGAGACACTAAGGACTCAAGGACAAGAGAATAGAGACTACATTTGAAGAGAAGGGGATAGATAGATTTAAGAAATACCAAGAAATTAAACGTTGTGATTAAATGGACATGCTTCTTATTAGGAAGACTTCCAAGTTTCAGGTTTTAAATAGTAGGTGGTTGTGGAGCTATTTTTATTAAAATAAGGAACATCATAGTGAAACTGATTTGGGAGGAGGAAGAATGAATTCAGTTTTGAACTAATTAAGATTGAGGACATCCAAGTACAGTCTGTAGCTGGATATATGTGGTGGTAGTGAGAGGGTATATTTCGGCTGTGAATAGAGGTTTGGGAATTCTTCTCATTGAGATTTGAATCACGTCATAAAAGTGAACAACATTGTCCAGGTAGAGTATGTGGAGTGAAATGAAAGGGCTGTAGAGTGAACTCTGAGGAACACCAACATGTAATGGTTAGATAAGAAGAAAGATGCTACTAAATGCCTGAGCAGTACTGAATTAAAAAGGAGGCAGTTATGCAAGAGAATGTGATGACATAAAATGCACTGTTTCTAGTACTGCCAAGAAGTCAGCAAGATAAGTACTTAAAAGCATCTGCTGAATTGACCAATACGGAAATATTTCATGAACTAGAAAAAAAAAACAGTCTAATGAAGTCTGGTGGAGAGGGGATGTGTTAAATCTTGGGGTTTTTAAAAATAAATGTATTATCTGTTTTATATCCTTTGGGAACTTAAAGTCTTCATTGTCTCTCCTACTAGACTTTTTTTTTTAAATTTTACTTTAAGTTTCAGGATACACGTGCAGAACATGCAGGTTTGTTACATAGGTATACATGTGCCATGGTGGTTTGCTGCACCTATCAACCTGTCATCTAGGTTTTATGCCCCGCATGCATTAGGCATTTGTCCTAACACTCTCCATCCCCTTGCCCTCCACCTCCTGACACGCCCCAGTGTGTGATGTTCCCCTCCCTGTGTCCATGTGTTCTCATTGTTCAACCCCCTCTTATGAGTGAGAACATGTGGTGTTTGGTTTTCTGTTCCTGTATTAGTTTGCTGAGAATGATGGTTTCCAGCTTCATTCATGTCCCTGCAGAGGACATAATCCCACTCTTTTTTATGGCTGGGTAGTATTCCATGGTGTATACGTGCCACATTTTCTTTATCCAGTCTATCATTGATGGGCATTTGAGTTGGTTCCAAGTCTTTGCTATTGTAAATAGTGCTGCAATAAGCATACATGTGCATGTGTCTTTATACTAGAATGATTGATAATCCTTTGGGTAAAAGGTCTAATATCCAGAATCTACAAGGAACTTAAACAAATTTACAAGAAAAAAACAAAGAACCCCATCAAAAAATGGGCAAAAGATATGAACAGACACTTTTCCAAAGAAGACATTTATGTGACCAACAAACATATGAAAAAAAAGCTCATCATTACAGAGCATTAGAGAAATCCAAATCAAAACGACAATGAGACACCATCTCACTCCAGTCAGAATGGTGATTATGAAAAAGTCAGGAAAAATAGATGCTGGTGAGGCTATGGAGAAACACTAACACTTTTACACTGTTGGTAGGAGTCTAAATTAGTTCGACCATTGTGAAAGACAGTGCCGTGATTCCTTAAGGATCTAGAACCAGAAATACTATTTGACCCAGCAATTTCCAACTAGACTTTAAACTCCTTGAGAAAATGTGTCTTCTTATTCTTTATATCCCTTGCCACATATTAAAGGAATTAATAAATAAGTGCTAATTTTCTTACCTATAAAGGAAAGAGAATACCTTCTCCTTTTATATGTCACAGGATATTTTTCAGGATCACAGTTTACATGAAACAGTTGTAAGCTGTAAAACCTACAGAAGGGATGATTGTTGCTATTAATTCTGGATTGCAACAATTCAAGACTAAAATAGAAAAGGTGTCCAAGACAGTTTATGATTTATTGCCAATGAAATACTTACCAACAGTAGTTGCTCTGGGAATTCAGAAAAAAAAAAAAAAAAGGACATTTCAAGATGAAAGCATTACGGCATTTCTCAGAATTGCTAAGAAAATATCCCGGGCGGTGGGGAGTGAGACATGAACAAAATGTAGGCTGTGGAGGACTATATCTGGATGCAGGGAATGGTGAATAAACCAGTGAGATTAGCACAAGACCATCTTCAAACTTTCTAATTCATTCTAAATTCTTGGCTTAGACAAGAAGAATGCATTATTAAGTTTTAATGATTGTTTTGAAAGAGCATTTATAGTATTTGCTGTTCTGCAGAATGTTTTATGATTTATGATTCTAATAACAGACAGTACTTGAACGTGAAAGCTAATTTGTCCTCCTATTGTGTAAGTAGGCTTCCACTTTGGGGAGTAGAGCAAGTGTTGGCCTAAAAACGTCTCCTGATTCCTTGTGCCAAACTTGACCTTCTAATTTGGAAAACAGACTTCACAGCAACTTGTGTAAAAATTAATGAAGTCTTTTAACAGTGTAAGGTACAGCAAAGAAATGTATTGATTTTGATACGCTACAAGGTTATTGCTTACAAGCATAAAATTATTGTAATATCCAGAAGTTTAGAGGTTAAGGAAATGAATGTGAAGAATGCCTATGTGTGTGCACATGTGAAAATATTGGGGTTCTAAGAAAATTGTGTAGAAAAAATGTACGATCCCCTGTTCACCTGTTCTGGTTAGAAAGAACACTAACAGATATGAAGGAAACCATAGACTTCTAGACCTTGTGCTGATATGTACAGAAAATACATAGAAAATGAAGTCTAAAAGACCCTTGCTTTGGCATGTCTACAAAGAATAGCAAAATGGACTTGATTGCTATTACTGAAAGCCACATTATTCCCCACCCATTAGATAATCTCCCTATCTCCAGTTTCATTTTGTCCTATCCTTGCTTTGCAGTGTTGCTGGAGGGATCTTTGTTCAACATGAACCCGATCATGTCACCCCTTGTCGTATCACATATTGTGATGGCTTGTCTTCCCTTTAGAATAAAATCAGAACTCCTTGGATTTGTAAGCAGGGCTTTCCACAGTGTGTCTCCCACCAACCTTTCCAATGTAATCTCTCATCACCATTCAATATGCACCGTACACTCAAACATAAAAGCATTGTTTGCATTTCCTCAGTAGCCTATGATTCCCCTCTATACCTTCCACGCCTGCTTTTCTGCAGCTCACAGATTCTTATACATCCTTCCAGGATCGGCTCTAGCAATGCCTCCTCCCAGAAGCTTTTTGTGAACCATCACCACCCTCACCACTAGACTAGTGTGTGTGTCTGGGTGATGCAAGTGCATGTGCAGAAGTGTGTGTGTCTGTGTGTGTGTGCATGTACACACATATTCACACATGAGCTGTGCTTTACTCCCAAACACCCCAAGCCCAAGGCTGGCCATGGCATTTATCTTTGAAAATTATAATTATCCAATTTTCTATTTTCCTGCAGATCATAAACTACTTGAGGCTTTTTCATTTCATTTTGCCCATAGTAGGCCCTCGAAAAATATTCACTGACTACTTAAGTGAGTAACAGACCAACTAAGGAACTGAAGATATGGTTGATATTAGTAGACTAGCAAATTAAGCAACGTAGCATAATGAGAATGCTTATGGGAAAAAGAAGAAGGTTTTAAAGCTTCCCAGCACACTATAGATCCAAATGTAAAACATTTGTCCACTTCCCCCTGAAAAAGGAAGTTTATGTGTATTGTAGTTTTTACCATGGGTCTTAAATTATAGCACACTTTTACAATTATTTTATTTTTAAAAACAAAATATCATGTGGCAGAAGACACATTAAAAAAGATCTCCCAGACAAGGCGTAGTGGCTCATGCCTGCAATCCCAGCACTTTGAGAGGCCGAAGCGAGCAGATCACTTGAGGCCAGGATTTCGAGACCAGCTTGGCCAACATGATGAAACCCTGTCTCAGCAAAAAATACAAAACTTAGCTGAGCGTGGTGGCGTGTACCTGTTGCCCCAGCTACTTGGGAGTCTAAGGTGCAGGAATCACCTGAGCCCGGGGACCCTGTCTCAAAAAAAAAAAAAAGAAAAAAAAATCCTCCCAATCGTGGATAGTGATAGATGCCTAAAAGTGGCTATTTAATACTCACTCAAAACTAAGAACATCTTGGTTTTGGACATCTTTGTAAATGATCTTCTCAGAGGTCACTTTAGAAAGCAACATGGTAAGTGGTTCTAACCACAGATAAATGCTACAGAATACAGTTTAAAAGACTGAAGTCCAAATATATGGGCATACAGTTTCCAGTTATGCAATCACATATCGATATGACGTGAGCATGCTGTATCTCAAGCAACTGAAACAGATCCGCAGCTCTGGAAAACCACTGGATCACTCTAGAAATAGCTCTAACCATAATGAAGGCAATGGTGCAGAAGGTTTATGTGGAGAAAAATGGCTTAAAAATGTTCATTGGGATTTAGATGGGGAAAATAATTATTTCTAAGCAAATAAAATATTTTATGTGCTCAAATTAATTAACTACATTAGTCGATTAAATATTATATCTAGACATTTGGCTATTGTATCTAATTTGTAAAAGTTAAACATTTTATATGGCCAATTTTAAGAAAAATATGTATGGAACATCAGTTCCATAATGGGAAAATAGGAGAAACACCTTGTGTTTGCTTTGTATTTAGGGATATAATGTATAATAATAAAGCCCTACTAACCTGAGAAGAAAATGACACATTTCTTAATCATCAAGACTAGACAAGCCAGCACTATTTGAGTGATTAATCCCAGAAATTAAGTATAACTTAGAAAAACATGTTTTCACTTACATGTATATATGAATTTTACCAACACTTAAAAACTGAAAAACTTGGAGCTTCTAGTTTAAAATTTCTTTTTGAACTTGAGAATCTTTTATTGATTTATAGTCATTTCCTAGGTAAAGAAGTATTGGATCTCAGTTTGATTCCTATTACCTCTTGGATACCTTACCACACCTGTAAGAAGAAGGCAAGCATTAAGACTAACATGATGAGGCTCTGAGAAGTTAAGTAACTGAGCTAGCCACCAATTGATCTAATGTCATAGTCCGTGCTTTTACCTCCCGAAAGGAACAATGGTGGATCTCACTGGAAATGTAACTGTTTATTCTTGAGTCTAAATTCTGCAGCCTTAAAAATTAAACACATGCCACTTTTGATTCTTATTGTGTGCAACACAGAATATTTTCCTACATCTCCCAGCTATTTTTCTAAATATTTTTCAGTCACTTTAAATGAATGGCATAGTACAACATTATGTGTCCTGTTCTGTTTTATTAACTCTGAATGACTGTGTGTTAGTGCATGCAGTCTCTCTCTCTCTCTGTCTCTCTCTCTGTAGTTGTACTGTCTTTTTTGGAAAATTTACTACTTCTGAGAATGAGCATAATGGACCAATTTTTTACTCTTTGTAACTCTAGATGAAATGTCTACAGTTAATAGAGCAATCAAATCTGCCCTGCTAGGGAAAATAGCATTAGAGGAAGGGGACTCAGAGGCCCATGGTACTTGTCTTTACTATTACTTGTTAATGCATCTTTGTACAAAACAGATATTTTATTCAAAACCTGCCTCAACTCCTGCTGCTTATTCTCCTTCACCTCAAGTCACTCTCCTCTGTTTTCCAAAATATCAGTTGCTTTATGGGGAAAATATTATAATCCAGTTGTCCATGTGTTGCTTTGTAATAAGGAGATAGAGCATTAATATTGACTGACTTTCAATCTAAACCTTTTGGACAAACTTTTGTTGGAATGCAACAGGGAGCAACATTAGTAGGCGGGGTGTTGATGGACATGCAAACTGGGGGAACCTCAGGAAAGTGAATCCCACTTTTATTTGTTCTGTCTTATTACAATTTACTTGTCTGTGATATATTCATTAGGCAATTGAAAAAAAAATGCCATCTCAGATATACCCAAACCACACCTTTGGAAATCAACTGCAGTTACCACTTCATAGTTTGGGATCAGTATCCAGCCTTCCAGCAGTTCCTTTTGTAATCTTTGTCCATAAATAAACCTCCCCCTCAATTTAACAAAGACAAAGCTTTAGATGAACTCGCTTCAGAATGAACATAGTATAATTCACTTTTCAATTTCACACCCAAGGATTCTGTAATGGGGGAATGTAGGCGGTTAAGTTTTCAGTCATACCAAATGGGTTTTTAATACTTAAAATCCATCTGTTTACATACAAAGAGTAAATGCCTGGAAATGTGGCTTCTGAAATGCAAATGAAGAGCTACAAGACTTATTTCTGCTTGGGAAAATTCAACACTTTTCTGACAAAAGGGAGTAATAATAGCTCCTGTAAAATCCAATAATATTATAAATGATATTAGATCCAATAGTGCATGATATGTGTATGGGGAAATCTATGGTCTCTTGTTTGTTATTACTGCGTCGTGAAATGCTTCATAAATTTGAGGAAAGGAAGGATATTCAAATTAGCAAAGTACTTTGCAAATAGTCAGCTATACCAATTTTAGGATGCCTTGGCTTATAGGAACAACTAACAGATTTAGGAAACTAAACAGGATTTTAAAAAAGATAGTTTCCATTGTAACTCATGGAGCACCAAGGTGTAGGTAAAATTTTGCTGTAATAGCTTTTTGCCACAATTTAGCCTCATTCTGTTTTTGTTTTTGTTTTAACTTTGAGAAATTAAAGTTTACTTTTAGGCAATTAATTCTTCTCAGTTCATGACTTCATAAAGGATCACTTACAATGACAGACCATTCTATAAATTATTATTAATGTACAGAGATTAAAAATTGTTAGGCCTGTAAATAAAATGTTAAGATGGATATTTCATACAATCCGCCTTCATTAAAATTACTAGCATTGAAACTCAACCAGATATGTTCCCATTAGTAAGTTTCTTTTGAAACGCATAATTAGTATTTCACAGATTTTAATTTAAAGTATTGTTCTACCTATTTAATAGAGCAAGACCATAAAAACCTAACCATCTTTGTTTAAATAATTCTCTTTTAGTTTCTGAAAAATGAATGTGTTATTTATGGTAATATTATTTTACTGCTATTTTTAAAATTCCAAAATGGATAATGGTTAAACTTTTAAAAGTTTATTTCTCATTCATGAAAGTCCTAAACAGGCTTTCCTGATTGGTAGAAAACTCACTTTCCCCTGGCAAATGTTTGGCTTATGGGAACTGATGCCGCTTCTGTCTTGTGACTCCATCATCTTCATCATCTCTCATTTCGTAAAATCTTTGCCACAGAAATTAAACAAAGCGAGTTCAGTCTTATTTTGCCAACAAAATAAGAAAAGTCGTCAAAATTGAGAAGTAGTTATATGGGTTCATGTAGGTATTGGTGCAAAATGGCTGGAAAATGTAGTTTTGACCTTGGCTATCAATTCCTAGAAAAACCCTACACTGCACAAGGAGGAGCAAAACTCTTTGGAGGCCAATTAGCATAGACCACTAAGAGTACTGATTCTCCAAGTATGGTCTCCATCTGCATTAAAAGCAGCTGATGAGCTTGCCTACTGTCTTACTCCATTTTGTGTTGCTTTAAAGAAATATCTAAGGCTGGGTAATTTGTTTTAAAAAGAGGTTTATTTAGCTCACAGTTCTGCGGTCTGAACAAGAAGCATGGTGCCAGCATCTGCTCAGCTTCTAGTGAGGACTTTTGTGTGGCATCAAAACATGGCAGAGAAGGTCAAAGGGGAAGTGGGCAAAGGAAAAGAGGGAAAACCTGAGGCTTTATAACAACTCGCTTTCAAGGGAACTAATGTATTCCCACAAGAACTAATCCAGTCTCCTGAGAGGGAGAAGCCTTTTACTACCTGAGAAATAGCACCAAGAAATTCTTGAGGAGTTTGCCACCATGACCCAAACATCTCCCACTCTCCCACTAGGTCCTACCTCCCACCATCCCCACACTGGGGATCAAATTTCAACATGAGATTTGGTGGGGATAAACAGGCCATATCAAAACCACAACACCTACTTTCATATTCTGGAGCCCCACATCTGATCCACTAAACCTGAATGTTAGAGGGAAGCTCCAAGGATTCTGAATTTTAACAAACTCCTTTGTTATTTTTAGCACTAAAGTTTGAGAGCCATTTTAGAAGAAATAACACATTAGAATACTCAAATCTATATCTGTCTGTCTGTCTGTCTATCTATCTATCTATCTATCTATCTATCTATCTATCTATCTATCGAGAGAGACTATGAGAGGATCCTGGGATCTTCTCATGCCAGTTTTCACCTCTTCCTTAGCTGATACAAAACTTCCCAAGGAGCTTTGTTTGCTATTGAGTTTGACATTTTGATATTTCTTTATGATTAATGCAAAATGAGTATGTATGGCTAATTTCCTATGCATTTCCTCCCATATAATAAATGAATGACAAATGGCTCCAGAAGCACAATTCATTTTTATGGCTAGCTTTTTTTTATCCTAGGATTTGAAATATGAGCACCTTGAGTCTAATTCAATTCTAATTAAAATAATACTCATTAAGTGCTTCCCCCGGGTTGTGTGACAAATGGTACTAAATTGGAAAAAAGACAACCCACCACCCACAGGCTGTTTATATTCTAAAAAACAGAGTAATATAAAATGCTTCTCCTTTTCCTTTCCTCTGATCTTTATAATGGCCTGCTGGATATCTCCATTATCTCAACTTGGATCATTTATAGACTTCTCAAACATAACTTACAATAGAACTTTATGCTTTTATTTCTCCATAATCTTGTTTGTTACCTTGTATTATTTTCCAAATTTGTCAGCTCCATCATGAACACAGCCTGTTCTCTCATATTAAATGCTGAATTTCCCTGTACTGAGGAATATACACATTTGTTAGCTCTTAGGTCAATAGTTTCTTTAACTGGATATATTCTTTGTGCTCACCAGCTGACTAATGGCATAGAATATACAATGGACATGTTAGGATCATCGGTAATGCTGCCTAAATTCCACCTATGACAAATATGGAGAGAGAAAATTATTTCTTCACCGACCACTCTATTGGTGGCCAAAATTAACTATCAGTATTACATAGTATATGTAATGATAATGTACTGTGAGACTCTTAGTGGATATTAACCTATGTTATCAATCAAAAGGCAGAAACACTGATTACTCATTAAGCATGACTTGTTTTTTTTTTTTCACCACACTTGGAATAGATGCTTTTTTGTTGTGGTGGTGGGTTTTTGTTTGTTTTTTGTTTGTTTTGTTTTTTGAGACGGAGTTTCGCTCTTGTTGCCCAGGCTGGAGTGTAATAGTGTGATCTCAACTCACTGCAACCTCCGCCTCCCAGGTTCCAGTGATTCTCCTTCCTCAGTCTCCCAAGTAGCTAGGATTATAGGCATGTGCCACCACACCCAGCTAATTTTGTATTTTTAGTAGAGATAGGGTATCTTTAAAGGAGCTGAAAAAATTACTATTCCAGCTTAAGCAAGTATCCCCTCCATTATGCCACCAAACAGTATATTATGGAACATCTGATTTTCCTCCATGAGATAACTTTAAGTGTTTAATGTTAGAAATAAGACATTTTGGCTGGGCGCGGTGGCTCATGCCTGTAATCTCAGCACTTTGGGAGGCCGAGGCGGGTGGATCACGAGGTCAGGAGTTCAAGATCAGCCTGGCCAAGATGGTGAAACCCCATCTCTACTAAAAATACAAAAAATTAGCCAGGCCTAGTGGTGGGCGCCTGAAATCCCAGCTACTCGGGAGGCTGAGGCAGAGAACTGCTTGAACCCAGGAGGTGGAGGTTGCAGTGAGCCAAGATCATGCCACTGCACTCCAGCCTGGGTGACAGAGCGAAACTCTGTCTCAAAAAAAGTAAAAAGAAATGAGACATTTCAACTTCTATTAATACCCATTTCTATATCTTTCTCCACATTTATTTGAACTCTTATGTGATAAATGTATCCATTAAATCTGTATCACTTTTATAGTAATATTTCCATAAAGTATGGAAAATTCAGCTTTATAATTCCTTTCCTTTGGCTCAAAACTACAGTTTTTTCAATGCAAATGTTAAATCATAGTTATATCTTGTTTTTTAAAAAACACATTTACTCTCGACATAAGTTCCAGAATATTATACATTTCAATTTTATGCCTTTTTCACAGTCCTATTTTATTTAGTATATCCTCTTACATATTAAAGAATAATTTTAATTTGAAAAAGGATCTCAACACATACTTATTTTTAAAAGCATGTTTTTATATTATGTTTTAATGTTGTCCAATTTAGTACTGTCCGATTTTTAAAAATTGTATTTATAGTACAAATCTAAACATGCCTATATAATTATGCCTCTTGGGAAATATCCTTATTGGATGTCTCAGTCTGTTCTAGCTGCTATAACAAAGTACCATAGGCTGAATGGCTTATAAACAACAGAACTGTAGTTCTCACATTTTTAGAGGTTAAGAATAAGAGGTCAGGGTGGCCCCGTGGTTGAGTTCTGATGAGGGCCCTCTTCCAGGTTGCAGACTACCATCTTCTTATATCCTTACATGAGAAGAAGAGGAGTAGAGAACTTTTTGGGTCTCTTTTATAAGTGCACTAATCCCATTCATGAGAGTTTCACCTCCATGATCTAATTATCTCCTAAAAGCTCTACCTCCTAATATCATCACATTGGAGGTTAGGATTTCAACATATGAATTTGTGGGGGAGCACAAACATTTAGTTCATTGCAACTGGAGTATTTGTGGGTTTGAGTAAAAAAAATATTACAAGGAGAGTGCTTTTAAAACATCATAGAATAGTGTTAGAAATACCTATTTTAATACCTTTTAAGTGAGAATTTTAAGAGACCTGAGTCATTACGAACTAGGCTTATCTTCTTCTTCTAACTCCAATCTCTGGATATCCTGATATCACAATAATGCTTTATACTCAGGCACATGAATAGAAGCTATTGAACCCATCTAGTGTTAAGAGAGATCACAATAAAAATATTTTACTTAAACACTTTCCACCCATATATTCCTCTAATCCAGAGCAATAGAGGGAAACATTCTAACATTGTTAATGAGAGAAATCTTACGTATTGTTATATTTAAAGTATATCTTAGGGTTAATAGAATAAATGAGGGGAAGGTAACAAAGTGAAATTCACAAATGCCTTCGGTGATGAGTAATTTCAATGGCAAACTATTTTTTTTCCAATTTCATCAGAGTATCACCTTATTCTAATCAGCATTATTATCTTGGATATAAAAGAATTAATAGATAACATGCTTCTGAAAATTACAAATAATTTATCCCTGGACCAGTTAACACTGAATGACAAACTTGGGATCCAAAAAAGCCCTGACAAATTGGAACAATTGTCCAAATCAAATGGGAGAACACTTAAGAGGGACAAATATATCTAAGTATCCAACTTTGTAAGTACAGTTGCAGATCAAATAATTTTAGGACCTATACTTGAAAAATAAGCATATAAACTTATATAAAACATATACATATATAAAAACATATAAATATATAAACATATAAGTGTTATGCAGTTTTTGAAAGAATTACTATTACATTTTAAATACGACTTTTCTTTTTACTAATTTATTCCTTAACATTTTCTTGAATCCTGGATGATGCTATTTAAGAGTTATGTAAATATAATAGAATGTGTTAAAGAGTGTGACTGGCCAGGTGTGGTGGCTTATGCCTGTAATCCCAGCACTTTGGGAGGTTGAGACAGATGAATCACTTGAGCTCAGGAGTTTGAGACCAGCCTAGGCAACATGGTGAAACCCCATCTCTACATAAAATACAAAAAGTTAGCTAGGCGTGGTGGCCTGTAGTCCCTGCTACTTGGGAGGTGGGAGAATTGCTTGAGCCCGGGAGGCAGAGGTTGCCGTGTGCTGTGATCATACCACCACGCTCCTGCCTGGGCAACAGAGGGAGACATTGTCTCTCAAAAAAAAAAAAAGAAAAAAAAAAAAGTGTGACCAAGATCAAGAAGGGGTTTCACCCAAAAGAATGATTTATTTTTCTATCCTAGGAGTTGTTTACACCTGAATTCAAATGTTTATTCAGAGCCTGCATGAATAATCATTGAAGACTCTCAGGTTCTGTGATCCTGTGTAGTTAACAGAAAACAACACTCTCTTTACAAACACTCTGTTTCTCTTTAATTATACTAAATTTCACTCTATAAAACACTTCAATTTTAAAATTGCAATAGTTTAATCTAAGGACAGTATTATTTCACTTTCTTGTTTGTACAATATTGTATATACACATATATACATGTATATTTTATAGACTTACACACTATCAGTTTTGGGAAAAGCAAATGAATATATATAGGATATCATTATTCAAACTTACTATGTAGAATTTTTTATTCACTTGAGTAATTCTAGACAAGGAGACATTTACATATTTATCACTGAATCAAGGATTTTAAAATCAGGCATATTAACACTGAAATGGTTCTTTTGTAAAAGGAAAATACAGTAATTTGAGGGAAATGTATAAATAGCAAAATTACATTCTTTTAACCTTGCATGAAAACTCCAAAAATTAATTGGTTACATAAATCCTATTATTTAACAATATAAGTGAGAATATTAGCTATCCAAATATTGCCAGATGTAATTAATGTCCTTAAATATTGCCCCATTAGCATGCATTCTTATGAGCTGGAGTCACAAAACTAATGGATTTGCTACCCAGGGGACATCAATTGGATATGACACTGCCTCAGTTCTCTGCACGCCCTATTCTACTGTCTTTATTATAACATGATTACTTTTCATTTGATTCTATAAATTGCATTCTATCAAATTACTATAGTGGAGCCTGTGATATGATACTCTCACTAATTAAAATCTTTGTTTTCTCTACACTTGGGTTAATATAGATAGTTATTTTTCTTGTTTCTTACTAACCACTGGAGAAATACGTTAGGAAATACTTCAGGCTCAGCATCTTTTGTGTCATTAAATAATAGTTATTTTTGCTTTGCCATATGTAGAAAAGAGTCTACATTATTTTGCTGTGGGGAGAGGTATGTAACAATTACAGTAAATGCTAGAGTTTGAGTTTTCTAAGAAGTGAAATTCTAGTCAGGTAGGATTTGATAATCTAAATAGACCAGTGACTGACATTCCATATCCTTAGAGACTTCATAATGAGAAAATCTCTACATTCAGCCAAGTTTAATTTGTTGTCAATACATTCTAGCATTTAGAGAGGACTTTGAAGACTCCCAGCATATATTCAGAAAATACTGGCAACATCAATAGGATTATTTGAGTGTGGGGACATTAAATCACACAAAAAGTATATGCTTATTCACTATTGTTCTAAGAGTCCTTCCTCCACAAAATTTGAAAAAGCCCCAGGCAGACAGAGTCCTAGTTTGAATGCTTCTGCCTTTTCATTTCTTTTTTTTTTTTTAAGGTAAGATATTTGGCTCAGATTTCAATTGTGAATATTAGAGAGAATTCTGCTGCTTCAGATCTTCTCTATCCATGGCATTTTCTTCCACTGTCAAATAACTGGATCTGTCACGACATCACCACCTTTGGTATTTAGGAACCTAAGGCAAATTCCCTGGTCTTATTGCATGACAAAATGATCTCTGGCTGCACAATATATAATTTGATCAACAACAACTTAAAAAGCTTCTTTATTATACATAGGCCATCTGCCTTTTCTGTGTGCAGTATCTGAAAACACAGCAAAATCCTAAAATACATGATCCAAACATATTGGCAGTGATTTTTTTTCTTGGAAAATCAAATAAGAGAACCTGTCATTTTTCTTTAGAAGTTTGAGGCGAGTGACCTCTGCATACCTCTCATAATTATTTCTTGCTTCTTAAATGCCAAGTGGCTCATTCATAACAGCAAAATATAATGAGGACCTTCGAGATAACTGCCATTAGAAACATGTCATGAAATGTATCAGTACATGCCAGGCTCTTGATTACAACCATAAATATCCAGAAGACCAGTTGCAGAGCCCAGTGCCAGTTTGACATTTCCAGTTGTAAGACTAATAGAAAGGAGCAATTAACAAATAAACCCTCTCCCTCCCACCCCTCATTCATGCCTTTGCTCTACAAACATTTCTAAATTTACGTCTACAGTTCCATGATGGATTTTAAAAGTTTTAAATCATGCAATTTTGGTACCTATCATCCAAACACATAAACAAATTCTTTTTGAAACAGTCAGAAATGTTATGATATTTCTTCTCCTTGAACTCACACTTTGATTCCATTATCCTTATAAAATATTTTGTGAGACTTGACATTTATTCTATTATTTGCAGCATAAATGTTACCCAGTAATTAATGCCACTCACTTTATCAACTATATCATCAATATTTCAAATTGTTCTTTATTTCTTTCTTGTTCAGAAAGAACAAACTGGTACAGTTTGTACCAGAAGTTTCTTCTCTTCCAGGAAAATGTATCATAGTAAGATTATGGAGGAAACGAGTCTTTCCTTCATAAAGTAGGAGAAAGGTATGGGAAGGAGAAATTGGAAAGGAGAGCCTGTCAGCTGCAGTACATTCCTAGGCAGATTGACTGAAGAAAGTAAGTACATATAGAGTTTGAAGTTCTAGAAATTATTCCTTTAAAACTATTCATGTGGTTTCTTAATCCTGTGTACATCAAATAAATGCGCATGCAGGTCTAGAAAGCCAGTATGCTAGTTGCAATGAATCTGTGACTCTGTATATGTTATCAGACCAAGTATGTCCTGCTCCTCTATAAAGGCTTATAGATTTTATGTAATTAATACATATTTGAAAACCTCATTTTGTCGTTATGTATAACTGTTAAAAATGTACAACTATGATCATGGGGGGCATTTAAAAAGGACTCTCATATGCCAAAAATAAAGAAAAAAACGACTTGATTGGTCTAACTTGGGAAAAATATTTTAATGTATTGCTGAGTTAAGAATAAAATCTGAGACCCTACTTGCCAGTTGTTATTAACAAACAGCCACTGGTTCTAATAATCTAAATATTAACCCAATTACATGATGCCCTTAACGATTTAAAGGTATGGCTTTATCTTTTTGAGAAAGGAAAAAATTTCTTACCATTTTCATTATTTCTCTTAAGTAAAATTTGCTATAACTCTACCACCTGGCAGTTATATATTGTGCCAAGGAGGATCATTAACTCTGCCGGTCTCAGAAGTGCTGGTGTGCTACGTCTGAGCCATGACATCACTAAGATGTAGGTTGGTGCAAAAGTCATTGCGTTTTTTGACATTAAAAGTAAGGGGAAAACCTTCAATGACTTTTGTACCAACGAGTCATAGAAAATGCTACTTAGTCACATTGCTTATAATGGATTCCCCCACTCTCATCCAGATTGCCAGCTGATGAGAGTGTATAATGTGCCTTTAAAAAAACAACAGCAAAAAAGACAATCTCTTCTTCTTTTACTGTAAGAAAGAAGAAATTTTTTATGAAAATACTGGGTAACACAATGCAAATTTTGAAAATGAAACGACAAAAAAGTTAACAGGTAAATTTCTAAATCCTGACCTTGTTCCAGTGTCATAGTAGAGGTTTTAAATAATTTGACCAGTGTAGGATTCGGACACTCTTTTTTTCATTATAAAATGGTGTATAATGGGGAATAGCAAATAGTTGTAATTTTTAACGTTGAATTACATCAGCTCTGTAGCCATCAGAGAATAACTAGCACCATATTTGCCTTCCTGCCATTGGAAACCAAAACCTAGAAAACTTAAAAAAAAATCTTTAACAAAAGATTTCAACAACTGAAAACTAAGCAGCATAGAGCTGTGACTCCTGAGAAAAAGAAAAATGGAGTAAGGCCTATCATCCTTCTCTCTGCCTAGAGACATATTTAAAACCACAGTGCAGGAACAGCAAGACTCAAACACAGCAGAGAAGACTTGCTGAATTGAAAAGAGATAAACTCGAGTTCCGGAAGATTATGGTGACTGGTATTTGAGTAGTAGAATACTGGAGAGGAGGTAACTATACAGAGAAAAATCTCCAAAATCTACACAGGGATCCCTCTAAGGATTTTGCCCGATACTAAGCTGATGTGCCTGGAGTAAAACTACGTAAGTCTAGGCAGAGAGATACTACTGGAGGATAGTAGGCTGAATAATTTCCAAGAGTATAGAGACATTTGAGTTTCCTCAGCTGGAGTGAACAGACCTCATTAAAAATTTGGGCAGTCAGTAAGCCCTAGAAGTATCAAATTTGAGAGTAAAGACCATTCTAGACCTACACAAACAAAACTTGAAAACCAGCCTGGAAAGGTCAAGATGATCCTAAAGTAACCTAAATACTGGCCATAACAAAAGTTGCTACTCTATAATAGAAGATAACAAAAATCCAGACCTTGAAAACATGAAATACATCATATCTAGTGTCCAATAAAAACATAAAAGTGTGAAGAGGCAGAAAAATCTGAACCATAACCCAAAAACAAAAACAAAAAAAAATCAATAGGAACAAAACCAGAAATGATTGGAAGATGAAATTGGCAAAGAACTTTCAGGCAGCTATTAAAAATATGCTGAAGGACTTACAGAAAATATGAATATAATGAGGAGAGAAATAAAATGTATTTTTTAAAAACTAAGTGAGAAGTATAGTGTTGAAATATTAAATATTTGAAATAAAAACTCACTAGATGAACCTAATACCAGATTAGACAATGCAGATGGAAAGGTCAACTTAACAACATAGCAATAGAAACTAATCTGAAGTTCAGAGAAAATGAACATAAGCTCAGTTACTATGGTAGTTTGTTTCCTTTGAAACTCATGTTGAAATTTGATCACTAATGTGGTAGTGTTGGGAGGTAGGGCCTAGTGGAAGGTATTTGGGTAATGGGGCAGATCACTCATCCATACATTAATGCCCTCCTGCTGCAGTAAGTGCTTGCTCTCACATGACTGGATAAATCACTGAAAATAGGTTGTTATAAAAGGCAGTTCGGCTTCCTAGACCCTCTCTTGCTTCCTCTCTCACGATGGATCACTTTGTATGTGCCAACTGGCTTTTCTGCTTTCTCACAGTGGTTTTGACCCAGCATATGCCCCTCTCCAGAAGCCATCCAGATGCAGCTCTATGCTCTTGAACTTCCCAGACTGCAGAATTATGAATTTAATAAACATTTTTTCTTTATAAACTACCCAGTTTCAGGTATTCTTTTATAACAACACAAAATGAACTAATACATTAGAGACCTCTGAAACAACAGCAAGCAGTCTAATACGCTTATAGAGTCCCAGAAAAGGGGGTTAAGATCTATAGGAAAAATATTCAAAGAAATAGTGGCTGAAATTTACCAAATTTAATGAAAACCTGTTAAAGCAAAAATCCAAGAAGCAAAAAGTACTACAAATATGATAAGCACAAAGAAAATTACTCAAAAGAACTTAATAGCCAAATTAATAGGAAAAATGTTTTTAATCACTCTGGGGCTGGGGGACACTTCTTATAAGTGGGGCAAGAAGGATAGAAGACGTCATCAGAAAAAACCAATACTGAAGACAATAAAATGAAACTTCTAATATAAAGAAAAGAGAAAATATTCATAACTTAGGATTTTATATCTAGTGAGAATATATTTTAAATATGAATGCAAAATAAAAATATTTTCAGACAAAAGAAACAAAGAGTGTTCATCACTAGCATTTCACTGCAAGAAATTTTAATGGAAATTCTTTAGGATGGGTGAAAATGACACCATACAGTAATCTACATCTACAGAAAGAAGTGAAGAAGATAGGGAATCGTAGCTATGTGGATAAACATAACAGATGACTTTTTTCTCATTTTTCATCTGTAAAACAAAACTTTAAAACAAAAATATTAGTACATATTATGGGGTTTATTGCATAATATGTATAACAGTACTATAAAGGTAAAGGAGGGAAAGTGAAAATATACTGTTATAAATGTCTTACCTTATAGGTAGTGTAAAACATTATTTAAATTAGGTTTAAATTATTTTAAACCTTAAAACAACTGTCACAAAACAAAGTGGAAGAGTTTATAAGTCAACAGAGGAGATAAAATGGAATATGAAAATGCTCAGTTAATCCAAAAGAAGATAGAAAAAAAGAATTCTCATACATTGACCATTCGAATATTAAATTTTTCAGCCACTTGGGGGAAAAGATTGGCAGCTTCTTTAAATATATGCTTGCTTTGTGACATACCAATTAAACTTACAGGTATTTACCCAAGAAATATGAAAATGTATATACACAAATGCTTATACATTAATGTTTATCACAGCTTTGTTCATAATAGCCTCAAACTGGAGACAATCCAATGGCCTATCAAGATGTGAGAAAAACAAATTATATTCATACAATAGGCCACTAGTCAGTAATAAAAAGGAACAAACTGCTGATACACAGAACAATATGGGTGAATACCAAAAAAAGATTATGCCATTGTGCTGAGCAAAAGGAGTTACTCATAATGTTTCATTCCATTTAGATAAGATTCTAAATAGACAGAACTAATATGGTGTCAGAAAGCATACCAGTGGTTGTCAAGTGTCAGGAATGTTGAACCAGGGGTCAGAGGCAGGATTGTTGATGGCAAAGGGCACAGGGATTTTTCTAGAATGATGGAAATGTTTATCATCTTTGTTTGACAGTAGTTATACAGGCTTTCATTTAAAATGGGGAACAATTCATCGTATGCAAATTATACTTAAATAGAGTTGATTTTAAAAATGTTATGTGTATACATAAATACACATATCCTAAGCTTTCACTTGTTAACAAGTCTAAACAAAATTCTTTAGCTCTTACAAGTTCAAATATTTTTGTATGGCAAGCCAGCTAACAGAAGCAGCATGTCACATGTGAGGCCATACCGTCCCACAGGCAGGCCATTTTACCAAGGCCATTGGCCAAGTGCATTTGCCCAAACCAGTAAATAGTCATTGTTAAAACCAATCATTTTCTTTTGAACAACACTGCAGTTGTTAAGATCTCTGTAATATCACAAATAAATAAGCAATAATAAAAACAAATATGAAAATACTAAATGGGAAATTTCACTTCAGGAACAAAAAAAATCTTAATGAAACCATAGATTAAAAAATAAATAAATAAAACTTAATGGTATCTATAGGATTTTGTCTTCCTGTGCACTAGAAGACAAAACCTTTAAAACTTTCCTTCTTTTTCATTTTACTGTGAATGCATCATTTATAACATTTAACTGATTTCTATATGTCAATGCTTGATTCCATGGCAGGCAGGTTAATCTTAGTGGCATGACTCATTATTCATCTCTTTCTAATTAGCACACACTATGGTGACTTAGATTGCCTATGAGAACAAACCAGGAACATGAATAAAGTTAAGAGGCAGTCTTCAGATATTTTGCACCAGCTAGTTTTTCTGTGTTCCACAGCCTCAGAAAGCATCCCAAACTCACTGAAAATCTTGTAAATATATGCCATTCTTTACAAGAATAAGCAGATATTGTAGACGGTCAGTATAAGTGCGTTATTAGTACTATAAATAGAAGCAAAACTCTTGCCCTGCTGAGCGGTGCATTAGTAACATCATGCTATGTCAAGAAAGATTTTCATAATATGATTTTTTATCATTCTTTATGCTGCTATGTGATGAAAAGTGTGTAAACTGGAGAAGAGAAGATCGATGGGAGATAGGATACATTTCTGTCAAAATTCCAGAGACAGAGGGAAAAGAGCAGACTAGCTGTAAGTTGCTTCAATATATGTACTTATGAGTATATATTACATATCTAGGTGTCTCTGTTATATGCTTGTATATGACAAAATGAATTTTTTTAAAAAGATGCAGAAGTATCAAAGAGGAATATTCTGGCTTAGTATTAAAAAACTAAATACTAGTGAGAGCTGTCCAGAGAGCAAATAGACTTGGTTAGGCTAATGGAACAAACTTCATAATCTCAAAAGACTTTAAGCACCAGTGTGATAGACATTTGTCAAAATGCATAAAGAAAAATTATGTTCTGTATAAAATGGCGATCTCAAAGTCTTTGAAACTTGAAAATGTTTTATTGAATGATAACAACTAGATTTTAAATTTAAAGGTAACAAAATTAAAATATGATTAAACACTAGCTGCATATACCATCACCTTTGAAAATAAGAACGATTTTCTAAACAGTTCTTAATATTTCCTAGGTAACATTTTCCTTATCTTCTCTACACTCTAGTTTAACAGTTTAGTATCTTTTGTCAAATCTTTAGCATTTGTGAGTCCTTGGAAGCTTCAGTGGCCATGTGAATGAATAGCTGTAGTTGTTAAGATATTTGAAAGTTGAAATAGCATTTCCACCATGGACTTCATACATCAGTCTTCACTAGTGATTTCTGAGAAGCAAACAGATTTTGCTCTTTCTGAAGGGCTCCCAGTGTGACCACAGAGCAGTTGCTCTTTTATCCCTTTGTTTCCAAATAATTCTCCTCAGGAAACTCACTGACATTGAAGGAGCACCTCAGACACTTTTGTAACTGTGAAAGCACAGATATTAGCATTTGAAATAAAAAATAGAAGATACCACGGACGAATTGGAGAAAATTGGCTAAAAGCATTTTATAGACAAAATGAATTACATCAAAGCCACTGACAGTAACCTCAATATCTGTGGGTTAGTCTTCAGCAGTTGCCTTTCTTGTTTCTATGCCTGGTGAACTTAAACATAGGTCTGTAAAGTGTGCTGCTAAAATATAGGAAAAGTATGAGGATTTCATCCCTCTACGATTTTCTATTCTTGTATCTCCCTAAACCCACATCAATACCCAAAAATCTTTATTAACTCTCTGACTGGTGCTGTGCATGGTGATAATCATTTTGGGTTCATAACAAAGAAGAAAAAGTCACAATCTTGATGAGGAATCAGATTAATGGGGGAGATAGACATGGGGAGATAAGTGGGCATATACATATTTTCAACAGAATGAAATGGTGCCATAATAAAAGATAACAACAAAATGATATAGGAAATCTGAACAGTTTGGGGAGAAATAATTTAAACATATTAAGAACTTCTAGGAGGTCTCTAGATATGAAAGAGAATCCAGGACATTCCAGGCAGAGGAAACAACATGTACAAAGCCACAGGGCATGAACAGGGAGACAGGGTTCAGGAAAAAGTATGCGGTTTGGTATGGCTAGAATATAAGATATAAATGATGCAGATTTTTTCACCCCATAGTTCAGATAAAATCTGGGTTCTTATCTCACAACCAGAAAACATTAGGCATGTGGACACATTGAAGAGTGAGGAGGCTGGATTTAATACGTGAAGCAAATGAGGATGGATTTATTAAGTGAAAAAAAAAGCTCTCAGCACAGAAAGAGGGGATCCTGCAAATAGGATACCATCTCACAGATCGAATACCAGGCCACCATACAGGAGCTGAAGAGGCCAGGCTCCTCCCCTTGCATAAGGTGTGAATTCCTGGTGGCTCCACCCCATTCTCCCAGTGTGTATGTGGGCCCCCAGTCCATTGTGGGCAGTCCTAGCCAAGACCCTGTGCAGGTTCCCTTATCTGCCTTCTGCGTCTATCATAAAGGGAAATGAGAATTCAGGCAATGAGACTGAGAAAGACCAGATTGTGAAGAGCCTTGTGAGCCATAATATATGTTTGAACATATAATAGCACTATAAAGGATGAGAAATTAATACAATTTTAAGGTAAAAATGATAATTTTAGCAATTTTAGAGGTCGGGAGTTCCAGACCGGCCTGACCAACATGGAGAAACCCCGTCTCTACTAAAAATACAAAATTAGATGGGCATGGTGGCGCATGCCTGTAATCCCAGCTACTCAGGAGGCTGAGGCAGGAGAATCGCTTGAACCCAGGAGGCAGAGGTTGTGGTGAGCCAAAATCGCGCCATTGCATTCCAGCGTGGGCAACAGGAGCGAAACTCTGTCTCAAAACAAAAAAAAAACAAAGAAAACAAAAAAAAATAGCTAATAAGAGTACAGAAGGTAAAATGAGTGAGCAGAACATGGATATAAGAAGGAAGTGTATATATATATATATACATATACATAGTATATGTATATATATACACATATATACATATATACATATATAGTATATATATACTATATATATACTATATATATAGTATATATATACTATATATATATACTATATATATAGTATATATATATAGTGTGTATATATATAGTATATATATATACTACTATTGCAGTAGTGAAGAATGGTGAATGATGGCAAGGATCTGAACTAATTGGCAATCTTGCTGATGGGAGAGGAGTATCGAGCTTCAGAAGATATTGTAATTGAATTGATCAGTCTTAGAAGTTGGAAGAGGAATTTACCTTGGTCAGCAGCATGATTACGATGCTATTAATTCCTTTAGGAAATGTCAGTGGAGGGGCAGATTTAAATAGAGTGCCATTTTGTCTACATTGAGATGAAGAAACTGTGGTTACTCTGCTGCAGGTGTCTAGTAGTCAGTGGGAATGTATGGGTCTGTAACTAAAGAGGAACGTCATGAGTAGATATTTGGACTTGAGAAATATTGATGTATAAATGATATTTGAAGTCTTGGAAGTATTTCTGGTCACCCCCCAAAAAAAATAAGAGAAAAAAGTAAACAATTTGTCAAAATATAAACAACCCATTTATGGACCTATACTTTAATCCCTCTACTCTCATGAGGGTTTGGTGTACAGATTATTTTATCACCCAGGTAATAAGCACAGTATCTGATAGATAGTTTTTCCAATCCTCACCTTCCTCCAACCTCCACCCTCAAGTAGACCCTGGTGTCTATTTTTCCGTTCTTTGTGTTCATGTGTACTCAATGTTTAGCTCCCACATATAAGTGAAAACATACGGTATTTGGTTTTCTATTCCTGTGTTAGTTCACTTAGGATGATGGCCCCCAGCTGCATCCAGGTTGCTGCAAGGACATGATTTCATTCTTTTTATGGCTGTGTAGTATTCCTATGGGCATCTAGGTTGATTCCATGCCTTCACCATTGTGAATGGTGGTGCATTGAACATACATGTGCATGTGTCTTTATGGTAGAATGATTTCTATTCCTTTGGGTGTATAGCCAATAATGGGGTTGTTGACCTGAATGGTGGTCCTAAGTTCTTTCAGAAATTTCCAAACTACTTTCCACAGTGGCTGAACTAATTTACATTCCCACCAGCAGTGTGTAAATGTTCCCTTTCCTTTATAGCCTCATCAGCATCTGTTATTTTTTTACTTTTTAAAAATAGCCATTCTAACTGGTGTGAGATGGTATCTCACTGTGGTTTTGATTTGCATTTCTCCAATGATTAGTGATGTTGAGCATTTTTTTCATATGCTTGTTGGCCACATGTATGTCTTCTTTTGAAAAGTGAGTGTCTATGTCTTTCCCCACTTTATAATGGTGTCATTTGTTCTTTGCATGTGAATTTGGTGTATAAATGATATTTATTAATTTTTTCAAAAAATCAACTTGTAAGTTCCTTCTGGATCCTAGATATTAGATCTTTGTTTAATAAATAGTTTGCAAATAATTTCTCCCATTCTGTTCTATTTACTCTTTTGATGTTTCTTTTGCTGTGCAGAAACTCTCTAGTTTAATTAGGTCCCATTTCTCGATTTTCATTTGTGTTGCAATTGCTTTTGGCATCTTCATCATGAACTCTTTTCCAAGGCTTATGTCCAGAATGGTATTTTCTAGGTTTTCTTCTTGGACTTTTTAT
Source organism: Homo sapiens (assembly GCF_000001405.40). Lineage (NCBI taxonomy): Eukaryota > Metazoa > Chordata > Mammalia > Primates > Hominidae > Homo > Homo sapiens. Next base: position 172,608,257 of record NC_000004.12, read on the forward strand.
GATTTTAGGTTTTACATTTAGGTCACTATGCACCTTGAGTTATTTTTTTATATGGTAAAAGAAAAGGGTCAAATTTCAATCTTGGGCCTATGGCTAGCCAGTTATCCCCGTATCATTTATTGAATAGAGAATTCTTTTCCCATTGATTGTTTTTGTCAACTTTGTCAAAGATCAGGTGGTTGTAGGTGAGTTGCTTTGTTCTTGGGTTCTCTATTCTGTTCCATTGGTCTATATGTCTGTTTTTGTACCATTGCCATGCTGTTTTAGTTACTGTAGCTTTATAGTATAGTTTAAAGTTAGGTAATGTGATGCCTCTAGTTTATTTCTTTTTGATTAAGATTGCTTTGGCTATTTGGGATTTTTCTCTTTTTTTTGGTTTTATATGAATTTTGGAATAGTTTTTTTCTAATTCTGTGAAAAATGTCATTGTTTGTTTGATAGGAATAGCACTGAATTGGTAGATTGCTTTGGGCCTTGAGGCCATTTTAATAATACTGATTTAGCATGGAATATTTTTCCATTTGTTTGTGTTGTCTCTGATTTCTTTCAGCAGTGTTTTGTAATTCTTGCTGTAGAAATCTTTCAACTCCCTGCTTAGATGTATTCCTACATATTTTATTTTTTGTAGCTAGTATAGATGAGATTGCATTCTTAATTTGGCTCTCAGCTTGGATGTTGTTGGTGTATAGAAATGCTACTAATTTTTGTATGTTAATTTTGTATCCTGAAACTCTGCTGAAGTTTCAGATCAGGAAGTTTATCAGATCAAGGAGCTTTTGTGCAGAGACTCTGGAGTTTCCTAGGTATGAAATTAAATCATCTGCAAACAAATAGTTTGACTTGCTGTCTTCCTATTTTGTTGCCTTTTTATTTCTTTCTCTTGCCTGATTGCTCGGGCTAGAATTTCTAGTACTATTATTCATGTTGAATAGGAGTAGTGAGAGTGGGCATCCTTGTCTTGTTCCAGTTCTCATAGGGAATATTTCTAGATTTTGCCCATTCATTATGATGTTAACTGTAGGTTTGTCATAGATGGCTCTTATTATTCTGAAGCAAATTTCTTCAATGCCTACTTTGTTGAGAATTTTAGACATGTAGTATGTTGAATTTTATCAAAAGCCTTTTCTGCATCTATTGAGATAATCATGTGGTTTTGGTTTTAGTTTTGTTTATGAGATGAATCACATTTATTGATTTGCATATGTAGAACCGAACTTGCATCCCAGGGATAAAACCTACTTGATCATGGCGCAGAAGCCTTTTGATGTGCTGCCAGATTCAGTTTGCCAGTGTTTTATTGAGGATTTTTGCCTGGATGTTCATCAAGGATATTGGCCTGAAGTTTTCTCTCTCTCTCTCTCTCTCTCTCTGTGTGTGTGTGTGTGTGTGTGTGTGTGTGTGTGTGTGTGTCTGCCAGGTTTTGGTATCAGGATATGATGCTGGCCTCATGGAATAAGTTAAGGAGGTGTTCCTCCTCTTCAAATTTTTTGGAATAATTTCAGTAGGAATTATACCAGCTCTTCTTTGTACACCTGGTAGAATTTGTCTATGAATCCGTCTGGTCCTGGATTTTTTTTTTGGTTGTAGAATATTTATTATTGATTCAATTTTGCAGCTTGTTATTGGTCTGTTCAGGGATTCAATTTTTTTCCTGGCTCAATCTTGGGAGGGTGAATGTGTCCAGGAATTTATCAATTTATTCTAGATTTTATGGTTTGTGTGCATAGAGGTATTCATAATATTCTCTTATGGTTAGTTGTATTTCTTTGAGGTCAGTGGTAATGTCCCCTTCGTCATTTCTAATTGTGTTTATTTGGATCTTTTCTCTTTCCTTCTTCATTAGTCTATCTAGCAGTCTATTCTATTAATTTTTTCAAAAAACCAACTTCTGAGTTCATTGATTTTTTGTGTGGTTTTTCATGTCTTAATCTCCAGTTCAGCTCTGATTTTGATTATTTCTTGTCTTCTGCTAGCTTTGGAGTTGGTCTGCTGTTGTTTATCTAGGTCCTCTAGGAACACCTAGAGTGTGATGTTAGGTTGTTAAATTGGGATCTTTCTACCTTTTTGATATGGGCACTTAGTGCTATAAACTTTTCTCTTAACACTGCTTACCTGTGACCTAGAGATTCTGGTATGTTGTATCTTAGTTTTAATTAGTTTCAAATAATTTCTGCCTTAATTGCATTATTTACCCAAAAGTCATTAGGAGCAGGTTACTTAATTTCCATACAATTGTATAATTTTGAGTGACCTTCTTGGTATTTGTTTCTATTTTTATTGTTCTGTGGCTTGAGAGTGTGCTTGGTATGATTTTGATTTTATTGAACTGTTGGGAATTGCTTTATGGCTGAGCATATGGTCAATTTTAGATTATGTATATGCAGGTGATTAGACTGTATATTCTGTTGTTGTTGAGTGAAGTGTTCTTTAGATGTCTGTCAGGTCCATTTGGTCAAGTGTTGAGTTTATGTCCTGAATATCTTTGTTAATATTCTGCATTGATGATCTGTCTAATACTGTCAATGAGGTGGTGAAGTCTCCCACTATTATTGTGTGGGAGTCTAAGGCTTTTTATAGGTCTCTAAGAACTTGTTTTATGAATCTGGATGTTCCTGTGTTGTGTGCATATATATGTAGGATAGTTGGGTATTCTTGTTGAATTAAACCCTTTACAATTATGTAATGGCCTTGTCTTTTTGGATCATTGTTCATTTAAAGTCTGTTTTGTCTGAAATTAGAATAGCAATCCCTGCTTCTTTCTGTTTTTCATTTGCTTGGTAGATTTTTCTCCATCCCTTTACTTTGAGCCTATGGATGTCATTCCATGAGCTAGGACTATTGAAAACAGCATATCATTGCATCTCGTTTTTTTATCCATATTGCCACTCTGTGCCTATTAAGTGGGGCATTTAGCATGTTTACATTCAAGATTAATATTGATATGTGCAGATTTGATCTTGTCATTATGATGTTAGCTGGTTATAATGCAGACTTGATTGCATAGGTGCTTTATAGTATCAGTGGTCTATGTACTTAAGTGTGTTTTGTGGTGGCAAGTAATGGTCTTTCATTTCCACAGTTAGCATTACCTTAAGGACCTCTCATAAGAAAGTAATGAATACTCTTACTATTTGCTTATCTGGAAAGGGATAGTTTTTCTCCTTTGCTTAGGAAGCTTAGTTTGGCTGGATATGAAATTCTTGGTTTCAGTTTCTTCTCTTTAAGAATGCTGAATATAGGCTCTCAATCTCTTCTGGCTTGTAGGGTTCTGCCAAAAGGTCCACTGTTCACCTGTTGGAGTTTTCTTTGTAGGTAATCTGCCTCTTCTCTCTAGTTATCTTTGAAATTTTTTCTTTCATGTTGACCTTGAGGAATCTGATGACTATGTATCCTGAGGCTGGTCATCTGCTACAGTATCTCACAGGGGTTCTCTGCATTTCCTGAATTTGAATATTAGCCTCTCTAGTGAGTTTGGGGAAATTTTCATGTAATCAGTCTACTCTTATCTCATGAAGGCGTTTTGCCATCTTTTATTCCCTGTGAAGTTTTCAAGGGTATATATCAAGAAGATGGAGATTCTGATTGTTTACACATAATGCAGACAATTGTAGTTCATATTAATGCCTCATGATTTATAAGGCACAGGAAGTTAAATGTAAAGTGCATGTATTTAGGTCCCAGACCAACAGGATTTTAAACCTTGACTTCTTCTATTTATCAACAGAGCTATTTTGGTAAAATTGCATAATCCCATTGTCTCAGTCTCGTCATCTATTTTTTGAAAAAGTAGGAGGAAGATAAAGCATAAAGGTATAGGATAAATCATAAAGGATAAGGATCCAGAATGTATGTAAAATGCCTGGCTAATAATAGTCTCTCATGAATGATGGTGATGTTATGGGAAGATAGCAGGAAGAATTTTTAAAGTTGGGGGTGGGGTATCCAAAATGTTTAACTTCTTTGGGCTTCAGTTTCTTGACCAGTAAGTTGAAAACAAATCAAATGTACAGTGTTGTCAAAATAGATATTATGTCAAATATGAATCGGTATTATGATGCAGATGATCTGATAAAGAAGGACCTAGGAAAAGATGGATTTATGTCACATACACAAAGAATAGAAGAAATACAGGTATAGTCTTGGAGCACATTAAAGCCAGGACACTAGGCAACAGAATAACATGAAAGACATGGGGAGATAGTGTCACTAGTTACAGCAGCAGAGCAAAAGTTCTCCAGATGTTTCCTCACAAACCTACTCTTGAGTCACACTGGGCAGAATTAAGTCACGTGGTCATCCTTCCCTGGAAAGGAACTTCCAGGGAAATGGGTGTTCTCATTTTTTCAGCCCTATGAGAGATGACTTGGAATGGCTGTTGGGTAGCCAATCAGAAGAGTCTTGCACAATTATACAGGAGACATGTAATGTAAAAATTCTCCTAAAATTTATTTTTCCTTCTTTTTTTGTTTTCCCCTTAGTTGAGGATATACTTATCCTAAAATGTTGGTTGTTATTAAGGCCTAAACAAATGCAAAAGAGAATTCCTGATCTACTTCAGTGCTTTCAAATATTGTTAAGCTTCAGCATATTTTGTTTTGCTTAAATATTGCAATGAAGCCCAACATGTAAAATGAAAAAAGAACAGAGCCTCTCTAGAAGAAGGTTTGGGGGCCCCAGAGCCCTGGCCTATTTATTCTATTAATATTTGGCCTCCTGCTGTCTAACATTACCCCTCTCCCTGCAGTCACTGAATGTGCTCCAACCCTACCTAGAATACAGTCCTTATGATAGTCCACATTCATTCAGCTTCCACATGTACCAGGCATTGTGCTAGACACTGGAATCAACTTAAAAGGTAGATAAGGCCTCAGCCTTTATAGGGCTTATTTCCCAGGATAAGAGATAGACATATAGATGCTGGGGGAAGGGAGGATAATAAGTAAAATGAAAGTTGAATTTTAAAATGTCCAAGACAGATAATTTCTGTAGGAAAAAGAACTAAGGAGTACAGATAAAGCATAACTGGAAGGCTGCTGGCTTGGACACAGTGATCACAGAAGGGCCTTCTAAGGCAGAGACTTGGAGAAGAAGGACCTAGGCCTGTGAAGAGTAAGGGAGAGGGAGGTCTTATCGGAAAGAACTGCAAGTTCAAATACTAGGAAGCAAGGGCTACTAGATGTGTTTGAGAGCAAGTGCTAGGGCCTATAAAGCCTTGAAAACCATAGGCAGAGACTGGGACTTTATTCGAGATGTCATAGAAAGCCTCAGAAGATAATTTTGAAGGGAAGCATAAGACATGATCTAATTTACATTTAAAGAAGATCATAGAAATATTTAAAAAAGGAAAAACCTATGATTAATATTTCAGCAAAATGTGTTTTTTGGAATTTATAAATATTATGCCACATCGTTATAGTTGAAAAACATCTTTAAAGTCAAAAATACCATATTTTTTGAATACTTAAACATTATGCTGAAAATGACATAATGTAGCCCTAGCTATAAACTTCATCTTGGCTCTGTTTTTCCTTCCTCTGCTATTTACTTTGAATAGCAACTTTTCTCTCTTACTGAAAAACTGGGATCAAGCCTGAAACCCCTTTGTCTCTGCAGCAAGTGTATCAGAGTTTATTTTCAACTAAGCTGGCTTCTTGCTAAAGGCATTTTGTTCTAGCTACAAAGAAAAGATTTCTTCCAAGTATTACCCTTTGATTAGATTTGAACTAAAAATGAATTATATTCATTTATAGTCTTATACTGGGGAAACCTAGATGGCCTATCTCTTCTAAGATCACTGAATCCACTGAATCTCTCTCCCCTCCCACAGCTGTCTTTCTCTGTCTTTCTCTCACTCTGTCTTTATCTATCTATCTATCTATCATCTATCTGTCATTCTGTCTATCATCTATCTATCTCTATCCCTCTCTCTCAATCGCTCTTGTGTTCTGTTTATGTAATAGAGTGATAGGTAGATAACAGAGGCTGTCAATAAAATGGCCTATAGAAAAAAATTGTCTCTCTATTTCACAGAAAAACTAATTATTTTTTGATTTCTTGAAGAAATAGCTGTTGAGGATCCAAACGTGCATCTGCAAAGCTGAACTAAGGCCACTAATTCATCAGAGCAGCTTACAGATTCACCAGTCAATTCTAACAATTTATATTTTTATTCTTTTTCCTATGTTTAGTAATTGTTCTATATAAGTTTAATACAGAAAAGGGACATGAATTTTTTTCAAATTGAAGTATTGCAGAAGAAAAGTGTTTTTCACAATGATATAAGTATCTTGTATTGGGTAGTTTTATGTGTATAAGCATCTTCAGATATTAGAAAGGATAATTTGATGATAACTTATTCTGAAGAGATTTTCATCAAACTACTTTGTAAGAAATGCAGAGGCATTTTTGATTGTTGAATCTGTAGACAGGTGCGTAAAATCCTTATCGTTGTAACAGCAGCCCTGCTGACCAGATTGGCTGTTATTCTTAAAAGATGAGGGAAGCACTTACAGCATCGTAAGCCTAATAAGGTGGGTGTTGTGAATCAATTTGTACTGTCCTTGACTTTCTGCTTATATTAGAATTCTAAAAGATCATTAGCCACCTCTGGGATATGTTTGATTAATGGGTTTGGTTAAACAAAAAAGGTGAGGTCAACCGTGAGCAGAAAGTTTAAAAAAAATGTATTCCAGAAGAAACGTGTGCTTCCCAAATTGCAAATGAGAAGTTCATTCCTTAGGCATGTTCTAATCAATGAAACCATGTGTTCTACTAAGTTGACCTCAAAGGAGACTTTTAGCCACCCTGCTTATTTGCCTTTCAGTTACAGGAACGTGACTTCTGAGGCTAGGGTATTAGCACACCTGCTGAAACGGTGTTAATCTAGGTAATACAAAGTCCCCAAACACATGCTGTTAATAAGGCAGGTAGTTTAAAAAAAAAAAAAAAGACTAGTCTAATATCTCACAGTGAGAAAAAATTCTTCTCTGTCATTAGAGAGGGTGAAACATGCTCCTGTTCTTTTGACATTATATACCTCTTATTGTTTTTCCTTTTTATTAAAAATGAATCTCTTCTGCTGTTTTCAGCAGTGCATTTTTACTTCTGTATTATAATAGCTCTCCTCTCAATGATTCCATGAAGACAGGCTGGGATAATACACCAAGGAAAAGATTTTGCTTTACTTGCCAAAATGAGACCATACTTTGTTTTTTCCTTAACCATTGCCCCCTTACTCCCTGGAGTTTATCACCCCACACAAATTAAGCTAATTTTATAAACTGAAAATGCTCTTTCTATTAAGTTCTCCTCAAAGTGAAAGCAATGAGCTTCATTCTGTTTATTACACTGCTCTTCACAATTAGTTTTATGATGTATGGCAAGAATGTGTATACTATAAATCGAGTCTATAACTCTTACATATCTAGTGATAGTTATGAATCCATTGAGTAGAACTGAAAATACAGTATATAACAACTCAGTTTAATTTATAATCTAAATTGCAAAGCTATTTAGCCCCTTACATTCAAATTCATTTTTGCAGACCTTTTAATTAGATACAGTGATCTAAAATAATCTGGTCCCCAAAGGTAAGACAATCAATTTAGTAAGATCAGACAATTTCTGATGCTTTAATACAACCACACAATACCACCAGCTAACACCTGACTCTCTTGCTTTTATTTCTTTTCTTTAAGTAAATGAAGTATTAAAATGTTGTGATAATGCGAAAAGAGTTAATACATCAGAAACAGCTAAAAACATGAAATGCCTAAGTTTTTGGCTGAATATGGGTCAAACTTTAAATGTGAAAAGAGCTCTCTGCTACCATCCTCTGCCTGTAACTGATAACATATATTTCTGTCCCTTCATAAAGATCTGGAAACATGGCAAAGCCCCCATAAGAGAGAGCACAATGGATCTCATTTGAAAAGTTAACATTTCAAAAATGAGATCTACTGTGCTCCACAGGCAGTTGAGAGAATGTTCTTTATTTAACCTCAATGCTCAATCGTCTATTGTAACCAAATAGCAGTTGTTTGGTTTTTTGTTTTTTATAACACCCCTTTTTTTGTCTTATTTGGTCCTAACTGACTTCTTCAGAATGTTGCTGAACATCTGCAGAGGGAGACATTTCTATAACATATGTATTTATGTTTGTCTAATTGGTACACATTTGTTTCATGATACTTTGGTATGAGAAAAATAATTTTTTTAAAATCAAATTATATTCAACTCCACTCCCAAGCAGCAAAGTTGGCAGAAAATCCATACTCTTTTTTTTTTTTTTTTTGCAAAGTTTTTTTTTCCTGTTGTTCTTGGGATTATATTAGATCTAGAGAATCACAGTGTAGAAAGAGTGGGAAAAGAAGGCTTGGTCTATTTGTTCTTGCCAGAACCTGAGTGTTCTATTTGCAGGTAAGCAGCTCTGAAATTATGACATCCATGTGCTCCAAGCCAAACATGATCTCCAAGGAAGCTTCTGTGAACAACCCAGGCTAAGGGTCTTGGGATCCAGTTCTCCTGAAAACCAGGCACCACGTCCCTCAGTGGGCTGAATCTTCATGAGTTTCTTTTCATGAAGAAAAACACAGGTCTCCACCTTTCAAGGAACCCACACACCCTGCCATAAAATCACTTTTACCTCAAGAAGAGCTATTCCCCTTTCCAAGAGTCTAGAATTTCAGTGGAGGGACCTCTTACCTTTATTCCCAGATAAAAAGTAATCTGGGTTTCCAGGTCTCAAAGCTCTTGGTTTTTTAGCAGAGGAGAAGGTAAAATGTTTCGCATTTTTTTTTTGTATGGTAATCCTACAGCCAAAAATAGACACATTTTCTGGACGGCTTCTCCTGCATAAGTAGGTAGAAAGATAAGTAGTGTGTTTGTTTGTGTGTGTGCGTAATTATAAGGCATTTTGGGTGTAGGATATATATAGCTGTACATTCTGTCCTTGATGAAAAGACAGAAAAATATGGTGCATATTTTTAAAAATGAGAAGTTCTTTTGTAATAACAGCATCTCAGGAATGAGATAAACTAGCTATTGAGGATACTATCATGTGAGCTTTAAAGTCAGGCTGACTGCCTTATTATTTACCCTTAATTTCCTTTAGACCCTATCTTGGGACCCAGAATATGAAAGACACTCAAAAAAAAAAAAAAAGAAGAAAAGAAAATGCATGTTAACTTTATTTATTTATTTATTTATTTTATGTGTTTTTATTTTATTTTATTTTTTTGAGACCGATTCTCGCTCTGTCGCCCAGGCTGGAGAGTAGTGGCACGATCTCAGCTCACTGCAAGCTCCACCTCCTGGGTTCACGCCATTCTCCTGCCTCAGCCTCCCGAGTAGCTAGGACTACAGGCGCCCGCCACCACGCCCAGCTAATTTTTTTTTTTGTATTTTTAGTAGAGACGGGGTTCCACCGTGTTAGCCAGGATGGTCTCAATCTCCTGACCTCATGATCTACCCGCCTCGGCCTCCCTAAGTACTGGGATTACAGGCGTGAGCCACCGTGCCCAGCCTTAACTTTATTTAAATAAAACCTCCAAAGTGGGTGTAACCTTCAAAAGATAAATACAAAATACCAAATGGAGTGAATGATTTCATCTTTACATAACCACCCCTTTGCTGCTATTATAATGTGACAATGTACATTGCCTGAATCAGTTGCTCCAACATGCACCTCTAGGATAAATTATTAATTCCTCCATCTGGAACCCTGTCTTGCCTCTGTCCCTCCTTCTCCAAAAGATTCTCAAATATGGCATAAATGCACAAAGGAATGCAGTGGAAAATGCAAATTCTTTATTGTTATTTTATACCAAATTTCAATGTATTCTCTCAGTGAGTTAGGCAGCCTTTTTTCTGCTTTCCCTGTCACACTGGTGTAGTCGGCAAGAGTTACTAATATAAGGATATGGTGATTAGCCCTGGCAGCAAAAGGGCTTGGTTTTGGGCAGCTTGTGCCCCTGGACTGGTCATATGGAGCTGAAAGCAATCTCCTTCATTAACACTAAGTGCCCAGAAAATTGTGTCATTTTCTGCCATAATATGATAGGTAAAACATTGAGGATGCTGTTGGTAAAAGGCAATTCCACAGAAAACACTCCAAGAAACCAAGGCACAGAGTGCTTCCGTAAAAACATCATTATACTCCTCTCACTAATATTCTACTCCCTAGTAACACAGCCCAATGAATGCCCCAGACCCAACTCATCTGCTTTCTTTGGTAATAAATTTAGTAAAGAGAGAAATTCTTCTGCACTTTATCTATGGGACAATGAAAATCATGGGAAATGGACCTTCCCAAACACCTGGACATCACTTAACACAATCAGATATAAGAGTCTTAGAAATGTTATCACTTGCATCTATACATTCTATTGTTTTTTTAAAAAATTCTGTACCTAGAGATGATGTGTTTATTCTCTCTCATGATTTATTACTTAATAATAACAAAATCACTGTTTTTGTTTCTTTTTTTGAGAGGGAGTCTCACTTTGTTGCAAGGCTGGAGTGCAGTGGTGCAATCACGGTTCACTGCAATCTCTGCCTCCCGGGTTCAAGCAATTCTCTTGCCTTAGCCTCCCAAGTAGCTGCGATTAAGGGTGCGCACCATCACACCTGGCTAATTGTTGTATTTTTAATAAAGACGGGGTTTCACCATGTTGGCCAGGATGGTCTGGATCTCCTGACCTCATGATCCGCCTGCCTCGGCCTTCCAAGGTGCTGGGATTACAGGCATGAGCCACAGCACCCGACCAATCACTAATTTTTTTTAGTGGCCCAGTGTCTCCCTCTCTCTTCTTGGCTTAAATAAGAGGTCAGGAAAAGCAAGCCTGGGAGAAGAGTCTTTTTTTTATTTTTAATATTAGAGATCTGAAAAGGATTTTGAGGTAGACATAAATTGGGGCCAAATTATAACAGCATTTTTTTCCTTCAATAATCTGGTGGGAAGGAAAAGATTCCTACGCGCCCTTCATCCTCTAGCCTTGATGCCAGATCGACAGCCAATCACGTCTCTCCACTTCTGAATCATGTCTGAAAATATGCATGAGTGCACATGCAATACCATACTAGAAAACCTTTACTCTTCATCCTAGTCATTTATTTGCACAAATAAATGTCTTTTCATTCTGCCAATTCATTCACTCTTTCTCAGATAACAAAACGAGAGGTTTTTCCCCAACATTATGACTCTTGTGTTAATATTGATTCCCTCTCTCTTAGTCACTTTTTCAGAACAACAAACTAATTTTATGTTTTTGCAGTATGCCTTCATAGCTTCAGCAAGAATCACTGATTTGGAACTTTGTCATATGCTTTCAAACTATGTAAGATTCAGGTCTAAGTTGAATGCAACAGTACAGTATCTCAAAAACTTAACCTAGTTATTGAGGCATGACCTTTTTGAGGTTGCTTTGTGTTTTTTCTGTCAGCTTTGTTTTTTAAGTGTCTGGTTATTTGATCCCTGAATTGAAGTTTTGAGATTTAATGACTGTCAGATAACATAACAATATCCCGGAGTGTGTATATATACCTTGGATAAGAATAGCCACATGAGTTTCACCTTTCTTTTTATTCGTAAGTACTATGAAATGCATATGTCAGAAGAAATCTTTTCTTCAAAGGCCTATGTCATTGAAGCTGCAAAGAAACCTTTCTCCTGTGTATAGGCAATTATTATTACTTTCCAAGAGGCATATCTGAGCTGTAGTTGCAAACATGTCACATGCCTCTTCAAAGCTACCTTTCCTTTCATTATGACATGCACTATTTGGGACCTATTTTTTTTCCAACAGCACTGTCACAGTTTTCATGTTTTTAGTCTGCATTTACTAAAGAAAAGTTGCCAAGATGGTTCGAGCTTATGTAAACTTTGCTAAGAATAACTACATGATATAGTAATGTATGCACAACACAGAGGAGTTTAAAGAAAGGGAGAGGAAGGGAGAAATCTCCAATATAAAAAGGGTGTAGTCTGGTTTGTTATTTTTTACCGTGCAGAATTATTCATGAACGTGAATTGTGCTTGTTTCTGTTCTGTAGGTAAGAATTTATTTAAACAGGTCAAACTTGGAGGTCCCTATAGTACATTTTAAAAGGGTGAAGATTATAGTAAATGAATAACCATGTATAGCACTCATAGAAAAATTTTTAAATGTTTCTATTATTTCATTCTGTTTTGTTCCTGATTATAAATGTTATTGCTATAGTGCTTTATTTAGTAATCTAGAAATATCAATTGTTCTAACACAAAGCACAAATACACTCTTATATACAAACACCGTCTTGCAAGCACCGAAGACAGAATTATATCAATGACTTTATCCATCAAACAAAATTTAATATTACTTTAAAGGTTGTTACAGAAACTATAAGCATTCCTAAATTTTCCACCTAACTTTTCTTCATTTGTTACATAATGGCACCAAATTAAAGACTTCGAGTGTTGCAGAGAGGGTCTGTCCCATTTCTGCCTCTTTAATTGAGGATTCTTTACACAGAGAGTTCCCTGAGTTGTTAGCAAATTGAAGTTAGCTGCAAATATCCATGGATATTTCAAGGTATTTTCCACAGTCCTTATTCCCCTTATCTAAAGTCTTGATCCTCTACTTTGTGTTCCTGAACCAAACTCTGGTTCCATTTAGAGTTTTCATAACGCATTCCCTCTGTTTAGCCTTATGGCTGATACTGAAGAGATGCATCTTTGGGTGGAAAACTCTCTTTTTGTGACCTAGCATTAATAAGATGCCCTCTGTCAGGGGAAGCTCTTGTGAACTGAGAAGCTCGGCTTTCTTTTTATTGATTAAAGCTTGTAAGGAATAAAATATCATTATGAAGGCATAAATTAAGAAGACTTGGGATAGGAGAAATGCAGAATTTCATTTTGGTTTATTTCTGAAAAATAAGTGATCCTTCCACCTCAGCCTCCTAAGTAGCTAGCATGCCCAGCTAATTTTTAAATTTTTATTTTGTAAACATGGGATCTTGCTATGTTGCCCAGGCTGTTCTCAAACTCCTGGCCTCAAGCAATAATCCCATCTCAGCCTCCTAAAGCACTGGGATTACAGGCATAAGCCAATGTGCCCACCCTATTTTACCACTGTTTCTGGAGATAACAGTAGCCTCAATTTTCTGAGACTTTTAAAGATTCTGCAGGTTAGTTCTTGTCTTTCACAATTGCTAGTTGGGGAATTACTTTCCAGGGTCCCCTAATTCTGTTATCAACAATTAATCTACTTCCAACTTCCAATTTTTTGTCCTTTACAACCTCGTCAGTTTATGGCTAAAATATTATTTTGTTTATTCCTCTAAAAAGAGATTTTTCTGGTTTATTTGCTTTTGTTTGTAATACAGTTTTAAAGTATTTTTCTTAGAAGTATGTGAAACATGATATACTTTCTGATATTCTGGATATTCTAAACTAATTTTCATTTGCTCTGACAAATAACTTTAATCTGAGATTAATATAGGAATCCTAGGTTTTAGGTTTCTACTTCCTCACAATAGCCTTGATATGCAATTCCACTGTTGCATAAAGAAGTTCAATACTCTGCCGATATTATATATTCTTTGTAGCTAATGTTTTTTTCTTCCTAGAAGCTTATATTTCTCTTTAATCTTAGAATTTAAGAATAATACCAAGGTTTGCTTGGATGTGTGTCTTCTTACCAATCTAACGGCATTCATGGGACCGAGGTTTCTGTGTTATCCAGGGTCCCACTCCTCCATATGCTGCCCAACGTCAAGCTCTTCCTCGATTTGCCATCCCTGGTCCTCACACTAGGGTCATGGTCCTCCCTACCTATCAAACTCAATGGAAAGTTTTTTGTTTTAAAGATAAAATCTCATATGAAATTGGAGCAAGTAAAAACAAGAAAATAAGAAAAAGAAAGATAGTTATGAAAAATAGTCCAGTTTTCCCAACATCCTGTTAATAGGAACTCAAGAAACAGAAAATAGAGAGAAAAACAAATCATAAATAAAATAATTCAAGAGAATTTGTCACAACTAAAGTTTCCAACTCAAAAGATCTCATTTGATGCCCAACACAATGGATAAAAGTAGACCCACTCCAAGACACATAATCTTAACATTTTAGAAACAAGGAACAGAAAAAAATTATGTAAGATTTCATAGAAGAAAAACAATGGATCACATTAAAAAGACAAAGAGGTATTTTCAGATTTCTCAACAGCATTAGAAGCTAGAAAATTATTTACGCTAAAGAAAAATTATGTCCCACTTAAAATCTATATCAATTATCTGTCCAATGGAAAGGTGAAGACATTTTCAGACCTCCAAGTTCTCAGCAATTTCACCTTCCACAGACACTTTTCCAGAAATCTGCTAGATAATATGCTCCTCTGAAACTAGGAAGAAAAGAAAAAAGGAATGCATGAGAGGCTGATAGGAATAGGAGAACTCACTGAGAAAACAGTCCAAAGGAATCCCCAGGATGAGCATGAAAAGATGTGTCCAGAGGACTGTTGTGTGCCAGGTACAGTAGAAACCGACCTAGCCCAGGGTGATCCAGGTCTGAGGATCTAGAAGAGGTTTCTTTAATATTAATTTGATGATGAGGAGATGTGAATAATTGACAAAGCGTTTAAGGTTGAACAGTAAAATGTATCTAGAAAACTAAATGAACAAAAATTAAGTCCATACCAAAAAAATTTGTGTTTTTTAAGAGAGAAAATGTAATAATCCTAGTTCACTAAGAGATTTAAGTTAGAGCATGATAATGATGTAAACACTAAGGGCTCCAACTAAACCTAGGCTGCAACATAATTAAAAAGGATACAATAAGACAACAATAAGAAGTGTGGGTGGCAGTAGAGGAGAGGCAAGAAGGATAAAGGCTAAATCCTTATCCTTTATTGTCAAAAATCAATGCACGAAACTGAAAAACTAAGTAACAATGCAAGCAAGTTTTACTGAGCTATGAAGATAAATACCCGAAGAATCAACTAAAAAAGTTAAAAAGGAGTGCTTCAGGGAAAAAGAAACGTGAATGCTCTGAACTGATGTATTTCTTAACAAATCTTATAGAACTATGTGCTCTTTAAACTACAGATGTCGATTATGTGATCATATGTATATAATTTTAAATAAAAAATTAGAAGAAAGATGAAAGAAGAAAGTAAAGTAGAATGGAGGAAGAAAAGGAGGAAAAGATGGATAATGAGATAAGATAAAATAGAAACTATCCAAAAGCCAGAAGGACCATGTTTTTATTAAATAGGAATTTTAATATTAAAGGCATCAATCAGAACACCAAATTACATAAGGTACCTACTAAAAAGAACCAAGTTACAGTTGTGTTTTGTAATCTAGCCAATCAATATCCTTCCATTCAGCTCCTTTATTTCTTTTCTATGGAAAAACTCAACTAATTTTCCAGCTTTCTTGCAATAAATTTAATTCTTGGCTGACATTCTACCATGGCCAGAATGCAAGACACTATCTTCCAGTCTTGTCCATTCAGATAGCCTTTTTATTGTTCTAACATTGTGTGTGAACTAGGTTTTGGTCTGGAAGGCAATTTTTTCATTATTTCAGTTTGGGCCTTGGTCCATCTTAGGCCAGTTTTTCATTTTGTTAATTTTTGCTTTACCATTATGTCTCAAATTTTATTCATGAGATATTTTACACATCAATTATATTTTGCATGCATTTTACTTTAATTCATCCAGTATAAATTACTTCCATTTAGAATTAATCATGGAACCTATACAGTTTAGGATAATGTTTCCAAAATTTCTAAATTAACAGAAGCCTGTACTTGACAACTATATGGATCATCCAATATAATTTAAAATGTGATATCCATCTTAGGAATTTGCATATATCACTGTGTTGATCAGCACACTTTTTCTTACAAGAACATAAACTCTTCTAGCTTAAGCAAAAATTAATTTAAGTTCTTTTTTCTTTGGACCCAAAATTGAGTTGTATGATCAAATGCAGAACTTAACAGGAGTGCTTTTTTGTTGTTGTTTTTGTTTTTTGTTTGTTTGTTTGTTTTTGTTTTAAAGCTGCTTTATTTTTCTCTAGGATCTCATAATTTCTTATTTCCACCTCTCAGGTTACAATTGTGTGGTTTTTGGTTCTTGTTATTGGATAGATCCATCTTTCTCTGCTTTTCCAACCATCCACCTAGAAAAAAAAAATGCTCTCCTACAGTTTTTGAGCAACCAGCGTACAGGTAGTCTGAAGAGACTCATTACTTCTGCAAACCCCAATTTCAAGTTCCTAGAAGAGAGAATCTGAATCAGATTGAATCTGAAATCCATGGAGTCTAAACATTGACCTCTAAAGTTTATTACTGGCGTATGAAAAGGCATTTTTTACAGAGGGAAGACAAACATTGAGGAGACTAACAAGTATCTACTGCTCTGCAGTAAATAAATGCAATTAGATCATACAATGTGTTTTAGTACTTTCTAATTCATTATTGACAATGTTGGTCTGTATTCATCACCTTGTTTTCCTTGGTAGTTTTTTTTTTATTTTTTTGTTTTTTCTTACCAGGTCTTTTTTTTCTTTTATTTCAACTTTTATTTTATATTCAGTGAGTACATGTGCCAGTTTGTAACCTGGGTATATTGTCTGATGCTGAGGTTTTGGAGTACCACTGATCCTGTCACCCAGGTAGTGAGCATAGTATCCAGTAGTAAGTTTTTCAACCCTTTACGCCATCCTCTGTCCTCCAGTATTTCTCAACCAAAAAAAGAACTACTTTTGGTTTCGTTGATTCTTTGTATGGATTTCGGGGTCTCAATTTCTCTCAGTTCTTCTCTGTGAGTTTTTAGTATTGTGCAGTGCTCTATGAAATAAAGAAAAATATACTCACTACATGCTGCCTACATTATAGGGACATAAAAAAAACTTTCAAGCACCCTCATCACTCTATATATTTCTTATATTGTTTGACTCTTTTACTACCCTTGACCTCATTTCTCATTATCTACTGTTCCCATCTTTATGTCCGTACATACCCAATGTTTAACTCCCACTTATAAGTGAGAAAATGCAATATTTCCTGATTAATTTGCTTAGAATAATGCCCTTGAGCTGCATCCAGGTCGCTGCAGAGGACATGGTTTCATTATTTTTATGGCTGTGTAGTATTCCATGCTGTGTATGTACCACATTTTCTTTATCCAATCTGCCGTTGATTCTACGTGTCTTTGCTATTGTGAATAGCATCACGATGAACAAAAGACTACATGTGTCTTTTCAGTAGAATGATTTATTTTCTTTTGGATATATACCCAGTAATAAGATTGCTGGGTTAAATGGTAGTTCTATTTTAAGTTATTTGAGAAATCTCCAAACTGCTTTCCACAGTGGCTAAGCTAACTTACATTCCCACCAAATGTATAAGCGTTCCCTTGTCTCCTCAGCCTCACCAATGTCTGTTGTGTATTGACTTTTTAATAATAGCTATTCTGACTGGTGTGAGATAGTATCTCATTGTGGCTTCGATTTACAATTATCTTATGATTAGTGATGTTGAGTGTTTTTTCATATGTTTGTTGGTTGCTTGTATGTCTTCTTTTGAGAAGTATCTGTTCATGTCTTTTGACTACCTTTTAATGGGATTTTTTTTCTTGTTAAATTATTTAAGTTCCTTATAGATTCTAGACATTAGACCTTTGTTGGATGCATAGTTTGCAAATATTTTCTCCCACTCTGTAGGTTGTCTGTTTACTCTGTTGATAGTTTCTTTGGCTGTACAGAAGCCCTTTAGTTTAATTAGATCTCACTTGTCAATTTTAGTTTTTGTTGGAATTGCTCTTGAGGACTTAATCATAAATTATTTGCCAAGGTTGATGTCCAGAATGGTGTTTCCTAGGTTTTTGTCTAGCATCCTCATAGTCTGTGGTCTTATATTAAAATCTTTAATCGATCTTGAGTTCAATTTTATGTATGATGAAACGTAGGGGTCAGTTTCATTCTACTGCATATGGCTAGCCAGCTATCCCAGCAACATATATTGAATAGAAAGTCCTTTCCACTTGCTTATTTTTGTAGACTTAGTTGCAGATCAGATGGCTGCAGGTGTGGGGCTTCATTTCTGGGTTCTCTATCCTGTCTCATTGGTCTGTGTGTCTGTTTTTAACCATGCTGTTTTGGTTACTGTAGCCTTATAGTATACTTGGAAGTCTGGTAACATGATGTCTCATGGCTTGTTCTTTCTGTTTAGGATTGCTTTGGCTCTTCAGGTCTTTTTTTGGTGCCACATGAATTTTAGAATAGTTTTTTTCTAATTCTGTGAAAAATTGCATTAGTAGTTTGATAGGAATGGTGTTGAATATGTAGGTTGCTTTGGGCATTATGACCATTTTAACAATACTGATGAGTATGAAATGTTTTTCCATTTATTTGTGTCATCTCTGATTTCTTGCAGCAGTGTTTTGTAGTTCTCTTTGTAGACATCTTTCACCTTTTTGGTGAGCTGTATTCCTAGGTAATTTTTGTGTGACTATTGTAAATGGCATTGCATTCTTGATTTGGCCCTCAGCTTGAACATTATTGTTGCATAGAAATGGCACTAATTTTTATAAATTTATTTTGTATCTTGAAACTTTATTGAAATCATTTTTATCAGTTTCAGGAGCCTTTTGGCAGTATCATTAGAGCTTTCTAGATGTAGAATCATATTGTCAGTGAAGAGAGACAACTTGATTTCTTCTTTTCCTATTTAGATGCCTTATATTTATATCTCTTGCCTGATTGCTTTGGCTAGGACTTTCAATGCTATCTTGAATAGGAGTGGTGAGAGTGGGCATACTTGTCTTGTTCCAGTTCTCAAGGGGAATGATTCCAGCTTTTGTCCATTCAATATGATGTTGGCTGTGAGTTTGTCATAGATGACTCATTATTCTGAGGTACGTTTCTTCAATGCCTAGTTTGGTGAAGGTTTTTATCATGAAGGGATGTTGAATTTCATCAAAGGCTGTTTCTGCATTTATTCAGATGATCATATGGCTTTTGTTTTTAATTCTCTTTATGCAGTGATCACATTCATTGATTTGCATTTGTCGAACCAACCCAGCATCCCAGTAATCAAGCATTCTTGATCTTAGTGAATTAACTTTTTGATGCGCTGTGGATTCAACTTGCAAGTGTTTTGTTGAGGATTTTTGCATTTATGTTTATCGGGATGTTGGCCTGTGTTTTCATTTTTCATAGTATCTTTGCCAGGTTTTGGTATGAAAGTGATGCTGGCTTCATAGAATGAGTTGGGAAGAAATGCCTCTTCCTTGTTTTTTTTTTTTCGAATAGTTTCAGTGGAATTCGTATCAGCTCTTCTTTGTATGTCTGGTAGAATTCAGCTGTGAATCCATCTGGTCAGGAGCTTTTTGCGTTGGTAGGTTTTTTATTACTAATTTATTTATTCAATTTTGAAACTTGATACTGGTTTGCTTAGGGTTCCAGTTTCTTCCTGTTTCAATCTTGGGAGGTTGTGTGTTTCTGGGAGTTTATCCATTTTCCCTAGATTTTCTACTTCATGTGCATACAGGAGTTCTATAATAGTCTCTGAGAATTTTTTGTATTTCTGTAAGATTGGTTATAATGTTATCTTTGTCATTCCTGATTGTGCTTATTTGGATATTCTTTTTCTTTGTTAATCTAGCTAGCAGTATATTGATCTTGTTTATCCTTTCAAAAAAAAAACTACTTTTGGTTTTGGTGATTCTTTGTATGGATTTCGGGGTCTCAATTTCTCTCAGTTCTGCTCTGTGAGTTTTTAGTATTGTGCAGTGCTCTATGAAATAAAGAAAAATATACTCACTACATGCTGCTACATTATAGGAATATAAAAAAACTGTCATGCACCCTCATCACTCTATATATTTCTTATATTGTCTGACTCTTTTACTACCCTTGACCTCTTAATCACTTTCTTGTGACTACTTAGTTGGTTTATTATTATAATCAAATCAACATCAGTATTCTTTTATATGTACATTTTCCATTCACTTTTGCTGATAACATCTTGTCTGTTAGTGTTTATAGCAACTGCTTCAAATCTTTTTCGAAATGAGAAAGCATACAAGCATACATCTGAATGTAAATAAATCAGTCACAATCTCAAGTCCTACTGATGTCTCTTTTTTCAAAATATTTAACCTTGGATTAAATTTTTTATCAAGTATTTAAACTCTGCTGCAGGTAGGCTGGGCACGATGACTCATGCCTATAATCCCAGCACTTTGGGAGGCAGAGGTGGGTAGATCTCTTGAGCTCAGGCATTCAAGACCAGCCTATTCTCTTGGAAACATAATTACAAAAACTTCATTCCTTGCCCTGGCCGTTTCTTTAACCAAACTTCAGCTTCTTTGTGCCCATAGGTGCTGGCAAGCAGAGATGGTATATCTCTGAATATGCGTATTGTCAGTGTCTCTCTGTGAATGCCATTATTCAAGGGCTCACAATTGATATTGTTCTTTGTTGCAGATAGTGACTTCCAAAGTGAAGTTTTTGGAATGCTAGTGCTAGAAGACTTTCTTAAAAACAAAGATTTCATAGCAAAGTAAACTTTTTTATATTTTCCTAAGAAGAAAATGTAACCTTTCTTGGTAATTTTTGATGAATATTAAAAGATTTTCAAGATCCTTCATTTAAAAAAAAAAGTACCTACTTTGTAATCCACTTTTCTGTTGTTACTGAACTGGAGTGCACACGATAATTTTCCCCTGACCTCGTATATGCCACAAAGATTCTGATTTACACTCTGGGAGTCACAGCCTTCTTGATTTACCAAATCCTTATCTAAACACACAAAGACATCCACTCTTCCAAAAAATCACTTTTATGTACAGCAATGCTGTTAGTAAAGTTGTGTTTGTCTATCTGTGTCTTGTGTGTGCCTTTGTGTATGTCTCTGTGTGTGGTGTGTGTCTGTGTGTTTTCTTCTGTTTTAATTTGTGGTTCATCAAGAGGAACAAATTGTTCAGTACACGGAAGAAAATAACTCATTTACTTTTTTCCAAGAGTCAGATTTGAAGGATTTTTGAAGGTTCCTAAGATAATAAATTTATTATTTATGGACAAGCATTTTATATCATTAAAAAAGAACAAATTTTGTTAGTCTTATAATGCTTTAAAAATGCAGAATTTCTCATGTGAGAATCGGAATTGAATTTTGGTATGAGATTATGAAATTATTAATTATTAATACTCTTTTGGTGAAAAGGAATATTTAAATATATTTTGAGACTTTACCCTCTATGTGACAAGCAACTTTTATTACTTTTGCATTTAATTAAAATTTCTAATTACATTTTTATCTATGATAAAAAGTACAAAATTTAAAATTCAACAGTTACCACTATTAAATTTGAAGCATTTTCACATTACAGTTTCTGCTGCTTATACACCAACCATCAATGCTATTATGGATTATCACTTCAATTAAAAGATTGTTTATGATCCCCATAGGTATAGATAGAAATGAAGGCTGAGCAATGGGAATTCCAATGATGATGTAGAACATTCCATATTAAATAAAATCCTGTGCACCTGGGAAATCAAATTTTAGCTCAGTTGTATTTATTATGACACCCTAGGACTTGTGTTTTATGGATTCAAGATAAGAAAATCATTAAAAATCTGCTTGTCACATTAAGAGATCATTTAAAATTATTCCCTCAGGGATTATTATTAGCAATATATTGTAAGATCTTTTCCTTCCTTGACCATCTTATCTTTATGTAACACATGATTTCTGTAGTTAACTAGAGAATTCAGTGTTCAGGAAGATTATGATGCTGGGAAATCCTCCTGAGACAATTTTTTTCATCACTGAGATTTTCCCCCAAATAGGAAGTTGTTTTTCTTTTTTCAATCTGCAAATATCCTCACTTTTTCTCAAGCCACTTTCATTACTGTCAGTCTTCTGCAGGTTTTCACCACACCTAAAAAGAGAAAACATAACCATTACAAACCTAAAAAGACTCAATAAACCAAAGTAAAAAGTAAAACCTTGAGACCTGAGGTCAAAGAATCAAACCCAAGTAAGACTGGAGTTTTCCAGTGAAATACTTGGAAATCTAAAATTCAAAACCAAGGTCATGGTGTGGAAGGACATTAATATACATTTTATCTTTTTATAACAAATCATCTCTAGGGAAATTTTCCTACTAGAAATCGTAATTATCTCCATCAGTCGCTCCAGGGCAGTATCGGCAAGCTGATAATGCACCTGCATCTCTACCAATCACATTGCCACAGAAACTGGAGGGGAAAAATCTGCTGCTCAAGAGTTCTATCTCTGAGCCTGTGAAATAGCCATTATCTCCATGGCAATCTGTATTTAAGACAGCCATCCAATCCTCATCTTTTCTTTTTTACAGTTTACTTTTAAGCTTTCATACAGCTTCATTCTGAAAAATATTTTCTTTAATTACTTTTCCTTTATTCCTCCAACTCAACATATATATATATAATACATATATAAATAACGTATATGCATTTCCACAAAGCTATCTTGTTTTTATATAATTAGAGGGAACTTATCTTTCTGATTCCCTCTAATTATATAAAAACAAGATAGCTTTGTGGAAAAGCATATATGTTATATACATATATATATACTGCATAGAAAATATAACTGATATTTGAGTAAGTATGTAAAAGAAAATTGGCCAACAGAAAATAAAATTCTTAAGAAAACTAACAAGTAGTGGTTACAATAATATATAGAGATGCAATATATATAAACTGTATGAAAAATGTAATTGACAATTGCATAGAGTCATTATGTAAATGAAACATCAACCAATGAAAAACATAAAATTCTTTAGACATTTAACAAGTACTGATTGCAACAAAACACAGGGTTGTTTTTTTTTAACTTTTTTGAATATGTAGTAATTTTTTTTTTTAAATGGAGTCTCACCCTGTTGCCCAGGCTGGAGTGCAGTGGCATGATCTCGGCTCACTGCAACCTCCTCCGCCTCCCGGGTTCTAGCAATTCTTCTTCTTCAGACTCCCGAGTAGCTGAGACTACAGGCACACACCACCATGCCTGGCTGATTTTTTGTATTTTAGCAGAGACTGGGTTTCACCATGTTGCCCAGGCTGATCTCAAACTCCTGAGCTCAGGTAGTCCACCTGCCTCAGCCTCCCAAAGTGCTGGGATTACAGGCGTGAGCCACTGTACCTGGCCAGTAATTTTTTGATGTTTGAAGTTCTACTAAAAAACAAAATTTTCATTACAATAATATCAGTTGTTAATGTTTTTCCGACTGTCAATATCATTATTTAACTACTTTCTTTTCTTCACTCGATCTCATAGTTCTATTCAACCTGCTAAGAACAAACAGTATCTATTCAACCATTTCAATCATCAAAGTAAAATTTCAGGAATATTATTCTTGTAAAACTCATGTGTGGACAATGTTTTTGTGAAGCAAAACCAGTGTGATTTGCTTTCAAGATTCCCTCCAGCGGGTTCTGTTTTTGTTGTTTTGCCATACAAGTAATGAATGTGTCTGAATATAAAAGGGATAGGTAATTTAAGAAAGAAGTACATCTTTAATAAAGTACTGAAAAGTTTTGAAAATATCACACTGATAAAACCAAACATATCTGAAGCCATAATTCATAATGGAATTAACACTGTAAGTCTACATCAATGTTTTAAATATTTTCAGTACCTAGAAATATATGGTGAATATGTGGTAGTGAATAAGTCTCATGAAACCTGATGGTTTTATAAATGGGAGTTCCCCTTCACAAGCTCTCTTGCCTGCTGCCATATAAGATGTGACTTTGTTCCTCTTTTGCCCTCTAGCATGATTGTGAGGCCTCCCCAGCTATGTGGAACTGTGAATCAATTAAACCACTTTTCTTTATAAATTACATAGTCTCAGGTATGTCTTTATTAGCAGCATAAGAACAGACTAATACAGTGAATTGTTACCAATAGAGTGGGGTGCTGCTGTAAAGACAGCCAAAATTGTGGAAGCCACTTTGGAACTGGGTAACAGGCAGAGGCTGGAACAGTTTGGAAGCTCAGAAGAGGACGGGAACATGTGGGAAAGTTTGGAACGTCCTAGAGACTTTTTGAATGGCTTTGACCAAAATGCTGATAGTGATATGGACAAGAAATCTAGGTTGAGGCGGTCTAGGATGGAGATGAGGAACTTGCTGGGTACTGGAGTAAAGGTCACTCTTGTTATGCAAAAAGACTGGTGATATTTTGCCTCTGCCCTAGAGGTCTGTGGAACTTTGAACTTGAGAGAGATAATTTAAGGTATCTGGCATAACAGATTTCTAAGTGGCAAAATATTCAAGAGGAAGCAGAGAATAAAAATCTGACTATGCAATAAAAAAAAAAAGAAAAATCCATTTTCTGAGTAGAAATTCAAGCCAGCTGCAAAAATTTGCATAAGTAACAAGGAGCCAAATGTTAATCACCAAGACAATGGGGAAAATGTCTCCAGAGCATGTTACAGACCTTTATGGCAGCCCCTTCCATCACATGCCTAGAGGCCTAGTAGGGAAAAATGGCTCCATGGGCTGAGCCCAGGGACTCCTGCTCCATGCAGCCTTGGGGCATGGTGCCCTGCATCCCAGCTGCTTCAGCTCCAGCTATGGCTAAAAGGGGCGAACATACAGCTCAGGCCATTGCTTCAGAGAATGCAAGCCCCAAGCCTTGGTGGCTTACACGTGGTTTTGGGCATGCTGGTACACAGAAGTCAAGAATTGAGGTTTGGGAACCTCTGCCTAGATTTCATAGGATGCGTGGAAATGCCTGGATGTCCAGGCAGATGTTTGCTTCAAGGTCAGGGCCCTCATGGGAGCTTCTGCTAGGGCAGTGTGGAAGGGAAATGTGGGGTTGAAGCCCCCACACAGAGTCCCCACTGAAGAACTGCCTACTAGAACTCTGAAAAGAGGGCCACCATCCTCCAGACCCCAGAATGATAGATCCACCGATAGCTTGGACAGTGCACCTGGAAAAGCCACAGACACTCAACACCAGCAGCTGAGAGGGGGGCTATACCCTGCAAAGCCACAGGGCAGAGCTGCACAAGACCATGGGAACCCACCTCTTGCATCAGTATGACCTGGATGTAAGACATGGAGTCAAAGACAATCATTTTGGAGCTTTAAGATTTGACTGCCCTGCTGGATTTTGAAGTTGCATGGGGCTGGTAGCCCCTTCATTTTGGCCAATTTCTCCCATTTGGAATGGGTGTATTTATCCCAATGCCTGTACCCCCATTGTATCTAGGAAGTAACTAACTTGCTTTTGATTTTACAGGCTTATAGGTGGGAGGGACTTGCCTTGTCTCAGATAAGACTTTAAACTGTGGACCTCTGAGTTGATGCTGAAATGAGTTAAGACTTTGGGGATCTATTGGGAAGGCATGATTGGTTTTCGAATGTGAGGACCTGAGATCTTGGAGGGGCCAGGGGTGGAATGATATGTGCTTTGGCTATGTCCACACCCAAATCTCACTTTGAATTGTAATTATCCCCATGTGTCAAGGACAGGGCCGGGTGGAGATGATTGAATCATGAGGGCAGTTTTGCCCATACTGTTCTCGTGGTAGTCAGTTTCATGAGATCTGATGGTTTTATAAATGGGAGTTCCCCTGCATAAGCTCTCTTGCCTGCTGCCATATAAGATGTAACTTTGCTCATCATTCGCCTTCTGGCATGATTGTGAGGCTTCTGCAGATGTGTGGAACTGGGAGTCAATTAAACCTCTTTCCTTTATAAATTACCCAGTCTCTGGGAACAGGCTAATACATAGTCCTAAACTTCATAACTTATCTAATGTAGCTCTCCCCAGTATGACTAACCACCACACTCCATATTCACCTCCATCTGTTTCCAATATGTCCCATCCTTCTCAAAAAGAAGTGTCTATTCTCTGTATTTAGGACATCACTTATGAGGTATAAATTATTCATGTTATGCTTCTCATCTGGAGTGTTTTCTCTCCAGTCCATAGCAGTGTTCAAGGCCTAAAAGCAGAGGTGACAAAAACAGTCTGCCTGCAAATGAAACATGGCTCAAAGACATGTTTTTTATGGTCCACACAGTAGCCAATAACTTAAAAACTGAAAATTTTTATATAAAAATCCAGATTTTCATCTTTACCTGAACACCTAGAACATGTGGTTGCACTGTCCCCCGTGGCAATAGTTGGCTGGAGCTAAGCAGCTCTGGAACCTTCTTGGTGGGGCAGTGTATGTACTCCTTGGTCTAGCCCAGTTTTCATTTCTTCTTATTTCTTAGCCTGGGTCCCTATAGGCACTTCAACTTTTGATCTCTGACATGCAAGAATGAAATTATATAGCAAAGAGTAGAAAATCTTTGAACACTCATTCACAAGGGAAAGTTTCAACATTATTATAGCAGTACCTAATCTAAATAAAGTCAACCACAAATTTATTTATGTTTAATAAACTTTATTACTACAACTTATTCAACATTTATTGAATCCTGTTTTGTACCAAGAATTAGATGAGGAAATGTGGACAAAGAGCAGAGTAAAGTATATTTCTGCCTTCCCATAATTAATCATGTAGTCAATATAACAGAAATCATTTTAAACAAGGTATTTTAATACAATGCAATAACAGAGATATATACAAAAGGCACTAAAAGAAAATATCTGAGCATCAGCTGTATTATATTCAAAGAGCCAACTTATCCATAGATGTTATTAATGAATAGATGACAGATTTGATGGCTTACATCAATTTAGTTTTTACAAGAGGAATATAAACACCTGTGTCATAATTGAGGACTGCAAACTACTCAAAGTCATAATTGTAATTTTGCATGACTTGTAAAATGTCTGCTTCAGTAATCATGAAGCACTAAGAAATCAGTATCACACTTTAGAATATAACTAAACTTTTTATTCCTAACCTATTATTTACCTGCCTATCTTAAAGAAATATCTTGGATGTTTGAGTTAAGTATCTGCTTGATAAATGTTATATAAATCAGTTGCTACAGGCATCAGTGTTTTGGATATTTTTCAAATATAGTGCGACTGTTTATTTCAAATTTAATTCAAATAAGATGTATTTTGAACTGTCTCAGGTTAAATTTCTGGAACTTTATGGTAACTTGAAGGAATTTAAAAGTAGGAATTATTACAATTCAAACTCATATTAATCTAAAGACAATTCTGAGCTTTAGTTTTGGGTTTTTTATCAAGGCAAGATCAATCTCCCCCTGAATTTGACCCATTAATCTGTCTTCCCCCCTTAACCACACCCTTTCAAATTTTGCATATTTGAAAAGAGCTATCATACCTTCCTCACAAATATACTTATTCAATAATTTCCTGTTTAGATTACTCATATGGCTCTATTATTTTTCTGCGAACTTTCTTCTCAAATGTTGCCCTGTTTTTAAACATTCCTTGTAAAACATAGCACTTAGAAACAAATGAAGTATTCTAGATTGTGGATGATCAGATCCAAGTTTGGCACAATTATTTTTCTTGATGTAGACAATATTATTTTTGAGCAAGCTTTATATCCAATAACATTTCTGGTAGCATATCATACTTCAGATGCACATTGAACTTAAATTATTCATTTGTTTCTTCTGAGTGCCATATTTGGCTTCATCCACTAAACCATATGATAATTATTTGGTACATATGATAAACCTATAGTTCTAATGACAACATTTCTGTAAAAGCTATGGATTTCAGATTCCTTGAAATAAATTTTCAGTCCACCTTTCAAGCACTGTCTTCATTGAGTATAACACTCACTCAGTACAGGATACTTTTCATGGTATAGAGTCCCTAAGGACCAAGGAGTCCTGGAATCATATGTAATCTCATCACCCAATCATTTGCTCTACCATACAACTTTATGATATTGTTTTAACCAAAAGTCAGATTCACTATTATAGAAATTACCCTATTGTTGGAAGTTACTAAGATAATGGTCATTAGTCTGATGTCAGAGAGGAAAATCCAAATAATGACATGTCATTGTTTATCTTATTGATAACTGCATACCACTTTATACTGTAAATAACTGAAAATAAACATTTCTTAAAGCTTGTAGTAGACTGAATACTGGTGTCCCAAAGATGTCCATGTCCTAATTCCCAGACCTCCAAATGTTTCCTTACATGGCAAAAGGGACTTTACAGGTGTGATTTAGTTAAGGATCTTCAGATCAGAGGATTCCTCTACATTACTTGGGCAGGCCCGGTGTACTCACAAGAGTCCTTAAAAGCAGAGAGGAGGGTCAGGGCAGAGAAGGCCATGTGACAATGGAAGCAGAGGTCAGAGTGAAATGGGGCCACAAGACAAGAAACACAGGCAGCCTCTAGAGCTGGAAAAAGCAAGAAAATAGATTCTTACCCACAGCCTTCAAAAGGAGTACAGCCCTGCTTGCCCATTTTGGATTTCTGACCTCCAGAACAAATGTGTGTTGCTTTAAGTCAGTAAGTGTGGTAATTTGTAACAGCAGCAATAGGAAACTGATATGCTTCTTAATCAAAGGCTCCTGGTAAAAACTGCACTCATCTAATTAGACTTTGCTGGGGGTGGAATAAAACACAACTTCTATTTATCCTGACAGATATTAAAGAACATAAGGCTTTTTTCTTCTTCCTAATAGTGGCTTTAATAGTTTGATTTTTTTTCAACTCTGCTACACTTTACATATATTATATGGGAAGAAATTGGTACAATGAGTCTAATTTTCTACAGATTTGTCAAGAGTATTTGAACAGTAAAACATATTTCCAAACAATCATTAGTTTCTAACACCAAAAACTGGGTAAACAGCCAAACTAAAATGGTATTAAAAAGACTCATCATTCTTTATATTAATTGCTAACTCATTAATCAATTACTAATTCAGAAATACACAGATTATTAGGTATTGCTAAGTGATAACTTGTGGACTTAAAGGTAAATTTGGGTAAGGATAAAAAATTAAAACTTGGTTTAGAATAATAAAATGATACCAAATCAGAATCAGAATCACACAATTCCAATGTTTAGAAACTGTAAAATTTATACTAAAAATATTTAAGGCATTATTTATCAAGCTAACACAGTTCTAAATAATTGTACAATGCTTTAGACAGGAATAGAAAATCAATAAGCTGGAGGTTTCAACCATTCCTGTCATGGAACATTTTAAGATTTATGAAATAAAATTGATTTGTGAAATCAGACAGAATTGCTGTATTTACCTTTCATTAACATGAATGTAACTGTGCCACTAGTCAAAAATATTAATCACGTTGATTATCCTTAAGCAATTTCAAGTTTATTATTGAAAGCATAAGTATTCATTTTCCCAAGTATTCAATAAGACTGCCTGTCAAATTACAAACAACACAATAAATTCTACAAAGTGTGGTGAAACAATAAAATCATTTAACATAATTGAATATTCCCATGAATTGTATAAACATTAATCTTAATGATAAATCAAAAAGCAAATAACTTATTGGGTAAAGTTCTTAAGTTCTACATCTAGCTCTGTCACTAACAACACTTCTTAAATCCACTGAAAATAATCTACTTCTAACCTTGACTCTGTTTTCATTAATCACCACAAGGACTCTCAAGTCACCTTAGTTTCCCATGCTTTAATCTCCTATTGGACCCTACGCATACTTGATTTTTGTCCTCTTTTATTACCCATCCCTGATTCCTAAACCTTTTCTATTGTGTCCTTCAGGAACCATCATCAGAAGAATGCCTTATATCCTAAAATTAGTCTATGAATATTCTCTTCACTTTCTTTCTTTAATATAACTGGCTTTCCTTCATTTTCCAAGCAGTGGCTCATGTCTCCCATAGTCATTGTTGCAATAACTTCACTATTCGCAGAAGTGACTGAAAACCACACACACATGCACACAAATCACATCACAAAAAGTAAACTCAGTGTATCCTTGACATGACTTTGTAAGATCTCAAAAATACCTATGGCCTCTCTCCATTGCTGTCCAACAAGGAGACAAGTATTGCAGACAAGAAGCTAGATTGGCAGAGAGTGATCTTAACTGGTTGTGGTCAAAATAGTTTACTTCTGTAAATATGTCAAAAGCACATATCCCTGTGAACATATTGGTAAAGCCCCTCCCAGGAAATAAGCTCCTGTAAGGAAGTGGGGTGGGGCAGGGGAGCTAGAATTCAAGCCTCATTAGTTCCATGAAGACCCCACAATTGCATGCATCCCACTCTCTGACCACCACCTCCTGCGTTTTCTCTCCCCTCTCTCTGGTACCTCAATGACACATTTTAGTTTTTAGCTTCTCATTTTAAAACAATTTCAGACTCATAAAAAGTTGCAGAAATAGTAAACACAGTTCCCATGTCTTCTTCACTCAGCTTCCTTAAATGTTAACATCCTACAAAGCCAGTATAATTATCGAAATATAGTTATGAAAGCTAGGAAATTAAGATTGGTGCAACACCATTGACAAAAATAAACCTTATTCAAATTTCATGAGTTGTCTCACTAATATTTTTATTTTTTACTATGGAATTTAATCTAGGATCCCATAATTAATTTAATTGTCATCTTGCCTCTAATTTGGGACAGTTCTTCATTCTTTCTTTGACTTTGATGAACTTAACACTTTTGAAGAGTACTGACCATTTATTTTGTCAAATGTCCTTCAATTGGGTTTGTCAGTATTTCATCATGATTAAAATCAAGTTGTGCATTTTTCAAAATAATACCACAGAAGTGGCGCGCCCTTCTCAATGCATCATATGAGGTGCTACATGATGTTGGTTTGTCCCATTATTGCTGGTATTAACTTTGATCATTTGGTCAAGGTGTTACATGCAGATTTCTCCACTGCAAAGTTAGTTTTCTCTGTGTAACTAATATGTATCTGGTAGGGAGGGAGACTATAAATATTCCACATCTCATCATATTTTGTCAACTAAGTTTAGCATTCATCGATGATTCTTGCCTGTAACAATTGTTACTGTAACGTTTGCCAACTGGTGATCCAAAACTCTCAACCCTACTGGGACCTCCATTCCGTTGATCTTTCCGATGTTACTCTATCCTCAGCATTTTCGTTTCCTCACTTCCCTCTATGTGTAGCTTAAATTCAATTCTCCATCATTATAATTACCCCTTGCCTATATCCTCAACTCATTTTCTCTTCACTTGTTTCACTGTATTTCTCGTTAAAACCACAGCTCTTCACCTACTCTTTGCCTAGAACTATGGACTTGAGATTTGCTGATTAAAAAATACATAAGCAAATTAACTGGTTTCTTTTCAAACAATGTTCATTACCCCTAGAGAATCCCTAATATTGTCAGGTAATTATACTATGTCTTTCTAGTTCATTATTACTTTACAACTCTTCACACCTTCTTCTCTCTCCTCCAGCTCCCTGTACCTCCTTATCCATTTCCCCTCTCAGCTGATGTCCTTGTTTCATATTTTCTGAGAAAAATATGAATCAACCTAATCAGACTTTGAACCAGCTCCCACCATAATATCTACTTGCTGGCATCTGCACTCACACTGGCTCCCACTGTTACCATAGGTGAAATTTCTATGTTTTAATACCATGTATAAAAGCTTATCCTTTTTCATCTACTCAAGCACATTGCTCCAGCAGTTTCTCTCACTTTTGCATCATCAAAGTTTTCTCTATATTAGATCATGCCAACAGCTTACATTTTATTATTCCTGTCTTTTTTAAAAAAAATCTTTCATTCCACTTTTCCCACATGTTACCACCCCATTACTTTGCTCCTCTTTATAGCAAAACTCTTCAGAAATTGTTTTCAATGGTTACTGTCCCCAATTCCTCTCCTTCTATTCACTCAAATCTATTTCATTCAGATATTTGCCTCTATTGTTCACTGAAACTGATCTTATAAAAGTCATCAAAAAACCATTACATTACAAATGCACAGTTAGTTCTGAGTACTCTTTTTGCTTCACCTAGTAGTGGCACTCATCACAGCTGAACATTCCCTCCCACGTGTCACAGTGTGTTCACTTACTACCAAAGGAAACATTCTGTGTGTTTCTTCTGTTTGACCGGATGTTCTGCCTCCATACCTTTTACTCATTCAAGCCTTCATATGTTGAAGTGTCCCAGGTTTTACTCATTCTGATGATCTCATTTAATCTCATGTCTTTAAATGCCATTTATATGGTATATTAGTCGGCTTGGGCTGCCATAACAAAATACCATAGACTAGATGTCTTTAAAAAGAGAAATTTATTTCTCAAAGTTCTTAAGGCTGGAAGTCCCAGATCAAGGGGTCACCAGAGCTGGTTTCTCCTGAAGCCACTCTCCGTGGCTTGCAGAGGTCAGCTTCTCGCTGTGACTTCAAATGGTCTTTTCTCCATGTGTGTGCACCCTTGATGTCACTCTATGTGTCCAAATTTCCTCTTCTTCAAAGAACAAATCAGATTGGTTTAAGGTCCTCCCTAAAGACCTCATTTTAAGCTAAACACCTTTTTGAAGGCCCTGCCTCCAAAGGTAGTCATATTCTGAGGAACTGTGAGTTTCTCCACTTCAATATATCAATTTGGGGAAGACACAATTCAGGCAATAATATATGACAATTCCAAATTTTATACTGCCAACTCAGACCTTCCTCCCCAAATTCAGATTCATATATATGATAGTTTTAACATCTCTCATGAATTTTATCCTGGAAATCCACTCTCCCCACAGCCATCTCTGTCTTGGGTCTCAGTAACTCCATTTTACCATCCTTTCGTGATCCTGGTCAAAAAACCTTAGAATCCTCCTTGACCCTCTCTTCTCTAACTGCTCACATACAATCCACTAGAAAGTCATGTCACTCTACCTGCAAAATATATTTAAAATCTGATCCTTTATCATTCTCTTCACTGCAATCACAATGAACTAAGTCAACATCATCTTTTGCCTGGATTTCTGCAATAGTTTCCCAGGTCTTCCTCTTGCTTCTTTGTAGTCCATTCTCAAAACAGAACCCATAAGTGATCTTTTTAAGACATAAGTCAGACTATATTACTCTTCTATTCAAAATCCTTCAATGGCTTGACGTTTCACTTGGAGTAAAATGAAAAGTCCTTACAAGGAATTACAAGGCCCTGCCAGTTCTGGGCCCAACTCCCTATCCCCTTAACGCTCTGACCTACTCCTGTGCTTCTCACATCAGCTTACTACACTTCAGCCAAACTGACCTCCTCCTATCCTAAAACACACCAGTCATGCTCCTGCTTTAGAGCCTTTGTTCTGGCTACTACTCGATCATTCTTCTGGACAAACTGCTAACTGCATGGCTCGCTCCTTCACCTTCTTCAAGACTTGGTTTAAATCTGAACCTTACCAATACACCTTCACTGACAATTGGCTACTGCTCCTAAGCCCTGCCCACCCTATCCCACCACCCTCAACCTGGACGTTTTCTTTATTCATGACATTACTTACCATTTATGTAACATATTATCAAATTTACTTATTCATTATATTTATTTTTATTGTTTTTTTATCTGTCTTCCAAAATAGGAATTTAAGTGCTCTAGTGCAGGAATCTTTATTCATTTTCTTCCCTGATATATTCAAATTCCTAAGGAAGTGTCCAGGACTTTATAGGTGCTCTTTAAATAGCAAGAAAACAAATAATGTGATTGAAAAAATGGGCGGAGGACCTGAATTAACTTTTGCAAAAGAAGATATACAAAGGGCCAACAGGTATATGAAAGAGTGCTCAACAACACTAATCATCAGGGAAATGAAAATTAAAACTACAGTGAAATATCATCCTACATCTATTAGAATGGTTATTATCAAAAATACAAAAAGTAAGTGTTGGCAAGTATGTGAAGAAAAGGGGACCCTTGAATACTGTTTGTGGGAATGTAAATTAGTACAACCATTGTAGAAAACAGTATGAAGCTTCCTCAAAAAATTTTTAAAAAAAACTATCATATGATCCAGCAATTGCAACACTGGGTATATATTCAAAGGAAATGAAATTCATGTGTCAAAGAGATATCTGCACTTCCATATTCGTTGCAGCATTATTCACAATAACTAAGGTGTGGAATCAACCTAAGTGTCTATCAAAAAATAAATGGATAAATAAAATGGTCATTATATATATACACAATTGAGTATGATTCAGCCTTAAAAAAGAAAGAAATCCTGTCATTTGCAACAAAATAGATAAGCCTGGAGGACATTATGTGAAATAAGCCAGGTGTAGAGAGACAAATACTACATGATCTCACTTATGTGGAATCTTAAAAAGTCAAATTTATAGAAGTAAAAAATAGAATGGTAGTTACCAGGGGTGGTGGGAGACAGGGAGAGATGTGATCATTGAATACAAAATTTCAGTTAGGAGGAATAAGTTCAAGAGATTTACTTTAAAACATGGTCACTAAAGTTAATAACAATGTATTATATATTTGAAAATGGCTGAAAGTAGCTTTTAAGTGTTCTCACCACAAAAAAATGACCTATATGTGAGGTAATGCATATGTTAATTAGCTAGTTTTACCCATTTCACTATGTATAAACATTTAAAAACATCATTATATACACCATAAATATATTCCATTTTTATTTGTGAATTAAATTTTAAAAAATTTGAATGTATGAATGAATGGATGAATGACAAGCCTCATGCATGTCACTTATTGAGCCTCAGACCCCTTATTTTCATAATTACAAAGGTTAAATTATATAATTTCTGTTGTCTATTCTAACCACCAGCATTTGATTTTATGATACTATAGATCTTACTTAGAAAAAAAAATAGATATATAGAAACTCACCTTTACCCAACAGATAAATTTGGTTATTTTAAATGTTTTTTGAAGATTCTTTTGTAAAAAAAAAATTACTGCTAATGCATTATACATTCATTGGGAGTCTTTGACACAGAAATGGGGAAGAATAGTCACCTCAGCTGAAGTAGATGAGGTCTCTGACAACTGTACGTCAAAGGCAAATGAAGATAAAATACCTTCAAAATGATCACATAAATCAATAAGCAAATGACTTTGATTACAACTATGATTTAATTAATTATAAGGCCACATCTGTTGCATTAATCAAGCTAAAATCAGTAACAGAATTTAAATTGAATGTGGTACCTCAGGAGAGGTTTTAAAAGTAAACTTTTTATTAAGGAATAAATACAGACATAAAAGTGTACAAATCATGCATTCCTTGTTTGGTGAATTATCACAAAGTGAATGTATTCATGTAACTATTATTCAGATCAAGAATCAGAATATTGCTAGAATATTACCAGCACACCAGATGTCTCCCTAAAGTCCCCAACTAGCCACTGACTCCCCAGCTTCCAACAATTCCCACTATCCTGATATCTAACTTCATAGATTAGTTTTGTCTGGGTTTCAATGTTCTATAAATATAATCACACACTGAGTAATCCTAGTGTCTGGCAATTTTTGTTAACCATTTTCTGTAATATTTATTTGCATCATTATGCACAGTTGTAATTCATTCATTCTTCTTAATCTATAATCCTCCAGTGTATTAATATACCCAGTTGATTTTTTATACTGCTGATGGATATTTTGGGTTGTTTCTAGTTTATAACTACAATAGTAGTGCTGCTTTTTGTATATGTTATTTGATGAACATTTCTCTTGAGTATATATTTTCAAGGATCACTACTGGTCATGAAGTATGCTTATGTTCAATCTTAGTAAATATTACCAAATGGTTTCCCAAACTGGTTTTTCCAATTATATTCCTACCTTCAATATATGACAGTTTCAGTTGTTTCTTGCCTTCTTCAAAATTTAGTATTTTCTATCTTATTTTAGTTATTTTGGGGTATGTGTAATGGTATCATATTGGTTTGATTTCTATGCATTTGTGTGGTTTTGAAATTTTATATGTACAGTAAAATGCACACATCTTTATTGAGCTTGATAAATTTATATGTATATGTGTATGTACATACACACATATACAGTGTAGGTGTGTATGTGTGTATATGTATATGTGTGTATGAATGTATGAGTGAACACACACATATACATATACATATACACATACACACATACACACACACACAAACCTATGGTAACCACCATCTAGAACAAGATATAGAACATACTCAGCACCCCAGAAAGATCTCCCTTCCACTTTCAACAACCTCTAAGAGGTTACTATTTTGACTTTTCCCATTGTAAATTAATTTTCTTTTTTCTTGACTTTCAAATAAACAGAATCATACTCTCTTGTGTCTTTGAGTATCCACAGACACACAGACTCGCCAATACATGGAGAGTCATTCATGTATTGCATGTAGCAGTCATTTTTATTGCTTTGTAATATTAAATATATAAATATACCACAATGTACTTGTCCATTCCATTGATAAATGTTTGGGTTGAGTAAAGCTGTAATGAATATTTTGTACTTGATATTTGTTGTAATTATTTCTTCCAGATATATGTGTCTGTATATGGAGCGAAAGAAACAAAAAGGGGGTGGGTGATATTGCTAGGTCCTATGGTAGGCATTTGTTTAGGCTTACAAGATACTGTTAGTTTCCAAAGATCTTTGTCAATTTACACTACCAGCAGCAATGTATGAGAGTTCCAGTCTCTACGAGGTCATCAGCATCACAACTGCCATTGTGGTGGGTGGATGGTAGCATCACATTCTTATTTGCATTTCATAATGACTAATGATATTGAACAACTTTTCATATGCATAATGAATGTTTAAGTACTCTGTTGTAATGTGTCTGTTCAACCCTTTTGACCATTTTTAATTGGATTTTCTGTTTTTATCTCATTGATTTGTAGAAGTACTCTATAAGTTCTAGACAGAAGTCCAGTCCTTTGTTGGATTTGTCTATTACAAATATTTTCTCCCAGTCTTTGACTTTTCATTATTATAATAGTGTCTTCTGATAAATAGAAGATAATAAATTTAATAAAGGTGAATTTATTCATCTTTTATTTCTTTATTAATTCTCTTGAATGTCTGTATTTAAGAAAAAAAATCACCAAAAGATCATGAAGATATTGTCTTATAATTTCATCAAGAAGTTTTATTTTTTCTGCCTTTTCCACTTAGGACTATGATCCATAAATAATTTTTGTATATGGTATAAAGTAGAAATCAAGTTTCATTCCTTTCCACAAATTTATCTAATTGATCCAGGAACATGTATTGAGAAGATTATCCATGCCCCACCAAGTTGCAGTGGCACTTGTTTTAGAAAATGAGTGTGTATGTGTGGGAATACTTTTGGACCCCAATCAGTTCCAGTGGTATCCATTGGAAAGATTTTTCTTTGTTCCCTATAGGAGCAAAGAAACATTTTCTATCTCATCACTAGGTTTGTGATTAAGCCCTCTATAACAAAATTCAGATTAATAGAAAAAAAAGCATACAAATTTAATATGTGTTTTACATGACATGGAATTCTTAATAAGAAAATGAAGGTCCCTCCAAAATAGGTAAATGTATATTTTTTATGCTTAGGTTTGATGAAGAGATGGATAGTCATGAAGATGTATGATTAAACTAAGGGTATGATCTAATGCTAATAATCTCACCAGGGTTGGGGCAGGGAGAGTTAATAAACAGGACTTATCAAGGCCTGTTTGTTTAGATTATTCCCTAAGTCTCTGAGTCTTCAGAGATAAGGATATTCCTTTCTCAGGATATAGGGAGAACACCTCTTCCATGAGGGTCTTATGACCAGTTTCAAGGGAAAAATCAACAGGAAAATGAGATGGCTTTTCTACTTCTGCTGTTTGCTCACATGCCAAGGTGTCATATTTGGGAGTGGCATGTCCATCCCTCCAATACCATGCTGTCTTAATTACCATAGCTGTATAGAAAGTATTTATATTTTGTACTATATGCTATCCAACTTTGTTCTTCTTCTAAAAGATTGTCAGGTCCATTCTAGGCATTTTGTATTACCATGTAAGTTTTAGAATCAGCTCTTGAATTCCTCCCTCCTAGAAAAGATTGGGGTTTTGACTGGCATTGTATTAAATCTATAGATAGCTTTGGGGATTAATCAGCATTTTAACAATATCAAGTTTTCCAGTCTATGAACATGGTATATTTCTCTATTTATGCCTTCTTTACTTTTTCTTAGCAAAGTTTTATAGTTATGAATGTAGACAACTTCACAACTGTTGTAGATTTATTTCTAGGTATTAATATTCTAAAAATATTGTGAATGTTGTTTTTATTTTCTATTAGTTTGTTGCTACTATATGGAAATACAATTAATTTTTATACATAACCCTTGTATCCAGCCCTTGTTTTTTATAATGGTTAGTACTACATAGTCTGTATATTTACTTTTGTATAATACAGTATTTGACACTATAGTTGATTTTACTACATTTACACTAATCCCTTGTAATAACGCCATTTTTGTTTTACAAATTTTCTTTATAAAGACTTTCAAATATCAGAACAACTATTCTTTTGGAATAGAAAGAAATTCTTAAAATCGTTCTTCAAGTAAAGCTGTGAAATACTATGCTGATAGCTTCAATCAATCATATTGTTTAACAACATGATGTTAATATTTAGGAGCTCAAATTACCATTTTTAGACTCCTGAAAAAGAATTTTTTCTAGTCAATACAAATCTTGACATTAGAAAATTACAAGGAACAATTATTCTTCATCAGCATTTACTCAAATTAATTCAAGTTAATTTGTCCCTTTGGAAGTAAGGATGACAATGAAAATCAAGACTTGGAGTGATTTCTTAATAACATAATTATATGTAAAGATGAAGTAAGAGCTATAAACCCACCCTGTAGAGGTTTCCTAGGTAGGGAAAAATTAGGTCCTAACTTTTGTTATTCACCACACAAGATGTCCTTAAGGAAAACTCTAGGCCTTCAAGGTCAGTTAATTATTGTCAGTTAAGCCCATCCTCATTCCCTTTCACCCAGATAGAAAATGCCAGGTAGACTTTAGGAGAATAGGTTTGGTGAGGAGCTTCACAGAGTAAAGCAAACTTTAGAAATTATATCTGGCTTTTCAATATGTTCCCCAAAAGGTAATATGGAGGACACAGCTCAGGCCTCGACTCATCAGTCTTCATGTATTATATCACGTAGAATGAAAGTACAAAGCAAAGATCACTAAAATTTCTAATACTCTTCTTCAATGTATTGCTGAAAGGTTGGGATAGGTGAGAGCAGGGTAAGAGTAAAGGTACATAAACCTTTCTCTACCCCAGAGTAAAAATGGTGGTTTCTTCTATTCCAGGGCCCAGGCTGAGGCACGCTCTTCTAATACTATGTTGAAAATTTAGCATTCCTCATATTTTACAGATTAATTTTTCAAGAACCACTGTCTGATCTGCCCATAGCTTCATAGTTCTGCTATTTAACTTTGCATGGATTTCCTGAGAAGTAATAATGCTGAACACCCCTCCTCCCACCACAGCTCTGCATTACATAAAAAAGTTATCCCAAATTGACTGATGAAAAATCTTCAATCATTTCTCCCTAATTCTTATTTTTATAATTAATTTTTTTCATGATTGCCAAAGGAGGTAGGTCAATCTCCCAGTGCACCCTACAATGGTAATGCATTGATTAAGGGTAATAACAGTGGAAACAGCCACAATACTGTCATTAAATTTATTAACTGTTTCTTGTATGTCAGACACTTGTCAAGGAAGCCACCCACTATTCAATATCTGAAACAAACTAACAAGGCTGAGTTTGTTGCTGGCTATGCGAGGGAGACATGTGCTTGTAAAACAGTCTCTCTGAGAATAGCAGAGAACTCATTTTACTGGGTTTATGGAGGTGTGGGCTCCGGCATGGGTAGATTTTTAGAATTGGGTGGGACTAGGGATTGGTTGACCTTTAGCTGTGTCAGATTGGCTTACTGGATTACTGGAGCCAGACTGGCTATCTGCTGGCTTCCATGAGCTGGGCTACTGAAGTGAGATTGTTGCTCACTGACTGACGTTTGGAAGCCAAAGACTTAACTCATTGGCCAGGCTTCAGAAATACAGCTCCTAAAGCTTCTAAAGTAAGTTGTCATTTGTCATTAAGAAGGGTTTAAAGCTGTTTCTGATGATTGCTTGTTAGGATGTCCAAAACACAGTCTTTTCCTGGGAACACAAGAATCTTTTACTCTGATGATACTCAATGTTAATATTAGTTAGTAGTCAGTTTATAGATGTTACACAATTTACTTTTCAGAAAATCCTTTATGAATATGAATTATTAGAATTTCCATTTTATTCATAAGAAAACTAAGGCTTATCTTGCCCAAAGTCACATGACTCATAAATGGAAGAAACACGATTCAAAACAATTTTAAGTCCAAAAAAATCAGGACATACCCAAAGACTGAGTCTACATTCATTCAGTGAACAGTATAATACATGCTGAGTCATCAGGAAGCCAGGTGTAGCTGTAAGCATTGAGAATACCAACTTACACAAAACACACAAAATCTGTCTTCCTCCAACTGACGCCTTTGCTATCTTTTGCTGATATTTGCATTCTAGGCCTTTTCTCCTGCCAGCTTCAAGATGTCACCTGGTAAATAATTCTCCCTGGATTAGGTCATTTTTGTATAAGTCCTTTGCCCAATACTTCACCAAAATCTTAACTTTTTTCCTGTGAATGGGGCTGTCCCTTACTCTTTACCTTACCTCTGAAAAATCAGATTTGCATTTGACAACTACACTTAGTTCAGATGGCTGAAGGAGATTAAAATCATACCTTCAAGTTCTAATTTAATAGTTAACAATTTTATTAGAGTAATTTTGTGCCCATTTTTGAGGCATCCAAACTAAGTTTATTTTTACCCCATACTTCAACGTAAGGTGAAATTTTTCTCAAAAAACAAAGCAGAAGTAGTTGCCTTATATTCAAATCCATATGACTTTTTTTTATATATTACGAGTCACATTCTCAGTTTATTTTGAGCAAACAAGAACAATACATTAGCCTGAAGCAACCTCAGCCACTGCTAGTTTAGAATGCTCAGATGTCACCCAAAGAAATTTGTTTAAAAAACAGGGAGGGGGCAGACAAACTTTGCATAGATTGTAGTCATTATTGCTGAGTGTGCAGCTTCTCAGCTCCAAGTATTGAATGTTACTGTAAATAAAGTCTTTAAGGACAACTTTCCAAGTGTTACACTAACCGATTATGGTGAGGAAATAACAGACACAAAATGAATTTTTAAAAGAAACTGCCTGTATTTCTATTAATGGCTTAATTATCCCATGATGATGTGCTCTCTTCTGTGTTAGAATAATCACAAAGTGGCTTTTTTTAGTGATAACAAATAACTGAATTAAATGTGTGTATAAAGAATTTTTATAAAATTATCTCCTGAATATCTAAGAAGCACAGCAATTATTCTGAAGTATTATTTTCTATGATAAATGGTTTGTACATGTATATATAATAAGTTAATTAAGTACGAAGTGTAGATTGTGATTATTTCACATTTATTGCTAAAAATGTTTACTTTCAAGTTAATAAAATGAAACATTTATTTTACAAAACAGAAGACTGTCTTATTATCAAAGTGACCTTATACTTGTACATATTATGTATGTTATTTTTCTTATAAATTGAGGAAGTTTTGTTAAATTGCTTTACTAGGCACAAATCTCATTTAGTACAAAGCACTCAAACATATTTTGTGTTTATTTGGCTTCAGATGTAGCCAAGGAGGTCACAGCATTTCTAGAAAATTTGTGTTTTATTAAGCATCCTAGGTACAGAGGTATTCAGCAGAAGAAAGCTTATGGTAGAAATATCCCCAAAATTCCCATGATTATATCTCAAAGTTGCCTGCAAACAAACGATTTTCATGGTATAGAAAGAGGCCCAATCCTCTTGGTCTTCATCCCAGGATCCTTTTGGGATGTCCATCTGGTGATGAGATTGAGGATCGCAGTGTCAGGAGTGGGTCGCCCTCTAACCTGCCTTTGCACCGCAAGCCAGAGTCCAGGAAGGTACTGTGTTTTTAAAAAGAACAGCGGTACCATATTATTCAGCAGTATCTTGAGTTTTGTATAAGAAGAAATAGCAACCAAAGTGAATTCATATATAAATAAATAGATAAAAGTCGCAATGTCACTATTTAAAATAAAAAAGCATAACAGAAGAGAAGAGATATCTAAGGGCCTAGGAAATATAATCTTCTTCAGAAAATATTTTCTTAATGAGTCAGGAAAAAAATAGAGAATTTCTACTTAGCATTAGTGAGATCAAAGGCCATTACATCTATTTAACAGTAATAGGTCAGAATAAACAGAGAATTCAAAGAACCAAGTTAATCGAATCAATAACAAATAATGATAAGCCTTAAAAACCTGGCCCAATACTGCCAGAGTGCTACAGAAAATAAATATGAATACATATCTATAATGTGGAAG
Source organism: Homo sapiens (assembly GCF_000001405.40). Taxonomy (NCBI): domain Eukaryota; kingdom Metazoa; phylum Chordata; class Mammalia; order Primates; family Hominidae; genus Homo; species Homo sapiens. The sequence continues at coordinate 172,650,668 of NC_000004.12, forward strand.
AAATGGAAAGAGATGTCTGTTAATGTCACAGATGACAATGGACTTTGGGAACAGAATGTAAAGAATTGACTTTGAATAACAGTATTTCCAAAAAAGAAAATAACACAAAATAATGAGAACTGATCATCAAAATGTAAAATAAAATAAAAGGGCCTAAGCAAATAAGTTTTGATAATGTCTAAAAAATTGCATATATGAGGCTGAAAAGTTTTCCTAAAGACTACAGCATGTAAGAAAGCATGATATCATAATTCTTAGTGTGAACTGTAATATGAGTAATTCAGTATTTTTTCAAGAAGTGGGGAAAGAGAGGGTTTCAAATTACTGTATCCTATTTACTATAGTCAGATTTACTGTATTCATGTTTAATATATAAACTGATGAAAGACTTTTACTTGATGATTAGAACTTAGTCAATTTTTAGGCAAATGTTGTACACCACACTGTCTTATTAGTCCATGTGTATTGTCCATCCACTGGATTCCAGGCCTGCTTTAGGTACAGGGACTTCTGGCCCAAACAAAAACAGTAGGACCTGAAGCCATGGAGTTTACAGTGAGAAAAGACAACAAGCCAACTGTTGGACTTTGACTTAATTATACTTGTAATGAGTTCTATAAAAGGGAAATGATATTGCAACAGGAATTACTCAGGTCACACTGGTGATTAGTGCTGTGAATGCAATTTTATTGCAGTCAAACAACTTCAAGTTTCACAATATTACATAGGAACTAGAATTATACTTCATGAAGGCAGGGATTTTGCTCTGATTTTTTCACTTTCAATCCCGAGTGCAGACAACATTTCCTGGAATATAGTAGGCACTCAAAAAATAATTGTTCCTCAACTAGTAAATGCATAAAAGGAATTCTTCTACTGACTAATTGGTTAGCTAAACTCCTACAAGTAGCCTTTGTGAACAAGGAGAAAAATAGTACCTTATTTCATCATATATAACAAACCATACATTGTAAGTTGTCATTGATTATGACACATTACTATTTTATATGCAAAAGATAAATCAAGTTTGGAGAATCTGATAGGACATACCCTCCTCCCCAGACAAGGCTGAAAATCGTAGTGTAAAATGAACGATAATTAAAGCTACAACACAGAAAGTAAAATTAAATTTGCATGTCTCAATCTTGTCACTGAATAGAGGCAGGGAAAACAAATGTCCTTTGAATTTCTGAAAATTTGAACCATAAAGAGTGCTCACACCAATCTGCAACTCCGAATTCATACCACCATTATGTTCCCAAAGACCAGAGACATAAAGAGGTCCCAGGTTGGCTAATGGAAGAAATAAATGGCAAATCCTATCTGGAAGAACTCAGCTTCAGTCGAGACTCAGAGAAACTGTAATACAGAGCTGCTAATATGAGTCTTAGAATCCATAAAATGCAGTGTTTAGAACACTCCCATATGTCACTGGACAACTGGAAAAGTCATCTAGATTATGTTTAAGGAGCTAAGAATGGGGATTAGTTTTCCCTTTGTCAGCAAAGTCCATCTGTAGCCAGTGACATGCATTTTACAACAGTCAGTTGCAATCTCCAAATTCAGGAGTGTCGAGGTTATTCATAGTTCCATTTTTTTTCCTCAAAAAAGAACAGGGTGATTTAAAAGTAAAATAGAGAAACCTAAGCTGAATTTCTGGCTTAAACAAGAAATCTCTTAGGATGGAATATTTTACTGAGATTTGGAGTATATGTTGCATTAGTCGAAGCCAAAAGAACAGAACTATTTCCAAGGAAGGTAAGATCATGTGCTGGTGTCCTGAGGTGGGAAAAGCATGGCCTGACTGAGTTGTTGAAAGAGAGACATTGTGCCTTTAGAATAAAAAGCAAGTGAAATAGCACTGCAAGAAGAGTTTGTGGACACAGGCATGCCCTAGATCAGGCAAGAATTCTTTACATTTGTTTAAGAACAGACTCTATCCCCAGGGCATGAATTTTAATGACAGGAATGAAAAAAGAGGATTTCCATTATTTTCAACATGTCCTCTCATCTTTCCTTATAATCTGGGTAAATATTGTCTCCTACTTTCTGAAATGGGTATTGAACTAAATTTTAACTCACCTTTCTTTCCTTTAACCCCAGAATTTCACTCCACAATTAGCCAATACTTCTCAATTTGATTCAATAGATAGGATTCCTTCCTTTTTCCAATATAAGAAGGTTTTCTGTTTCCTAATTATAAGTTTTTTTCTTGATTCAGCTTCCATTTCTTTTAACACCCATAAATTCTTTCTGTTTTAGTTGCTACGATTTTCAAATATTTGGTGTGTACTTTTACTTCCAAGTTCTATCCTGATTCAGTATCATCTCAGTTTCTGCCAGCTTTCATCTGACTTTAAAACTCTTCTGAAACTACCTGCTCATCAAAGATCAAAATGTGCTTTTCCACCAGATCCAGTGGCTTTCTCTCATCTCTCATCTCCTGCTTGCTTTAACCTTGTATGTTGTTGACAATCTCCTGCGACTTTCTTCAACAAATTTTGTCCTTCGTTGGCTAAACTATTGCACTTTGTTATCTTTCTATTTCTCTTCTTCCTTTTTTTTTTTTGAGACAAAATTTCACTTTTTTGCCCAAGCTGGAGTGCAATGGCATTGATGTCAGCTGACTGCAACCTCCACCTCCCAGATTCAAGTGATTCTCCTGCCTCAGCCTCCCGAGTAGCTGGGATTATAGGCTTATGCCACCATACCTGGCTAATTTTTTGTATTTTTAGTAGAAACGGGGTTTCACCATGTTAGCCAGGCTGGTCTTGAACTCCTGACCTCAGGTGATCTGCCCGCCTCGGCCTCCCAAAGTGCTGGGATTACAGGCGTGAGCCACTGTGTCCGGCCTTATTCTTTTTACATGACCTTACTTCTTTTTCCTCTCTTTTCCTTGTCTTAGTTCAACATTCTGCTTCTCTATATCCGAAGAAAGAGGAAAAAAAAATACCTTGCTATCTTCCCCCCAACAGACATACTTTACTAAAAGATGTTGTGCTCTTCTATTATTCTCTTCCATCATTTAGGACTTCATTTCAGAGATCCTGAATAAAACATATAGATAATTTCATGATCTGGAATAGAATCTGCATTTGTGACTAACAAGAGAGGTTGTACAAATTATAATTTCTGACTCCTTGTTTTCTCACTAGACCATGTGCTTTTTGAGGATCAACACTGTGCATTATTCATAATTGTATCTACAAAACTTGGCACCTTGTTTTCCACCACAGAGTAGACAGCATATATTTTAATGTGCATAACTGTCCTGGTATTATCTTAAATCTGTTGGATGTGTGTTTTGTGATAGCATAAATTTGTTTATGTGTTAACAAAACACACACATACTCTTTTCTCTCTTTCTCTCTCTCTCAAACATACAGAGACAGAGAGAGAGAAAGAGAACAGTTCTCATCATCATTAAGCCATTTTCGTTGGAAATATTTTCAGAATTAACCAAGGAAAATTAACCTTCAGATTAGTGGACTTCACTCCATGCAAATGGTAAAAGTGAAAATATGATTCAAATTTTTAAAAGCGGGAGCTCAGATTGCTTAATGTCTCCTTTATTCTGGTTTACATAGTAGCTCCGTGGCTGTGCACTGTAAGTACAATTATGATTAATTTCCAAGCATAAGCACTTGTTCTCAACCGAACCATTATTTTCTTGCAGAAAACAAAGAAAAACTTCCTAGAGTTCTATTTCTTGTGTCAAAATCAACCTTAACTTTAGTTCACTAATCCTTTCCAAGGGCCCCAGCTGATCTATTTAATTTTTCTTTTAAATGCTATCTTACTAGAGTATTTTTTTCATACTTAGGTCAAAAATCATTGTAATAAAAAATGTTCTACAAATATTGAATTACATGATAAATTTCCCTTGGTGAATCTCTACTGTCATCCATTTTGAACGTCAGAAATTCCTCGGGCAATCTGGAAATAAAATATTCTGGTCTGCAGGCTGAACTTCCCATAAATGCAAGCTGTCACTGCTGTCTCACTCTGCTGATCAGCCAACCATGTCAAGCAATGCTGTCATTTACTTAAGAGAAACAAGCAAACCCTTCAATCATGTTGTTTCTGAAGGAAAGTAGAAAAGAAAAACCACAACATTTTCTTTTTCCTTCTTTGGCCTAGGATGGTGAAGCAAAATTAGCTTAGAATTATAGTAATAATAACAACGTTTGCTATTTTACTGTTGCAAATACTTTGTAGTATTAACCATTTAATCCTCACGACGTTCTAGTAGATATCATAACTTTACCTATTTTACAGATGAAGAAAATGAGACATTGAGAGGTTATGCAATTGGCCCAAGTAAAACAGCTAGTAAGGGGCAGAGCTTGAATTCAAGCAGTCTAAATTTAAGAGCACAGGTTCATAATGCTATGAGGATCAATACAATTCTATAATGGGTGTATTTTAGGTCATAGATTTTTATAATATTTAATTCCATTTAAAATTAGGAATTTGAAGAAAATGTCTTTATTTCTTTTAATACTACCAGAAATAAATTATTTCCCATTAGCTTCAAAATCCTTTGCTCATTTTAACCATCCTGATAGGTTTCAGGTTTGTGATGGTTGTTGTTGTGTGTGTGCCTTTAAGATAATCATTTTTAATGCCATATGTCCAACTTATGCTTACTAATTTTTATCATTTGCACTCACAGCCATCAAATCTAAAGCCTTTTCCTCCTTTAAGCTAGTCTCGTTAGAATATAAGAGTGAGCACTTATTTAGGTCCTACTATTCACCAGACACTATTATAAGCCCTGTACCTGATCCTTAAGCCCCACGTCCATCGTTTGATTAGGCATTTTTATTATCTTCATTTTATAGATGAGGCTTAGAATGGGTAAGTAACTTGTCCAAATATACACAGCTCATAAAGGGCAGAGTTGACACTACAAAACCTAGGTGTCTTCCGCCCTGAAAGCACGTCTTATTTCCTCCCTATAAAAAGACGTGACCTCAAGAGTAGTATCCCAAATATATATGTCAAATTTTCTACATTATAATTTTAGAGTTATATTTCCTTGGAAACAAATTTGATTCCCAAAACATATTTTGGCAATTCTGTTCTTGAAAATATTTTATTTTACAAAAAATAAGATAAGTTAAATGTATCATCATCCACATTTTTCTAGCATAGTGTAGAGAATTTGGTTTCAAATTTTATTAGTGAAATAATCGCAAGTACCTCCTTTCATTAAAGAAGAGAAAAAGAAGGATGAAGAATGAAAGGAAAGAACGAGTGTAACCATTGCTGATTTTACTGTGGATTTGATAAACATTAGTCAAAAACACATGTGATAAGCCACATATTATTAAAAATGCACCATATAATTAATGCTATTGCATTGTCATTTTGTTACCTAGCATCAACTGGCTCACTGCCCAAGGTACACAGAGGCCAATACCATGGCACCAGCTTTCGAGAAAAGAAAAGCATTATTGAAAGTCACGTGGCAAGGAGACAGGAGGAAATGCTCAAATCTGTCTCCCTGAGCGAGGGTTGGGTCTGGGTGATGCCGAAGTTCAATCTGATTGGATCCTGGACACTGCCATGCAGTGTCTGCTCCTTAATTCAGCCCCTGCTCCTAAGTCTGAGCACTCAAGTTCCCCTTGTGGTAGCACACTTAGGTTCATCTGGGCATGCTCAGATTATGTGACCTTCAACCTTGGAATCCATGTCAACTGATAAACAACTCACAGTTTTATTACATAAAAGTTGAACCGGATTGGTCTGATGTGGCTACAGTTTACTACATGGAAACTGAGTAAACGATATGAACATAGTGGTGCTGGTGAGACAAATGAGCTCTTTAGAATACAGACAAGATTCCTGAGCACCCCTTTTCTAGACACAGCCTTCCAATCTCCTAAGCATCATTCTTTACCCATGTATGCAATGACACGGTGTTCTGTTTCTCAAAGGAACACACATATTTTACTGCTTTATTAAGCTGCTTAGTTCAGATGGGCCACTAAAGTGACCAATTAACTATTAATTTCCTTGTATAAGAGATGGCTGAAGGTCAATCCTGAGAGCCTAAGCACTCCTTAAAGTTTCCCTTTAATTCTAACAAATAACTTGTCTGTGAGGCACACAGATATTTCGTCTTTTGAAAACTAGAGCAGACGTGCTTTGCACAGTCTACTGGGGAAAGAAAAATGTGCTTGCTTAACATGAATTGCTTGTAGGAGCAGATATATCTATAATGCAATATTATTGAGTTAAATGAGAAGGACATTATTTTTTTTTTCTTTCTGCTCTGTTATGAGCACAGGGTAGGGAATTTGGTTTAAGGTCTCATTATTTGGCAAAATTGCAATAACCTCCTTTCATTAGTAAGAGAAAAAGGAAAAGGAGGAGGAGAAAGAGGAGGCAAGATTGTAACCATTGTTGATTTCACTGTGGACTTGTTAACCATTAGTCAAAAATACATGCTGATAGGCCACTGAGCTCTGCTAGTACTAATAATAGTCTTTCTCTTTTCTCTTCTTCAAGCTTCATGATACTTTCTTGAAATACGCACACAAAACTTACTGTCCGGATACCTAGCACCTCTGAGCCTGAGCTGTCTATGATTAGAGTCAGTAATTATGCTGTGAGATAATCCATCATGGTGGGTTTTGTTTGTGGCTCGCGATAATTAATGATGATTCCGCAGAACAGCAGTTACGCAATACAGAAGAAATTCATCTTCTAAAGGTCAGCAAAGAGTTGAAGCATGAAGTAAAATAAGCCCATAGCTGCTAGCTATTTTTTACCAATCAGTCTTTGTGAGTTTGTTTTTTATTTTGAAAGGCATAGTGAAAATGTTCATACCTTAATAAGGCATTGTCTGAAAACTAAATTTTTTGTTTCCTTAGAATTAGATAGAATTTTTTAAAAGTTTCTTAGGAAAAGAACTGATTTTGCTTAGAAAATACACCATCAGGCCATTTGGTATATGAAGGGAAGGGTGTGAACTCACACTAGCACCCAACTCTCACCTCACTCAAAGACATGTAACTCTACAAAAGTAGTCAGTAAAATTTGCGGGTGTGGACTAGGGTGTGAAAGGAAAGAGTGTGAGGGAAAAGTGACTGATTAATTTCTATGGCAAGTGGGGTTAAGGGAAGATATGGCTATGTATAAACCCACTCTCTAACCAGTCAACGGTCGGCACACTCAGAAATATCTCTGTGGGGGCCGGGCGCCGTGGCTCACGCCTGTAATCCCAGCACTTTGGGAGGCCGAGGCAGGCGGATCACGAGGTCAGGAGATCGAGACCATCCCGGCTAAAACGGTGAAACCCCGTCTCTACTAAAAATACAAAAAATTAGCCGGGCGTAGTGGCGGGCGCCTGTAGTCCCAGCTACTCGGGAGGCTGAGGCAGGAGAATGGCGTGAACCCGGGAGGCGGAGCTTGCAGTGAGCCGAGATCCCGCCACTGCACTCCAGCCTGGGTGACAGAGCGAGACTCCGTCTCAAAAAAAAAAAAAAAAAAAAGAAATATCTTTGTGGGGCCGGGTGCAGTGGCTCATGCCTGTAATCCCAGCACTTTGGGAGGCCGAGACGGGTGGATCACGAAGTCAGGAGCTCAAGACCATCCTGGCTAACATGGTGAAACCCAGTCTCTACTAAAAATACCAAAAAATTAGCCGGGCGTGGTGGCGGACGCCTGTATTCCCAGCTACTCGGGAGGCTGAGGCAGGAGAATGGCGTGAATCCGGGAGGCGGAGCTTGTAGTGAGCCGAGATCGCACCACTGCACTCCGGCCTGGGCGACAGAGAGAGACTCCGTCTCAAAAAAAAAAAAAAAGAAAGAAAAAGAAAAAAAAAAGAAATATCTTTGTGGGTACAAGGAAATAGGGCCACATTTCAAATTTGGGCACAAAAGGGGGAAACGGGGACAGGGATGTCAAAGCCAGGAATGAAATGTCTTCCCAAGAATCCCCGATGATATTAGGAAGCACATCGAATTAGCCACCACTGCTTGTGGGTGTTGAATCAAAATGCATTGAAGTCTAAAAAGATGAGGTGGCCCCAGCTACACCTTGAGGTTATTTTGTTTTATGTATAAATGATTTAAAGTTCTGAAAATCATGTTGGTAATGACAGACACACTGATGGTGACAGTCATCTCAGCTATAAAAAGCATCAGAGTAAACATGTTTTCTAGCCCTGGTTGCATTAACTAAAGTAGACACGTTGGTGACAAGTCATTTCAATTCTCTCTACTTCAGTTTCTTCACCTTAAAAAAAATCATGCTTAAAACTTGGTGATACCATGAAATTTAATATTTAATGTAAGAATGCATGAAAAAGCATAAACTGCTTATTGAGTGCTACTTTGTGCCAGATCTTATTGTAAGCAGCATACATGTATTCGATCATTTAATCCTATCTCATCCACACAAGCATCCTATGAGGTAGATACTATGATTTGTTTAATTTATAAATGAATGAATGAGTACTAAGGCATAAGTTTCACAGAGAGTGAAGGGTCAAGCTTTTGGGGCAGTATGATGCCTTCTTTTATTCAATAATCATAAAAGCTTTAATTTTTTTCTTTTTTAAAATTTTTATGTATGCTCTGTTGAACATATTTATAGGGTACATGTGATAGTTTGGTAGTCATACAGTGTGTAATGATCAAATCAAGGTGATTGGGATATCCACCACCTCAAATACTTATCTTTTCTTTATGTTTGGAACATTTCAAATCTTTTCTTCTAGTTATTTTGAAGTATACAGTAAATTATTGTTAACTGTAGTCGTCCTATGGTGCTACTGAACACTAGATCTTATTCCTTCTATTTAATTATATTTTTGTCCCTTCTTTAAGCAGCCCCTCTTTATTCCCCCATCCCCTCACCCCTTCTCAGCCTCTGGTAACCACCATTTATTCTCTACCTCCATGAGAGTGAAGGATCAAGCTTTTGGGGCACTGTGATGTCTTTTTGATGTGCCTAATTGGATAGGCCATAGTCTGCAGTTATTCAATCCAGCACTAATCTAAGATGTTGCTGTGAAGGTTTTCTATAGATAGGATTCAATTCTATAAGTGTTGACTTTAAGTAAGGTAATTATCCTAGATAATCTGGCTGGCCTGCTTCAACTAGTTGAAAGGCCTTAGTAGCAGAGCTGAGGCTTCCCTGGAGAAGAAATTCTGCCTGAGGACAGCAGCTTCAACTCTTCCCCAGGAGTTCCAGCATGCCCTTCCTGAAGATCAACCCCCACAATTGTATAATCCAGTTTCTTACAACACATCTCTTACTATGTATCTTCTACTGGTTCTGCTTCTCTGATCTGTACCCTGACTGATACAGACAGGAGACCTATGTACTTCACCACTGGGCTATTCTGCCTTCCATCACTTCAGCCTCAACCTTTCCTTCCTCCCCTTCAATGTATTTTAAAATGTTCAGAAATACGTTGCTTTTTAGAAAAGAGGAAAACAACCATGATTAATTGGCTCAGCCAAGATCACAAAGTTAGTGTAAATCTAAACAAAGTCAGGCTGTCATTTTGAAGAATTATAAAAACAACTATGATGGCCAGTATTCTACAGCACTGGCACAACTCTCTCACCCTTGGCATCATAGGAAGACCCACTAGAGCATACTCTAGATTTAATGCTGGACAGTAGCCTCAATTAGATCACAGAACTGACGCCTAAGAAGATACAGGCATCTGTTTCATTTCCCTCAAGGGGCAAAAGGCATCAACTTTACTGCCCATACACGATCATTAGCATTTCCCTTCACAGCTGTCACCTGAGGAGCATATCTCAAGGAAGCGGAATGTTGAACTGGAGGGAATACTCTGTCCTCACTGAGGAAGTTCAGATTGCCCTTGCCTTTATTTTCAAATGCTTTGCTCCAGCTGGCTGGCCTTTTTAGTACTGGCTAACAGTGAGTGAGTTATAGCAGCTGCTTGTCATTCATGTATTAAAAACTAAGCATCTCTGTCTTTCAAAGTCATGTGAAGGAAACAGACAGGACCCAAACTTCCTAGTCCATTAATGGCCCCACTTATCCATAAGCACACACTTTGCTCAAGTATGTCGTCAGAACTCCTAATTATAATGCTATAAATTATAGCAGAGAATTAAAGGCAGCTATAGAGGAAGGAAGAAATATGAATATTACTAAAATGAGAAGGTAATTAAGTTACCCTCTTCCCTCTGAGCCAGCTCTGGTTGTTTAAAATAAGTCCTAATAACAGTGTTAAATGAACTCAAAGCACAAATGAATATTAAACTGACCTACTGCAGAGGTTTTATACATGGCCTGTTAAGGTCGTTTTCATTACCAGGGAGATTTGAGTCATTCTTAAGAATGTGAAAGGTGAATGTGATGGTTAATTTTATGACAACTGGATTGGGCCACAGTGCCCAGGTATTTGGTCAGACATTATCCTGGATGTTTCTGTGGTGGGGTTTTTTAGATGAAATTAGCATTTAAATTACTGGACTTTGACTAAAGCAGATTACCCTCCATAATGTGGATGGGCCTCATACAATCAGTTGAAGGCCTCAATAAAACAAAACTGACCTCCAGCCCCTCACCTCTCCACCCCCTACCCCACAAGAAGAAGGAATTCTGCCAGCAGAGAGCCTTTGGACTCAAACTGCAACTCACCCCTGGGTCTCCAGCCTGCTGGTCAACTCCATCAGATTTTGGACTCATCAAGCCTTTATCATTGCATGAGCCAATTCATTAAAATAAAGCTGTCTTATATATATGCACATACATACTGTTTGTTCTGTTTCTCTGGAGAACACTGGCTAACACGGTGAGTAAACTGACTACACTGGAAATAACAAGATGAACTTCAGGAATGCAGAAGATAAGAACCCAGTTACATTAATGGAATAGTTACTGCTTAATTTTAATTATAATATTCTTTGCTAGCATTGTGAGACTTTAGTAACCAAACCCAAAAGAAGCAATTGTTATAGTATATGCTAATATATATTCAACAAATAATGGAGTGCTCATGGCCAAAAATGTCTCTTCCAAAGAGCACATGCCAATTTCAGGGCCACTAAATGCCAAGCTCCAGTAATGTTCCAGGACTTTGGGCACATATCCAGAAATAGGCAACTAGTCCTAGAAATCCAGGAAATCAACAACTCATGAGTCTAGCTAATATTTATTGAACACCCTTATCACAGGGAGGCAACAATGGTGAGTGGGTGAATGACAGCAAAACAGTCCCTGATGTCATGGAGCTCAGAATCTGAGGGAAAAGTGGATCATGCAAATGTATAAATGGAGACAGGTGCTAATAAGAAGGATGCCTGTACTTAAGAGAAACCTGTAGACAGGCTACACAGAGCATGGTCTACAAGCCAGCAGCATTAGCATCACTTGGGAGCTACTTAGAACACAGGATCTCAGGCCCCTTTCTAGACCTGCACTTTAATAAGATCCCCAGATAATTGGTGTTCACATTAAATTTGAGAAGCAGCTGGCTTAAGGGATAAAGAAAACTGCTTTACTGTGGATAGTATATTTCAGTTGAGATCTGAAAAGAAGAGGGATCATTTCTATACCCTCTGCATGTTTACTGCTGGGCTTCACAGTGACTATGATCATTTCTATAAGGCAGTCATTATTGCTAATTGCGAAATATTTCCAATTCTCTTCCCAGACATCTTGAAGGACTGCCCTTCCCTAACCCCATGAAGCTGGATCTGACCTAGTGACTAGTTCTGGCTAGGTGAATATGATCAGAATGGACCTGTGTCACTTCTGGTGGGATTTTTAAGACTCATTATAGTTTGTCTGCTTTCTCCTTTCTGCCACGATAATCGGCAGTGTATAGTTAGTAACAGCTCAGTCAACGGGAAACCTGGAGCAGAAACGTCAATTCACCTACAATTAACATGGGCCTTGAAAGAGCAGTAAACTGCATCATACTAAGCCTCTGAGATAGGGTGGTGATTTGCTCCTGCCTAATTGGTATACTCTATCATCAATGGATTCATTCAATTGGTACCCAGTGAGTGCTTATGAGGTGTCCAGCTAATCCAGGCTCTGGGGATTCTGTGATGAAATTAGCCAGACAAGACCCTGCTGAATCTTCTCTTTTTCTAGAGAAAGCTGGGCAAATAAGCAACCAAAAAAATAATTTCAGATGGTGGTAAAAAGTAAGAAGAAAATGAAACAGACTGGAGAGATTAGACAGGGGATGATAAGGCTCTTTCAAAGGAGGTGGTCAGGTCAGGAACAGCCTCCCTTCTCCAAGGAGCTGATATGTGACCTGGTACCTGGATAAGGAGAAATCTCAGCCATTTGAACATCTGGAGAAAGAGCCTGCTGGGCAGGGGAGAAGAAGTACAATGGCCCGGAGACAAGAAAAAGCTTGGCATGAGAAAGTAATGGAAGCACAATCCTTGTGAAGCCCAGCAGTAAACATGTGGAGGGTGGAGAATGGTTTAAGATGGGGCTGGAGAGGCAGCTGGAAATCTGATCCCAGAGATTTCAGGTCTGTTCAGAGGTTTGTGTTCTATTCTAGGTGCAATGGGAATATGTGATCTGAACTATAATAGTATCACTCTGGGTACTATATTCAGCATAAGCTTGTAACAAGAAGAGAGCGAGCACAGTAGGAGAACTAAAAGAAGGCTAATCTAATGGGGGTTACTTAAAAGGGCAGAGAAATGCAATCGGACTACCAGCCTAGAAGGATAGATAACTGGAAATACTAATATTAAGTGTATAGCATTAATGACTAATGTCACCCTTCTGTTCACCAGATACTTGATTTCCTCTCCTTTCCCCATGTACTGTATATTCAACCCCTCCCTAAGCGGGACAACCCCAAGGTCCCACTAGTCGGAGGATCAGCTCTGAGTTCAAGATCTCCTGGTGACATATCCTAGTCCCTGTATCAGAGAATAATGTGGTGGTTTCTGTATCAGGTTTGGATGTGATTTCACTTCATCCAGAAATCTATGAACTAAAAAGGTGACTTGGCTAGGCGTAGTGGCTCACGCCTATAATCCCAGCACTTTGGGAGGCTGAGGCGGGTGGCTCACTTAGGGTCAGGAGTTCAGGACCAGCCTGGCCAACAGGGCGAAACCCCATCTCTACTAAAAATATAAAAAATTAGCCAGGCATAATGGCACACGCCTGTAGTCCCAGCTACTCGGGAGGCTGAGGCATGAGAATCGCTTGAACCTGGGAGGCAGAGGCTGCAGTGAGCCAAGATCATGTCACTGCACTCCAGCCTGGGTGACAAAGTGAGACTCTGTCTCAAAAAAAAAAAAAAGAAAGAAAGATGACTTACATGCCCAACTGCCACCTGAACACACATCCACACCCAATATGCAACTGCAGAATAAATACATAATAATTCTAAAGAGATTCACATTCAGAAAAGGGAAGAATATCGGCTACATGGCAGACATTTGATAGCAATTCTGGAATCTAGGCAGTGATTGTGAAGGTTTACTACCTTAGGCACAGAGAATGTTCCCGTATTAAATTGCAGTTCTTATGTCTTGGAAGGGTTCTCTTGTCCAGTTTTCCAAAATTCTTGACTCCATCCTCTAAGATGTTCTTCCTTTGAGTTTCTTCTGTCCTTCAATCTGGAATGTATATTAAAGGATCATGCACTTCAACATCTACTCATTCATAATTCTTTATTTTAAAATTTCAAACAGCCTCTGTCCCTTTAAGTTTCAGCTTGTGATTCATTTGACAGTACAGTTCTCTGAAGACCTTACTTAATTTCTTCAATACCTACATTTCTTTTCCAAACATACTTCTATTTGCTACTTTTGCTTTATAACACCCAAATCTCTTGTCTCTTTTCCTCTGGACATAACTAAGGTATGTTGGACTATCCAGTTTAGGTGAGAGAGCCATTTTGTCCAATTAAAAAGATTTAGGCACCACGCCTTTACTAGGTCATGGATCTGAGTCAAAGATTTTAACAATAGGTGTGACAGTCATACCTAGAATTCATACTTGCTGCAAGAGTAATTCTCAAAGACCTTCTCAGCTTCATCTTTTAAAAGGGTAAGATTCCTTACTGCAAATCCTCCAAACTAGACTCTCTTTCTTCCTACATACAAATTGGCCGGTTCTTTTGTAAGCTCGTTATTGTCTTATTAGCACCCTGACAAATGCAGTCAACAATAACCAAAATCAACTTCAAATGCACTTTAAAAACTAAGCACTTCCCTAGAACAGGGTTTGGCAATCCTGTAGTCCAAATCCAGACAACAACCTGATTGTGTAAAAGGGGAACTAAAGATTGTACAAACAAGCAATGAAGAATGTGCAACAGAGACTCATACAGTTTGAAAAGCCTAAAATCCTTACTGTCTTTCTCTTTACAGAAAATGTTTGCCACGTACTTACCTAGAAGTACAAATATATACCTCCCAGGTTAACCTACCACCAACTAAGCTCTCATCCCAGAATAACACGAGCTAACCTCCTTCTTACTTCCAAACTTCCCTTGCCACCTACTAATCATTAAGCCAAAGCCACACATTTTAGGTTGTTTTAAGGCAACACCTCCATTTCTTGGTACCAACAGCTGTATCCATCGGATTAGGCTAGGGCATGCTGCGGGCCTCTGCTTATCAATCTCTCTAGAACCACACTGATGGATATTTCATGCCATTGCAAGCTTCCATGAGCATCATAACAAGGAAAAAATGAACTTAGCAAATTGTGCACTGCCTCAAATCTTCTGCCTGAAAATGACACATTTTATTTGCCAAATTAAGGCACACAGCCATGGTTAACTTCAAGGTATAGTGGTTTACTTAAAGGTAGCCATGGTTTACTTTCCCCTGGAAGAGGAAGTAAAAAAGAATTGATGATGGTTGCTAATAGCTACCACACCTGCAGTCCCATTCCACAAAAATAGCCTCCATTAGGGGATGGTAAAAATATTTTCACTTTGTTTCATGCATATGCATAAATATTATCTTCCTCTAACATTACCTTTCACATAATAATCATTATATGCATTCATACTTATAGTAAAGGGCAGGGACTATGACTATTTTGCCTATCATAAGATAGAGCACAAGGAATGGAATGAACTCAACTATTTATTATATTAATGAATAAATAAACTAATGTCATTATTTCTATGTTACTTGTTTCTATGTTCATTCTACTAATGATTTTTGTTATTTTTTTACAAACATTTGAACCTTTTATTCCTCATCACCATAAAGAATGAAAATTAAATAGTGCCTGTACCCTTTCACCTCCTAGACTATGCTAAGTATTTAAACAGAAAACTTTTTTACCTCTGTCCCCTTCTTACATATTCTGCTTTTCTTTATTTTTATTTTGCTGATCTGGAATTTTTTATCTAGATTTTTACTAACTTTATTTCACATTATGATTCTTCAATTTTTAGAAATCATTCTTAATATTATTTTAAATTTGCATGTACAAAATTAACCATAATTAGATTTAACTATAAGTTCTATGCCCTCATTGTCTATCAATGTTTCCTCCAATTTTCTTGAGCTCTTTATTTTGATACATTCATTGTTTGACTATAATACTTCAAAAAAAAATTTTTCAGAACTAGTACATGGTGAATGGTGTTTCTGAATCTTTGCGTGTCCAAATATAACTTTCCTTTGCATTCACATGAATGATGGTTTGTTTGGATCTTGAAATGGAGCATGAAAGTTATCAGAATCAAAATGGAGTCAATTGTGTTAAAAACTGGGGAAGATAAATACAGCTAGGAAAGGCCATGAAGGGAAGCTTCTCATGCACAAATGACTGAGAACAAAAACTATCACAAAAGATTGCAAAACCCAAAATCTCACACAAAGACTGCACAACCTTACATACACACACAAAAAAAATTCTGTGAGGACGTCTGCCCAGCAACTGCTTGTTCAACCTTGGACTAATTCCACCCTTGTTATTGACCCTTGTAGTCAAGGATTATTGTCTCAAAACAATGATGTAATTCTCCTCATTTTTCTTTAAAAAACTTTTGTCTTCCTTTACCACCCTGAATGAGAACCTAGTTTACTATGGCACACATATTCCCATTGCAATGCCTATTTCCAAATAAATATCATTTCCATTTAAAGCATCTCCCTCTCTGTTTGTTATTTAGGATGATGGGAGTCACAGTCCACTTGCACTCCAAAGTTTGAGAAGCACTAGTCTACGCTGTATTTGCAGCTCTTGTGGACTCCAGCAAGAATTGTGTAACTATTGCCTTCTAGTGAAAGCCACTGTATGCCAGGAGGCAGATTCTGAGGAGGGTGAATCATCGTGGATATAGCAGAGAAAAGCAGGCAACTGGTGGACAATCTAGTGCCACCTCACTTCATTTCCAAAGCTATTCCCACCAAGTTTAGCCTACGAGAATGATAAGTCCACTTGCTGCGTATGTGGAGTTCAGGCTGTGTCCTCAAATCCTCTACTCACTCCTTTCTAGGCTTTCCCTATCATGTCCACATCTTCCTTCCTCTGCCACTTCATGTGGGGTAGTGGAGCGACTCCTAGCGGAATCTGTGTTCCATTAGCATTACAGCTACTCACTGAAACTATTGCACTCTCCTCCCTTCTACTGGCTCCATCACCTGTGTTAGGAGCTCCCTGTACCAAGTCTTCCACTTTATTGAGTAAATAGTTAGAGCCAAAGGGAACACTGTGATAAAGCCTGTGTCAGCTGCCATGTTGATTTTCTACTGCTACTGTCATAATCACAAAGTTAGCAGTTAAAGCAACACCCATTTTGCAGGCCAGTTCTCTGCTCTGGGTTTCACAAAGTGATGGACGGGGTGTGTTCTTTTCCAGAGCTTCTGGGGATGAATTCGCTTCCAGGCTCATTCATGTTGTTGGCAGAATTGAATTCCATGAGATTATAGGACTCAGGTCCGGTGTCCCTGCCAGCAATCAGCCCAGGGTTGGTTGTTCTCAGGTTTTAGAGGCTGCCCACATTCTTTTTGGGGTGGCATCTTCCTCCTGCTTCAAAGCCAGCAAAGACCCTTCACAGTAGTTCCTCGATTCACGTTAGATTAAATCAGCAGGGAGCAGGAATTTTGTGGGACATCTTTTGAATTCTGCCTTGTGCAGCTGCACTATGCAAATGATTAGGAAAAACTGCAAGTTCTTATTTTGAAGTAATTTTCCAAGTGCCTGCAGTACATCCTTACTCTCACTCCTGCTTATCACTGGGAGGATTTTATATGGAAAGCACTTCCCTAACTTTTTAGGAACTCCCTGTTTTGCCTGTGATGAACCACTCAGCATTTTCCCCCGCATTAAATTACAATGACTTCATTTGAAACAGAAATGCCTCAAATTTTGGGATCTACTTATGATAGCCTTCCCTCTTGACCAGGACTCAAAGTCTATTTTGCCCTAATGTGTCTTTGGTCAATAAAATGGAATTTGGAGAGTTTGAGAAGGTATATTTGTAATTTCAATCCCTGTCTAGAAAGCATGAAAAAAGATATTAGAAAAAAATGTGTTGCTCTTGAGTATTATTGCCATTGATGAGTTCCACAGTGCTAGTAGACTACATTAGGAATTTGAATGAAGCAGAATTGAATGAATTCTATTTTTAAAAAAATGAATTGTACATTACAGCTCACAAGTATCCAAGAGCTAAATTTGAAATGTCAAAGGTTATGTAAATCTTATATGTTTAGCTAACCCTGTAATGAGAAAGACTCCCAACACTGAAGTCTCAAATCGTTTTTGAGAACACTGAGGAGAGAAGCCACATAATTTGAGAGTGTCATAACCGGGAGTCCTAGAAAGAGGAAGATCAAACAGCCGATGTGAATTTAGGCCATGAAGAGGTTTAATTTAAAAGCTGAGAGCAAAATCACAGTCCTTTCATAATTATTATAAGGAGATATTGGGTACCCTCACTCTGGCAGACCTGTGGTGCCTAATGAAAAGAGAGCATTTCTCTCCTGCTTGGCTTATTTTATCCCTAATCAGCAGCGGTACTTCAAATTAGCTTCACAATCTATTGGCCTCTCTCAGCCATAAAAGCCTCTTTTCTCTTTTGATATTAGCATAGCTCCCCATTGAAAGTAACAGAAAAAGAGCTCCTACTTGAAGGTTATATCCTTCCTTGTGGATGGCCCACTTCAAAGGGTTCATCACATGGTCCAAAGAGAAGTAAAAATAAGATGAGGGGAGTGCAGCAGCTGTGTTTCTAAGACAAGAGGTTCTGAGCTGAAGAACACCACATCGATTAAGGTCAGGGCAGCTGGGAAGGTTGCAGTTCAGCCAAAAGAGGGCTGAAGTACTGAACTTGAAAACTCTAGAACCTGGGAAATGTAAGCATTAAACTCAGAGACATTTTATGGAAAAAAAAAAGTTTTATTTTATAGATTCAGTTCTGTAATATAGATATTGGAACATTAAAATGATCTGAGGTATTGACTTCAAAATCCATCATTTGGGGTGTTGGATTATCTGTTATTTACTTAACTCCATTAGCACCCAGCTATGGATAAATTGTGTGTAATAGTTGTGTTTTATGAGATCAAGATTTTAAAATAGTGACCACTGATTTGTGTCCTCTATATCATTTAACCTCTGTTGTCTCATAAATGTGGCTGAGGGCAATGAGCTTATTTAAGGCTAACCTGCATATTAATACTTTTATCCACTGAGATAGTACTCTCCCCCACTTAACTAAGACGTTTGAGAATTGCCAAAAATAATCTACCTCAAAATATATTCACATATGCATCGTCTAAGTCAAGGAACAGAGGGCTCACTAGAATGGATTGGCCCTCCAATGACCCCAACAGTAGATGTTGATGCTTAGGAAGGATAGATATAATAGTTGAAGAAAAAATTTGCCAGTTGAAACTTTTGTTTGATTTTGCCACTTTGTCAGTCATTGCTTTTTGTTATGGCCAAGTTAAGTTGTTACGGAATTAGAGAATTTTGGAATTTTTTTGTAAGTGTTCTTTTAATAAATGTCTACTCAAGCCATCTGCCCATTTTTATTTTTATTTTTTGTTTTTTAACTTTTATTTTAAGTTCATGGGTACATTGCAGGTTTATTATATAGGTAAACTTGTGCCATGGGGGGTTGATATACAGATTATTTCATCACTCAGGTATGAAGCCTAGAACCCATTAGTTATTTTTCCTTCTCGTTTTCCTCCTCCCACACTGTACCCTCCAATAAGACCCAGTGTTTGTTGTTCTCCTTTATGTGACCATGTGTTCTCATCATTTAGCTCCCTCTAATAAGTGAGAGCATGTGGTATTTGGTTTTCTGTTTCTGTATTAGTTTTCTTCTAAGGATAATGGCCTCCAGCTCTATCCATGTCCCTCCAAAAAACATGTTCTTCTTTTGTATTGCTGCGTAGCATTCCATGGTGTATATATACTACATTTTCTTTACGCAGTTTATCATTGATGGGCATTTAGGTTGATTCCATGCCTTTTCTACTGTGCATAGTGCTGAAATGAACATATGCGTTCATGTATCTTTGTAATAGACCATTTATATTCCAGTAATGGGATTGCTGGGTCAAATGCCATTTCTCATATTGGGTCTTTAAGGAATTGCCACACTGTCTTCTACAATAACTGAACTATTTAGACTGCCACCAACAGTATATAAGCATTTGCTTTTCTCTGCAGCCTCACCAGCATCTCTTTTTTTTTACTTTTTAATAGTAGCCTTTCTGTTTGGTGTGAGATGGTATCTAATTTTGGTTTTGTTTTGCATTTCTCTAATGATCAGTAATATTGAATTTTTTTCATATGCATGTTGGTTGCATGTACATCTTTTGAAAAGTGTCTGTTCATGTTCTTTGTCCACTCTTTTTATGGTGTTGTTTGTTTTTTTCCTGTAAATTTGTTTAAGTTCCTTATAGAAGCTGGATATTAGACATTTGTCAGATGCATAGTTTTGCAAAAATTTTCTGCCATTCCATAGGTTGTCTGTTCACTTTGCTGATAGTTTCTTTTGTTGTGCAAAAGCACTTTAGTTTAACTAGATCCCATTTGTCAATTTTTGCTTTTGTTGCAATTGCTTTTGGCATCTTCATTATAAAATTTTTGCCCATTTCTATGCCTAGAATGGTATTGCCTAAGTCATTTTCCAGGGTTTTTATAGTTTTGGGTTTTACTTTTAAGTTTTAATCCATCTTGAGTTAATTTTTGTATCTGGTGTAAGGAAGGGGTCTAGTTTCAATCTTCTATATATGGCTACCCAGTTATCCCAGCACCATTTATTGAATAGGGTATCCTTTCCTTATTGCTTGTTTTTGTCAGGTTTGTTGAAGATCATACAAATTTAGGTGTGTGGCCTCATTTCTGGGTTATCTATTCTGTTCCATTGGTCTATGTGTCTGTTTTTGTACCAATACCATGTGGTTTTGGTTACTGCAACCCTGTAGTATGGTTTGAAGTCAGGTAGCGTGATGCCTCCAGCTTTGTTCTTTTTGATTAGAATTGCCTTAGCTATTCAGGCTCTTTTTTGGTTCCATATGAATTTCAAAATAGTTTTTTCTAGTTCTGTGAAAAATGTCAGTGGTGATTTAATAGAAATAATATTGAATCTATAAATTGCTTTGGGCAGAATGGCCATTTTTATGATATTGATTCTTTCTATCCATGAGCATGGAATGTTTTTCCATTTGTTTGTGTTATCTCCGATTTCTTTGAGTACTGTTTGGTAGTTCTCCTTGTAGAGATGTTTCACCTCCCTAGTTAGCTGT